>NC_000010.11:23135000-23760000 GCF_000001405.40 Homo sapiens
ATGGGACCTTACTTGGATCACTATTTGAAAAAACTATAAAGAGTTTATGAAAGAACTGGAGAAATTTGAACATTACCATATATATAATGATATTAAGAAAATATTGTTATTATGTTGTGTAAAATAGTGTTTTGTGGCGTTTTGTTAAATAATTCTTACTGTTTAGAGATGCATGCTGAAATATTTATAAGTGAAATGACCTGTCTAGGATTTGCTCTAAGTAATTTGCACAGTGATTTAGATTAGACAGCAGAGATAGTGTCTAGATTAGAGGTAGTAATCTAGATCTAGTGATATAGATTGAAGAAGACTGGCCAAATGTTGATGATTTTGAAGCTGGGTGATACATAGGTCAGAAGAGTTCATTATACTAGCAGCAAGAGAAGGGAAATTTCACAAGTGAGCCGCAGTCACCAAACTCTCTGCCTGGGGATGACACAGAGAGCCAGACTCCAAGTAGAGCACAGTGACCTTGCTGAGCTGAGGAGACAGAGATCAGAAACTAGAAGTTGGATCAGCTGAAATGTTTGGAATCTGGATGAAGAGGCATCAGAAAGGAGGGAGCTGTGCAGATGGGGCCCTTGGGAGTTCAGGAGGGTGCCTTCTGGGAATACGTGGCATGGCTGGATGGTACATGCACAGGACGCAGCTCCCCATGGTAGAAGCTACTGTCTACTTACCAGACAGCAACTTCTTCAGGATTGAAGGTGATGCCAATAGCAGAGGGTTAGCAGTGCTGGGGCATTCTGGAATGCCCTGTCTGAGAAATTTCATTACTTCTCAATGCATCTGGCACCAAGCCGAGATCCCAGATAGGCTTTAAGAATAACGACACGCCGACCAGGCGCGGTGGCTCACACCTGTAATCCCAGCACTTTGGGAGGCTGAGACGGGTGGATCACGAGGTCAGGAGATAGAGACCATCCTGGGTAACATGGTGAAACCCCGTCTCTACTAAAAAGAATACAAAAAATTAGCCGGGCGCAGTCCGGGCGCCTGTAGTCCCAGCTACTCTGGAGGCTGAGGCAGGAGAATGGTATGAACCCTGGAGGCAGAGCTTGCAGCGAGCCGAGATCGCGCCAGTGCACTCTAGCCTGGGTGACAGAGCGAAACTCTGCCTCAAAAAAAAAAAAAAAAAAAAAAAAAAGAATAAGGCCACGCCCTGTCAAAGCCTAAAGTCAAGCCCCAACATCTCTTCCAAACTTCAGCTCAGTTGGGGAAGGAAATGCGATTTTAGTAAAAAAGAGAACAAAAGAAGAATGGGTGCACTGGACCAATTTTACCTAATGTTTAATTTTGCTGAAGATGGATGTGGGGGATGTTATGAGGACGAGGGGGAGTGTGAGGAAGGAGGAAGAGAAAATAGCACATGGGGAGGCCCAGACATGATGGAAGCTGGTTCCACAGAGCTAAGAAAAGAACTGTTTCATTGGTACCAAACCCAGATTTTCTCCCATTTTTGCATCGCTGAAATTGGACATCTCTTGCAATGAAGTTATTTTACCATTTTAATTGGCAGAATTGTTTTTTCTTAATGTCACATAAAATAATGTTGCATCTTATGGTTGATGATATTTCAGATTTACTGAAATATGGTAGTCGTGTTAGACTCGAGAAAAAGCGTAAGAACTTACAGGAAAAAAGGCTGAAGAACTCAACAGGTGGGCACACCATGCAACTAGTAGTAAGGGGGTTGAATTTTATCTCAAGTGTAATGAGAAGCCATTAAAGGATTTTAATAGTGGACTAGCTTGATCAGATTTGTATATTTTGGAAAATAACTGATATAGTTTGGATATTTGTCCCCTCCAAATCTCATGTTGAAATTCCACCCCCAGAGTCTCAGCCTTGCCACTGCCCAAAGACTGCTGAGCCCCTGTCTGTCCACCGCCACCACCCACTCTGGACACAGAACATCCAGTCATGGATAAAAATGAGCTGGTTCAGAAGGCCAAACTGGCCGAGCAGGCTGAGCGATATGATGACATGGCAGCCTGCATGAAGTCTGTAACTGAGCAAGGAGCTGAATTATCCAATGAGGAAAGGAATCTCCTCTCAGTTGCTTATAAAAATGTTGTAGGAGCCCATAGGTCATCTTGGAGGGTCGTCTCAAGTATTGAACAAAAGACGGAGGGAGCTGAGAAAAAACAGCAGATGGCTCGCGAATACAGAGAGAAAATTGAGACGGAGCTAAGAGATATCTGCAATGATGTACTGTCTCTTTTGGAAAAGTTCTTGATCCCCAGTGCTTCACAAGCAGAGAGCAAAGTCTTCTATTTGAAAATGGAAGGAGATTACTACCGTTACTTGGCTGAGGTTGCCGCTGGGGATGACAAGAAAGGGATTGTGGATCAGTCACAACAAGCGTACCAAGAAGCTTTTGAAATCAGCAAAAAGGAAATGCAACCAACACATCCTATCAGACTGGGTCTGGCCCTTAACTTCTCTGTGTTCTATTATGAGATTCTGAACTCCCCAGAGAAAGCCTGCTCTCTTGCAAAGACAGCTTTTGATGAAGCCATTGCTGAACTTGATACATTAAGTGAAGAGTCATACAAAGACAGCACGCTAATAATGCAATTACTGAGGGACAACCTGACACTGTGGACATCAGATACCCAAGCAGACGAAGGTGAAGCAGGAGAAGGAGTGGAAAATTAACCGGCCTTCCAGCTTTTGTCTGCCTCATTCTAAAATTTACACAGTAGACCATTTGTCATCCATGCTGTCCCACAAATAGTTTTTTGTTTATGACTTATGTCAGGTTTATGTTACTTCTATTTGAATTTCTCTATTTCCCATACGGTTTCTATGTTTAATATTAGGGGAGGAGAGGAAGTTAACATTTAGGGAGTTATCTGTTTTCATCTTGAGGTGTTCAATATGGGGACGTGGAATTTTTATACAGGTTATAAATGTTTGGCATAGTACTTTTGGTATATTGTGGCTTCACAAGGGCCAGTGTTAAAACTGCTTCCATGTCTAAGCAAAGAAAACTGCCTACATATTGGTTTGTCCTGGTGGGGAATAAAAGGGATCATTGGTTCCAGTCACAGGTGTAGTAATTGTGGGTACTTTAAGGTATGGAGCACTTACAAGGCTGTGGTAGAAACAGATGCCCCATGGATACCACATGTTAAACCATGTATAATTGTGGAATACTCAATCTCATACCTTTGACCACAGCTGCAGAAGTGTTCTTTTAGACACAGTTGTGACCCATTTTACTCTGTATAAGGGCAGAAATGGTTCACATTCCATTATTTATAAAGTTACCTGCTGTTAGCATTCATTATTTTTGCTACACTCATTTTATTTGTATTTAAATGTTTTAGGCAACCTAAGAACAAATGTAAAAGTAAAGATGCAGTAAAAATGAATTGCTTGGTATTCACTACTTCATGTATATCAAGCACAGCAATAAAACAAAAACCCATGTATTTAACTTTTTTTAGGTTTTTTGCTTTTGTGATTTTTTTTGATACTTGCCTAACATGCATGTGCTGTAAAAATAGTTAACAGGGAAATAACTTGAGATGATGGCTAGCTTTGTTTAATGTCTTATGAAATTTTCATGAACAATCCAAGCATAATTGTTAAGAACACACGTATTAAATTCATGTAAGTGGAATAAACGTTTTATGAATGGACTTTTCAACTACTTTCTCTACAGCTTTTCATGTAAATTAGTCTTTTGGTTCTGAAACTTCTCTAAAGGAAATTGTACATTTTTTTGAAATGTATTCCTTATTCTCTCTTGGCAGCTAATGGGCTTTTACCAAGTTTAAACACAAAGTTTATCATAACAACAAAAATACTACTAATATAACTACTGTTTCCATGTCCCATGATTCCCTCTCTTCCTCCCCACCCTGAAAAAAATCAGTTCCTATTTTTTCTGGGAGAGGGGGAGATTGATTGGAAAAAAATGTAATATGTTCCATTTGAAATATTGGTAAATGGCATTTTCTAACTTAGGAAGCCACAGTGTTCTTGGCCCATCATGACATTGGGTAGCATTAACTATAAGTTTTGTGCTTCCAAATAACTTTTTGGTTTTTAACAATTTCTTGATACTCTTATAGCCTGCCTTCAGTGTTGATCCTTTATTCTTTCTATCTGTCAGGTGCACAAGATTACCCTCCTTTTTTAGCCTTCTGTCTTTCTTGTCACCAACCATTCCTACTTGGTGGCCATGTACTTGGAAAAAGGCCGCATGATCTTTCTGGCTCCACTCAGTGTCTAAGGCACCCTGCTTCCTTTGCTTGCATCCCACAGACTATTTCCCTCATCCTATTTACTGCAGCAAATCTCTCCTTAGTTGATGATACTGTGTTTATCTCCCTTTAAAACCCTACCTATCCTGAATGGTCTGTCATTGTCTGCCTTTAATCCTTCCTCTTTCTCTTCCTCTATTCTCTAAATAATGATGGGGCTAAGTTATACCCAAAGCTCACTTTACAAAATATTTCGTCAGTACTTTGCAGAAAACACCAAACAAAAATGCCATTTTAAAAGAGGTGTATTTTTTATTTCAGAATGTAAGCTCCTCAAGAACAGGGACAATGTTTTCTGTATGTTCTATTGTGCCTAGTACACTGTAAATGCTCAATAAATATTGATGATGGGAGGCAGTGAATCTTGATAAGGGTGAGAAACTGAAATCCCAAACACTGTTTTGTTGCTTGTTTTATTATGACCTCAGATTAAAATGGGAAATATTGGCCCTTTTGGATAATTATCCCAAATATTACATTCAAATAAAAGTGCAATGGAGAGAAAAAAAAAAAAGAAATTCCATCCCTAGTTTGGAGATGGGGCCTAGTGAGAGGTGTTTGAGTCATGGGGGTGGATCCCACATGAATGGCTTGGTGTCATCCCTGTAGTAATGAATGAGTTATTGCTCTATGAGTTCCTGGAAGATCTGGTTGTCTAAAAGAGCCTGGAACCCCTTCCCTCTCTCTCTTTCTTTCTTTCATGCCATGGGATGCCTCCTCCCCTTCGCTTTCTACCATGAATAGAAGCTTCCTGAAGTCCTTGCCAGAAGCAGATGCCAGCACCATGCTGCTTATAAAGCCTGCAGAACTGTGAGACAAATAAATCTTGTTTCTTTATAAATTACCCAGGCTCAGGTATCTCTTTATAGCAATGCAAACAGACTAAGACAATAACTCTATCTGTAATGGGAAGGATAGAAAGGAAGAGAGCATGGAGAGAAGATTTAGGAGGTTTTTGGAGTAACCCAGAGGGAGATGATTATCTTCTGGACTGGTGTTGCAAGTATGAGATGGAGAAAGTGGAAATGAGAGAAATTTAGGAGGTAAAATCTTCCAATTCCTGTTGATTGTCTGAATGTGTGGAAGGGGGCAAGGGAGGAGTCACAGTTGATACCCGGACTTCTGAATTAGGCAACCAGATTGGTGGTGGAGCCATTTAAGAAGATAAGGAACAGAGGAGAAGGAGTATTACTACAAGGGGAAGATGGTGATTTCTATTGTGTTTGAGGTTCTTGGGAGACACCAAAGGGAAGATGTCCAATAGACCCTTGAATATATGGATCTGATGCTCAGGAGGCAGATCCAAGCTGATGTTCTAGACATGGGAATCATCAGCCTATAGTTGTAATTGAATAGCTGAAGTTAAGGGAGTGGATGTGGATTGCCTAGGGAGGGTGTACAGTGTGAGGAGAGGTAAGAGCAATGACAAAAGCCTGAAGATCATGAACACTTAAGTGATGGGCAGAGGGGGGCATCCCACAAGGAGAATAAGAAGGACCAGCCAAAGAAGGAGGAGAAAAAGCAGAAGAGTGTGAGGTCATGAAAGCCAAGGATAAAAGAGTGACCAGAGAGGCCATAAATGGTCAATTCTGTGAAATGCTATGGAGAGGTCGGAGGGAGAGACCAGAAATGCCTGCTGCATTTACTTGGTAACTTCTGTTTTTATTAACACAATTGAAAGGAAAAAGACAAAATGGGGAACATTTTTGTAGTATAAATAAGGAGCTCTTATAATTTAGTAATAAAAAGACAAATTCTATGGAGAAATGGACAATAGACATTGACAAGCAATTTTCAAGAGCAGAAATTAAAAATGACCAAAATATATTAGAAAATAGCTTCAGAATCATTACTAATAATGAAATGCTAATTAAAACAATACTGCCTCAATCCCATTTACAATAGCCATACAAGAAACATTTTCTAGGAATACATCTAACTAAGCAGGTGAAAGAGCTCTGCAAGGATAACTACAAAACACTGCTGAAAGAAATCACAGATGACACAAACAAATGAAAAAAACATTTCATACTCATGGATTGGAAGAACCAATGTCTTTAAAATGGCCACACTACCCAAAGCAATCTACAGATTCAATGCTATTCCTATCAAACTACCAAGGTCATTTTTCAAAGAATTAGAAAAAACTATTCTAAAATTCATATGGAACAAAAAAAGTCCACATAGCCAAAGCAATCCTATTTAAAAAGAAGCCAGAGGCATCACACTACCAGACTTCAAACTATATTACAAGGCTACAGTGACCAAAACAGCATGGTACTGGTACAAAAACAGACACATAGAAAACCCAGAAATGAAGCCACACATCTACAACCAACCAATCTTTGACAAAATTGACAAAAATAAGCAATGGAGAAAGGCCTCCCTATTCCATAAATTGTGCTGGGATACTTGCTAACCATATACAGAAGAATAAATCTGGATGCCTACCTCTCACCATATACAAAAATTAACTTAAAATGGATTAAATAATTAAATATGAGACCTCAAACTATGAAAATCCTAGAAGAAAACCTAGGAAATACCCTCTGGACGTCAGCCTTGGCAAAGAATTTATAACTAAGTTCTTAAAAACAATAGCAACAAAAACAAAAATTGACAAGTGAGATCTAATTAAACTAAAGAACTTTTGTACAGCAAAAGAAACTATCAACAGAATAAACAGACAACCTACAGAATGGGAGAAAATATTCACAAACAATGCACCCAATAAAGGTCTAATATCCAGAATCTATATGGAACTTAAACAATTCAACAACCAAAAACCAAATAACCCCATTAAAAAATGGGCAAAAGACGTGAACAGACACGTCTCAAAAGAAGACATGCAAGGGAGTGATTAACAGCAGTATCCTTTGGTTCATCACTAATCATCAGAGAAATGCAAATCAAAACCACAATAAGATAGCATCTCATACTAGTCAGAATGGCTATTATTAAAAAGTCAAAAAACAACAGATATTGGTGCGGCTACAGAGGAATGGGAATATTTATACACTGTTGGTAGGAATGTAAATTCAGCCACTGTGGAAAGCAGTTTGGAGATTTCTCCATGAACTTAAAATAGAACTGCCATTCGACCCAGTAATCCCATTACTGGGTATATACCCAAAGGAAAATAAATCACTCTACTAAAAAGACATGCATTTGCATGTTCATCGCAGCACTATCACAATAGCAATGATGTGCAATCAACCCAGGTTCCCATCAACAGTGGAATGGATAAAAGAAAACATGGTACATATACACCATGGAATGCTGCACAGTCAGAGAAAAGAACAAAATCATGTCCTCTGTGGCAACATGGATGGAGCTGCAGGCCATTATCCTAAGCGAATTAATGCAGAAACAGAAAATCAAATATTGTGTGTTCTCACTTATAAATGGGAACTAAACAGTGGGTACTCATGGACAGAAAGATGAGAATAACAGATACTGGGGACACAGGAGGAAGGAGAGAGGGAGGGAGGCCAGGGTAGAAAAACTACCTATTGGGTACTATGCTCACTACCTGGGTGACAGGTTCAATTGCACCCCAAACCTCAGCATTACACATCAAACTGCAAGGATTTTAAAAAGTGAGTGCAATAGTATAGGCCAGGTGTAGACAAGAAGTACCCTATATACTACTGCAGGGATTCAAGGGAACCAGCCCCTAGCAATATTTGTCAATGCCTTTTATATATAGCATATCTTTGCCAGTAATTCCTTAAAAGAATAATCTGAAATATATGCAGAGATGTATATGTAGATAACTTCTATAGCTACTGTTGTGTATAATAGTAAAATATTGGGAAAAGCATGCAACTCCAGCAATAGAGGACAGGCTAAGAAAAATTGTGGTATATCCATCAGCTTTTAGAGTCACAGATGAATGACATGATGACATAGGAAAATGTTCAAGGGAAATTGTGAAGTTAAAATAAGGAGGAGGATGGGTTGCAAGCCAGCATGTTTGCTGTAGCTTCAACTTTTGTACACCACTAAATAACGAAAGCTCTGATTAAGGGCATAGAAAAACACTGAGGGGATCTACATCACTTTATGAACAGCCATAGCCTCTGGATGGTGACATAATAAGAGTTTTTCACTTTGCACTATTTGGTTTTTTTTTTCATTTTTCTTCATCAAATATATTAATTTTATAATAATTTTTAATACGCACATAGATTAAATGTGAATAAATTAAATGACCACATAGAGTTATTAGCTAAAGCCAGTTAAATTTCAAAAATGATGCCTTGCATTTTAGGGCACTGCCTCTGTGGCCCTTTTAGTTGGCAGTACTTGAACACCAGGACGAGTTATTTTTTTGAGATCACTCTTTGTTCGTGCCAGGAAAATCCTGCTTTCTGTGTTTAAGAAAATGCCTCGCCATCTATCCACCCCCGTAGGAGGGCATGAATGCAGCTTGCCCAGTCAAAAACAAGGAAGGCCAGAACACATCCCACAGAAAGTTGCTAACGGATCCATAAAAGATTTTTTTATTGATCTTTATTTTATAGTCCTAAGGTTCTGATTCCATGTGAGCATCACCCCTGGGTACTTTTATAACTTTTTAAATCAACTGCACCCTGTGAGACAAATAACTGAGACCTAGGCTGAAAGCCAGAGGGTTCTGATGGCTTGTTCCTCTTGCAGATGGCAACCAGGGTCTACCTTCCGTGACCTCACTCTGCATATTTGCATGCAGACCACGGGACTCAGCCCATACACCTAGCTCTGGTCACCAGAGGCTGAGACCACCAAGTGGATGCATATCATAATAACCAAATTTGGATGGAGCTTTTTAAACAAATATTTTTGAGGCAATAAGAAATTTACAAGATTCTCCAAATGTTATAACATCTAGATGACCACCTCTTTTCATTTTTACTTCACATGTCCCCTCAATAACCTTGCTGGGACATGGAAGTTTTGTTTTGTTTTTGTCATTTGGAAGACCTGATCAAACCAGACAGATGAAAGTGGTTTTAAATTATAGGCAGTCCACTGATTTGGGGTTTGAGGATGACCAACTCCTGAAAGTTCCCTAAATCAGGGGGTTTTTTGTTGTTGTTTGTTTGTTTCGAGACAAGGTCTCGCTGTGTCTCACAGGCTGGAGTGCAGTGGTGCCATCATGGCTCACTGCAGCCTCTACCTCCTGGGCTCAAGCGATGCTCCCACCTCAGACTCCCAAGTAGCTGGGACTACAGACATATACCACTATGCTTGGCTAATTTTGTTTTTTTGCAGAGACGAAGTTTTGCCATGTTTCCCAGGCTGGTCTTGAACTCAGCTCAAGTGATCCACCTGCCCTGGCCTCCCAGAGTGCTGGGATTACAGGTGTGAGCTACTGTGCCCAGCCTAAATCAGAGTTCTAAAAGCCCATGGACAGTAACAGGTAGAGTGTGAAAGCCTTTGGCTGTCTTTCTCCATCACAGCCCCACTGTCCCTGGTTCAATCTTCAAGCCGGTGACCTCCAACACAGCTCTGCTAAGAATAATAAGGGAGAGAAACAATTTTCTCCCTAGCTCAGGCAGTTACTGAGAACATACTACCTGTCACGCACCATGCTAAATATTTGGTATACATGATCTCATATAATCCCTACAACCATCCTATGAGATAGATGTTGATAGTCCCATTTTACAGTTAAAGAGTTCAATGACTTGCCCAAGGATACCCAGCAAGCAGGGTCAAGTTAAGATTTCAACCCAGATTTTTCTTTTTCTTTTCTCTATAGAGTTTTGCTCTGTCACCCAGGGCTGGAGTACTGTGGCTTGATCATAGCTCACTGAAGCCCCAAACTCCTGGGTTCAAGGGATCCTCCTGCCTTAATCTCCCGAGTAGCTAGGACTACAGGCATGCACCAGCATGCCTGGCTAATTTATTTTTATTTTTGTAGAAATGGGGTCTCACTATTTTGCCCAGGCTGGTCTTGAATTCTTGGCCTCAAGTGATCCTCCCACCTAGGCCTCCCAAAGTGCTAGGATTATAAGCATGAGGCACCAGGACCAGCCTCAAACCCAGATTTTTCTGACTCCAAAATCTGTGAGGCTTCTTTTTTAGCACTACTTAACTATCATAAGTCTTTTTTTTTAGATGGAGTCTCGCTCTGTCACCCAGGCTGGAGTGCAGTGACGTGATCTGGGCTCACTGCGACCTCCGCCTCCTGGGTTCAAGAGATTCTCCTGCCTCAGCCTCCAGAGTAGCTGGGATTACAGGTGCACGCCACCACGCCCAGCTAATTTTTGCATATATATATATGTATATAAATATAAAATACAAATTAAAAATACAAAATTAAATACAAATATATATATAAAATACAAATTTTATATATATAATACAAATTATATATATACATATACTTTTTTTTTTTTTTTTTTTTTTGTGTGGAGACGGGGTTTTGCCATGTTGGCCAGGCTGGTCTTGAACTGCTGACCTAGGGTGATCCTCCTGCCTCCGCCTCCCAAAGTGCTGGGATTACAGGCATGAACCACCACACCCGGCCAACTATCATAATTCTTTAGCACTACTATTATAATCTTTCCCTGTGGAAGCCACAGAGAGACCATCAGAGAGACAGCCTAATGAAGTTGGCAGCCACGCCCATCCTGTAACCAGTCCTTTCGCCGGGCGGCTGGGTGGGGAGCGGCTGCTGATAGAGCCTGGTTTCAGCGCACTCTGCAGGAACGTGGGTGTCAGCCATTGTGCTGACCCCAGGATGCTGGTCCCAGCTCCCAGAGCTCCACTCATCGTTCTGATGGACCCTCTGCCCCCAACCAGTTATGTGTCGTGGAATCAAACATCCCAGATCCACACTGCTTCAGTTCCAGCCGTACATACTCAATGGAGGGAAACTGCTGTCCCAGAAAAAAATGACAGAGCCAGCCACGGGGAGGCAAGATGCCTGCCTTTCTCAGCGTCAGATTTGCCTCTGTCACTGTGATCAGCCGTTTTTCTTCTGAGCTGGCCGCTCTCGCTGTGCTGGCTAGGGGACGCAGGATTTCTAGGCCACTTGAAAGATAAAACCCTAACCCAGCAAGCAGCAAGAGGGAGTTTGGGACGTAAAAACCAGCAAGCTCCTAAGAGTGCACAGAGGGTCCCTGACCGCACACAGCTGCTCCGCCCGGGCTACTGTGGAACTGTGCCAGGTCTTACCTGGCTGGGGCAGAAGTGGGTTCTCACCTCTGCACCAGCACTGGGAAGGGCTTCTGTTACTCCCATCCCATCAGCCGTGCACTTCCTGTGCACTTCCCAGGAAAAAAACTGTGTCTGTACATAGCTTCACTCGAAGCCTCCAGAAAGCCTTTCATTGCTGGGTAAAATGCTCAGAGTGAAGTGTGGTTTTTAAGAACAGGATATGATTTTAAATACACACACACACACACACACGAAACTAGAGAAATAAACCAAGCATATGAATTTCTCTGTGTCCTCTAGCCACATTGGCCTCTTTTGGATCCATAAATGCATTGTGTTCCTTCTTGCTTTTAAGTATGCAGGGGCTCTGCACGAAGCCCCTTCCCTCTTACCCGGTTAAATCCTATCACTCTTTAGGTCTCGGCTTGACGCCACTTCCTTGGGAAAAACCCATGAGCTCCTAAACCAGGTCAGATATTCCTGTTATACACTCTAGGCTCTCAAATCACGCAGTAGACGTGCAATTCATGAATTTTGTAGTTACTTGCTTAACAGCATTCTTCCCTGCTAGATGATGGGCTGCAAGTGTCCGGATACGGTTTCCCAGCTTCTCCTTAGTGGTGCTCCCTGCCGCTCAGCTCCTGCCACCACCTATGCAGGAATCAATGTAGGTTTGAATAGCAGGTCTCAGGTGTGACTTTAAAAGCCAGGGTCTGAGCTGGCTCTGCCTCAGAGCGACTGGGCTCTGGAGTCTCTGAAAGCAGGGCTGGTCCTCTCCGTGGAGGTGATGAGCTCAGTGGAGGCCACTCAAGTCTGTCTTGGTCACTGCTGCTCTCCCAGGACATGCATAGTGCCGGTTCATGGTAGATGCTCACTAGACGCTCATTGGATGACTGAATGCTTGTTGGATGCATGGCAGCCTTGGTGCTCTACTGCACAAAGTACTTCAGACAATCATAGTTAGGAAGACCTTATGTCCCATGCCTAGGAGAGTCCTGATCCACGTTAGCTGTCCTTTCTCTCTCAAGAATGTCCAAGTTTAGATGACAAGTGATTTGGATGCACTAGTAGAAGTATCTGTCAATTCAAATTATTCTTCCTATTAAATAAAAACACCTTAATGAAGAAATTAAAATCACTTCAAGGTATCCATATTTTTGACCAGTTTTTATGCTGTCCAGCCGTCAGGTGTTTTAGACCTGTGCTCTAAGCTAGAAACAAAAATAGAAGTTTTTTTTTTCTCTTGTCTGCAGAAAATTGTCACCAGCCTGCTGCTTCCCCATGCATTTTATAAAGGTCACTACTGACTCAACTTTTCTTTTTGCAGGAGAGACTTCATCATAATTCCATTTTCTTCCCAATATCTTAACCCTTAAGTCCTGAGTGGAAACACTGACCACCACAGAGGGCGGTGATGAAAATACCTCACTCAGGGGTCTAAATTCCTTCCTCACTTTGCTCCTAGATTCAACAAAAATTTGCATATAACTCACTTTTTGTCTTATTACAAAAGTAAAAAATGGAGAGAAGAAAATCTACATCACCACAATTCCAACCTCTAAAAATAGCCACCGTGTGTCTTTGGAGATCATTTCCCCCCCAGGTAAATACATACTTTTTATTATATAAAAATGAAATACTTGGGGGAGTTGAAGAAAATTAGTACAGAGTAATCTAACCAACACATCTGTACTATTCACCAGCAGAATGAATCAATGTGAGCATCTGGTGATAATACGTGGGTGTGTATGTGTTTTTCTGTGTGTGTGCATGAAATGCTGCAGGGGAAGGTGACATCTTCTTGGTTCCTCTCTCAGATGTTCCAGTCTCCTTCCTCCTTCGCCAGGAGCAACCAATAACATGAATTCATATATATCCTTCTAGGCCCTGCTTGTGTGTGCGTGCGTGTGCGTGTGTGTGCGTGCATGTGCATGCATGTGTGCGTGTGTGCGTGTGCGTGCGTGTGTGCCTGTGCATGTGTGCGCATGCATGTGTGTGTTCGTGTGTGTGTGTGCGTGTGTGCCTGTGCGTGTGTGTGCATGTGGGCGTGTGTGTGTCTGCGTGTGCGCACGTGTGCAGTGTGCATGTTTATATAATTTACACAATGGTAATTACTATGCATACTGATTTGCGGCCACTGATTTTACTTCTTGGTTTTTTGTTTGTTTTTTTGAGACGAAGTCTTACCCTGTTGCCCAGGCTGGAGTGCCGGGGCATGATTTCTGCTCACTGCAACCTCTGCCTCCCCGGTTCAAATGATTTTCCTGCCTCTGTCTCCCCAGTAGCTGGAAGTACAGCCGAACGCAACCACGCCTGGCTAATTTTTGTATTTTTAGTAGAGATGGGGGTTTCACCATATTGGTCAGGCTGATCTCAGACTCCTGACCTTAGGTGATCCAACCACCTCGGTCTCCCAAAGTGCTGGGATTACAGGCGTGAGCCACCGCGCTGGGCCCACTGATTTTACTTCTACTCTACATGTCTGTAATATCTTCATGTTGATATATGTAGCACGGACTGATTGGTTTAAACAGCTGTGTGGCATTCTGTTGCGTCAATATATACAATTTGATTTCTTCTTTTATTGTTAAAATGTTGACAGTTCCCAGTATTTTACTATTACAAGCAATGCTGCAAAGAAACTCCTCTACAAGTTTCCTTATGCACTTCTTAAGGGCTTTTCAAGATGTGTATTTAGAACTGGAATTGCTGGGTTGAAGGGTATACACGTTTCAAGATTGACAAGTTGACTTCTGAAGTAGTTTTTGCCCATATACACTCACTCCAGCAGCATCTGAAAGTTCCCACTTCTGGCTGGGCCCAGTGGCTCACGCCTGTAATTCCAGCACTTTGGGAGGCCAAGGCAGGCGGATCACAAAGTCAAAAGATGGAGACCAACCTGGCCAACATGGTGAAACCCTGTGTCTACTAAAAATACAAAAATTAGCCAAGCGTGGTGGCATGTGCCTGTAGTCTCAGCTACTCGGGAGGCTGAGGCAGGAGAATTGCTTGAACCCAGGAGGCAGAGATTGCAGTGAGCTGAGATTGCGCCACTGCACTCCAGCCTGGTGACATAGGGAGACTCCATCTCAAAAAAAAATAAAAAAAGTTCCCACTTCCACATATCTTCATCATCCCTTGGTATTGCTAGACTGTTCACATTTATGAACCAAATAGGGGAGAAATTGCATTTCACTTTTCTTTTTCATTACCTTTTCCATGGTTGCATATAGGTTTAAGCCACATACTGTTTTGTAACTGCTTTCCACAGTGTGTTTTGAACGTCTTCTCACATAATTATTCTTCCCTGTAATCTGTTTTTTTTTTTTTTTTTTTTTTTTTTTGGGACTGAGTCTCACCCTGTTGCCCAGGCTAGCAGGCTGGTGTACAGTGGCGTGATCTTGACTCACTGCAATCTCCACCTCCCAGGTTCAAGCAATTCTCCTGCCTCAGCCTCCTGAGTAGCTGGGACTACAGGTGCACTCCACCACGCCAAACTAATTTTTGTATTTTCAGTAGAGACGGTGTTTCGCCATGTTGGCCAGGCTGGTCTCGAACTCCTGATCTCAGGTGACCCACCCACGTTGGCCTCCCAAAGTGCTGGGATTACAGGCGTGAGCCACCGTGCCCAGCCCGCCCCTATAATCTGAAGGCATATTCTTTTGTATGGCTATGCTGCTGTTTAACAAATGCCTTGCCATTGAACGTTTCCATTTATGCTTCTGGGAGTTTGACATCGGTGATACTACAGTGGTGAAGAGGATTGACTTTACATTCAGACAAAAACTGGCTTTTTTGTCTGGGGCCACACCACTTGCCAGCTGTGCAGCCTTAGACAGGTCCCTTGGGGGATAAAGAAGACTGACATTGACCCTCCCCGGTCTCATGGTATATAGCAGCGTGGCTAAAAGTTAAGCCTCTGCAGGCAGCAGCTGTCTGAATCCTGGTTCTGCTACTTATGGACTGTTTGACATTAGGAAAGGGCTTTAACTTCTCTGTGGCTCAGTTTCCTTGTGTGTAAAATCAGAGATGACAGTAGCCCCTGAAACCTACCCCAGAGGGTTATTGGAAAGAGTCTAGAATACAATGGATGACTTTTGCACAGCATCTGGCACATAATAATATCTAGGACTCATTCTATGCCTATTATTCAAGTTGAAATAAAATATAATTTGGACGTCAAACAGGATCTTTCTGGTCCATTTCTATTTTCTCAGATGGAGAAAATGAAGCTCAGAGGAGTTAGGGATCGGCTGAGGTCCCACAGCTAGTTCCTGTCAGCTTGAGGAGTGGGAACCAAATAAGAGCGGCCACTAGTGTGCCTTCTCTGGTGCTTTGCGCCACATTGTGATATGGAAAGCAAGAATTCGTAAACAGGAATGGCTTACATTCCTTCGGCATGCTTTCACTCCGCAGAGTCCCACGACAGTTCGTCCCAGTGGACGGTCTCGCAGCAAGTGATAGGCTCCAGTCACTGCTCTGCATGCGAATTTGCTCCAGGCCATGATAAGGTAGGTGTTACCCTAAGGTTCGGGGACTTTGCAGATGTCAGAGCCTTGGGGTGCAAAGCTCTGTTTGCTCTGCTCACTGCTGAGAAACAGAAGCTTGTCCACCAGGAGAGCCTGTCATCATTTTCCTTTAGGGACCTGATCCATTACTGTGGCCACCACTAAATCAAAAGCTCTAATTGTCTGTCAGAGAGTCTTCAGGGGGTGATGGAGGGTGGGCATGGTTAGGAGGTGCAAGTTGCCTGGCAGCACGTAACCCTTTCTGACCCGCGCATCTTTTTGCTGTTCACACGATTTGTCATCTTGCCTAGAGCCGGTTGGGGCACACCTAACCTTGGTGCCTGCTCGGCCTTGGCCCAGCCCAACAGCAGGTGCAGACATTAAGGAGTTTCCTGTGGCTGGGCACTGCCAGCAGCCTGGATGGACGAGAACTTGAGCTGGAGGGCTTCATTTTCCATGAGACTCTCTCCCATTTCTTTTGCTTATTCTGTTTCATTTTGGAATGACTCCTGGATTTTTTGTCACTGAGATGAACAACAAATACATTTCCCCAGAAGCAATAAATACAGTTTTCCATTGAGGATAAATCACCTGGGTTTCCAGAAGATTATCCAAATGTAGGAATACAGCCAACAAGATTTCTGGAGATTCTTCTTGATCCTATCTCACTAATGTTAGAATATCTAGGAATGTGTTCTAAAAACCTGTAAACCACTAGACTTGTTCATCACTGGCAGCCCTTTTCTTTATGGTTACAATAACAAAAAGTACTAGGACTCATATTTTGATAAACTTTTTAAAAAAGTTTCCCTTTTTCAAGACCCTTTGGAAGAAAATTGGTTGTAGGCTGGGTGTGGTGGCTCATGCCTGTAATCCCAGCACTTTGGGAGGCTGAGGTGGGTAGATTGCTTGAAGCCAGGAGTTCAAGACAAGACTAGGTAACATGGCAAAACCCTGTCTCTACTAAAAATACAAAAATTAGCCAGGTGTGGTGGCATGCGCCTGTAATCCCAGCTTCTTGGGAGGCTGAGGCACAAGAATTTCTTGAACCCGGGAGGCAGAGGTTGCAGTGAGCTGAGATTGCACCACTGCACTCCAGCCTGGGTGACAGAGCAAGACTCAGTCTTAAACTCAAAAAGAAAAAAAAAAAGAAAATAGGTTGTAAAAAAAAACCCATATA
This sequence comes from Homo sapiens, assembly GCF_000001405.40. Classification (NCBI taxonomy): domain Eukaryota; kingdom Metazoa; phylum Chordata; class Mammalia; order Primates; family Hominidae; genus Homo; species Homo sapiens. Next base: position 23,152,115 of record NC_000010.11, read on the forward strand.
TATACACATACACTTAGATATTATATATAATATGATATGTAATATATGCTAGATATTATATATAAGATATGCTAGATATTATATATAATATATGATAGATATTATATGTAATATATGATAGATATTATATGTAATATATGATAGATATTATATGTAATATATGATAGATATTATATGTAATATATGATAGATATTATATATAATATAGTATATGATAGATATTATATATAATATAGTATATGATAGATATTATATATAATATAGTATATGATAGATATTATATAATATAATATATGATAGATATTATATATAATATAGTATATGATGGATATTATATAATATAGTATATGATAGATATTTATAATATAATATATGATAGATATTATATATAACATAATATATGATAGATATTATATATAACATAATATATGATAGATATATAAAATATAATATATGATAGATATATAAAATATAATATATGATAGAATCATATATTATATATATCTATATATATCTATTGCTATATATATCATATATAGATATATCTATATATGATAGATATGACATGATTGTATATCTAGAAAACCCCATCGTCTCAGCCCAAAATCTCCTTAAGCTGATAAGCAACTTCAGCAAAGTCTCAGGATACAAAATCAATGTGCAAAAATCACAAGCATTCCTATACACCAACAACAGACAAACAGAGAGCCAAATCATGAGTGAACTCCCATTCACAATTGCTTCAAAGAGAATAAAATACCTAGGAATCCAACTTACAAGGGATGTGAAGGACCTCTTCAAGGAGAACTACAAACCGCTGCTCAAGGAAATAAAAGAGGATACAAACAAATGGAAGAACATTCCATGCTCATGGGTAGGAAGAATCAATATCGTGAAAATGGCCATACTGCCCAAGGTAATTTACAGATTCAATGCCATCTCCATCAAGCTACCAATGCCTTTCTTCACAGAATTGGAAAAAACTACTTTAAAGTTCATATGGAACCAAAAAAGAGCCCGCATCGCCAAGTCAATCCTAAGCCAAAAGAACAAAGCTGGAGGCATCACACTACCTGACTTCAAACTATACTACAAGGCTACAGTAACCAAAACAGCATGGTACTGGTACCAAAACAGAGATATAGATCAATGGAACAGAACAGAGCCCTCAGAAATAACACCGCATATCTACAACTATCTGATCTTTGACAAACCTGAGAAAAACAAGCAATGGGGAAAGGATTCCCTATTTAACAAATGGTGCTGGGAAAACTGGCTAGCCATATGTAGAAAGCTGAAACTGGATCCCTTCCTTACACCTTATATAAAAATCAATTCAAGATGGATTAAAGACTTAAACGTTAGGCCTAAAACCATAAAAACCCTAGAAGAAAACCTAGGCATTACCATTCAGGACATAGGCATGGGCAAGGACTTCATGTCTAAAACACCAAAAGCAATGGCAACCAAAGCCAAAATTGACAAATGGGATCTAACTAAACTAAAGAGCTTCTGCACGCAAAAGAAACTACCATCAGAGTGAACAGGCAACCTACAAAATGGGAGAAAATTTTCGCAACCTACTCATCTGACAAAGGGCTAATATCCATAATCTACAAAGAACTCAAACAAATTTACAAGAAAAAAACAAACAACCCCATCAAAAAGTGGGCGAAGGACATGAACAGACACTTCTCAAAAGAAGACATTTATGCAGCCAAAAAACACATGAAAAAATGCTCACCATCACTGGCCATCAGAGAAATGCAAATCAAAACCACAATGAGATACCATCTCACACCAGTTAGAATGGCAATCATTAAAAAGTCAGGAAACAACAAGTGCTGGAGAGGATGTGGAGAAATAGGAACACTTTTACACTGTTGGTGGGACTGTAAACTAGTTCAACCATTGTGGAAGTCAGTGTGGCGATTCCTCAGGGATCTAGAACTAGAAATACCATTTGACCCAGCCATCCCATTACTGGGTATATACCCAAAGGACTATAAATCATGCTGCTATAAAGACACATGCACACGTATGTTTATTGCGGCATTATTCACAATAGCAAAGACTTGGAACCAACCCAAATGTCCAACAATGATAGACTGGATTAAGAAAATGTGGCACATATACACCATGGAATACTATGCAGCCATAAAAAATGATGAGTTCATGTCCTTTGTAGGGACATGGATGAAATTGGAAATCATCATTCTCAGTAAACTATCGCAAGAACAAAAAACCAAACACCGCATATTCTCACTCATAGGTGGGAATTGAACAATGAGATCACATGGACACAGGAAGGTGAACATCACACTCTGGGGACTGTTGTGGGGTGGGGGGAGGGGGGAGGGATAGCATTGGGAGATATACCTAATGCTAGATGACAAGTTAGTGGGTGCAGCACACCAGCATGGCACATGTATACGTATGTAACTAACCTGCACAATGTGCACATGTACCCTAAAACTTAAAGTATAATAATAAAAAAATAAAAAAATAAATAAGATATTATATATAATATATGATAGATATTATATATAATATATGATAGATATTATATATAATATGATATATGATAGATATTATATATAATATGATATATGATAGATATTATATATATGATATATGATAGATATTATATATAATATGATATATGATAGATATTATATATAATATGATATATATAATAGATATTTTATATACTTTTTTTTTTACTTAAAATATCTCCCTCACCCCCTTCTTTTCTCTTAGGGCCCTTCCCTCTGTTGGATTTGAGATCAACTTCACAGTTCAGAGTTGATCGCTAAAAATACATTAAAAGGGCAAACAGCTGAATATGTCTAAGTTTTTGATAATTTTTTAAAACAGTCCCATTAAAGGTTGCATTGGAGAGAAAAGAAGCAGTAGAGGGGGAAAGACTGAAGGTTGAGGAAAGATGGGAGTGGGTGGGCCAGAGTCGGGCTTGGGGAGGCTGAAGCCGGGGTCAGGGACTGGCCTTGGAGAGGAACAGAGGTTTATTCTCCTGAGCTGGGAGGGAAGGAACGAGGTGAGGATGTGGAACTGATGAATGTGTTGGCAAGGAGGTAGGAAGTTAAGCCAAGTAACTCAATCGCCTCAAGTTTCACCGTGTTGAGGTTGAGGCAGATTCTTGAGAAGCAGTGAAAGCAGGTCTGTTCTGTAGCTGATGGAAGGAAAGAGGACAGGGGTTCCAGAGGCGTGCAAACGGCTTTGTTCATTACAACAGAAGTTCCTATTACAAATCTCACCCTAGCCAGGCACGGTGACTCATGCCTGTAATTGCAGCACTTTGGGAGGGCAAAGCAAGTAGATTGTTTGAGCCCTTGAATTCGAGACCAGCCTGAGCAATGTGTTGAAACCCCATCTCTACAAAAAATACACAGAATTTGCTGGGTGTGGTGGTGCGCACCTGTAGACCCAGCTACTTGGGAGGCTGAGAGATGGGAGGATTGCTTGAGCTCAGGAGATTGAGGCTGCAGTGAGCTATAATCACACCACTGCACTCCAGCCTGGGTGACAGAGAGAGACCCTGTCTCACAAAAACAAACAAACAAAAAATCTCACCCTCACAGTCCCATAAATTACAGGCGTGTGTGGAAATTGGCATGACCACCTTGGGGAAGTATTAGGGTTGCCACAAATCCTTTTTTCCTTCTCCTATTTGGAATTAGGCAGAGTCTAATTCTCATTCCTGTGAATCTGAGCTGGCCTAGGTGACTTGTGTGACAAGCAGAACGTGGCGGAGGTGACGCTGCAAGCCTTCTGAGGCTCGGTCAGCAGCAGCCTTGTGGCTTCCCCCTCCATCTTCTTGAACACTTGCTCCAGGGGGAGCCAGCTATGCTGTAAGGTGCCCCACCATCCTGAGATGGCCACGCTGGAGAGGCTTCATGGAGGACGATCTCGGCAGTTCCAGCTGAGCCCAGCCTCACAGCTGTCCCCGCTGAGGCACCAGGTGTGTGGGTGAAGCCATCTGGTACCCTCCAGATCACTTGATAGCCAAATACTTAAATGATCTTAGTCTGAGCCAAGGGGAGAGAGGAACTGCTCAGCTGAGCCTGCCTGAATTTGTAGCCCACAGAATAGATGTAATAAAATGGTGGTGGTTTTAAACCACAGAATGTTGGGGTGATTTGTTAGGTAGCAATAGACCACCAGAACAAGTACCAGCCACCAAAGCTGAATGTACCCAGATCCTAGGACCTATGCATCCTACTTCTGGATAAATATCTCACAAATATTTGTCTCTATGTGCACCAAGACACAACAAGAAAGGTCATAGCAGCGTCATATTCATAACGGCACCAAACTGGAATCAATGTAAAAAAAAAAACCAAGATGAGAACGATCCATCTGCTGGGCTAGACTGCATGGAACAGGAAAGTCGCAGAGGGTAGGAACGAGAGAAATCTGGAGGGGCCTTTGTGACCTAATTAGGAGCATTCCCAATCACTCGGCTGTGCGGTGCTGATGATGACGCCCACCTTCACCACTTCCTCCACCCACACTGCACGTGTGAGCCGGCCCTTCTCCAGAGCCAACCCCATTTTCCTCCTATGTATTTGTTCTGGTCAATACAAGCTTACAGCGTGCCAGGCACTGTGCCTGTTGAAAAGAAAGAGAGAGAGGATGGAAGGAAGGAAAGAAGAAGGAAAAGGAGGGAAGGAGAAGGGAGGAAAGAAAGGAAAGGAGAAGGAAAGAAAGGAAGGGAGAAGGAAAGAAAGGAAAGGAGAAGGAAAGAGAGGGAGGGAAGAAAGGGAGAAGGAGCGGGAGGCAGGAAGGAAGGAATTAAGGAAGACAGGAAGGAAGGAAATAAGGAAGACAGGAAGGAAGGAAATAAGGAAGACAGGAAGGAAGAGAGGAAGGGAGGGAGGATGGAAGGAAGAGAAAAAACAAAAAGAGAGGAAAGGAGGAAAAGAGGGAGGAAGAAAAATAGAAAGGAAGCAGGGAGGGATGAGGGGAGAGAAAGAAAGGGAAAGAAACCAACTAGCTATTAAAATATCTTTCATTTAGGAATCACAGGCCTGTGAACAATTCAATACAGCAAAACAGCAGTGCTGTGCAGGTCTGCGCACTTCTTTTGTGTGGATCAAAGGATTTTGCCTTTAATGCACAACCTGTCTTCTCTACCAGACTAGAAAGGAAACTCCTTACCACTAGGGACTTTTTACTGATCTTAACTTCCTGCAGTGTCCAGCACAAGGCCTTGTGCATGATAGGTACTTTCAAAACATTTTTAAAAATGGAAGAACTACATTAAACGTGAGCGACCAACTCTCAGGTGGTTGGGTTTGCGAGGTCACCCACGAGATGACCTTGAGCTGATGCGAATGGTCCATCTTGCTGCAATCAGCAGAACTCAGCCTCTGAACGCCCTCACTGCACCGCCACACTAAGCACACTAGAGTCAAGGACTATGGGCAGCCAAGTGCGTCCAAAAACAAATGCCCCTGCCTGACGGCCCATGACTCTGTCATCATAATGAGCGGTGAGCTCCAGGCACCGGATGGTCCCGTGTAATTAATTATGCAGCGTCGTAAAAAGGCAGGCAGGAAATGTCCTCTGGTCAACCGGGGAGGGCAGAGTCCTGGGGGCTGAAGAGGGTCCCGCAGGTGGAAATAAGCACCCAGGAGCTTTGGGGGATCTTGCTACACTTGCTTCTGTTGTCCAGGGGGTGGGCTCCCTAGACACCTGAGAGGCACAGCATTCTTGTGTCAGGACAGGGCTGAGCTGCAAAGCCCCTGTCGCCTCCCACAGCAAGGGCAGGTAAACCTCAGTGATCCATACCCCACCGACCAGCTGTAGTTTAGAAATTTCACACACACGCGCGCGCACACACACACAGAGTTGGAATGCAAAGTATGCATTAACTTAATGTGGTTTTAAAATTATTAAATATCCCTTATCAACCAACTAGAAATGTGCAACTAATATTAGCGGTGGGAGGAGGGTTCTCGAATTCTAAACGGTAGATTCTGTTTGAGGTGTCTAAACTAAGACAAAAAATTTCACATGTGTGACTCATCCAAACCATTAGAGGGCGACCTTCACCTTTACAAGTCTTTTGAGCAATTGTGGGGGGTGGTGGGGGAAGGCAAGATCCTGACATGTATTGAATGGACTTTGTGTTGTAGACTAAGGCACTATGGAAGAAAAATGGTAGCTACCAAAATTAATATACAAATATTGCTAAAATGCCATATCTATTTTGCATAGAGTGGAACTGAATCAATTGTATCTCTTGAATTTTGCTTTAGCTCTGCCTAAATTGACCTAAAGTCCTCAGTCAATTCCTTCATCCTTGGAATTTAGCCAAGGATTTGTGTTAACAGACTGTTTCGTTGCATTTTTCTATTTTCCAAATAAGTGAGTTGATGCGCGACAGGATTGTTTATGAGGGGGGGATGAGTTCTGCAAGAGCCCACCAGAGGGAGCCAAATGACTGCTTTAGAACCCTTCATTCACTGCTGCTTTGCTTTTCCTCTTTGGGAAGCTGCTTAATCAAACCCATTGAACACCCTTCCCTCCCCTCCCACCACCCGAGACACTTAAAAAATTAGAAGTAATCCTAGCACCAGAAATGCACATTCCGTATTTTCTTAGCCCACAGACTATGAACAAACAAATAATACTGCTGTGGCGAGGTATTTTAACAGTGTGAAAATTGCCCACTTAATAGGGAATAGAATAATTAAAGAGATCTTGGCTTAGGAAAAAAAGTGAAACGGCGGACACACAGTGAGAAAAAAATCCGGTCAAGTACAGTGACCTGCCAGGGGATGGGAGAGAATTCGAGAACCAATTAGGATTCTAAACAACTTACCCAACTGAACAGATCACTTTTCTCCTATTTTCAACGAACATTTCAAGCATCTGCTTTCAAAGGAGCCTTGACAGTGACTGTTTCTTCTTTCATTTTTTATTTTTATTTATTTATTTATTTATTTTTTTGAGACGGAGTCTGGCTCTGTCGCCCAGGCTGGAGTGCAGTGGCGCGATCTCGGCTCACTGCAAGCTCCGCCTCCCGGGTTCACGCCATTCTCCTGCCTCAGCCTCCCGAGTAGCTGGGACTGCGAGTAGCTGGGACCACGAGTAGCTGGGACCACAGGCGCCTGCCAACACGCCCGGCTAATTTTTTTGTATTTTTAGTAGAGACGGGGTTTCACCATGTTAGCCAGGCTGGTCTCGATCTCCTGACCTTGTGATTCGCCCACCTCGGCCTCCCAAAGTGCTGGGATTACAGGCGTGAGACACTGCGCCCGACTGTTTCTTCTTATGCTGTGATGGGGGTTAGCTCTGCTAGGAAGTTTCTAGACGAACACATCCTCCCTGGTTCTGTGCTGCTTCAGACCTATGAGACCCTCTGTTCAGATCAACAGCATTTGCCCACTGGCATTTGCCATTATTGGCATTCTGAAGGCCAGGATCTGCTGGGAAAATGGTGTATCTGAATTTCAGCCACGTTCTTAAAATATCCATCCTTGGCTGGGCGCCGTGGCTCAAGCCTGTATTCCCAGCACTTTTGCAGGCTGAGGCCAGGAGTTCGAGACCAGCCTGACCAACATGGTGAAACCCTGTCTCTACTGAAGATACAAAAATTAGCTGGGCGTGGTGGTGCGTGCCTGTAATCCCAGTTACTCGGGAGGTAACTGGGATTGAGGTGGGAGAATCGCTTGAACCTGGGAGGTGGAGGTTGCAGTGAGCCGAGATCGTGCCACTGCACTACAGCCTGGGTGACAGAGTGAGACCCTGTCTCAAAAAAAAAAAAAAAAAGAAAAAAAATCCAACCTCTTTCTTGACACTCTTACCTTTCTACCCACAACCTGAGGGGCTAATACATCTTTCCTCTTATGTGGCACACACTTTGTAATATATTATAGCTCCAATTCAATTCCATAGTTATTTTTAATCTGACTTTCCTATTAAACTGTCAGTTCCTTGAGAAAAGAATTTTGTCTTAATACTCTCCCTAGCCCCAGAACCAAGCAGGATGCAATGCACACACTAGGAGTAATTCAATGTTATGGATAAATGATATCTTTATGAACAAGGTGTAAAATAATAAATAAGAACTAAGAGACAGCAGGTATTTACATGGTGCCAGTCTCGGTCTAAGCACTAGATGTGTTCACTCATTTCATCTGCAGAAATGCGCTGTGAAACAGGGGATAGGCACTACAAGTGTCTACATTTTTAAATTGGCAAAACTAAGGTGATGGATGAGGAGGATTAAGTAACTTGCCCAGGGACACGAGTAGTAGAAGCTGAGACTGGGGTTTGAACCCCAGGAGCCTGATGCCAGAGCCTATGCACACAACCGTAAGACCATAAAGAGCCACACCAGAGAATGGAGACAGGATGGTTATGCAGGTCACAACCTGCTTAATGACTATACTCAAAGTGTGCTGATTAATTCACAACCAATAAAATCTTGACTAGAGTAACATGTTACTTCCCTCAATGTGTTAGGTAGGGCAAAAAGCTGAGCTACTGGAACAAGAGAACACCCCTTCCAAATATAATGGCTTAAAGACCAAAAAGCACGCGTTTTTCACTCAAGTAATAGTCTGGGGTGTGTGTTCTGTGTCAGTGAGCAGCTCTGCTCCGTGTGGTCATCCAGGGACTTGAGATCTTCCATCGTGGAGCTCTGCCATCCCTGAGGGCCTTTTCTCTGTGTGGCTGGGGCTGGGCCATACTGTGTCCAGGCTGCACCCAGCAGGAAGGCAAAAGAGACATGGGGAAGGCACACTCACTGTCTTGACGCCTCATCTTTGGGGAGAACTTAGTCATGTAGCCACATTTAACTGCTGGGAAATGAGGTCTTGCTGACTGGAATATTATTTGGCAAAAAAGGAGGAATCAAGTACTGATACATCCACAGTGTGGGTGAACCTAGAAAACATTAAGCTAGTGAAAGAAGCCAGTCACATAGGACCACACACTGCATGATTCTCATTATATGAAATGTCGAGAGGAGGCAAATCTACAGAGCTGGAAAGTAGATTAGTGATTGTCAGGAGCTGGGGGGATGAGGAGATTGGGGGTGACAGCCAAGGTGTGGGGTTTCTTTTGAGGGTAATAAAAATGTTCTAAACATGATTGTGGTGATGGATATAATATATTGCGAATCTACTAAATATACAAAGTCATTAAATTTACACTTCAACTAGGTGATTTGTATGATGTGCTAATTACACCTCAATATAGCTGTTGAAAAGTCATCATCAGCTAGAACAACAGGCTCAAATCAACCCGATGAAATGTATCATAGCTCCAGGGAAGAGCCAGCGGTGTCAGCGAAACTCCATTTCACAAGAGCAGGATGGGAGAGACATGGCTGAGCAGACCCCAGTGAGCTGCAGAAGGATTTTGGCATGTCATAAGCTCAGGGCAAGCTGCTGAAAGAGTTAAAGTCACTGAATTCAAGATTGTTCTCTCGCAGTTTAACTTCCAGGGGCTGTCAGGAGCTTTAGAGAGTCAATAAAGCTCCAAACTCACTATTAGGAAAAATAAACATGAAAAATTGACATCTTAACGCAGTGACTGCCAAGGATTCAGTGTCAGAAGAGTCCAGCTGGCCTCAGATTTTTTGACTCAGGGCTTCTGCTCTCAGGCCTGGCTGTGACTTTTTTTTTTTTTTTTTGAGACTGAGTGAGACTCTGTCACCCAGGCTGGAGCGCAGTGGCACGATCTTGGTTCACTGCAACCTCTGCCTCCCAGGTTCAAGCGATTCTCGTGCCTCAGATTCCCAAGTAGCTGGGATTACAGGCATGTACCACAACGCCTGGCTAATTTTTGTATTTTTAGTAGAAACAGAGTTTCACCATGTTGGCCAGGCTGGTCTCAAACTCCTGACCTCAGGTGATCCACCTGCCTTGGCCTCCTAAAGTGCTGAGATTACAGGTGTGAGCCACCATGCCCTGTCCCCTGGCTGTGACTTCAGCCCCTGGAGTGTGCCCATCAGGGACAGTGGAGATTAGAGTGAGAAATTTCTTTAGTTTGGGGCTTTTGGGGTTAGAAGCGTGGGGCAGGGTAGGTATGTCTTGGTGACAAATGGCCAGGGTTCCCGAGGACACACCAACAAAAAAAGAAAATGAGGCTGGGGGGAGCCAGAAATCAAGCCTCAAGAGAAGGAAATCAAAATTGCAGCAGATACAGTATCTCTAAACACCTCCCAATCATGCTTCCTTATCTCTGGCTTTCAACACCTCCTAAAACGTCAGTTTTACCTTCTGCCATTTGCACTCCATCCCTTACCAAAAATAACCTGAGGAGGACAGAATGGAAAATGTGACGTATAATTATTGCTCCGACTAGGTTTAGATTTTACCTTTGAGCTACCTGACAGAAAGACAATGGGATTATTTAAATAATTCTCATTTTCAGAAAGAAGAAAACATACCAAATTCTTAAGATATAAAAGATCTACTGACACAGCAGCTAAACAAAATTTTGACATGAATTTATGTTTTAAAGGATAAAATCTAGAAATGGAAAAGCATTTTTGATAAAGCATGGCTTTATGATTCATATGTATTGCTCGGAAGTTTCTGGTGCTTTGATTAGTTCTACCAGAGAGCTACATATATTGGAAATCAATGTAAACAACTTAATTTTCCTATAATTCAGCCAACCCCACCCCTGCATCCAGCAATTATTTATGTCCCTGGTAGGTTGTAGCACTGAGGTGACCGAAGGAAGGTATATTAGAGGATGAGAATGGTACTTGCCTTCAAGAAACCTAGTTGACAAGTCGAGTTTGAGACCAGCCTAGGCAACACAGGGAAACCCTGTCTCTACAAAAAATTAAATTAAAAAAAAATGGCAGGGCATGGTGGCACATGCACCTGTGGTCCCAGCTACTTGGGAGGCTAAAGTGGGAGGGTCACTTGAGCTCAGGAGTTTGAGACTACAGTGAGCTATGATCACACCACTGCACTTCAGCATGGGTGACAGAGGGAGACCCTATCCAAAAAAAAAAAAAAAAGAGAAAAGGAAAGAAAGAAAGAGAGAGGAAGGAAGGAAGGAAGGGAGGGAGGGAGGGAGGGAAGGAAGGAAAGGGAAAGAAACTTAGCTGGGAGGCAAAACACATGAAATAATTTGAAATGGGAAATGGCAGAAACTGAACTACTGCTGTGGGTAGCAGTTAGTCACCTTAGCTTAGTAGTGGAGGATTCCAGGAGAGATCAATAAGAACCACAATTGTAAATAAAGACCCAGAACAAAGGTCTGGAGAGCCCATCTCAAGAATTTGGACCAATCTCCTTCATAAAGAGGGCATGAGGCTCCCACTCACCCAAGAAAGGCTGGTCCTGTGCCAACAAGGCCAGAGAGCTGAAACAGCCAAGCCACAGGCCTCATTACAGGACAGCCGTCCCCCACAACAGATGCAGCCCCACCCAAACAAGAGAGTTTGGGGACAAAGGAGAGCTAAATCTCCTGGCCATCCCCGATCCCCCAGCCCCATTTCAGCATCACTGGGGCCTCAAAGGGGCCAGGTGGCATTGGGGGCAATTCTGCCATCAGCCCCTGGGAACTGGCATTTTTAATCTGCTCAATTAGGAATGTAAGGACATCTCACTTCCATTTGCCAGGCTGGCAGGGAGGGTGTGCCGACAGCCAAATGCGCTTAGTGTTGCTGAGCAAAAGTGGAGGAAATTCAACAGAAATGCAACCTCCGGCCGGGCTCGGCAGCTCACACCTGTAATCCCAGCACTTTGGGAGGTGAAGGTGGGCAGATCACCGAGGTCAGGAGTTCAAGATCAGCCTGGCCAACATGGTGAAACCCCATCTCTACTAAAAATACAAAAAATTAGCTGGGTGTGAAGGCAGGTGCCTGTAATCCCAGCTACTTAGGAGGCTGAGGAAGGAGAATCTCTTGAACCTGGGAGGTAGAGGTTGCAATGAGCTGAGATCACACCACTGCACTCCAGCCTGGGTGACAGAGTGAGACTCCATCTCAAAAAAAAAGAGAAAAGCAACCTCCTTCAGAAAGAGAGCCATTGGCTGACAAAACACCCAGAGGCGCCCAGCTCTCCTTTCCAGCCCTCCATGTTTGACCATGACTGCAGGACTGTGACGGTCAAGGGTGTCTCTCTTTTCCTCACTTCGAAATCAGGATAATAATAGACAGTGATTGCTTTTGCAAAGATTAAGGCAATGCCTGTAATGTGCTCAGGCCCGATACCTGTATAGAGAAGGCACAAGTTTAGCTGCTAGGACACGGCTGATTTCTAGCATTTTCGTTCTTCCTTCTGGCGTTTTTAGTCCCTCCACTCCTGGAGGCCACATTCAGACTAGGTCTCTCCTGGGATGCAAGGAGAGAAGGTTCAAATACACTACCGTGAAGAATCGCTCTGCATATCAGTGTCTCAGCAACAAGTCAAGCTGTTGCCTGAAAATGTCTGGAAGTTCATGGAACTTTTTCATGAAACCCAAGGGTGTGGCTTCTGGGATTGCAATGTGCAGCGGCATCATTTACAGGGCTCGCTCACCTTCTTTTGCTCTGTGCCTCACCAGGAAGAAGTGGGGTTGTGGGGGAAGCTGTTTTTATACCCTGGAGGCTCAATCTGTCCTCCCCTACTTCCACTCCTGGCCTTCTCTTTCTTTTGCAGCTCACAGCACATGAATTAACCATCCCGTTACCCAAGGTCTGTGCCAGGGAGAATAATGGCCCCCAAATATGGTCACGCTCAAATCTCTGGAACATGTGACTATGCTAGGTGACAAGGCGCAGGGAGATTAAGGTTGCAGATGGAATTCAGGTTGCTAGTTAGCTGCCTTTAAAATAGATTATTCTGGGTGATCCTGGGGGCGCTAAGAAATCACAGCATTCTTAAAAGAGGAAAAGGGAGGAAGAAGGAGATGTGAGTGGGGGAGAGATAGTCCAGGGATGCAGTATTACCGGGATTTGAAGATGGAGGAAGAGGCCACAAGCCAAGGAATGTGAGCGGCCTCTAGAAACTGAAAGACAAGGAAACAGATCTACATGGGTCTCCCCTAGAGCCTCCAGATAGAAAGGCAGCCCTGCTAACACTCAGTTACAGTCCACTGAGACCCAAGTCAGACTTCTAAAATTAATAATTTTTTATTTTCCTTTATTTGTTTATTTATGTATTTATTTTTGTAGAGACAGAGTCTCACGTTGTTGCCCAGGCTGCTCTTAAAGTCCTGGCTTTAAGTGATCCTCCTGCCTTGGCCTCCCAAAGTGCTGCAATTACAGGCCAGAGCCACTGCATCCCAGCCTTCATGTCAGACTTTTAACCTACAAAACTGTAACATAAGGCCCCAGGTGCAAGGCTTACGCCTGTAATCCCAGCACTTTGCAAGGCTGAGGTGGGTGGATCACTTGAGTTCAGGAGTTTGAGGCCAGCCTGGCCAACATGGCAAAATCCCATCTCTACCAAATACAAAAATTAGCTGGGCGTGGTGGTGCACACCTGTAATCCCACTTGCTCTAGAGGCTGAGGCATGAGAATCACTTGAACATGGAAAGCAGAAGTTGCAGTGAGCCGAGATCGCACCACTGCACTATAGCCTGGGTGACAGAGTGAGACTCTGTCTCAAAAAAACCAACAAACAAAAAAACCTGTAACATAATACACTTGTGCTGTTTTATTTGTGGTAATTTGCTATAGAAGCTGCAGAAAATTAATACAGGTCTTTCTTTTCATCTATGGTGACATCCATTCTGTCCCCCAAGATGTATTTCTTACAGAGAAGGCACACGCCATCCCCTTGATTTTTCTTTTGCCTTGGCCTAACAGGCTGGTCAAATCCTGCTAAGCCCCTATGCCTGTGGACAAGGGTAAAATTTGTCATCCTCCACGGGACCCATCACTGAGAGTCTGTGTTAGAGAGTAGGGAATGGCCAAAGAGAGCCAGGCATGGAAGAATCTGGAATCCCAGCCACCCGGGAGGCTGAGGTGGGAGGGTCACTTGAAGCCAAAAGTTTGAGAACAACCTGGGCAACATAGCAAGACTCCACCTCTAAAAATAAGTAAAAAAATTAAAAATTAAAAAAATGAAGAATGGCCACGAAGGAGAGATTGAACAGATAGGTGTGGGTATGTTTCTAGGTTGCTGAGCACACCCACATTCCTCATGATAAACCTTCAGTGCTCCCCAGTCTCCTCAACACCACGAACCCCATGGGCCCCAAGGTTTAAGAGACTATACATGTGTCCATTTAAAGCTAATTTTCCTAACTTTGTTAATCAGAGATACATATGACTTCCAACCAAAGCCTGTGATTAGCATGATGTTGCCAGAGCTATCACAATGAGTTCACAGAATTCCAGGTCAAAACAAAGCCAGGAAGCTTTAGAAATCCTGCCCAGTCCTATCGGCAGTAAAGATTTCATTTCTCTAAGTGTTTAATATTGAAAATTCTTGGTTTAGCCCCATTACCATCTCCATGGCTTCCTGAAGTTCCCAGACTCAGAACTATCAAAAGATATTTTATTTGTGTGATCCATTCACATCCAGAACTTTACTCCTCAGTACCTACCTCTTTTCACCCAAGTGTTATTTCTGAGTGCCCTTCAGCTCTGTGACTGCTGGGATGGTTTTTTTTTTTTTTAATTGTATTGGGAGATTCACTTCAAGGTCAGATTAGATTCTGAGCTGGCGTATATAGCAATGTCAATATCTATTGTGAGCCTTGGGGATCCCATAATCTGATAAAAAAAGCTTTCTCCAGTCTGTCCCTGAGAAGAAAAAGGCTAAAAGCCAATCCCCTGGAGTCTCCTTTTATGGGCCATATGCTTCCACTCCATAAAGGGTTAAAGCACATACTTCTTGCCAATGGAAGCGTAAACTCTTAGAACCACTGTGGGGAACAGTACAGCATTAAATCTACTGAAGATATCCACATCCTTAGACAGACGCAAAAAATAAATTCTCTTTTGCAACTCAGAGCTCATTGTGCGGTATGAGCTTTGATACATATAAGAAGGAATATTATGAAAAGAAGAAGAAAAAGATACGCATGTCCTATGACCCAGAACTTCCACTCCTAGGTTTATCCTCAAAGAAATGTCTGCACACGCATGCACTAAGAAACGTACAAGACTGTTCACAGCAGCATTTTTCCTAATGGTCCAAACTGGAAACATCTACAGGAAAATGATAGACAAATAATGTTGCATTCACACAATGCAACACTATACAGCGATTAATGAATTTTGCCACATGCAACAACATGGAGGCACCTCACATTTATAGTGTTAAAAAAAAAGAAAGCAGAAACAAAGAAATGTTTTATGATTCCATTTCCATTAAGTTCAAAAGGTAGATAAAATTCTCATGTTTAAGGATTCAGACTTAGGACACAACATTCTGAAGAAAAGGAAGGAAACAGTGACCATAGAAGCTTGACAGTCATTACTGTTGGAGACGACAAAGGGGATGGTGACTGAGGGGGATATAAGAGGTATTTCTGAGCACTGGCAGTATTCTAGCTCTTGAGCTTGGTGGTGCTTGTCTTGTGATAAATCCTTGAGTTGTGTATTTCATACATTTTTCTATGTGCTGTATTTCAACTTTTTTTACAGCTTAAAATTTTTCTTCTGAACTATTTCTCTAAAAGCAAATTCTTTGTATTTAAATTTTCTATTTTTTGATTTTCCATTATAAAATATAAGCATGAGCATAAGAGAACATTTGAGAAAAATTAGAGAAGTGGAGGAGAAAATTACCTCAAATTCTTTTTCCCAAAGACAAAATGCTATGAACATTTTGGTATATTTCTTTCCATCTTTTTTCTATCACTAGTTTTTGATGTTCTTTTTTTCATTTTAGATGGCCATTTTAATTCAAATCTACATTTTAATATTTTTCACTTAACATTATCTTTTCAACATTTTCAAAGTTATTACAAGCCCTCTGCATGATTATTTTCATGACCATGTGTGTCATTTAATAATGCATCATTAACCCAATGACTTATCCACTTAAACAACATTTAGGTTGTATCCTCATTTTGTTTATAAATAGTGTCATAGTAGAGCTTTTTGTGTACAGTGTTTTCCATATTTCAAATTATTTCCTTAGAACTGATCCCTAGAAATGGAGTTTCTGGGGTTAAAAATAGTACTTTTGTAAGGTTCTTAATAAAAAGCACATCCTTTCTACCAGGTCAGAGTTCAAGGAGCTTAATGAGTTTGAATAGGCTTACCATGGGTCCATTTAGAATAGTCCCTTGCAGAACTGAGCAAACCGGTCTACATCATCGAGCAAAGCCCTTCCCTAACTGCTGTTCCAGCCCAGTGATACCACTCAGATTGAGTTAATGCCCCTTCATCTATCTTCCCACTGAGATGCATAGCTTAGGTGTACTTAGGTCACCCAGTCAAACTCCCTAAAGGGGCAGAGCTTTAAGTTCATCAGTAAGTCCCTAATGCTGGCACAGCAATTCCAACAAGGTTTTAGAGTCTTCATTATAAAATGGGAATATTCATGCCTACTTTGAAGGAATGCATGTGAGTGTAAATGAGATTGTGCATGAAAAGTGTTCAGTATAGTGTCTACCACGTAACAAAGACTCTACAGACCTGAGGCTCTTCCTTTTCTCTTGGAGCTCATCTTTCTTCCCCAGTGGTGACAGGGTCAAGGCAGAGAGAAAAAAAGGAGGTAAATACTCAGGAAATAAAATAATGCCATATAAATTGTGACTTTTGAGTAAATTTTATGAACAGGCAACATTTATGGAATGGAGGCACCGACCCCAAATCTTGCATCCACTTGGATTGCTACCACTCCTGAAACCATTACCATTTGAGTCCTTCTTAGACGCTAAGGAATTGTCACCAGAAGGCGGAATCATTTGCTTCTCCACAGTTTTGTTTGGAGTAGTGTTTCTCCAAAAGTGGTTATTGGACTATGTTAGAATCACCTGGTATATTAAGTTAAGAAAAGCTAGAGGTTGTAACAAATGGTCCCCAAATTTCAGTAGCTGACAGCATAAATATGTAGTTATTGCTTATTACATAGTCCAGTGACTGTTGCAGATTGTAAAGGGTGATCTTCCCTACACACTCATTCAGGGGCACAGTTTTCCTTCCATCTAATGTCTCTGCCATCACTCAGGGCATTTAGAGTCCTCTCTGGGATCCTCTGTACCAAGGTGGCAGATGACAAGAGGAGAAAAAGCCAACTTAGAGGATTTCAAGAGTGGTTTTAGGGACTAATGCTAGAAGTGATGTACCTTACTTTTGCCTACATTCCATTGGCCAGGACTGAATTACACAGTCCAACACAGCTGCAGGAAAGGCTGGAAACTGTAGTTTAGCTCTATACAAGAGAAGAAGGAAACAATTTAGTGATCTCATTGCATATCTAGGGTGCTTATTAAAAAATTATGTTTTCCAAAATTATATACACACACATATATACATGTTTGTGTATGCATATACACACATATATACATGTATATGTATGCATATACATATAGATGCATATGCACACATATATATAATGTGCATATATAATATTATTTATATATATATATATAATGTTTTTTCCTGATGCTACTAGACCCACCAAATCATAAGTTTTGAAGTTAAAGCTGATGACTTTTATAGGTACTGAAGTTGGAGTGCTGGTCCAAAGATGGCTTTGATGGTTCCAGCACTAACAGTAACACCTCCTCTTTTCCAAAGTCTATCACTGTCATTGGTCTTCCTTAAATATCAGGCTGAGTCCCAAGAGTATTTTTTGCAAATCTTTCAGAAGTTGCAACAACTGTAGCATGAGGATTCTCAGGATGGTTTGTCCCCAACGCTAAGATTGCAACATCCCAGTAAGGATGTGAGTGAGCGTGCTGTTTGCCAGGTCTTTTTCTCGCCAGTTTTATTCTTACTCAAACAAAGGGAATATTGTGGGGCTTCACTGAGTGACACAAATGGAAGCTAGCCCACACAACTAAGATCTATTTGCTTTAGGGACACGGTTGAGGTCACTTTTCATTTTATGGGTACATCATTTTATGGGGGCACATGGGAGAGGTTTCTGTCTGATGTCAGTACTGCAAATAGTTGTTCTTCTGTGAGAAACCAGTTTACTTTTATCTTAGACCCCGTGAATCATGACATTTATTGTGTTTTTTCTTTGCATTGGGAACAATGAGGAGGTTTGGAGCCAGAACTTTAGAGCATCTCCAGCAAGTGTACAGAAATTAATTCCAGTTACATCTGATTTTTTCTACTTTCACTCCAAATATTTTCATTTACTTATTTTCTGATCTTGTTAAAGTACACATATTTGCGCATACTACTTAATATGTATTTTGAATGAGCAGGGTATAAATAGATTTTTAACTGTTAAATATGATATTACAGGCATGGTGGCTCATGCCTGTAATCCCAGCACTTTGAGAGGCTGAGGCAGGTGGATTGCCTGAGCTCAGGAGTTCAAAACCAGCCTGGGAAACATGGTCGAACCCTGTCTCTACCAAAAATTAGCTGGGCTTGGTGACTAGTGCCTGTGGTCCCAGCTACTCGGGAGGCTGAGATGGAAGGATCGCTGGAGCCTGAAAATTTGAGCCTGTAGTGAGCTGTGATTATGCCACTGCACTCCAGCCTGAGTGACAGAGTGATACCCTGTCTCAAAAAAAAAGATGATATTGTGACAGAAAAATGAACAGAACAGGTCCTTGGTCTTTTTACCATATTTTAGCCCAAGGAAAATTCTTCCTATAAATGGCACACATGAAGCCTTAATCACTGGGTTTGACCCAGTACTAACTGAGCTTCCCTAGAGATCTCAGAATAGATTCATTAATTAAAACCGCATATACCTTTCCAAGATGATTCTGTCTCAGTTATTTCTTTCCTGAGATAGAATCACCCCAATTTGGGCCCAGAGGCAGTGAAGAACTTAAATGTCATCAGGAAGAAGTGTTGAATGGACCACTCTTGTCTTTGATAAATTTTGCTCTTGCCTGAAACTTCTCCACCATAATGTTTAGATCAGACGATGAAAACAAAGTGAGAAACAGTCAGGCATCCTTAAGACATTGCATGACTATTATTTAGTAAAAATTTTCCCACATTGAATTGAATAAGTAAGTTATGGAGCAGATTGAGAGAAAGGTATCTAAATGTCCATTCAATTAACTAAACTTTATTAGACACTGTCACTGTGCTTTCATGTTATTTTTATTACACACACGCGCGGGCGTGCGCGCACACACACCCTCCCCCCCATCCCCCCAACGGAAACAAGCACACACCCGGGACGGGAGGTATTAAAAAGGTGTGATCCCCTTGCTTTTAGATTTGAGCAGATGGCCCATGGTTTGAGGCGGTTGCCTCCGCAGGCTCGGCCTTTACCTTCAGCACCAAGGCCAGCGCACCTGGCTCCACGAGGCTCCCAGAACCTTCGCCATTCCGGGACTCTCATGCCCAGAACTGCAATAAAAAATGTTATTTCTCAATGAAATTCACCTTCCTAACTCATGAATTGCGCTTCATTCATTGCTCTTCACGAAGTGGTCATTGGTACCAGCAGGAAAAGTGTGAGACAAGGAGAAACGAAAATGTCCAACGTATTGGAGACCTGCCCCCTTACACACATGCACGCACGCTCACACACACACAACCAGATGGTCCGGATGTTGGTTGAGTTTTGCTCTCCTCACTCCTCAGGGACCCAGTTCCTCTTTGCACGGGGAAGCAGTTAGGAAGAGCATCCCTTTCCTCCAGTCCCAATAAGGAGCGATTCCTGAGCGAGGATTGGGAGGGGAGGAACACCAGTGCTCAGGTCTCTGAGTTTCTAAGGTTTGTCCTCCCACGGAGGTTTTTATCCTTGGGGCTTATGTATAGTTTTTGACTTTAAGGCACACAAAGACAACCTACCCAAAAGATTGCCATTCCCAATTAAAGTCCTAATGAAAACAGCCCCGTGAGGAAGACACATCAGACATTGGTTCCCATTTCATGGATGAGAAAACTGAGCCCAAGAGGTTAAGCTACTTGCCCAAGATAACACAGTGAGTCACCGACAAAGACGAACCCCAAAGCTGGATTTCCAATATTCTTTTCTGCTTGCCTTTCCTCACTAAGATGCATATATTTACCAACTGTCACCACGATCCGCAGTTCTTCGCCCCTCCCTCTGTCCCAATTATCTAGAAACAAAAAGAGTAGAAAATCGAAAATGAGATGGAGGTCGGCAGGGGTGTGAGGCCACGGATGGCTGCTGCTTCCTTGCTTCCTTCTTTTGAAGCCAGAATCGACTCTGCTCTTGCTCGATGACAGCCCCTCGCCGGAGGCGCGGCTCCTGGCCTCTGCGGGGGTCCGCGCAATCCGGGCGCCTCCAGCTGCCCCCCTCCTCCGAGGGTCGCAGCCACAGAGCGCAGGCCCAAGCTGGGGCAGACCAAGGGCGGCTGGGGTGCTCATGCCGGTGCCGGCATCACTGCCGGAGCCGCCCTGGGCGCACTGCACCCAGCGCTGCTTCTCTCGCTGGTTCTGTGCCGCTGCTCCTCCCGATGCTTGGGGGACCGCAGGGAGGCCGAATGACAACCGGGGAGCCTCGGGGCCGCGCCTGAGGCCCAGAGTCTGGGCTGTGCAGAGCGCAGAGCCCCAGCTTCCCCAGCTCCCTCCTGGATTAATGCTTGGTGCCAGGGAGAAGCGCAGGGCTCTTTCCGCCTCCTCCCCAAGTGCACCCGGGCGCGCTTCCATCTGATTAGAATGTTTCTTCCATCTTATTAGAATGACAGTAGCTTTCAAGTCATTCATTATGAGAAGAATTTTAGTCTTAAAAGAAAAAAGGGAGTCCCACTGTAATTGTGAGTTGTAATAAATGCAAACTTCTGGTGCCTTCCTCTGCAGCATGGAAGACAGTAAAAAATGTGTCTCGTCCAAACGCACCCCCTCTCCAAGCCCATTGTGAAGTCAGTCGCCAACAAAGGGGACGTGTGAATATTCAACACCGACTCTTTCACTTGTTTTTTCCGGAATCCCTGAGTCGACTCACCCCCTCTCCTTTTTTTTTTTTTTTAAATGGGCGAATACCTGTTTAAGTTTTAAAAGCACATGGAAATTGCCCGCGAGCGACCATATAATTTGATTTGCCAGGCAATCTGCAGAGCGATCGCACGTCATTTATAATGTTCATTGAGCATTTTGCCTAATTGTGTCTGTCTCTGAAAGGGCAGCGCACCCCCTCCCGACCGCTAGCAGCACAAGTGGCGACATTCCCATGGAGCGGCCGCGCCGCAGCTTGCCGCATTCAGCGCGGACGGCCTGGCCGCGCGCTTCCCCGCCCGGACGACCGGGCGCGCCTGACACTAATAGCTCGCGGCTCAGGTACGAGCGGGCGCCGCATTTGACTCAATTCAATTCACAACCGGCCGCGCTTGCAGGTGTCGCCTTTTGAAACCGCCATTCAGGCGGCCGCTGTTCACTTCTCGCTGCGCCGCGGGTTCTGTAGAAGCGCAAGAATGGGGCTGATTATTCCGGTGCCCACATGCCGCCCCCACACGCCCCCACCCCCGTCCGGCGCAAGACTTCCCTTGGCCAAAAGAGGCGTTTAATTAGTTCTGGGGCCGCGGAGAGCCAGCGTGGCCGACAAAGCCCGGCTCCCCAGGTAACCCGGGTTCCCTGCGGACCCGGGAGGGGGCGCGCGGGGCCGGAGCACCGGCCTTGGGCTGCGCGCTCCCTCCGGCGACACTGCCGTCCCCCTGGCCTCCGGCCCGGTCCCCCGCAGGCCAAAGGCTCATCTGCCGGGCTTGGGTGGCCCGGGCCAGCGCCGCCTGCGGTCCCCGAGTGCGGCTGGCTCTAAGGCCGGCGCCCTCTCCCCGGCTTTCAGTGCTCAGAGCCAGGCCAGCGGGAAAGAAGGCAGCATGGTCCGCAAAAGACAGGTGGCAGTGGCAGTCTTGCATGATACTTGTCCTTCTTCCCTGTTCCCCATTTTGGGGAAACACTGGAAACACTTTTCTCTTTATGCGCATTCGCGTCTCAGCACCGAGTGCTCCAAGCCCTGCGCGCAGCGCCGGGCTTGGAAGGCGGCGAATGGCTGCCTAGCCGCCGCCCCTACTAGTGACACTCGGCCGCCAGCCCCCGCCCAGGATGTGCACATCTGCTGGCAGCACTGGCCCGGGTGGCAGTCACCGGGCCACCCACTCCACAGGTACAACCGCACCCAATCCAACCTGGAACTCGGAGGGCTGTGCGCGCCGAGCTGGGATCGCGCCCCAGCGAGCCGGGCCTTTGGCTGCGCCAGGGCCCAGGCCGAGTCATCCCGCCGCTCGCGTCGCCGCGAGGCGGGACACCGTGTGATACCTTTGCCGTGGGCTGGGCGTCGGCCGCGGGGCGGAGAGCGGGTGTCCCACCTCGCCTCATCATTTGATTTCCGCCAGCGTCTGAGGACGGCGCACCCAATTCGTTCCACTCGCTGCGCTCTGTGAACCAGCGGCGGGCAGGGCGGGGGAGGCCGGGCTGGGGGAGGGCAGGGTGGTCCCAATCCCCCGCCCCCGCCCCGCCGGCCTCGCGGAGCACAAGTGTTGGGATTCCCACGGGCAGGCGTGCTCTGCGGCTGGAGGCCCGAGCGCCCAGGGCCCAGGAGACGTGGCGGACACAGAGGGGTTTGTAGGCACGGTGACCTCCGTGCTCCTGCTCTGAAAGGGCCTGAAAGGAGCGGTTTATGGTGCATTACCAGTCAAGGGCTCAGGTACCAGCGCCTTGTGTCGGGAACCCGGGCGGCCGCCCGTGCTGCAGGTGTCTGCTATACAAACGCCCCGGGAGGGGGAGGGCAGGCCGCCGGATTGGGGGCCGGGGAGGGGCCTCCGGCCTGGCCTGCTCCTGCCACTCGCGCGGTTTCGCTCTTGCTCCTCTGCAGCCATAGCAGCCAGCCAGGGGTGCAGACGGAGATCCTAGCTGCCGGGACAGAAAAAGCTGCAGGGGCCTGGCTGCCCAGTCCCGATTTGGTTTCAAGACTAACGGCAGCAGGAGGTCACAGGAGGCTTGAACCTCTCCGGGGAGACAACCGCTGTGCCGGGGAAGAAACATTTTGCCCATATGTTGGGCTGCTTGGGCCTCCAGAGGCCTGCCAGGATTTAACTTGAACTTTCCAGGTAGGCCTGCCCTCTCCTTGTCTATCTTCCTGTGCAAAGAAGGGCCTGAGCCCAGGCGCATTTAGCAGCTGTTCCTGGTTAAACAGCAGTGTGGCCTTCTCACTGACCTCTCCCAACGCCACAGTCGCTCCCTGCCCAGAAGAAACCACGGAAGGTACGTTAGCTTCTTTGGGCTGCACCAACAGCTATGCCTTTAGTGGGTCACTCCTGTACCCGTCTGTGTCCCGAAGGCCTGACAAACCAAGAAATTTAGCCCCCCACCCCCACCCCCTCAAGCTGGCTTCTAAAGCAAAACCTTAAAATGCTTTTTTTCCTTAGGGAGGAAATTGTCAATGGAGTTTACTCTCTAGGTAAGCCCCAAAAAGTCTTCACACGGCGGAAATACTGAAAAAGAAAAATAGCACAAGAAATACGGCTATAATATTAAGACAATTTTAAAAAGAACAAGTGGTGTTTAATAATACTCAGGGCCAACTTGAAGAAAAGATGAGGGAGACAGAAATGTTGGGTGTGTCTAAAGGGAACTTCAAAAGGTTTTAGAGCTTGTCTGTCTTGCCTAATATTAGCTGGAAATTTCCTTTCCCTTAATGCAAGGCCACCACCCTCATTACTTTTATATGTGTCATCAATTATTAGGATTCGTTTTTGACCAGATAAAAGAAAATGATTTTCTTAAAGTAATAGAGAAGTTGGTCCAGGAATAAGGCAGTTGGCCAAGGATAAGGAAGATGGGTGTGTGTCTGAAAAGGACTGTTTGCAAGGAGAATAAAGGGGAGAAAATAGATTCCTCACAGGGTGAAAGTCTTTCCCATCTGCAAAAATAACGGAAAAGTCACCCCTGACCTTTCTTTTATCACATTCACAACTCTACTTCTTAATAAGTTCCTCCAGATAGGGGTCTCAATCAAGTTCATTGCCTTTATTCAGTCTTCATCAGTCTGCACCCCAATCTCACATTGAAACTGTTTTTAATCATTTTACCAGCAATTTCCATGTCCCCCAATTTAGGGCCAATTTACAGACCTTAGTTTGCCTAAAATTGCAGTAACAGGCCCACCATTCATCCTGATGGCAAAAGCAGAATCCTTAGTATCATCTTTTCCTTCTCTCTTTTTCCAATTCCCACATTCAATAAGTTCAGAAATCCTAGTAATTCTTTCCAAAATCTCTCTCCAATCTGCCCAGTCACCACCCAGTTCAGTCCTTCACAATATCCCAGCTGTTCTGCTGCCACGGCCTTCTGCTCAGTCTCCCTGCCTGTAGTCCTGCCTTGCTTCCATCCATTCTCCACAGCGAAGCCCCAAGCACCCTTCGTAATTGGTAAACTGGATCATGCTATCCCCCTGGGTAAAACCGTTTGTCGGCTTTCTATTCCCAAATTAATTATAGGTAAGTTATAAAGATGTGCTGCTATACGAGTCAGTTATATATATTATAAAGAATGCATAGGACACACAATTTTTCTAAAAAAAGATAAAAAATGTAGATGATAGTTCTGATAGTTTCTTCCTATACCCCTATAAGGTTTATCCAATCTGCAAATGACTATCTATATGATGCCCATCTCCATAACACAGTTTACAAGGTCTTCTTTGATCTAGATCCCATCTACATTTCCATCCTTACCATCCCTCTTTACTTCATCCTTAATAAAATCCTTTTTTAAATAAAATTTTTTATTTCTTCAAATTTCATGATGATCATTCTGTTTCATGTTACTGTCTACCTCTAATCCTCATTTTCAATCCTCCATATGCCCCATGGAAAAAAGGATATGTTGTACCTACTGTTCTGTTGCTAGTGTTTAATGCTAGCAACAGACAGAACAGTACATAGAAGAGATATTCCAAGCACACTTCCCAGCACACAACAGGTGCTTAATAAATGTGTGTTACAGACATGAACATCGTGCTTCTTTAAGGCAGCCACGTTTTCTATGAAATAACTCAAAATCAGAGAAAGCTGATCCATAGAAAATGAAAAGGATGAAGATGTGCAGAAGGAAAGAGAAAGAAGCACAGGAAAGACAGAGACAATGTCCAGGCATCTTTCTAGATCATGATGTGTTGACTAGTGTACAAGTTTAGCTGCTCTACTGTAAAAAGTTTACAAATATGAGATACAAGTTTATTTACTTCTCATAGAGACAAAACAAAGCTGGATAGGTATTCCAGGCTTGGTATGGGCTCTAAATGATGTGGGGGACTTCAGTTCCTCTTGTGTATTTGCTCATCTATCCTCAACGTGTAGCTTTCAACTCATGGTTCATAGTAGCTGCTCCAACTCCTCCTGTTGCCTCAGCATCCCAACCAGTGGAAAGAGGGGAAGTGACAATATAGGACATGTCTTTCTCCTTCAAAGACTGAGTCTCAAAGCTTGGCCTCATTTCTGGTCACAACCCATTACTTAGAAATTAGTTTCATAGCCACACAGAGCTGCCATGGTGAGCAGGAAATGTAGTTTTTATTCTGGGTAGCTATGTGCCCAGCTAAAATCCTGGAGTGCCATTATGAAAGGAAGGAGAAAATAGCTATCAGGGGAGAATCTTCAGTTTCTACAACACTTGGCACTGCTGCCTCCTGAGGCCTCACTGCATTCCTGCTATCAGATTCTAGGAGATGCTCTGTATCCCATGATGTATCCCCCTTTTAATGTCTAACTTAGTTCAAATTGGCTTTCACTACTAAAACCAAAAGACTGTAAACAAATCCACAAAGGTACTGAGTCTCTATGCAATGACACTAGGTGCAGAATGCTACATGCACCAACCTAGGTATGTCAGGTGGGCTAGGTTTTGCTGCAGTAGCAACCCCCAAATCTCAGCAGCTTCACACAACAAAAGTTTATTTCTGGTCCAGGTTACCCGTTCTATGAAGGTTTGCGGGGGAACTTTGTTCATCAGAGTCACTCCAGGTCCCCAGCTGACAGATGTCCTGCCCCAAGGTGTACGTCCACAATCATTACAGAATATGGAGGCAAAAGACAAACTGTGCACTGGCTCTTAAAACTTCCTCCCAGAGGTACCATGTCATTTTCACACATCTTTCATTCACTGAGCATGTCATATGGCCACATTTCACCTTGAAGAGGGTAGAGAAGTGTAAGCTATCATCTGCCTGGACGAACTAGAGAGTATCTGTGGTTTGCTCCACTGGCTCCCACAACCTAGGTATGGTGGAAGCTTTTCCGGTTAATTTTTATTTTTGTAAAGCATCCAGAAATTATAAAATGATCTACCTGTACCTTCCTTTCTTCTCTGCTCAAACTTGTCCAGCTGAAGAAGAAATGTACTCTCTAAGTCCTGGAGACCTCCAAGGCCAATGACAACATAATTCCCTCACATCATTTTAAATTTGAGCAGGGAAATATTATATAACAGATGATGCATTCTCAGCTTTGGTTCCATCTGGGACATCCCTTAACATTTTTAGGAGTCTCTGCATATATTCCTAGCACCATCTTGGATTTCTACAATGGGTTTATACTCAGGTGTAGTAGATAACAAGCTTCTGAAAAAGAAAAAAGGCCAGGATCAGGAGTGTGTAAGGATACAGAAAGACATTCTACCATGAGGTGCACACAGGGAAATCTGTTTCTAGGGCTGGCAAAGGCTAAATAAAAGTGAGATTCAGTGGACACGAGGAAATCTCTGTCTACCCCCGAAATGCCTTCAAATGACTGCACTAAGGCTCAAATGCCAGATTCAAAAAAATCCCTTCCTGTGATTTACGGCATTACCTTTCAAGAACCCTAATCAAATGCTGGGGAGGGAATGATGTGGTTGCTCTGTGTTGCCCATACCTTAGGGGAGCAGATGTTTTCCTTTATGGCCTCTAGCTGAGACCAATGGCCCTGAAGTAATTGGCTTCTAAAGAGGGCAAAAAGGATAATTTGGAGCACTGGGCATTCTTTGAAGACATAGGTCTTGGTGGGGCATCCATGTGTTCACCATGAGGCCACTCCATGCCTGGGATGAGGCTGGGCTGTGGAGGCAGGACTAAGAAAGTAGATGCAAAAAGGCACACTGGAAGGTGCAGAACGCAGGCTGTGCTTGGGGCTGAGCCCCTAACATCCCATGGATTTGCTGGGGATATCCATGGGCTATTCACAGCTCTAGGCTTTTGTAAATATGTTCAACCTCCCAGAAGCACATTTCTGCCCCTCCTCTTGTGGTCATTATTTCCTCAGGACTGGCTTAGCTCAACATTGTTCCTTTTTTTTTTTTTTTTAACCCCCCGAGATAGAGTCTTGCTCTGTTGCCCAGGCTGAAGTGCAGAAGCACAATCTGAGCTAACTGCAACCTCTCCCTCCAGGTTCAAGCAATTCCCCTGCCTCAGCCTCCCGAGTAGCTGGGATTATAGGCACACACCACCACCCCCAGCTAATTTTTGTATTTTTCATAGAGATTAGGTTTCACCATGTTGGCCAGGCTGGTCTCGAACTCCCGACCTCTCTGCCTGCCTCAGCTTCCCAAAGTGTTGGGATTACAAGTGTGAGCCACCACTCGTGGCCAACATTGTTCCTTTTTTGAAGCTCTCTCTGTCCCCTCATTCTTATACCGACTTATGCCTCAATATAGCCCTCACTGAACCGGATCATAATTACTCACTCCTGTCTTTACTACACCAAGAACGTGCTAAGGGGCAGAGACTGCACATATTCATCTCCGTATTTCCACATACATAACACAGTCACCTGAACATGGTTGATGCTCGAAACACATTCCTTAAAGCAATAAACTAAAACAGCGTGATTTGACATTTTCTCAGTATTTCTGTGTTTATAGCTTCATATATAATTATGAAAAACAACAAGATTATTCAGCTTAAAAAATACCTAAGTAGTCAGATGTGGTGGTTCATGCCTGTATTGCCAGCACTTTGGGAGTACAAGGAGTTCGAGACCAGTCTGGACAACATGGTGAAACCCCATCTCTACAAAAATTAGTCTGGTGTGGTGACACATGCCTGTAGTCCCAGCTACTTGGGAGGCTGAGGTGGGAGGATGGCTTGAGCCCAGGAGGTGGAAGAGGCAGTGAGTCATGATTGCGCCACTGCACTCCAGCCTGGGTGACAGAGTGAGACTCTGTCTCAAAACAAAGCAAAAAGAAAACAAACTTAAGTGATTGTTCAGCATTATATAAAGTAGTAGTTTCCAAAGCAAATAAGATGTTCTATTGAGGTGCAGGAAGAATTTTAGAACTTAAATCTTTACTCACCTTCTTAAAATTTCTTTTTGTGCATGTTGAAAAATGTACCCAATATATTACTACAGTCCTATCTGTGTGAATTTAAAATATATAAATGTACATATATTCTCAAGAGGTCATACTCAAAACTGGTAATGATAAGGTGCGTTGGGCACAGCTAATCTCCATCTCCCCAACACACACTACTTTTCTCTCTTTCTTTGATGACATTCCAAGTTTTAACTAGAAACATGCTGGGTATATACCCAAAGGAATATAAATCATGCTGCTATAAAGACACATGCACACGTATGTTTATTGTGGCACTACTCACAATAGCAAAGACTTAGAACCAACCCAAATGTCCAACAATGATAGACTGAATTAAGAAAATGTGACACACATACACCATGGAATACTATGCAGCCATAAAAAATGATGAGTTCATGTCCTTTGTAGGGACATGGATGAAGCTGGAAACCATCATTCTCAGCAAACTATGGCAAGGACAAAAAACCAAACACTGCATGTTCTCACTCATAGGTGGGAATTGAACAATGAGAACACTTGGACACAGGAAGGGGAACATCACACACCAGGGCCTGTTGTGGGGTGGGGGGAGGGAGGAGGGATAGCATTAGGAGATATACCTAATGTAAATGACGAGTTAATGGGTGCAGCACACCAACATGGCACATGTATACATATGTAACAAACCTGCACGTTGTGCACATGTACCCTAGAACTTAAAGTATAATTATATATATATATATATATATAAAGAAACATGCCTACCAACCTCAAGACTGTTTGTCTGTGTCCCTTGCAGCTAGATGTGGCTATGTGACAGCTCAGGCCCATTGACTGTGACCATCCTCGATGTAAGCAACCTTCAGGTCATGTTCCTAAAAGGAAAGAAGGAAAGTGCGTCCTTTCCTTTTTCTTGCTGGCTGGGATGGAGATACAATGGTAGGAGTAGGAGTAGGAGTAGGAGCAGCCAGTTTAAACTCAGGGATGGAAGCCATGTTTCAGGAGCATGTTTCAGAGCAACAAGCTGCAAGGAAGCTGGACCTCCAACCCGTGTAGTCATCATATAAACTTTGGATTGCCTATGCTAAACTATTACATGAGAGAGACATAAATATTATATTTTAATCACCCTTTAGACATTTGTTACAGAAGGCAGAACACTTATCCAAAATAATGCAAGGTGTACAGTCAAAAAAAGAACTTCTAAGTTGATACAGATAATCAAGGCTCAAGGTGAAAGATAGCAGTGGAAGAGAACCCAGTTCTTCTTTGAACCCCTGTAATATCACTTCTCATGCATGCCTTTTTCTTTTTTCTTCTGTACTTTATAGACATTTGATAAAAAAAAAAACTTATTGATTAGCCACTGAGTGTAGGGGAAGCAAGATGGGAACTGGCAATCATTGAATGCCTGCTGTGTATCAGATGCTTTACCTAAATCATTTGCTTTACTTTCCACAACAATCCTTCAGGTAGACATTGTTATTTCTTCCCCTTTCACTAGTCAGTGAAACTAAATCTAAGCAAGATCCAGGAACAAATGACTATAAGGACATTTGAGCAGATATTTTGATCTGAATTCAGATTATGTGGGTCAAATTTCCATGCTTTTCCATTCTCTGCCCTTTCATATGTGTTTCTTACCTTTCCAACTCTTCCTCTTGCATCTTCTCCCTCTTATTTTACTTCACTTCCTTTTTACTTTCTTTCCCTGTCCTCTTTCCTCTCTGCTATCTACCTCCTGAAGCCAAACATCTGTATTTGGTAATCATCTGGAACAGTACTTCTCAATCTTGACTTTAATATGCATATATGTTCATATGTGTACAGGTGTGTATATTTTTGTACACATACACATATATATGTACTTGTATAAAATCTCCATAGAGATTACTTAAATTGAACACAAATACTGTAGTAATACTTTGGGTACATTTTTCAACATGCACAAAAAGAAATTTATACATTTATAGAAAACAAAACAGAAACAAATAAAAACATTTATGGGCTCTCAGTGTTACATTCAATTATTATTCATATTAATAATTTAATTAGTAATTTAATTATTTTAATTAATTATTAAAACAATTAATTTCATATTAATAAATTAGTAATTTACAAAAACTTAGACCATTAGAATAAACTCTTTCTATGTACTGCTCTTGGATAACTACAAAGCCAAACAAAATTTAAAATGAAAAAATTCTATAAATCAACAAAATTCAAATTAACCAGCATTTAATATGATGGATAATATGACTCTGTCGTAGTGACATATGCCACCTACAAAGCTAACATGGTATCAGTTCCTCTCTTCAGTCGACTGTGTGCCATGGGATAGTTCTACCCCAGTTTAATTAAACTACCATGGTAGCTTTGTCTGTCTAGCTTGTTGTGCAGCTATTTCATCTTTTCTAGGCACAAGCACAATCTCTGTGTGTTTTCTTTAGCCTGCAGTAATTAAAGTTGCCTGATTGGCACCCCCTAATCTTAAACACGAATGGAAGCCCAGATTCGGGTCCCATGTCCCATGGTTGGACCAAGTCCTACGGTGCTCATCTAGATGTTCCAGCAGACACCCATACTTCATTGTCATTATTTTTTAAGATTATCATCTAAATGATGTCACAAAATTAAAAAATTGTTGTAATAAAACTGTGGTGCTTTCATTGAAGAAATATGGATCCAGAAAAATCAGAGGCCCATGGAAATGAGAAGTCCAATGATAGGTCCCGCCAGGAAACTCAATCCCAGTAATGGAGAGTCCCCTTGTTATGAAGAGAGAAATGGCTATAAATATGATTCACTGGTTACAGAGGAGTGAGCAGATTGTGAGGCAACTGTGTCCCATAACAAGCCTGGCTGATCCTTCAGATAAGAAGTGAAATAAACGCCCCTGGCTTCTCTGCAGGGCTGGGGAGAGTGAGGGAGTTAGAGGGGGAAAGCTGTCTCCTCCTGGACTCCTACACTCAGAGCCTTGGAGTCAGTCTAACTGTGACTTGGAGAGGGATACTGCAGAGGAGAAATGAAAAGCACTGGCCTGTGGGAACACCCACCCCCCACCACCCTGAGCACCTTGCTCTGCCTCAGCACAGATAATTCTCTTAGAGGACTAGACTGTGTAAGTGAACTACTTTTCTTTTTCTTTCTTTCCTTTCCTTTTTTTTTTAGAGACAGAATCTCACTTTGTCACCCACGCTGGAGTGCGGTGGTGCATTCACAGCTCACTGCAGCCTTAACTTCCCGGGCTCAAGCCATCCTCCTAGTTCAGCCTCCTGAGTAGCTGGGATCACAGGCATATGCCACCATGCCCAGTTAACTTTTTTAATTTTTGTAGAGATGGGGTCTCACAACGTTGCCAAGGCAACTCCTGGGCTTAAGTGATCCTCCCACCTCAGCCTCCCAGAGTGCTGGGATAACAGGCATAAGCCACCATGCCTGGCCAATGAACTACTTTTCTGGCCCCCACTTTAAAGCCAGCGGCATTAGCAAAAAGCTGTAACTAGACCAAATCCTGACTGCTCCAAAAGTCGTGAGAAGAGCTGAATAGAGGTGTGCTGCATCTTCCAGTGTGGACAGTGAATTAAACTCAGTATTTGTTGATATAGTCATTGATACTGTCCACTATGAATCTAGGAGGTAGGATGGGGTGGCCAACACCAAGAATGACTCCTGTGTGATTAAGCAGGCTCCCACTTCTCACGATGACTTACACATATCCATTCCATCATGTATTGAGCACCTACTACTAAATAACTTATTAAGCAACTACTACTATGTGCCTGGCACTGTTGATGTGCTTTATATGTGTTAACTCACTTAATCCTCACAATAACCCCGTGAGGTAATATTAGGATAATTTGTTTTTGCACATGCAGGAGCAGAGGCATGGCTAGGGACATGCAGCTGCCTATTTCTTGAAAAGCATAAGCAGGAAAACTGTATACTTGAGTTTTTAGGCAGTTTTCCTAAAAACCTAATGTTTCTTGGCTAATATTGGGCACTTTTGTGCTTGAACCAGGTGTGGTCTGGCATATGTTTCTTCAAGCACAGATTAACCCAGCAGATGAAGAGTTTCTTGCCTAATATTGGGCACTTTTGTGCTTGAACCAGGTGTGGTCTGGCATATGTTTCTTCAAGCACAGATTAACCCAGGAGATGAAGAGTTTCTTGCTCTAGACAGGATTTTAAGGGAACAAGAGCAATAATGCCACTGCAATACCCTAACATCTTCAGAACCCCTGATATGAGTGAAAAGTGTTATTGATAAGAGGTAGAAAAATTTGGAGGGAATGAAAGTAATGGCCCACCAAGCAGAGAATAAAGTCAGACCACAAATAGAATACAAAGGCAGTCAAAGAGATACAGAAAGCATGAACTGAACTGTGAGTTCTCAGATGGAGTGAGTGGTGCTCAATGAACATGAAATTACCCAACAGTAAAGCCGTGTGATGAACGATCATGCCACCATTAAAGCCTGCCAGTAAAGAGATGGAGAAATTGTGAGATGCTGTCCAGTGAAAACTGTAAGAAATAGAACTGGAAACACATGGAAGAAAATAGACCAAAATGTTAAGTCACCTGTAGGTTGTGCAATTGCAGAGAATGCAGAAAATGTGGTGGTTTTCATGAGTATTTAGTAATTTTAAATGTGTTTTACATGTTGAATCTCTCTAAACTTTATCCGATATTGACTTCATACAGGAAATAGCATTTCATCCAATGCCATCCATTTTAGATTATTATGGAAGGGAGTCACCGAGGTTACTTGGCAGTCCCTGTGAGCCCTTGTTGTTCCCACCTACCACCTAGTTCTTGCTGATATTTTAAAATGGCACAAGCTATGATCCAGATCTCTGGAGGGCTCCTCCAGGGCTTATATAAAGAGATAATAAACTCCAAAATTTTTCTTAAAAAAATAAGTTCATTAACTTTTAAAAAATTTCCTGCATAAAGGCATACAGAGCGATATAATGGATATTGCAGACTCAGAAGTGGGGTGGTGGGAGGCAGGCTAGGGATGAAAAGCTACATATTAGGTACAATGTATACACTACTTGGGCTACAGGTACACTAAAATCTCAGAATTCAGCACTACACAGTTCATCCATGTAACCAAAAACCACTTGTACCTCAAAAGCTATTGAAATACAATTTTTTACAAAAAAAGAATGTTCAAAATAAATACAATACACAAAGAAAAAATATTTTAAAAAGAGGAAATTCACACCCTGCCACCACCCACCCCCGCCCCGCCCCAGAAGTCGGTACTTTCTAAAAGCTGCTGTGGTGAAGCCTACCTTATCCACTCGGTTAGTCAATTAACCTATATTATTGAGGCCTCACCATGAACCCACTAAATACAAAAGTCAGCCAAGTTCAAACTCAAGTAGGTTGTATACTTCAAAATAGCTAGAAGAGAAAAATTGGAATGTTCCCAACATGAAGAAGTGATAATTGTCTGAGGTGATGAAAACCCCCAATTACCTTGATTTGATAATTGCACTTCGTATGCTGGTATCAAAATATCACATGTGCTCCATAAATATGTACAATTATTATGTATCCATAAAAATTAAAAACTAAAAATATTTTAAAATTTTTAAAATCTTGCATATATATTGACATATTTTAAAAATCAAAAGATACAAAGGACTATACAATAATAATTCTATCCACTAACCACTCAGTTCCTTTCTTGATGCAATAATCGCATCAGTTTCTTGGTTATCCATCTAGAGTTTTGTTTTGTTTTGTTTTCTGAGACAGAGTCTCACTCTGTCGCACAGGCTGGAATGCAGTGGTGCAATCTCAGCTCACTGCAACCTCCACCTCCCTGGCATGTGTTTCTTCAAGCACAGATTATCCCAGCAGATGAAGAGTTTTTAGTAGAGACAGGGTTTCACCACGTTGGCAAGGCTGGTCTCGAACTTCTGACCTCAGGTGATTCACTGGCCTCGGCCTCCCGAAGTGCTAGGATTACAGGCATAAGCCACTGCATCCAGCCCATCTAGAGATATTTGATGCCTACACAAACACGCTTACATATATTCCCTGTCTTCTTTGTTAAATGCAAGAAGGAACATACTAGTCACTCTTGCTTCTTTCACTTAACAATACATCTTGGAAATATTTCATATCACCACGTTAAAAAAAAAAAACTCATTCTTTTTTGTGGCTGCTGGATATTCCATTACACAGATGCACCATAGTTCATTTAAGGCCCTGCCAATGGACATGAAGACAGAAAACATGTATAGCTTTGACAAGAAACAGAAAAAATGTCTTGTTTCTATTAAATTCATTGTTGTTCTTTCCACTGCTCACTTTGGAGGCCAAGATACAGACATCCGGTAGTAACGACTTGCAGTGTTTACATGACTAAAGTTCAAACACCTTGCCGAATAACAAAAGTGAAGGACAAAGCTCAGAAGCTTTGCTATTCATCAAATAAACCCTGGCATGACAGAAAATGCTTATTTGGATAATTATATCAGCATTTAGGTGTTTCTCACTTTAAAGGTTAATGTTTAACAAGGAGAAATGCAAAGGCAACAAGGAATGGTGCTGGGCATTCAGCCTGTGGGTCTTCTCTGTATTTTACCACAGATATGCGCCTCCTGCCCTCGTTCTCAGTGGGAGACAGCCCAGCTTTATTTATGTATTGTTTTTAGGCTGAGCAGCCACTGAGTGGAGAACATCTCATAGGAAACCCTCCTACACGATGCTGAGATTCCCCACTCCCTTGTGCTAGAAACCCACTTATTTCCACTTGTGGCTCCATAGTGCCAGCATGTCACTCCAAGCCAGTTAGCCTTTCTAAATCTGTTTCCACCTGTGAATGATGAAAAGCAATCTGCCCAAGCTGGGCATGGGCATGGTGGTGTGCACCTGTAGTCCTAGCTACGAGGGAGGCTGAATGGGGAGGATCCCTGGAGCCCAGGAGTTAGAGGCCACAGTGGGCTATGATCACACCACTGCACTCCAGCCTGGGTGACACAGTGAGACCCTGTCTCAAAAAAAGAAATAAAAATAAAAATTTAGTAAAATATCTGCCCAGTTCATCTCTTAGTTCTGTATTAGAAGCTAATAAGCTAATGCATGTGAAAATCATATTAAAG
Organism: Homo sapiens; assembly: GCF_000001405.40. Classification (NCBI taxonomy): domain Eukaryota; kingdom Metazoa; phylum Chordata; class Mammalia; order Primates; family Hominidae; genus Homo; species Homo sapiens. The sequence continues at coordinate 23,187,552 of NC_000010.11, forward strand.
CAACTACATTCAACAACTTCTTCAGAAAAAGGGGGGCTTGGCAAAGTGGCTCACATCTGTAATCCCAGGACTTTGGGAGGCCAAGGTGGGAGGATATCTTGAAGCCAGGAGTTCAAGACCAGCCTAGACAATGTTGCACATAAGTACAAATATGCCTTTGAAGTGTGAGGGAAGCAGGGCAGGAATCTGTTCTCAGCAGCCAGTGGAGCCAGTACTGGGCTGAGATGGATAAGACTGGCATTAACTTAGCTGTTTATGGTGACCCATGCCTGTAATTCTAGCACTTTGGGAAGCTGAGGTGGGAGAATCGCCTGAGGCCAGGAGTTAGAGGCCAGCCTGGGCAATACAGGCAGACCTTGTCTCTATTTTTGAAAAACCTATATTTAAAAAAAAACTGACATTAACTTTCTGTGTGACCTTAGGGAAGCCTCTGAACGTCTCTGGGCCTCAGAGGCCTTTCAGCATGAACCTTGTGAGTGTATTTTCCAAATCTTTTCCTAAGAGTACAGGGATAAAGGGTGGACCAATGAGGGTACCTGGCCACTCAAGTGGGGAGAAGAAAGATATCTCAGATAAGGAGTTGTGACAGGGACACAGGAGAGGAGAAACCACCCACCTGCCATCACCACTGCATTTCTGAGATGGGGGAGGGAACAGTTTGGGCCATGAGGAATTAACATGGACCCTTTCTCAAGCTAGGAGCAGACTGCGAGCCACATCCATAAGTACCTGCTTTCAGGCACTAAGGAGGTGTGTAGGATACTATGGGTGAGACAGCTGCATCCTGGTTTCTGCAGTGTGAGGTTCCTGCAGGGAGGATACACACCCAGCATCATGCACTATGAGAATGTTCCATGGGTAAGCTGATGATGGAGAGCCAGGAGGTGCCATTCTTCATGAGTGGCCTCTGCCCCAAGTTCATCCTGGACAAGCCAGGGACCTGGGCTCTAACCCTCTAGTCATTGTTCCTAGAAGCTGGGAAAAGACTCTGGAAATGTTTGATGAGAAAGAAATGAATAAATATTCAAGTCCCCAAGACTCCTGATGGGGAGAGATAGCTGGAAGAGAGAGAAAGAAAGAGAGAGAGAAAGCATAAGAGAGCGCAGTATGGCATGGTGGCATGGTGGCTCATATCTGAGGTCCCAGCTACTGAGGGGGCTGAGGCAGGAGGCTCCCTTAAGCCCAGGAGTTCAGGACTGCAGTGAGCTGTGACTGAACTACTGCACTCCAGCCTGGGTGACAGAGTGACATCCTGTCTCTAAAAACAATAACAAGAGACAGGCAGAGACAGAAGAGATGAGACCAAGGCTCAACATCAATGGCCCTGGCCAGAAGCTCTCCTGCAGCTGAGAACCTAGGAGATGGGACAAGACCTACTAGCAGCCGGAAGGAAGCCTGGGAATCTGCCAGGCCCAAGGCAACAGGGTGGCACTGAGCCTGTGCTGAAAGACTTGAAAAAGTCTTGAGGTCTCACCAGGGATTGGGTCTAGAAAGAACCAAGTGCTCCTTCTGCTGCCCCCCACCGGGGATGAGATACGACTCTATAATGAGGCAGAGCTCTTTACAAGGTGAGGGTGTGGTGAGAAGCCTGAGTTCGCTCACGCTCTCTCTCTCTGTCTCTCTCCCTCTCTCTCTCTCTCTCTCTCTCTCTGAGACTCCTGGAGCCTTGTGACCAAGCCCCTCTCCAGGCTCCCCAACTGCCCAGAGGATCCAGGGGTGTGGAAGGCATGACTGGAATGAGAGCGGGGTGGGGTGGGGGCTCTAGCCTGGCAAGGTAAGGTTCAGTCTTCTCATCCAACCTGTTGCTTCCAGTGGCAGAGGGCAGCCATCCACATGGTTGTGACCCCTAGTGACCCAGAGAAAATTTCCTTTATTAGCGGAGAAGTCTTTCTTCTTTTTATAAGAGAAAAGAATGATCATGTCTTACTTAAAGCCTGTGTGTGTGTGTGTGTGTGTGTGTGTGTGTGACACAGTGTCACTGTCTGTAGGCCTTGTCCTAGATTCTCAACAAGGCCAGTATGCACACAGCTAGCAATTCTTTAAAAACTTCGAGGGCAGTGGAGGGAGGAGGAGGAGGAGGAAGGGTAGGAAGGGCTATGTCTGAAACAAGTGAGTACGTTTTCTGTTCCTCCTATCCCATGCTCATTCATGCACCCCTAGGAGCCACCCAGAGCCTGCAGGCTAGTTCTGCCCCCTTCATAAGACAATAAGCTTGCTAGCAGCAATGAATTTCCCATGAGCTCACTGGGTGCTCAACGTGAATTTCTCTGTAACTCTTCTGCAAACTCATCAAAAATGTCAGATGATTTTCTGTGGAAGTGGATTGCTAAAATCATATTGAATAAAAAGATACCCATATATAGCCGGGCACGGTGGCTCATTCCTGTAATCCCAGCACTTTGGGAGGCCAAGGTGGGTGGATCACTCGAGGTCAGGAGTTCCAGACCAGCCTGGCCAACGTGGTGAAACCCTGTTTCTACTAAAAATACAAAAATTAGCCAGGCGTAGTGGCGGGCACCTGTAATCCCAGCTACTCGGGAGGCCAAGGCAGGAGAATCGCTTGAACCTGAGGGGTGGAGGTTGCCATGAGCTGAGATCGTGCCACTGCACTACAGCTTGGGCGACAGAGCAAGACTTTATCCCCCAACCCCCACCCTCCCCCCAAAAAAAGAAAAAAAAAGATACCCATATATTCACACTCACTCCCCTGTCTCCCAGTCCTCCACCTACCCACATGTCTATGACACACAGTTTCTCAAGAGCCACCAGTCTAGAGAGCCACCAGAGAAAGCCTTTCAGCCTCTTGAAAAGAGACTTTGTAGGCTCAATTCTAGTCTTCTCTGCAGTGGATAGTTGTCAATATTTCCGATAAGGCTTTGAAGCTGGGTAATTTGCTACTCTTGCATGTCTTCACATTGACCCACGGGCACGGGCATGTTTCCACTTAGTTTTAGTCTACGTGAGGAAGGGGAGGGTGCACATCACTAGCTGGCTAGATCTCTGGCCTTGATACACACACACACACACACACACACACACACACACACACACCCCTTCCCTTCCTTTGAGGTCAGAAAGAGAAATCTAATTGCAGAGAATCACAGCTCAGGCTCTATCACCGGGAAACTGTCCATATTTGCCTTTAAGGATATGCAAATAGTGAACGACTCCTTCACTGTGAAGGCTGAGAAACTAACACAGGAAAAAACTACTGAAAACCAGTCAGTCCTTGGGTTAAAATTGTTTGGGGTTGTTGGCAGTTCAAGGTAAGGCAATCTCTGGCCTTCTAACCTTATATATCTTTTGGTTTAACTCTTTGTTCTCAATTCAGTTAATTACAGTGCAATGTCTAAAACCAAGAAGCGTATTTAAATCACTAATCTGAAGAGGCATGACTTGGAATTTGAGAGGCGTCTGAATACCCAACAGAAGCCTCTAGTGAGACAAGTGCCTGAAAAAGGAAGCGGCCCAGGAGGACGACTCCTTTCAGTCCTCTGTAGAGAGAATACGCACGATGGCTGCGCTTCTGAACTCTCCCGGGGTGGAAGCTGCAGCCTGGCTTTTAACCGGAATTGCCCAGACCTTGAAAGTGTTTCTTTGTTGCTCTTAAAAAGAGGAATTCACGTTGCATCGCAGTCTGTGATAAAGTCTGTCTTGGGGCAGAGCTGCATACGTTTTGTGTTTTTTTTTTTTTTCAGAAAAGAAAGGTCGAGAAAGAAAAAAACAAGTCATTCAGGGATGGTCCCTGTGGCCAGTCGGAAAGGTGAGAGACTCGGGCTTTGAAAACGATTCACATTCTGCCCTTTAACTTCAATGCCTTCCCTCCGGACTGCGCCGGAGCAGACGATTCAATGGACTCCTTTTGTATCCAGTTTATTGCTCAGAATCCCTAGGGTCTAGATTTGCTCTCAGAAGAAACGCGCCCCGCTGAGCTGCTCTGGGGGCTGCCCCTCCCGTCTCCCCATTCCTTTCTCCGGGCCGGGGAGGGCAGGGGAGGCAGCCACTGAGCCGATGTCGCTGGGGACCCGCACCAGGCACCACAGCCAGGCTCCAGAGCGGAGTCCCATAGGTGCGCTCCCAGCCCCCGTGTTGCGTCTGGAACGCAGTGGGAGTGGGCCCGGATCACCTTCCAATGACACCCGCATATACTCTGCAAACTGTGCAAAAGCCCTTGAAAAGTCCAGAGATGGGACAGAAGCCCCCAGCAGAACCCAGGCCGGAGCCCCGCGCACCTCGGATAAGGGGGTGGCGGAATGCACCCACCTGGTCCCTGAGGGCAGCACCCTTAGATTGCCCAGGCTGCCGCGGAGGAGGACGATCGCCGCGCGGGCTCCGCTCTCGCCGTCTGGGCCACCGGCGCGCACCCCTAGGAACTTCTCTGGCCGCGTGTAGACGCGGCGCGCGGCTGCCCCAGTCCCAGGGCGGAAGGAGCCGGCGCTGCTCAGCGCGCGCGGGTACGCAGCGGGCACCGCGGGACGCAGGTGCCCCTGGAGCCGCACGCGGGGCAGGTACAGAATCCAGTATGCAGAGGCAGAGGAGAGGGAAGAGAGCGGTGCGAGGAGCCCCGGGCCGCGCGACCCCGCCTTTTCCTCGCCCCAGGAGCTCCCAAAGGGAGCAAAACGCCCCCCACCCCCGCCCACCGCCGCGCCTCCGGGCCCCCTCGCCGCCGGCACACCGCGCTCTGATTGGCTGGCGCGATGGGTCCCTGGCACGCGCCTATGGATGTTGTTATAAGAATCCTCGCGTGCCGGCCCTCAGCTCCAGGAAGTCCGCCACAGCCCTCCCCAGCGCAGCGCGAGCGCGGGCCAGAGCGCAGCGGCCGCGGGCACTCCAGGGAGGCCCGGGGGCGGGCAGCCCGGCGGCCGCCTAGCTGCCCCCAGCCAGGGCCCCGGGAGGGAGGGGCTCGGACGGGCCTTAGAAACTCACCAAGAACTAACACGCGCAGCCCGGCAGTCCCGCTGCCCACTGCGGCGGCGAGCATGGACGCGGTGTTGCTGGAGCACTTCCCCGGGGGCCTAGACGCCTTTCCTTCTTCGTACTTCGACGAGGACGACTTCTTCACCGACCAGTCTTCACGGGACCCCCTGGAGGACGGCGATGAGCTGCTGGCGGACGAGCAGGCCGAGGTGGAGTTCCTTAGCCACCAGCTCCACGAGTACTGCTACCGCGACGGGGCGTGCCTGCTGCTGCAGCCCGCGCCCCCGGCCGCCCCGCTAGCGCTCGCCCCGCCGTCCTCGGGGGGCCTCGGTGAGCCAGACGACGGCGGCGGCGGCGGCTACTGCTGCGAGACGGGGGCGCCCCCAGGCGGCTTCCCCTACTCGCCCGGCTCGCCGCCCTCGTGCCTGGCCTACCCGTGCGCCGGGGCGGCAGTACTGTCTCCCGGGGCGCGGCTGCGCGGCCTGAGCGGAGCGGCGGCTGCGGCGGCGCGGCGCCGGCGGCGGGTGCGCTCCGAGGCGGAGCTGCAGCAGCTGCGGCAGGCGGCCAACGTGCGCGAGCGGCGGCGCATGCAGTCCATCAACGACGCCTTCGAGGGGCTGCGCTCGCACATCCCCACGCTGCCCTACGAGAAGCGCCTCTCCAAGGTGGACACGCTGCGCCTGGCCATCGGCTACATCAACTTCCTCAGCGAGCTCGTGCAGGCCGACCTGCCCTTGCGCGGCGGTGGCGCGGGCGGCTGCGGGGGGCCGGGCGGCGGCGGGCGCCTGGGCGGGGACAGCCCGGGCAGCCAGGCCCAGAAGGTCATCATCTGCCATCGGGGCACCCGTAAGTGCTTCCGCTTCCCAGCTCAGGGAGAAGGGGTCGGGCACTCGAAGGCTCCGGAGGGGCTGGGGGAGCTGACTGCCAAGCAGACAGTCGGACCGACGGATTGTCGGTGGGCACGGAAAAACTTGAATGCGAGCTCGCGTTTCTCGTTTTTTTTTTTTTTTTTATTTTTCTGCCACGTTGACCGCGGCTCTCAAGGGCGCGCGTCCCCGCCAGACTTGCAGCTCCTCGGATTCCTGGGAGGGGACGGTGGGGACTTGAAGTGTGGAGGAAGAGGGTGGTTCTAGTATAACCGGAGAGCACCCAGGAAAGGGTCCTAAAGGACCTGATGGGACCAATGGGAATGTGGTTGGATATTCACAGTCTGTTTTCTCTTCTCACCTGTCCAGGGTCCCCCTCCCCCAGCGACCCTGATTATGGCCTCCCTCCCCTAGCAGGACACTCTCTCTCATGGACTGATGAAAAACAACTCAAGGAACAAAATATTATCCGAACAGCCAAAGTCTGGACCCCAGAGGACCCCAGAAAACTCAACAGCAAATCTTCCTTCAACAACATAGAAAACGAACCACCATTTGAGTTTGTGTCCTGAGAAGTCCCAGACTCGGCTGAAGATCTGATTATGTCTCTGTGCATATTGTACATGTAAATATCTATAATGTAAATGTAATTTAAGAATCAAATTTTTCGAATGGCAATCAACTGTTTATTATTTATCTATTTATTATCCTGTTGAGTTGATGAAATAGATGATTTCTTTTTAAATATATAATTTATATAACTTATCCTGATTTTCTGAAAATATGCAATAGCCTATGATTTTCCTGAACTCTGTGTTGTTGGGAGAACTCTGGCCAGAAAACGTCCTGCTTATTTATTGCCAGATATGGTTTATTTCTAAGCGTTGTCAATAAATGCTATTTACACCTTTTCCTGAAGGTTTTTGAGTACATGATTTGATAGATACTCTTTAAAAAGAATTAACTTAGTAAAAATTAACCAAACCAGAGACTCAAAGTGTAGCTTTTTAGTAAGAAACTACATTTCAGACTTAGCCTAAAGGTGGGTAGGTTAGAGGATTAGACCTCAACTTTCTATGACAGCACTTCATCTAGGTCGCCTGCCCTACACAGCAACTTTTGTCTGTATTTTGGGCCACCTTCCAAACACCCTATGCAAATACATCCTGGAGTATTTATTGTTCCCATTTTGCAGATGGTAAAGTTAAGGCTCAGAGATGACATTTGACTTACCCAAGGTCACCCCTACGTTGTCTATTCCTGGTGTATAAAAGTGAGCGCGCGGTGCACTGTGGGAGCAGGGAGCTAGTGGGCTAAGCGAATGGGCCTTTCTGCTTCCACTGGCTGGGAAAGGGGCTACTCTTGAGCTGCCCTGTGACCAACCTCTTCGGCAGCAACAGCATCAGGTACCTGGAACTCAGGCTTACTCCTCACAAAGGAGATGGGACAGGCTACGGTGCCAAAGCCTAGAGACCACTCGGAGGCCACTCAACAAAATCCAGGGTCTTTTAGGTAAGGTAGGAAGAAGCCGCCCGCTACCCCTGCCACCTTCGCAACAGGCTTACTTCCAAAACTGAGTTCGTTTTGCCTTCATCAGAACTTGGCCCTCCTCGGCCAGCAACCTGGGGAGAAGGCGAGCCTGAGGCGGGGGGCGTAGGGTAGCCCCCTAGCGAAGGGGAGAAGAGCGAGGGCGCGGCCGAGGTCGCTTAGCCAGAAAGCCTGGGAGTCCAGGCTTGGGTTTGTCTCCTTTGTGGCCAAGAGCGCCTCCCGGGCTCTCGGGGCGTCCTCCCCTGCCCGCCAGAGCCGGGGCGCCGGCACTGGGCCCTGAGGCCTGGCGCGCGCGCAGATGGCGTTGGCGCGAGCGCGGACTGGAGACGCGCTCATTGACGTGGCACCGTAGCCCCGTGCGGCGCAGGCCTGGCCCAGGCGGGGTGTGGTTCCGTGGGCCGCAGCGGCCTGGTGGGCGAAGGTACAATTGCGGATAGCCTCTAATACTCACGGCCCTGCCGCAGGACAATATGTTGGCAGCATGCTAATTGCTTTAACCTAGTTTCAGACCCACCGAGGGGTTCCCCGCGCGCCGCGGGTGCCATGGACCTCGTCCAAGAGCAATTAAAGCGAGGCCGCGAGCCCGACCCCGCAGCGCGGCCTGGCCAGACACGCGGAGATTCTGGGTCGCAAGGCTCCCGGGAGCCCCTTGGCCGTGGACCCTCTCACCCCTTTTAAGCCTTCGCGCCCTCTCCCTCCACTCCTCCTAAAAGAAGATTTCACACTGGAGACAGAATTTCAGAACGAGAGAAAATAATTCGATTTTGTCCTTTATTAGGGCCTCATTAAACACGAAAGTTGCTTTTGCACAAATGCTTCCATCAGGCATGTAATCTCATTACACTCATTAGAAAGTCAAATGTTTGGCCGACTTCAACTTAATTATAAGTTATGGAAGTATTGTACCGTTTTCTTCGGCTGTGTAGACCTGCGTTTCTGTTGGATTGGGCAGTGTGGCACTCGCAGTTAAAACACTGCAATCATTGTGATGTGGCACCTTTTATTTTGCGTGCCACTTTTTTTTGCGATTCAATGCCTCAACACAACCTTTAGTGCGGTGCAGATGAAGCGGAAGAACCGAGCTGAGCATGCAAAACACCAGGGTCTCTATCTTGTCACTCTCTGTCCTGACTTGGCAAGTCCCTTTAAGCACAACCTTCAAAGAGACTGACAGCTTCTTTTTATTTACTCATAATCCATTCATTCTAGTGTAGCAATTCTTTTTTTTAAAAAAAATGCAGCAGTAAAGGCAGAACAAACGTATCATTTCAGAGTCTTCTTTGGCGTCAGGGAGGCCCGAGCTGCGCTGGGTGCAGGGGCTGCTCTCCTTGTGGCAGAGCCAGGCTGGGGAGCCTCTGGCCCTGGGCATCTCTGGCCGGCAAACACGGCCTGGCACTGGAAGGATCATGTGAGGGCAGTTTGAGTGACAGGTATTCAATGGTCCTTCTAAGTCCACACTTCTCGTCCAACTTTTAAAAAAGATGCATATGAAGATAATTGAGTAAGCCAAACTCCTGGATGGCTATGGAGAATCTTTGCCCAGCCCGGCCCTTCTGAACACCCATCATCCCCTGCACTGAAACCCAGCCTGGGACCACCAGGGGAAAGAGTTTAAAGTCTGCCCTGGCTGCCCTTGTCCATTTAGCATAATAAAGAAGCTGCAAGCCCAGTACAGGCTGAATTTTATGATCTCTATTGGAGAGCTGGTTAAATCATTCTCCACTGGTCCAGACTCCACTGCTAGCCATGGTCGGGGGAGGGAGCCCTGGAGTGGGCTTGATAAAGTCTTTGGAGAACAGAGGTGGCCTGGGGTGCTGCCTCTTCCTCTCCCCCAACATCTCACCCCCTCCTGCCAAACACACATCCTCAATTCTAGCCCATCTTGCTGGTCTCCATCCCAGGTTGCTGTATCTACCTTCATGGCAAAGTGCCAATGATTTCATTCAATAAAAGCCCCCTGTCCCCAGGCCTCCCTCCCTCTTCAATTTCTGGTGGGCTTTAGTGTTAGGGTCCTCTTGTGATTGTCTTAAAAGACATTGCATGTCAGAAGGAAGGTGGCTTTCTATTTTCAGAAGCTACAAAGCGGAGGCACCATTCCCATTCCTGTTCTCCCCTCCACCCCCTTCTAAAGAGAACTTTAGATTAGGAGGTGAGGTGCGAGTGGTGGGGTGACTCCAGAAGAGCAGAGGAGGAGAGAGGCAAAAAAAGGAGAAGCAGCCACTTCTGCACCTGGAGCTGGGCAGCCTCTGGAATGGAGCCCTCTTGTGATGCCTCCTCCTTCCCATGAAGGAGGCACTGTGGGTTAGTTAACACTCTCATAAAAAGTTGCATTCTGGAGCCTGGAAGTCCTGTAAGGCAGAAAAAGTGGGTGGGAAAGAAGGGGGTCCCCCCACCCCAGGCTGGGAGCAGAGCGCATAAAAGGCCTTGTTGGAACTCCTGTGAAATCGGCTGAGAATGCTTCCCAGGACCGCTCATCTGCCAGCCCCAGGATTAACGCCCCTCCGTGGAGAGGGTGTGAAGCCTCTTAAATCCATAAACTCATCCCATTTCCATTAATGGGCCTTTGCGGTGGCACCGAGTACCAGCTGCGAGGTTGAACAAACACCAGTTGAGTACTCCCTGGCGGACCTCTCTGGGAAGAGCCCTCACCCTCCCTCTCGCCCTCACCCTCCCTCTCACAGCCTTTCCAAAGCCTTCTGCAGCCTGTGGGAATGGTCCTAAATAATTCCACAACCAATTGCATTTTTGAGATCTGGAACCACTGGTAGGAAACGATTCCCACGACGGGATGTGAGGTCTGGCCAACAGGTGTTCGGATTTGGCCCAGGGAGATGGGGAAACCCAGGGAGAGAGACAGGGCTGCCAGAAAGCAGGCTGCTTAGGGGCCTCTCGGCTTTACAGGCCGTGGAAGCCACAGACAATCGAAATGATATCTTTATTGCTAGGTTCATGTCCTGGGCTATAACATATCAATCCCTGTCGTGGTTCTCTAGGATGCACCTGGTATTTCAAACTTGTTCTTTTTGTGCTTCTGGGTCCTGGGCTGCAGCTGCCTAAAACAAGCAAAGAGAGAGGCCCTTACAATGTCTCCAAGACGTGTTGGCATGGTTTGCCTGTCTTTAATGTACCATTAACTATTGTCTTTACACAATATGGGAACTGTAAAGCATGACATGTGTTATAATAAAACACATTTTCAATGATACACTTGGACTTGAGGCTGGGGTGCAGCAAACAAACAGGCCCAAATCTTGTTTTGTCTCTCTTGCTAAGCCTACTGGCAATTAAACTTAAGACCACTGTTTCCCCCCCCTCCTGATCAGCCAATTAAATTTTATGTCTCCTAATTTTTCACATAGAGAAAAGTCTCAGTGCTGGCCCCTAAAGACATTGATTTTCTTGCTATCACCTGGCGCTCAGACCTTAGTTCCATTTATCAAGAAGGGAAACGTCAGGCGTTACATAAAGTGACTCTGTTACCATAAGGCTCTCACCATCCTGGCCTATTGTTTTCCCTTGTTAATAACTCATTACCAGGATTTAACAAATCAACCATTACATATGTTTTGTGTCTCCATATTTTGATCCGTACGATTAAGCAGATGTTACGATTGAAAATTGAAAAGTCCAAGGCTACTCTAGTCTGAAAGAAAGAGGGCAGCCTCAAACAACGAGCTAACAATGAGATTCAGAAGATCTTCAGAAAAACATTTACCACCAATAAACAGACTCCAACCTGCTCCATTTCAACCATTGTGTGCTTTGGGGGAATAATTAAGTTTAATAGGAATAGGTCTGGAGGGTTTTCAATGCCAAGACCACAGGTGCGGGGTGGCATGATGAATGATTTGCCTGATTTTTGCCAAGCTCAAGGGCTCTTCTCTTGGACTTTTAAGCAGATAGAAAATATTGTCATTTCTTTTAATTCACAGCATTACTTTCAAGCCGAACAAAGGCCAGGGCCGGGGGGAGGCGGGGGAAGGGCTCGGCTGTAATGAAGCGCCTCTAAGGCGGAGGTGCTGCCGTGGAGGCTGAGGCGGCGGCGGAGCGCGCTGCTGCGTTTGTGCGCAAGTGACTCTCCTGTGCCACACACAAAAGGCCTCCCTCTTCCCACCTTCTGCCGCCTTTCAGCCCTCCGGCTCCTGCCGAGCCCGCTCCTGGGACTCTGGGGGGGATCCTGGCTGCATCCCCAGGGCAGCCTGACCTTTGGGACATCCGCCGCTGCCAGGGCAAACCTCGCCAAACTTTCCCCAAACTCCGCAGGCCGGGGAGGGACCCTGGCCGGAGGCGCGCATGCGCCCCGCCCGCTGCTCCGCGTTCCCAGGGTTCCGGAGAGCCGGGGTGGAGTCGGACGAGTGTCCCCGGAGGCCCGCCTAGCCCTTGCTCCCAGGGGCATTCGGGACTCCTGTGCTGCCTGTCTTCGCTTGAGGCTGGAAGTGGCTGCCCGACGCCTTGCTCTCCGCAGTTCTGCTATCTTTGCGCATGGAAGTCTCCAAGAGGGGCTCCAGGAAGCAGCGAGCAGGGAGGGGAGCGAACGGCCAAAAGGAGATCCGGGGATGGGACCCCAGGCTTCTTCGGAGGAGGCCCGGGGCAACTACGCCCCGCGGCCGGGAGGGAAGCCCTCGGGCGGCCGCCTGTAGAGGGCCCCGTGGCCCGGGGCGCAGGTTGTGGCGAGCTGGTTTTTGCCTCTGGGCCGAGGCGCCAGCGCTAGCAGCGACAGCAGCGGGGGGCGCAGGTTTCTAGCCAGTCCCCACTTTCGGACCTCTGGGGGTCTGCCCTTGCTTCTCGGGGAGTCTTGGCCCTTGACTGATCCCCGCAACTTAAGGCCAATCCCATCCCTAGCTGGCCGGCACCTGTTCCAAACAACCTGTTGCGCTGACATCGCTTTGGAGAGGCGCCGGCGCTTTGCTGGTGGAGGCGGGTTGTGTGGAGGCCCCAAGCCTTCAGGAAATAGTTTAGGGTTCCGTTGTGGTGAGAGGCACCCCCTCCCCGCTTCCTGTGGCATGTGGGGTGTTTCACCTCTGCCTGTGTCCCAGGAACCCAAGGCGTCCTGGGCACCTCTGCACCTCGCCCACTCTAGGGACTTCTCATGTAGAGCTCGGCAGTTTGGGTGGATTAGACAAAGATGAGGATTAGAGACACACCGCCGGCTAATTAAATGGGCTCTTCTCCTCTCCTCGTCCCCTCCCCGCAACCCGCAGCCAGATAGGACTCTTCGGTTCCCTACCCCCACTCCTAGGCCCTATGTAAGTGCGGATGGAGAAAGCTAGTTACATTAGCCCTTCTGTCTTAGAGGTACCGGCACCTCGGGGCATTCTCGCTCTTAAAGATGCGTTTTCTGAATTATTTCTAGTTTTACAATTTCTCTTCGGTGACTGCACAGGATCCCTTCTAGCTCTTTTCCTGTTGGAGTCGCTGGACGTCTCCCAAACAGCTAGTTAGTCGCCTATCTCTGGAGCGCAGGCCTTCGGAATTGGATTCAGGGTATGAGTCTAGCTAGGGGATGTTTCTAGAAGTTTTATAAAATCCATTTGGGCAAGCGTTGGCATTCGGATTTTAAAAATATAGACGTGCACTGGCATTGGGCAACTCAAAAAAAAATGTGTCTCCTGGCGCTTGTCAGTGACATGCTAATTACAAATTTTAAAACAAGCCACTTCTAAGCGAAGGACGCCTGGCTGCAACCCCACAACTCACACCGGTGCATATAATAAAATATTAGGGTTCAACAGTTGGCATATGTGGCAATAGCAAATGTGACACCTCGAAGCGATTATCTGGAAGTTTTTCCGTACTTTTGAAAATACACTTGCCGCCTCATTTCTCTGATGGCCGCTCAATAGACACTGGGAGATGGTAGCTGGGCCACCCCTCCCAAGAGTTCTTCTTGCGTGCAGCGCTTTCATCCAGGGCTTGAATTGTGTTGTCAAAGTTTAGCAGACAAGAGGAGGGGGCATGAGAACGGGAGGGTGTCTTGAAAAGTCTTGGAAATCGGTGTATTTTGCAGGTGTAGAAGTGCCTAATAACCATGGCTAGTGCGCGCTCCCCAATGGCGAGGGTATGACAGGGACAGCTGGCTCAGTTTTCAGTGTGAAAACACCCCCTCGGTGGACCAAACACAACGACACTGACCTTTCTTCGGGGGGAACCAGGGATGTGCCTTTGACTGAATTAGCCATAAAGACGTCTTGCTATGACTTTTGTTCCCCACGAAAGCAAAGAAATATTGCGTTTAATATGAGAAGTACTGTTCACAGCTTTTCCGTGCCCCTTAAGAAATATTACAGTGCTGATTTACTGGCCTTCTTCTACCGAGTTGGCCCCAAGGGCGGCTGGGGGTGGTGGGGTGGGGACGGGGCAGTGAGGACAGAGGAGGAGGCGGAGTCAGAGAGCTAAAGTGCCTGTTGCCTGTTTCCAAAGTTCTCTCTTTGCAACAGCAAATTTATCAATCTTTTCATCTGACAATACTTTGAAATATATCATTGTCATCTAGAGTTGTTTGATAGATTATCTGCAGGCACACAGCCTTTTTCAAGGTCAAGTTGAAGATTCTTGTTTGCTGTTTAACTGGGTTGTTTCAAAACTCAGAACAATGCCTGCCTGTTAAATTTTCACTTGTTCTCATGGGGCATTCGAAAGCAAGTTTTCCTATTGACCAGGTCTCTGGACATTTCATCCTCTTGAGCTAAATTCAGCAAACAAGGCTTAGGAATGAAATCAACAGAAGAAGAAATGAGATTTAACTTAGCATTTGCAAATGCCAGAGAGATTAAGTCGTCTTTCATATCTGCTCAAAGTGTGTACTAATTTTTGTCTGCATGTTGCAGGCTGGTTATGGCCAAACACATCTCAACTTTGACTTTATTCCAGTGGGAAGCAGTGAACACACTCCCCTAAACCAGAAAGGCAAAGAAATTGTGGCCACTCTTGTTTTTGCCAGTGCATAACCTGTTGTTCTAAAGGCATTTTAAAATAAAGTCAGCTACTTCTAAGTCACTATGTTTTATAGACATATTTATTTCTATTTTTTAGTGGAAAGACTGGCTTCACAGTTTTCTCTATATCTGCGATGATTGATTTTTTTTATTCAACTAACTTTTATTTACCTTGCAATAATGTTCTGGACCAATGTGATAAATTACAGATATGCAAATTTCTTTCAATGGTGTTGTAAGTGTGTCTAGCTGGAGCTGAATAACTCCTTGCAAGTCAGTCTGTGCGTGCTCAGGACCCCAGGGAGCTGATCAAAGCACCCATTCTCTTTCATCCCCGGTATTCTCCTCCAAACTATTTCGATACAATATGTTTCCATGATGCACTTAATGTGCTAGGGACATAGAACTCATTACAACCTAGCTAGTTCTGCGGACCTCTTTGTTCCGCGGCAGAAAGTCAAAGAAAAAAGGAAAAGCGCTGCCAGTTGCCAGCTTTCTGAAATGCTAAAGCATGCGTCATTTTTCACCAGGTCTCGTCTTGATATCCTCAAAAGACAAACTATGAAACCGGCCTCAGCCCTTTCTGGCATTAATTACACTGCTGTCCAGCCGATCTGTTTTTCCTATTATATGCATTTCTCAGCAGGGATTTTTTTTTTTTTTTTGTAAGACTAATGCAGCTGCAAGTTAAACTATGAATGCATTTTCATCACTATGGGAAAAAAATAAGTAAAAAAGTAAAAAGGCTGCAAAACATACAGCAAAACTTTTGAAGGACTTCTGATGGACAACAGATATAGGGCAGGACCTGGGTGGTTTGCAATTTCTCCCAACCTGAAATTGGCTGAGAGCCTCAGAAATTTCCAATACATCCAGGGTTCTGTGGAGACCTTTATTGTGCCATTTGAAACTTTGCTTTGGTACCCAGATAAATCTTGAAGGTTCAAGTTTCTATTAAAGTTCTGAAATGAAGCAGTTTGATATCACACCCAACCAGGAGGCTGCTTCCAAGGAATTTCTGTCCAGGACGATGGCACAGAGAATACAAATTTTATTTCATTTCCTCTGTTTCTTGTAGGGTTGATTGGTTGGTGGAAATGGCTGGCAGCCAGTTCTGGGAAAGATTCCAGACCTGACTCCGATTAACCCTCTCTGGTGAAACTCTGCTGGAAACCAACTCACCAGCAATTGCCATTAATCTACTTACTAATTAAGCCAATTCATTTCTAAAGGAGAAAAATTCCTTTCTTTAGCCAAACTGATGGGAGGAAATTTGAAAGAAGCGCCAAACTGTGTAACTGTAATTCAGCCAAGGACTGCTAAAACAAGGTGTTGATATATAGCAGCAGATTTAAAACAAGTTTCTAGGGCAACACTCCTTTGGAGACAGCGGCATATAGTGCATAGTAGATGAAGCTCGAATAACGCTCCACAGCGCTATACCATCCCATGTACTTGCGTTGAAAAGAACACGTCTCTCTCCAATTAAATCTTGTTCCTTTTACGCACAAATAAATCACCTCTGCAGCTTTCTTTTGAACTAAAGTATATCAGCTTTATGTGACAACTACCACAAATATATTTCCTGAGACTTAATAAATAACTGTAGAATTCTGTAATCCAGAGCCTACGATTCAGATACAGGCTCTTAACAAGGCCTTACTTGTAGTTAGGGGAATAGAAAGAACCAAGTTGGACATTACGCATGGAAGAAAAGCAAACCCGCCTTTTGGTAAACGGTGTCTGGCATTCCAGCAGAATCTTGGTTTGCATCCTTACCAGGAAGCAAAACTCCAAAGAGTTTCCCTACTTACTAAAGAATTTCTGACAGCCTTTAAGATGCGGCTAGGTGCCCTGTGCCGGGGTAAGATAAGAATGAATCTTGCTTGAGGAAATGTACGATCTCCCTGTAGTCTTCATGACCTACCTTCATGGGGACTAGTTATTGGGTGAGGAGACAGCAAAACAGGTTGATGCTTTTGGTATAGAAAGACTGGATTAGAGAGGGAGTCAAACTTTTTAATTAAAGTCCGTCCCTTCCCACTCTTAGACGCCTGGGCTCTTCTGAGTCCCCGGAGCTCCTGAATGGATGTGGTTGCCCCGGAGGTTCAGTGCGCCCCGCTCACCCAGCACCAGCCAGGGCTTTCCTTAAAGGCGTGGAAAGGAGCGCGCACAAGGCGCGCATTGAGGTCTATTCGAGCGCAGTGCTGGTTAATATACATAATCTGGAGAGATTAAACAATTAGTTTAGAAAATCCTTGGAGATAGTATCCTTTCCGAGGGAGGCACCTTACACCAGGACGGCGAGGCCACTCTTTCTGAGGCCCCGTCTGCGCAGCCCAGGCTTCTGCTGGGTTAATCAACAGTCTCTGCGGGGCTGCTCTGGCGCATGGAGGGCTCCTCCAAGGACTCTTCTTTTGGGGATTCCGACAACTTCCCTAAACGTGAAGAAAGGTGGACAGACATAAACTTTGTTTTACTTATCATACACAGACCACTTCCCACTCTTCCCCCAAAGCATTTTGCGTCATTTTTTTTAGTGGGTCTTCCCAGCCCTGGCCCTAGCTGAGAGCCTCTTCAGGAACCTGGAAGAGAGACGGTGAAGGAGGTAGGGCAGGCAGGCAGATTATCCTTGGCCTTCCAGACAGCGTGTGCCAGCCAAGCTTTGCTCTGAGACAGTCTGGGGCTCTCCGGCAGCCCCAGGCTGCAGGAATGGTCTCAGGTGCCCCTGATAAAGGCCAGTACTCAACATTCTACTTGAAGCCGTTGTAGCAGAATAAAAAAAGTGGGAAGAGTTGTCTGTGTTTGGGCCCAGGGATTTGATTTTTCCAAGTTTTAAATTTCCATTTGCCTTGCAATGGAAATAGACGGGGCCTGTGAAATAGAAAATTATGAATGAGAAGGAAAGGAAACCACATTGGCCCTGGGCTCTGAAACTGGGGAATGGGAAGATGTCCCCACCCCCTAACCTCAACGTTGGGCTCTCTGCCCTGTGGGGAGGAACATTTACCTGGTGCGTAAATTGTGAGGAAAGCGTTGGGGGTCTGAGACAGGAAAGCCACAACATGGGATGTGATGTTCCAGCTTTGAAGGGGAACAAAGGCCCTGGGCTAATCCCAGTGAAAGCCGGGAGCGTGGAGAAGGCAACAAAGCATTGCAGCCTGCGGTCACCGGTAGGTGTCAATGTGGACACTTATAGCCGGGGCAGTGGGAGAGGGGAACACAGAGGAGCCAGGCTGTCATTCCAAGGCTTAACATGAACAAAGATAAAAACGTGACAACCTCGGCTTTCAATGGTTGGGAGGTTCAAAGTGGAGTGCTCCAGAGCCTATCTGGGTCAAGTCTTTTCTGCAGAAGGGCCTTTCTTTTTCTAGTCAAGTATCAACCAGGAAAGCCCCAAGGGCCTTTTCCCAAGGTAACTTTTCTTACTCAAAGCTTTCTTTAAAGTAATGTCCAATGCTACACACTGCCATAAAGATACAGAGCTTGTGAGATGCCTGGAAATAGCATAAAGGGCATTGTTTTCTGCATCCCAGAAACTCCAGGAGGCTGCATTCAGCCCTTATGAACTTGAACAGGCTACCTAAACTTTCTGGATAAGCTTCGTGTATTCTTTTGCACATTTAATGAAAAGAAATGAAATTTCTTTTTATAAAACTATGCATACATGTAGATGAGTCAATGGGTTCCATAATTTAGAAAAGTACTCATCTTACAAAGAAGTTCTGGTAGTACAATGTTGAAGGAATAGTGGAAACTTGCTAGAGTTAAGTATACTGGAGATTTTAGTCTATTAGAAATCAGCAGACGAGGAATTTACCAACAAATAAATGTCCTGAACAATCTGGGAAAGATAATTAAGAATCTTCTACTAATACAACCCATTAACAAAGATTATCTTAGAAAATCAATAAATGGACATGATAAATTATGTTTATATGAATAACTCAGAAACATTGCTTTTTAAAAAATTTTAACACTAAAACCAAAATACAACTCAAAAAATCATAAGGTAATAAAATTCTTATTTTCTTTAGTTGAAGTAAGTCTCCTAAATAATAAAAAAAGGATGTAAATATCCTTAAAAGACTAATGACATTTCACAGGTAATGCAATTTAGAAAGAAACACTTCCATGTTTTCTTTTCTAACAATGTGCATTTTTGTAAACTGCTATAAATTGCAATTCAAAAGCACTGATCTCGCCATCCCCAATCATTTTTTATACTGATCAAATGAATGCAGATACTCCCATTTGGGAGGGGCAACATGACATTTCACTTGGCAGTTCTAAACAGGTCACAGACCTTTCACAGACCCTAAGGCAGTGGGAGGGAGCTCTTTACTAAACCGTGTAACCAAATCAAACCAATGGTTACCCCTTTTCAAAACCAATGGAATGGTTTGCACAATGCTATTCACATAGCAGTACAGAAACTGAAAGGATGGTCATCCAATGGAAATTTCTTTCCTTTTGTTTAAACTTGCAGAGCTCAAAAAGTAATACTTGAGGGAAAACAATTACATGTGCTGTGATAAAAATAATAAAAAATACACATGCATTTTTGTTGGCACCACAGGGCTCAGCTGTAACTGTCCATTTGTATGTATATATATGCACATGTATATATGTATATGCATGTATATTTATTGAAGATGTTGCTTTGTTTGAAATCTTCGGCACAAAGACACAACAATGCTGCCCTGGAGATGACCTATTGCTTTCAAGTTGCTTGAACACATCAGAATTTCCATTGTTAGGGTTGATTAATTGAAACTGATAAGTTACCATGAATAAAGATTGTTTTTCTGTTTAATGTGGTGGGCCTGATTTGGTAAATGCCTCATTCATGTAGCTTTGCAGTGCAGCATATGGGTAAAAGTCATTCAGTATCACAAACATATACAATTTATTATGCTTGTATGGGCACAGCCAAAGCCCTTTCTATTTTAATGACAAAGTTTCAATGAAAAATTTCATTTAAAGAGTCACTAGTTACATGAAGTGTGAGTTTATAATTTATTATTAGAGTTTCTAGCTCTTTCTGTGGATAATTTAAAAGATATAATATTTTAATATAGTTTAAAAAAGATGTATATCTCCAAGTTATGCCTCAGCATTAGTCATTGGAAAAAAAGCAGAATCTATCTTAAATGTTAGCAGACACACATGAAGAGAAAGCACTGTCATCTGATGCCACCTCTGTGCCATACTCTTGATAAAGTTACTACAAATGTTTCATTGCAAGGCCACCAATTACAGCTCACACTGCCCAGTTTACGAGAAAATGCAAAGGAGCTTGTTTGGTGAATAACATGCCAACTTCCTAAAGGCTTTTTTTTTTTTTTTGTCTTAATGAATGAAGTCAGAAGACAACATTTTGAAAATAATTTAGGGACTATCACATGAAAAATCCCAGTGGACTTATTAATGTCCACACAATTTAATTACTGTGAACTTCCTTTACTGGAAAGCTGATGTCACTTTGAAAAGAGTTAACTACATTAAAAATGATCACAAATATTTACCAATAAAGGGAAGGTTGCTAATTTTTTAGAATGACGCTGTACAAAAACTTTTATTTTTTGCCTTTTTCATTTAGGTTGCTCAGGTAGTAATGAAAAATATGAAAGGCATGCTAATGAACTAATGAATCGACTGTACTAAACCATCAAAGAGATAGTTACCGTATTCAGCCTTTAACGTCTCATCAAATAAATTCTCTGGTCATTCATGTCCATGAAACAGTTCAAGTTCATCCAACATTTCTCAATTAAATTAGATGGGTGATTTCAGTTCAGCCCTTCTGGAGAGTAATAAACCACATCGGTCACAGTTGACCACAGCTAGCATGTGTTTAATAAAGGGCTGGATGTCCATTGGAAAGCTAATCAGTACACCGGCACTTGTAAAATTCCCTCCTGCATTTTGAAGTGATAATCTGTATCTAATTTTTAAAGAAAAATTTACTTTCCTTTCACTCTTCTGAGGCCAATTTCTTTTCTGGACCTGAATAGAGATCATTGGTGAAACGGCACCAAATAGCTTTGGTATGTGTACAACAAAAACCCACCTCTGTGTAGAACATAACAAATTATGCAATGTTCACAGATGCGCTTCACATTGTGCCTTTTGTGAGAAAATGAAGGCCCAACTCTATTCCCCACCCCCCTCTTTATGAAAGACCGGGCTGCCAATGCAATCTGTTCTAATCCTAGAGAAAAATAAACACTCTTAATATGGAAGCGTTAGGTAGTTGTCTCTAAAAGGATTTTCATTCGAACGTTTGGTCTATGCAATTTTTGCACGTACGAATTTGAAATTACAAGCAGCTAGTTTTTCTTATGAACAGGTGAACAATTTGGAGCCTAAGGATTGAAATGTTAAATGCTCTCGTAACTCACCTGTAACTCACCTTGACATCTGCATATTTAGTGGAAATGCTGTTATCACACAGTTTCATGCGTGAATTTATAGGTTCCCAAAGAAATGCAGTAATATTTCAGTCACAGTTTTAAAAACATACACACTGAAAATATTTAAAATTTTGTTTCTGTATCTTGGTTTCTGATTATTCTTATGGGAAAAGTGGTTATTAATATATAATTCTGAAGAGCAAGGTAGCGATTTCCGCAGAAATGGTGAAAAATGCAGACAGACCTCAGGAGGCCCACCTTACCTCATGGGACTTCCACAAATCCTGGTCTGACTTTTACAGAATGTGCTAGTCATTGAGTGACTGTCTTAGAACATAAATTCCAGGCACTGAGAAAAATCTCTATATCCTCAGTGCCTCGCCTAGGCCTTTGCTTAGGTTTTCATAAAGTCTGTGGAATGAATGAGTGAATGGATTAACAAAGAGAAGGTAAAACCTAGAAGGCTAAGTAGTGTGTTCCACTTGTTATCCACAGCCTTTGCAGTTCCCTCACACATTGACTCTGGTCTTGGCCCTGTGACTTGCTTTGGCTAATGGGATAAGAGCAAATGTGACCCCAGCGGAGACTTGAACAATCCTTGTGCATTGGAGCCTGCTCTCTTGCTGCTCTGGAGAACCCTGAGAGTGCCATGAAAGCAAGCTTGGCTTAGCCTACTTGATAGTGAGGGACATGAGGTCTGGTTACCCCTGTCACCCCAGCAGACAGCCAGCATAAGTCCATCAATGACCAGCTGAACACAGAAGCTCAGCGAGACCAGGCAGAAGACCCACCACCTAGATGAAGGCATGTGTACAGGCACAGGTGCTTGGAACAGCATGAAACAGCAGGGCACTGCAAGTCATTTGTGACCACTAGGTTAGAAAGCTCACATATGGGAGAGGGAGGGGTTACGAATGGTCTTGTAGGCTAAACTGAAGAACTTGATTTTATCTTGAAAGCCATAGAGATCTGCTGAAGGATTCAACAGGGAATAACAAAGTGTAAAAAAGTGAAGCGAAATATGAAATCCTTAGCAACCTCAACATTTAAGACACAGAGCAGGGGCAAAATTGATCAAGCAGGAGAGCCTGAGAAGGGTGCTCTGAATAGGAGGAGGAGAACCAGGACAGGTTGGTGTCTTGGAGGTCAAGAGGAGAGCGTTTGGAGAATTAAGGTGAAGGATACAATGTTTCAGTTATGTGAGATGAATAAATTCTGAAGATCTAATGTACAGCAGAGTAACTATTTAGCAATACTGTACTGTATACTTGAAATTTGCTAAGAGGGTAGGTAGCTCTTAAGTGTTCTCATCATAAAAGGAGGAGGAAGAGGAGAAGGATGAAAGAAGAAGAGACGGAGAGGAAGAAAATGGTGAAATGATAAATATGCCAGTTAGCTTGACTGTGGTGATCATTTCTCTTAAGTATATATAATTTTTATTTGTCAAGTATATCTCAATAGAGCTATTCACAAAAAAATTAAGGGGCCAGGTGCAGTGGCTCATGCCTGTAATCCCAGCACTTTGGGAGGCCGAGGCATGTGGATCGCTTGAGCTCAGGAGTTCAAGACCAGCCTGGGCAACATGGCAAAATCTTGTCTCTACCAAAAATACAAAAACTTACTGGGCGTGGTGGCGCACACCTGTGGTCCCAGCTGCTCAGGAGGCTGAAGTGGAAGGATCACTTTAGCCCAGGAGGAGGAGGTTGCAGTGAGCCGAGATTGCACCATTGCACTCCAGCTTGGGCAATAGAGCCAGACCTTGGCTAAAAAAAAAAAAAAAAAAAAAAAAGGAATTAAGGAATGCTTAGCAGTAACAAAATCCTGGGGTGAGGTCAAGTGAGATGAGGACTAGAAATTTTATTTGCCATTTGTAAGATTCTGGTGACCCAGTGGATGGCAGTGCTAGAGGGCAATGAAGCCAGGAGGAAAGTGGAGGAAACTGGAGCCAGAGAAGGAGAGCAAGCAGGTTCTGATTTCCCTCAAGCAGGTTCACATCAAAAGGAAGGAGGGGCAGAGGGCAGCTGCTTGCAGAGGAAGCAAAGGAGAGAGTAAGAAAAGGAGGCATGGGCATGTTTATGGAAGAGAGTACTGGACATGGTGGTGTTCTCCAGGACAAATAGGGATATTGTGAGAACATAACCTAAGTTCATGAAATCAGGAGTCTAAATGGAGTTAACCTCAGACTCAATTTTTTTTTCCTTTTTGAGATGAAGTCTTGCCCTGTCACCCAAGCTGGAGTGCAGTGGTGTGATCTTGACTCACTGTAACCTCCATCGCCTGGGTTCAAGTGATCCTCCCACCTCAGCTTCCCAAGTAGCTGGGACCACAAATGCCTGCCACCATGGCCAGCTAATTTTTGTATTTTTAGTAGAGACGGGGTTTCACCATGTTGGACAGGATGGTCTCAAACTCCTGGCCTCAAGTGATCTGCCCAACTCAGCCTCCCAAAGTACTGGGAGGATTACAGGTGTGAGCCACCATGCCTGGCCTCAGACTCAGTTTTATCAAACATATAGAGATCACTTGCTATCTGCTAGGAAAGTGCAGGCACATTTATACACAAGCCTTGTCACATTTGATTCCTTAATGCTAGAACATATGTTGAAGCTTCAAAGAAGTAGCTTTCTAACTGATCAAGGGAACATATCTCTTTTATGGTGGGCACTGAATGGCAGAACTCCTTACCCTAAGTCTTAATACAAACTGAAAACATACTGCCACTGAACTCATTTGGAATAGTGGGTATCAATTATTTAATGTAATGCCAATGAAGTTATTAAATTGTTACCTTGTATTTGCTTGCTAGAGCTGCCATAACAAAGTAGCACAAACTGGGGGCTGAAACCAACAGAAATGAATTGTCTCATAGTTGTGGAGGCTAGGAGTTCAAAATCAAGGTGTCTGAAATTTGTAGGGCCATGCTCCCCCTGAGACCCTGGGTGGAATCCTTCCTTGCCTCCTCCTAGCTTCAGATCGTGGCCACCAATCCTTGGCATTCCTTGGCTTGTGGTTGCATCACTCCAATCTCTGTCTCTGCCATCACATAGTGTCTCCCTGTGTGTCTCTGTCTTCACAGGACGTGTTCCTCTTATGACACTAGTTATATTGAATTGAGTCCACCTGGAAGACCTTGGCTTAATTACATCTGCAGAGACTCTATTTCTAAATAAGATTACATTCATAGGAGCCTGAGATTAAAGTCTCAACATATTTTTGTGAGGCGGTGTGTGTGTGTGTGTGTGTGTGGGGGGGGGGGGTATCACAATTCAACCCGTAACACACACTTTTCCAGAGAAGGCAACTTACTGCCTAGGTTACAGACAGGATACACAAGGAAAAGACTTTTATGAAGATACAACAGAGACTTTAAAAGTGTTCTTTAAAAAAATGACTGGTACTTGATGTATGCTTTGGATATGTGGGATAACAATAACTGCAGTTGTTTACAAAGGTAAAGTGTTCTTAAAATAGATAAAATAAGGTAGAAATCAAATGAAGTGTCCTTTATCCAGAACATGAAGAGAACTGATTTGAACACATAGGATATTTTTGGTGGGGGAAGAAGAGAGAACAATGGTATAGTGAGTTCATGATTTAGGACTCCATATGGGCCTGATAGATAAAATTTAAAAAGAAAAGCAAAAAGACATACTGGGAGAACAAGATAAACATGTCTCTTGTAACGAAATGGTGAAGTAACAAGCCAGCCTGTTAGGAATTGAATTGTGTCTCCCCAAAGATGCTGAAGTCCTAACCTCCAGTACCTATAAATGTGAGCTTATTTAGAAATAGGGTCTTTGCAGATGATCAAATTAAGATGAGGTCATTAGGGTGGACCTTAACCCAGTATGTCTGTGTCCTTATAAAAAGAAGGAATGTGAACGCAGAGATGTAGGTAGAGGGAAGGCAATGTGTAGACACAGGGAGAATGTCATCTACAGGTAAAGGAAACTCAGGGCTACCAGAAGCTAGGAGACGGTCATGGGACAGATTCTCCCTCGCAGTCCTCAGAATAAACCAACCTCACCTTGATTTCAGACTTCCAGCCTCCAGAACTGTGAGAATATTAATTTCTGTGGTTGAAGCCACCTGGTTTGTGGTAGCTTGTTATGGTGGCCTTAGCAAAGGAATACATAGCCCAAACCACACGTCTCTTGTTTCAGCTGCAGAAACCCATCCTGATGGTCAAGAATAAAGCTCATATTTGGTAACAGAAGCTAAATGTGCTTCATGCTGGGTGGAAGAACAAATTCACTTCTTGAAGGCAGAAGCTTTAATGAAAGAAAGTTGAGAAACAACAACAACAACAACAGTTTTTAACCTGGGCTATGGCTTTGTAGTAAGCTATGAGCCTAGGAAGGTTAGAGGTCACAAACTCACTTCATGCAGAGGAACTGAGCTAGACCACCTGCTGGCTTGGAGTCTTTAGGACCCTTCATGTCACAGCAAAGTAGGCAGCCCCAAACTTATAAGAACTGGCTGTAAACTGGGAGTGAGAGAGGCACAAGAAGCAGTCACAGAACTATATTCAGGAAATATTGTATTGAGAGAGAGAGAGAGAGAGAGAGAGAGAGAGAGAGAGAGAGAGAGACGTAAGCATGCAAACCTAAGTTCCAAAATAAACAAAGGACAGAATGCTAGGCAAGACAAAAGCAAGATCAGCTATCAGAACATGAATTCACTCCAGGTAAATTTAAGTTGATGAAACAGTATGACAAAGATTTTAAAACTTATGCTTAGTATGTTCAAAGAGTTCATGTTTAATGATAATTATCATAAAAAAGGAAAAACAAATTATGATACAAGATAACCCAGAGTAAAACAAGAACAGTGGCTTTGAAAAAGAACCAATTAAAATTTTGGAAATAGAAGAGTCACTAAAATGAAACACTAAAACATGGGATAAACTGGCATAGCTAAAGAGAGAATTTGAATGTTGGAAGGTACTATTGAAGAATTCACCCATATACACAACAAAGAAAAATTAGAAAATGTAGATTGGAGGCATGGAGAAGAGATTGAGAGGTGCTCCAGAAGAAATCAGCATAGAAAATGTACAGGCAATATTTGAAAAGGTAGTAGCTGAGAGATTTCTAGAAGTAAAGAAATACATGAATCATCAGATCCAAATTTTATCATGAATATTGATAAATACATCATTGAATACATTGAACACCATAAAGAAAACACTAAATAACTACAAATTATTGGAAAATTGACACCAGACTTCTTATAATCCTAAGTAGAGGCTCAACGGTGGTGATACAAAAGAAAATGTGGAGGAAAGAATAACTGCCAACCTAGAATTCCATGTCTTGCTAAATTACCATCAAAGAGTGAGGTAAAAATTAAGGCAAACAGAATTTACCATCAACAGGCCCTCACAAAGCAAATTATTGAAGTAATGATACTTCTAAACATACACATATATTAAAACATATGCATACATAAACATATACAATAAAAGAAAAGAAACACAGCTTTCAGCTTTCAAATCAGCATGGGGGAAACGATAAAATACAGAAAATGTTATCAACCTAAAAGAAAGCAAGAAAGAATAGAAAGTAAAGCAGAATATCAGAAAATACAAAGATAAGGTAATAAAAATAGTCCAAATATATCAATAATCACAATTGTAAACAATAAATTCACCTGTTAAAAAGTAGATTTTACTAAAGAGAACTAAAAAGAAAAAAGTTATCACTTTAAGTTGCTTAAAAGAGAAAAATGCAATATAAAAGATCATAAAAATATTGAAAAAAATGAAAAAGATACAATGCAAATACTACTAATATGAAAGCTATTATAATGTTATTGATATAAGATACAATAGAATTTAAGACATCAAAGAATTACCAGGGTTAAAGAGGCCAGTGCATGCAACAATCCACCAAGAAAAAATAGGAAGCATTTAACATAGCTTTAAAATGTATAACAAAAAACTGACAGAATTACTAACAGAAACTAATCAATCTTCAGTCATAGAGAGATATTTTTATATTTCTCTTTCAGAAAACATAAGAGATTAGGCATACAATAAATTAGAAGAATAAAGAATGTCTGAACTACCAAATTAATAAGACGAGCTAATAGAAAGGTTACAAGGAAATTAGGAGTCATTAATTAAAGGTAAAGCAATCTGAACGAAGCATATTTAAAAATCTCTGTGTTAAAGAGACAATCATGATGGAATAAAATATTTAGAGTCAAGCAACAGTTAAAGTGCTGTCAAAATTTATGGGATGCAACTAAAACATTTTTAAAGTCATAAATGCATTTATTAATATGTAATAAAAATAAAAAATGAGTAAGCTAGAGGAAAAAACAGAAATATCTTTTAAAAATAGAAGGAAATAGCAGAGAAACACATAAATCCAACAACCAAAAAAAGTAGAGCAAATTAATAAACCAAAAATTAGTACTTTAGAAAAGACTAAAAATCATATAACACTTTGACAGGATTAAGAACAAACAAACGGTAAATATATAAAACAACATCAGGGAGA
The DNA here is from genome assembly GCF_000001405.40 of Homo sapiens. NCBI lineage: Eukaryota > Metazoa > Chordata > Mammalia > Primates > Hominidae > Homo > Homo sapiens. The sequence continues at coordinate 23,214,740 of NC_000010.11, forward strand.
GGCTGGGTGCAGTGGCTCACGCCCGTAATCCCCAGCACTTAGGGAGGCTAAGTTGGGCAGATCACTTGATGTCAGGAGTTCGACACCAGCCTGGACAACATGGCAAAATCCTGTCTCTACTAAAAATATAAAAATTAGCTGGGCATGGTGGCACGCACCTGTAATCTCAGCTACTTGGGAGGCTGAAGCAGGAGAGTCACTTGAACCTGGGAGGCGGAGATTGCAGTGAGCTGAGATCTTGCCACTGCACTCCAGCCTGGGCGACAGACCAAGACTCTGTCTCAGAAAATAGAAAACATCAGGGGCAGAAAAGGGGCATAATTACAGATATTTTAGAATTAATAGGAGAATACAATGAACAAGTTTATTTCAATGTATCTGAAAATGTAGATCAAATGGATTGTCTAGAAAAAATGTTGCTGCAATTGACTCAATAAAAAAATAGAACACTAACAGCTATTAAAGAAACTAAATTTGTATTCGAAAATCTCTCTCACCTTCACAAAGGACACTAGGTCCAATTTGACAAATTTTTCACACCATCAAAGAAGAGATATCTTTTTTTTTTTTTTGAGACAGAGCCTCACTCTTTTGCCCAGGCTGGAGTGCAGTGGCATGATCTTGGCTCACTGCAACCTCTGCCTCCCATGTTCAAGAGATTCTCCTGCCTCAGCCTCCTGAGTAGCTGGGATTACAGGCGTGCACCACCACACCTGGCTAATTTTTGTATTTTTAGTAGAGATAGGGTTTCACCATGTTGGTCAGGCTGGTCTCAAACTCCTGACCTCATGATCCACCTGCCTCTGCCTCCCAAAGTGTAAGCCACCATGCCCGGCTGAGATATCTATTATATACTAACTTTAATCATCTGACAGAAGAGGTAGAAGAGGGTAATCCTTCCCACTGAGTCGAGTACAGCCTTTATATCCAAACTACATAATGGGAATTCAGGGAAAAAAATTATAGACCAAACTCAGAAGGAAAATTCTAAATAAAAGACCAGAAAATTAAAATTAATTATCAACACAAAAGTTAAGAAATATAGGTATAATTTAACATGAGAAAATGTATTAATGTGTTTCAACATTAACAGATTAAAGGAGAATGACCACAGTTATCAGCTTAACAGGTAAAGGGGGAAAACCAGATAAAGCTTAGCCATCAATTTGTTATAAAAACTTTCAGCGCCTGCTATAGAAGAGAACTTTAGTGACTTGATTGAAGAATAGCTATGACAAACCTACAATAAACATCATACTTCATGATGACACTTTAGAAATTATCCTGTTAGAGAGAGAAACCAAAAAAGGGTGCCACTGACTGCTCTATTACAGTACTGGAAATTCTAGCCAGTGCATTAAGACAGGAAGAAGATATTTGTGAAGCGTGAAACTAGCAAAGAGATAATGTTCAGAATGTATAGACTCCTATAAAAAAGAACCACCCAATTATAGAAAAATCATCTACTTCTAGCACCAAGCAATTCATAGAAGAGGAAACTAAAATGGTTAATAAACATATAAAGAATTATTCTTATTAGTTATCAGGGAATTTCAAAAAAAGAATAAAATGCAAATTCACACCCATCATATCAGCAAAAATTAAAAATATGGCAACTCCAAGTGTTAGTAGGAAAATGGAACAATACAAACTCATAACCTACTGATATGTGTGTAAAGTAGTGTAACCAATTACTAGCATATTCTGACAGTATCTAGTAAAGTTACTAGAACTCAGCAGCTCCTCTTCTAGGTATTTAGTAAACCTCTCACACATATACACTATGAGAAATAGCAGCTATTTATGAATCTAACAAATTGAAAATCTTCTGAATTCCCATCAACAGCAGAATGAATATATTGTAGAATATTCATATTATACAATGGAATATACTATACAGCAGGTAAAATAAATGAACTCAAGCTACATACAGCAAAATACTGTAAATAAATTTCAAAAACATTTATAGGTAAAAATTAAGAACACATACTTCCACCATCATGGATATAATGCTTGAAAACATGCCAAATGATGTTATAAATTATTTGTACATGTATAAGAGTGTGTGTCTCTGTAGTGATATAAAATATGTATGATTGACAAACTCTAAAATCAAGGCAGTGGTTACCTCTGGGGAGAGAAGGAGGAATGATATCAACTCAGTCTTCATTGTCTTACTTTTATGACTCAAGCATGGCAAAATCTAATAGAGCCAGGTGATGTTCAACATATAATTCTCTATATTCCCTTAATATCTGAAATATTTCCTCATAAAAAATTTTCTACATTAACTATGTCTATAAATAAAATTATTTCATCATTTTTGGATGAACTCTAGCTTACATTTGTGTAGAATTTAATAGTAGACAAAATACTTCCTTCCTATAACATCTTTTTTTCCATGTGATTGTTTATTTGAAGATGGGCAACTTTGATTAAAGAAGTTGAACAAGCCAGGAATGTGATAAGCTGAAGATTGAAACCCAGTGACATTTGTAGAAGCCACACTTCATAAATACTACTTTTCTGATCTCGGTTTATTCCCACAATTTCTGAAATGGGGGTTCCTGCAGCTGAAAGGAATATTAATATGGTACCTTTCATATACAAGGATGTCATGTCAAACTCAGTTAAGGGTACACTTGGTAAGCCCATGGATTTGCATGAATCCATGTATAATATCCTGTAACATTTTGCCAGCAGACTCATTCCTAAATTAAAAAGTTAATACCCACTTGTCTCTGCACTAATTAAACACTTTCTCAGTGTTTTGTTACTACCATAATGGCTTATGTGGTTTATAATGCCTCTTAAATGAACACAATATCAGTCTGCAACCAGGCAGCAAGGTTTGGGATGAGATCATTGTCACAGGGTAGAGAGGCTGCTGGAATCCAACTCATGGCTCAACTGGACTAACAACACACACCAGAAACATTCTTACCTTCTGCCTCATGCTTCAGAGAGCTTTAAGCACCAGGTGTAGGTGTGATAAGGAATGCGATTAGTGGTATTTATTAAATGAAATATTGTCTATGGATGCTTAAAAACATATTAGACTGAAATAAGACAGTCCATCAAATTAATAAGGGACATTTTAATAGTTATTAGCCTAAACTTTTTTCTACTAAATTTTTATGATCTTGCAAATTCAAAGTAATTACCTGCCTATTTATTTCAAAGATTAACACTGTATTTTCAAAGCATATGGGTTGCCTTCCCTTTTCATTTCTAACATTTTTCAATCCCAATCTGACCTACGGACAGAGCTTCAGTTACAGAGAGAGCCTCTTATTTTTGTCATCACTTCTCTAATCCAGTTGGTCATCCTAACCAATTTCTATACCATTCGGAATTCACTGTATTTGGAAGGAAAAATTGAGAGACAGGCTGCTGATCTTCCAGGTTTTTATTTGTTTGTGTTGAGACAGTCTTTGTTGCCCAGGCTGAAGTGCAGTGGCGCCATCATGGCACACTGCAGCCTCCACCTCCCTGGGCTCAGGTGATCTTCCCACCTCAGCTTCCCTAGTAGCTGGGACTACAGGTTCACATCACTACACGAGGCTAATTTTTTTTTTTTTTTTTTTTTGTAGAGACGGGGCTTCCCCATGTTGCTCAGGTGGTTCTCAAACCCCTGAGCACAACATATCCACCTGCCTTGGCCTCCCAAAGTATTGGGATTACAGGTGTGAGCCACCACTCCCAGCCCCAGGTTTTAATTTATCATCTAATATGCTAAATTATATGCCTCAAGTATTAATAGAAAATATCTCTAAATAAATGTATAAAAAGCAAGGGAAATTCCTAAGAAAAGGTAGTTGAGAATTAGCTCAAGTCTCAAAGACAGACATGACATGTACAACCTAGAAATATAAAATTTGAATAATAGGTAACTGATGGTAACAAGGGAAGTAATGGAAAAGTTGGTGGCAGTGACATTAACATTTACAGACCCCGTAATACATTATATTTAATAAATCAGGTTAGTCCTGGTATTAACTCACAATTCATTGATTAACTCCTTCTAACATTTTTATGGCCATCAATTATATGTGGAATCTATTGTTTGGATATACATTGTAATATTATAAAATGTGCACTTGAATATGAATCTGAAAACCTTAACAAATTATATCCATTATAGCTGACAGCCTAGAGACAATATATAAAACAATGTTAACACGTATGCCTGAAACTTCTTTTTATCTCTTAACTAACTTACAATTTCTTACGTGATTTTAAAACTTGTTTTTCTATTTAAAACAACAGGGGCAACTGAACTTCACTTTCAAACAATATTTATTTCTATAAATCAGTGCAAAACATACTTATTGAAAATATATCTTGGGTCCAAGGCTTCAAAGGGTAAAAAGAAAGATTTTAAATTATATCTAATATGTTACAATTGTTCTGTCCTTTAAAAACCTTTTCAGATCACCCCCTGGATGATTCTTCCCTAGAAGTCTCAGAGAATTAACAACACAATGTAATCTAGGTTTAAATTTGGGTTTCTCCTGTGTTTCAGATACTGATGTTTGAGCTTTCTCTTCCTGACAAGCCACTTAAAGAGTCACTGTTACTTTGAGGTTTTATCTGTAAGATTCGTGTCTTTTGGGCTCATTAAGAACATTTCCAAAGATTACAATGTCAATAGCACCTAATTACTGGACTGTGAGAAAGGTCTTCTTGAGTACATAAAATCTGTGGCAGTGCACAGTACACAATGGGCAGCTCAGATCCCAAATTTTATCACAAGTAAGTAGCAAACAAATTAATAATGTTACCTGTGCTCTCTTGGATAATTACTACTGCATAAAAACTGCTTTGAAATGTTGCAGATAGTATTGTACCTCATTTTTTTAATCCCCTTAGAGTAACAAGGATTTATTTGTCTCAAACTTTCTATGTTGCATGCACCACTTGACTTTCTTGTTCTGTTTAGAATTTTTAGAACTTGCAACATAACAAAAAATCATTTTTAACCAGCCTAGGAAGGACATATCACCTGATGTAACATTATTTTAAATTATATTTTGTATTTTACTTTACTCTTTTCAAAACATATACTGTATGTTTTGATACTATTGCTAGATTTTATTTTTTACTTATGCCTGGTAGAAAATCAGCTATTAAAGAAGCAGAGGAGGCTGGACACAGTGGTTCATGTCTGTAATCGCTAGCACTTTGAAAGAGTATGTATGACAGCAGGATAGCTTGAGCCCAGGAGTTGGAGACCAGTCTAGATGACAAAGTGAGACCCTGTCTTTACAAAAAATAAAGAAATTAGCTTGATGTGGTGGTGTGTGCCTGTAGTTCCAGCTACTCAGAAGGCTGAGGCAGGAGGATCACCTGGGCCCAGGAATTTGAGACTGCAGTGAGCTATGACTGGACCACTGCACTCCAGCCTGGATGACAGACAAATACCCCATCTCAAGAAAAAAAAAAGCAGTAGAGATTAGCTGTTTTAATTTATTAGCCTACTGTTTAGGGCATCATTGCTTTCACGGGGAGATTAAAATATAGATTTGCAAGGCTTTAGCTTGGGATTATACTATGAACAGCTCAAGAGGACAGGTAGAGAGAGGAATTAGCTAGGTATGTCACATATATGATCTCACTTCATCCTCATAACAAACCTATGAGGTGGGGTTGCCGTGTCTGTTTTACACAACAGGAAGCACTAAGATGAAGGCACCAGTGAGTAAGTAGTCACCTGAGCTTGAAAGCTCTGTCAGCCTCCAAAGCCCAGGTTAGCTCTGTTACACCATGGATTTTCCACACTGTGTTTTATTGAAAATGGGATATTTTCCATGTTGTCATGCATGAATCTTGGGGCAGGTGAAAATAATTGAGTGGGGATTAGCATGGACTCTTAGCCTACACTGGATTTGAATCCAGCTGCTCTACTTCTTTGCAATATAAACCTAACAGTTTACCAACCTCTCTGTATTCAGTGGTCTTATCTGTAAAATGGGGGAAAGCAAGAGTACCCACCTAATAGGATTTTTGTGAGGATTAAAGTAAAAACGTGAAAGGCATTTAGAATATTATGTATATCCACTGAATGATAGTTATACATAATTTCACAAAGTATTTTGTGGTGTGAAAGTATAGCCTAAGAAGTTCAACCTTTGATGCCAATATGAGGATTCTGTAACAGAAACGATAATATTCCATAGGATACTTTAAATAATAATGTTCCTATCCTATTTACATATTTAAAAATGGAATGCATTTTAACTTGAAAGTGTTCGGTTGGGATCTGTTACCAAATAGGTTATAGTAACCCCTTATGTTTTATGTACCTGTATTAGTCCATTCTCATGCTGCTATAAAGAACTACCTGAGACTGGCTAATTCATGGAGAAAAGAGGTTTAATTGACTGACAGTTTCACAGGCTTAACAGGACGCATGGCTAGGAGGTGTCAGGAAACTTACAATCATGGTGGAAGGGGAAGTAAGCATGTCTTACAATGGAGGAGCAGGAGAGAGCGAGAGAGAGAGACAGCGAAGTGCCACACACTTTTAAACCATCAGATCTCATGAGAACTTACTAGCATGAGAAGAGTAAGGGGGAAATCAGCCCCTATAATCCAATCACCTCCCACCAGGCCCCTTCTCCAAATGGACGTGAGATTTGGGTGGGGACACAAATCCAAACCATATCAATATCTAATACCTCTTTAATAGGTATTTTTGAATTAGTGCTTGAAAGCATTAATAATGTATTAAACTATTTCCGGGGGGTCTGAAGAGGGTACTCAACCTTGTAAAGTACTTTCGGAGCTTGGAATAACTTGTTTGGTGAAGATTAGCAATAATCTTGGCTAATTTGGCCCTTTGACTGGCAATAATTGCACCTCAGATAAACCTTATTGGCTGCAATATTGCCACTGTGCAAAGCTATTTTGTCCCTTTAAATGTCCAGCCTGAATGCGTGAAATGCAAGGCATTACCACCAAAGATCGTGCTTTCTAAAGAGAAGATTCATTTACTCCCCAAATTAGAAAATTAGTAATTCAGCTTTCCTCTTAACATGCATTTAGTTGTTTTTATTCAGTAAAAATAGGAAATTTATTTCTAGTAAATTTTGGATTAACTGGAACCAATTAATAAGAAATTTTTGTTAACTGGATTATTTCCGAAAACTATCTTCAGAGGGAAGAACATTACATGTCAAAGCTGTATCTGAGATTGAATACGAGGAAATTTCATGGTTATGTCCACAGGCATCTGGTGTGAGCATTTTATCTTATGCCTCCTCTACAGTGCTGATTAATATTCAGAATTATGAGCCTTAGAGCACACTGTAAAATTATGGATCATAAAACATATTTATATTCAATTTTATTAGTAAGGCAAAAAAGTGAGCTAATAGATTTTAGGAGGATTTTCAGTAGACAGAGCGGAAATAACTCTACATTTTGCATTTTCAGGGCTTAGAAAAGGGAGTGACGGTGTTTGTTTCAGTGGGGCTGCCTTATGTGTCATGTGGCCATCAAAATTTATTTGTGTTACTTCAAATGGACCTTTGCAAAATGGTTTTCTTGGCTAGGGAAAGTCAATTTTCAAGGCAAAATCCTCAATTGAATTTTTAGGGAATGGAACTCTATGGTTAATTAAACTTCCTAAATAAAATTGCAGGCCATAAGTGAATTCATATAGAAGTAGAAAACCAAATACTGCATGTTCTCACTTATAAGAGCTAAACATTGGGTACACAGGGACATAAAGATGGGAATAACAGACACCGGGGTCTCCAAAAGGAGGGAGAGAGGAAGGTAAGGGTTGAAAAACTTCCTATCCCATACTACGTTCACTAATTGGGTGATGAGTTCCATCAAAGCCCAAACCTCAGCATCATGCGATACATCTACACAGCAAATCTGCACATGTACCCCTGGAACCTAAAGTTAAAAAAAATTTCAAGCCAGCTAAATTCATTAATCCACATGTTTACAATAAAATGTGAGTACATTAAGATGCTTTAGAAATAATTTCAGCCTGGGCAACACGACAAAATCTCAGCTGTAAAAAAACCAACCAATCAACCAAACAAACAAAAATCAGCTGGGCATGGTGGTACTCACCTGTTGTCCCAGCTACTCAGGAGGGTGAGACAGCCAGGTTGCCCAGGCTGGTCTAGAGCTCCTGGACTCAAGCATCCCAAAGTGCTGGAATTACAGGTGTGAGCCACCAGGCCCAGTCTACTTTTCTTCTAATTATTAAGTTGGAAAAAAATAGGAATTTAACAGGAGCTTCAGGTTTGTTGGCAGTTTAATTTTAAAAAAAGAAATGACATTCCAACTAAGGCAGTCTCTGGTTTTGAAGTATAACTATTTTTTTTTTTAAATTTAAAGACAAGGTCTCACTCTGTCACCCAGGCTGGAGTACAGTGGCTTGATCTTGGCTCACTGCAGCCTTGACCTCCTGGGCTCAAGCAAATCCTCAATCTCCTGATTAGCCTGGACTACAGGTTCATGCCACCATGCCTGGCTAATTTTTGTATGTTTGTATTTTTTTTTGTAGAGGTAGAGTCTTATATGTTGCCTAGGCTGATCTCAAACTCCTGGTTTCAAGTGATCCTCCCTCAGCCTCCAAAAGTGCTAGGATTACAGGCATGAGCCATTGGGCCTGGCATAGATTGATTTTCAATTAGCAGTGATCAGTAGTCAGAAGTATATATTAGTATTCTTTTATTCAGTTTATCTGTGCAATAATTTTATAAAGTGGCTGAAAAAAGTCATGCATTCACCCAGAATACCAAATACCTCAGGGTAAAAAAGAAAAGCAAAGTTAATCTAGACTAAGTAGCCATTCTGGTGTGAACCTCATTTCCAACAATAATGATTCTTACCTTTTGGTGAAAGTTGAAGGGCTGCCTGATCACTGACTACATCCACATGCTTACCGTCTATCTGTAAGTGAACCAAAACTTTTCATTACTTAAGTTGAATAATATTAACTCAGTAAATATTTAATAAAGAAAAATAAGCTACTTACTGAAGATGTACAATGACTTGAAGAGGATATAGCTGTCATGGTCGTTCTAGACTGCACTAATAAGGGTTTTACTTTCTGAAAGACACAAAAGATATGTACTGTGTTATCAGGAGGAAATAATAGTCAAATCAAATGGACGTTAATGTTCTCCAGCCTTTAGTTGACCAAGATATGGAAACTATGCTTGTCACTTATTTGCTCAAATATGGCTGCGGAAATCCTTTTCTTCATTCCAATGGGATAGAGCCTCTTTCTTCTTCAGACCACTTTGAAAGAAAATTTAAGAAAACGATTTTCCTTAGTATCTCTTCTGACTCTACTTCCTTTTGACTGTCCCTACAATTGAGACTTACTACTTGCAACTGGTTGGAAGCCACCAAAATTAGCCAGGGGCAGACTGACACCCCACATGGCTGGGTACCCCTCTGAGACGAAGCTTCCAGAGGAACGATCAGGCAGTAACATTTGCTGTTCAGCAATATTCACTGTTCTGCAGCCTCCGCTGCTGATACCCGGGTAAACAGGGTCTGAAGTAGACCTCTAGCAAACTCCAACAGACCTGCAGCTGAGGGTCCTGAGTGTTAGAAGGAAAACGAACAAACAGAAAGGACATCCACACCAAAACCCCATCTGTACATCACCATCATCAAAGACCAAAGGTAGATAAAACGACAAGGATGGGGAAAAAACAGAGCAGAAAAGCTGAAAATTCTAAAAATCAGAGCTCCTCTCCCCCTCCAAAGGAACTCAGCTCCTCGCCAGCAATGGAACAAAGCGGGACGGAGAATGACTTTGACGAGTTGAGAGAAGAAGGCTTCAGGCGATCAAACTTCTCCGAGCTAAAGGAGGAAGTTAGAACCCATCGCAAAGAAGCTAAAAACCTTGAAAAAAGATGAGACGAATGGCTAACTAGAATAACTAGTGTAGAGAAGTCCTTAAAGGACGTGATGGAGCTGAAAACCATGGCACAAGAACTACGTGACGAATGCAGAAGCTTTAGTAGCCGATTCGATCAAATGGAAGAAAAAGTATCAGTGATTGAAGATCAAATGAATGAAATGAAGCGAGAAGTTTAGAGAAAAAAGAGTAAAAAGAAACAAAGCCTCCAAGAAATATGGGACTATGTGAAAAGACCAAATCTATGTCTGATTGGTGTACCTGAAAGTGATGGGGAGAATGGAAACAAGTTGGAAAACACTCTGCAGGATATTATCCAGGAGAACTTCCCCAACCTAGCAAGGCAGGCCGACATTCAAATTCAGGAAATACAGAGAACACCACAAAGATACTCCTCGAGAAGAGCAACTCCAAGACACATAATAGTCAGATTCACCAAAATTGAAATGAAGGAAAAAATGTTAAGGGCAGTCAGAGAGAAAGGTCGGGTTACCCACAAAGGGAAGCCCATCAGACTAACAGCGGATCTCTCGGCAGAAACTCTACAAGCCAGAAGAGAGTAGGGGCCAATATTCAACATTCTTAAAGAAAATAATTTTCAACCCAGAATTTCATATCCAGCCAAACTAAGCTTCATAAGTGAAGGAGAAATAAAATCCTTTACAGACAAGCAAATGCTGAGAGATTTTGTCACCACCAGGCCTGCCCTAAAAGAGCTCCTGAAGGAAGTGCTAAACATAGAAAGGAACAACCAGTACCAGCCACTGCAAAAACATGCCAAATTGTAAAGACCATTAAGGCTAGGAAGAAACTGCATCAACCAACGAGCAAAATAACCAGCTAACATCATAATGACAGGATCAAATTCACACATAACAATATTAACCATAAATGTAAATGGGCTAAATGCTCCAATTAAAAGACACAGACTGGCAAATTGGAAAAAGAGTCAAGACCCATCAGTGTGCTGCATTCAGGAGACCTACCTCACGTGCAGAGACACACATAGGCTCAAAATAAAGGGACGGAGGAAGATCTACCAAGCAAATGGAAAACAAAAAAAGGCAAGGGTTGCAATCCTAGTCTCTGATAAAACAGACTTTAAACCAACAAAGTTCAAAAAAGACAAAGCAGGCCATTACGTAATGGTAAAGGGATCAATTCAACGAGAAGAGCTAGCTATCCTAAATATATATGCACCCAATACAGGAGCAGCCAGATTCATAAAGCAAGTCCTTAGAGACCTACAAAGAGACTTAGACTCCCACACAATAATAATGGGAGACTTTGACACCCCACTGTCAACAAGAGACCTACAAAGAGACTTAGACTCACACACAATAATAATGGGAGACTTTAACACCCCACTGTCAACATTAGACAGATCAACGAGACAGAAAGTTAACAAGGATATCCAGGAATTGAACTCAGCTCTGCACCAAGCAGACCTAATAGACATCTACAGAACTCTCCACCCCAAATCAACAGAATATACATTCTTCTCAGCACCACATTGCACTTATTCCAAAATTCACCACATAGTGGGAAGTAAAGCACTCCTCAGCAAATGTAAAAGAACACAAATTATAACAAACTGTCTCTCAGAGCACAGTGCAATCAAACTAGAACTCAGGATTAAGAAACTCACTCAAAACCACTCAACTACATGGAAACTGAACAACCTGCTCCTGGATGACTACTGGGTACATAACAAAATGAAGGCAGAAATAAAGATGTTCTTTGAAACCAACGAGAACAAGGACACAACATACCAGAATCTCTGGGACACATTTAAAGCAGTGTGTAGAGGGAAATTTATCACACTAAATGCCCACAAGAGAAAGCAGGAAAGATCTAAAATTGACACCCCAACCTCACAACTAAAAGAACTAGAGAAACAAGAGCAAATACATTCAAAAGCTAGCAGAAGACAAGAAATAACTAAGATCAGAGCAGAACTGAAGGAGATACAGACGCAAAAAACCCTTCAAAAAATCAATGAATCCAGGAGGTGGTTTCCTGAAAAGATCAACAAAATTGATAGAACACTAGCAAGACTAATAAAGAAGAAAAGAGAGAAGAATCAAATAGATGCAATAAAAAATGATAAAGGGGATATCACCACCGATCCCACAGAAACACAAACTACCATCACAGAATACTATAAACACCTCTATGCAAATAAACTAGAAAATCTAGAAGAAATGGAAAAATTCCTGGACACATACACCTTCCCAAGACTTAACCAGGAAGAAGTTGAATCCCTGAATAGACCAATAACAGGATCTGAAATTGAGGCAATAATTAATAGCCTTCCAACCAAAAAAAGTCCAGGACCAGACGGATTCACAGCCAAATTCTGCCAGAGGTTCAAGGAGGAGCTGGAACCATTCCTTCTGAAACTATTCCAATCAATAGAAAAAGAGGGAATCCTCCCTAACTCATTTTATGAGGCCAGCATCATCCTGATACCAAAGCCTGGCAGACACACAACAAAAGAAAATTTTAGACCAATATCCCTGATGAACATCGATGCAAAAATCCTCAATAAAATACTGGCAAACCAAATCCAGCAGCACATCAAAAAGCTTATCCAACATGATCAAGTGGGCTTCATCCCTGGGATGCAAGGCTGGTTCAACATATGCAAATCAATAAATGTAATCCAGCATATAAACAGAACCAAAGACAAAAACCACATGATTATCTCAATAGATGCAGAAAAGGCCTTTGACAAAATTCAACAGCCCTTCATGCTAAAAACTCTCAATAAATTAGGTATTGATGGGACATATCTCAAAATAATAAGAGCTATTTATGACAAACCCACAGCCAATATCACACTGAATAGGCAAAAACTGGAAGCAGTCCCTTTGAAAACTGGCACAAGACAGGAATGCCTTCTCTCACCACTCCTATTCAACATAATGTTGGAAGTTCTGGCCAGGGCAATCAGGCAGGAGAAAGAAATAAATGATACTTAATTTGGAAAAGAGGAAGTCAAATTGTCCCTGTTTGCAGATGACATGATTGTATATCTAGAAAACCCCATCGTCTCAGCCTAAAATCTCCTTAAGCTGATAAGCAACTTCAGCAACGTCTCAGGATACAAAATCAATGTGCAAAAATAACAAGCATTCTTATACACCAATAACAGACAAACAGAGAGCCCAATCATGAGTGAACTCCCATTCATAATTGCTTCAAAGAGAATAAAATACCTAGGAATCCAACTTACAAGGGATGTGAAGGACCTCTTCAAGGAGAACTACAAACCACTGCTCATCGAAATCAAAGAGGACACAAACAAATGGAAGAACATTCCATGCTCATGGATAGGAAGAATCAATATCGTGAAAATGGCCATACCGCCCAAGGGAATTTATAGATTCAATGCCATTCCCATCAAGCTACCAATGACTTTTTTTCACAAAACTGGAAAAAACTACTTTAAAGTTCATATGGAACCAAAAAAGAGCCCTCATTGCCAAGACAATCCTAAGCCAAAAGAACAAAGCTGGAGGCATCACACTACCTGACTTCAAACTATACTACAAGGCTACAGTAACCAAAAAAGCATGGTACTGGTACCAAACCAGAGATATAGACCAATGGAACAGAATAGAGCCCTCAGAAATAATACCACACATCTACAACCATCTGATCTTTGACAAACCTGACAAAAACAAGAAATGGGGAAAGGATTCCCTATTTAATAAATGGTGCTGGGAAAACTGGCTAGCCATATATAGAAAGCTGAAACTGGATCCCTTCCTTAACCTTATACAAAAATTAATTCAAGATGGATTAAAGATTTAAACGTTAGACCTAAAACCATAAAAACCCTAGAAGAAAACCTAGGCAATACCATTCAGGACATAGGCATGGGCAAGGACTTCATCTCTAAAACACCAAAAGCAATGGCAACAAAAGCCAAAATTGATGAATGGGATCTGATTAAACTAAAGAGCTTCTGCACAGCAAAAGAAACTACCATCAGAGTGAACAGGCAACCACAAAATGGGAGAAAATTTTTGCAATCTACTCTTCTGACAAAGGGCTAATATCCAGAATCTACAAAGAACTCAAACAAATTTACAAGAAAAAAACAACCCCATCAAAAAGTGGGTGAAGGATATGAACAGACACTTCTCGAAAGAAGACATTTATGCAGCCAAAAAAACATGAAAAAATGCTCATCATCACTAGCCATCAGAGAAATGCAAATCAAAACCACAATGAGATACCATCTCACACCAATTAGAATGGTGATCATTAAAAAGCCAGGAAACAACAGGTGCTGGAGACGATGAGGTGATATAGGAACATTTTTACACTGTTGGTGGGACAGTAAACTAGTTCAACCATTGTGGAAGACAGTGTGGCGATTCCTCAAGGATCTAGAACTAGAAATACCATTTGACCCAGCCATTCCATTACTGGCTATATACCCAAATGATTATAAATCATGCTGCTATAAAGACACATGCACACGTATGTTCACTGCGGCACTATTCACAATAGCAAAGACTTGGAACCAACCCAAATGTCCATCAATGATAGACTGGATTAAGAAAATGTGGGACATATACACCATGGAATACTATGCAGCCATATAAAGGATGATTTCATGTCCTTTTTAGGGACATGGATGAAGCTGGAAACCATCATTCTCAGCAAACTATCACAAGGACAAAAAACCAAACACCGCATGTTCTCACTCATAGATGGGAATTGAACAATGAGAACACTTGGACACAGGAAGGGGGACATCATACACCGAGGCCTGTCATGGGGTGGGGGGAGGGGGGAGGGATAGCATTAGGAGATATACCTAATGTAAATGATGAGTTAACGGGTGCAGCACATCAACATGGCACATGTATACATATGTTACAAACCTGCACATTATGCACATGTTCCCTAGAACTTAAAGTATAATAATAATAAAAAAAGTTTGTCATTACATAATGGTAAAATGTTCAATTTCCCAGGAAGATACAATTATAAAATTGTATGCATCTAATAATACAGACTAAAATTACATGTGGCAAAAACTGATTACAAACTACTTAGAGTAATATGCAAATCATGTAAGTATAATAGCATAAAAATACAAGGTACCTAAGATTACATCTAAAAAAAGGTACTTTCAAGACTTCTATAGAGTTATAAAACTCTATTGAAATAATACCTAAACAAAATATATAACATATTTACAGATTAGAAGACTCAGTGATCAAGATGCCAATTGTGCCTAAATTGAACTGTAGATTTAACATAATTCTAATTGAAATACCAATTAAATTTGTTTTGTTTTGTTTCTTTTGTTTTGTTTTTTTCTGTGAATATTGACAATCCGATTCTAAAATTTACATGGAAATGCAAAGATCCAATAAAGCTGGGGCACTCTTGCAAAACAGGGCATGAGCATTAGCCTTATCAGATAAGATTTAGATATTAAATCAGTGTTATATTGGTGCAGGAAAAAAAACAGTGAAACAGATTGAGTCAGAATAGACTCATATATATGAGCCCTTAATAATGACAGGTGGAATTATATATCAAGGGAGAAGACAGACTTTTTATTAAATGGATACTTCAGATGGTTATTTATAATAAAAGGAAATGAAACCAGATGTCTATCTCTCTATACACTAATATCAATTCTAAATGGATTAAATTTGTAAATATGAAAAGCAAAACAAGCCAAAAGTTTAAAGACCATAGAGAATAATACATTTGTGATTAAATATTGGATGAACTCTTTTTAAAGAAGGCAGAAAAAAATGTAAAGACAAAAAGGAAAAGATTAAGTCAGAATAACATTAATATTGAGAACATTTATTTATTACAAAAGCCAGAAAAAGATTAAAAACTTAATCCACAAACTGAAAGAAGACATTTGCAATACATATAACTGGTAAAGGATTAGTATCCAAGTTATATAAATAATTCCTATGAAAAAATAAATGTGAAATAAACCAATAGAATCAAAAGGCTGAAACCTGCAGTACCTAAAAGAGGAAACCTGAATGGTCAATAAACATTTAAAAAGATGATCACTTTCATCAGTAATCAGGAAAAGGCAAAAAAAATTATAAACACACACATACACGTAAACTCCAAAACCATGAGTAAGCATTATACAATAACAGGTTGGCAAAAATGATGAAGTCTGGCAATATCAGTGCTGAAGACCATATGGAACACTAGAAACTTTCATCTGTTCCTGGTTAGAGGGTCAGAGTAATATTACTTTGGAAAACTATCTGGCATTAGCTTCTGTGGCAGAGGCTATTTATTGTCCTTCAATATCTAATCTCCTCCTTTCATTTTTTTGGAGACAGGGTCTTGCTCTATTGCCCAGGCTGGAGGGCAAAGGCACAATCATGGCTCACTGTGGGCTTGACCTCCCAGGCTCAAGCTATCCTCCCAGCTCAGTCTCAGGCACGTGCCACCATGCCCAGCTGATTTTTTTTTCTATTTTTTGTAGAGACAGAGTCTCACTTTGTTGCCCAGGCTGGTCTCAAACTCTTGGGCTTTAGTTAGGTATTTGGCTGCATAGACAGAGAGCACCTTTCTCAGTCTGTCTTGCAATTGGATGCAGTTCTAGGTCTAGGATCAGACCTGTGGGACACAAGTAGAAGTGATATGTGCAATTTCTGGGTCATATCCTTAAGGATAAATATTCTTGCCCTGGACTTTCTCTTTCTGGAGAAAGTCTAGAACCCATGGACATGAAGTTGACCACCTTTATTTATGTGGGTGAGTAAAATATCTTAGGAGATGTCAGAGCAGTAAGATTGAAGGAACCTGTGTACCACTTTATGGAGTACTGCTCCTCATGGGGCATTATCCTGCCTGGAGCCACTTGCTTCTTCACTGTAACATGAATGAAGCAGCCTTCCATCTATTTAAGTCAGTGTATTTTTTGTTGTTGCAATCACAGCAGCTTACCCATAGCAAGTGAACTTACCAGTACTCTTATGACCAGCAATTCTGTTATGAGTATAAAACCTGGAAGAGCTCCTGTATCTGTGTATCAGGTGAAACTAGAAGAATGCTGAGAGCAATAATACTCATAATAGTAAAAAGTGAGAACCAACCTAAGTGTTGATGAGCAGCAGAATGGGTAAATAAGTTGTGGTATATTCGTGTATTAGAATATTTGCAATGGGTGAATCACAACCACTAGCATCAGCATGAATGAATCTTAGAATTATAATGTTGAGAAAATGGAGCAAAATCACAGAACAATGTGTGCATTTTTCATTTACTTATTTTTTATTTCTAGAAAGCTTAAAAACCGGCAAAATTCAACAACATACCGCTTAGAACTACATGCACAAGTGATAAAACTATGAAGAAAATTAAGAAAAAATTAGAGCAATAGTTCCCTCCAGGAGGAAATGAAGAGGAATGCAATTGGTGGGCTTCTGGGGCATGGTAATAATCTAGCTATGGCCTTGCTCTTGGGAATGCGGGCATTCGTGTTATTATCAATCTTTAAATTGTGTGTATGTGTTTTCATTCATCCTTTTGTTATTCATGGGTTATTTAACAGTTTGAAAAACATGCATACAAAAAAACATGAAACAACATAATTTAGACTCGAGACAAAATAAACTCTTCTCTACTTAGACTTGACCCCAAATTAAGAGATTAAGAATGGGGAACCTTACTCCCTGGATAAAAGAATAGGCTGAGAAAAGGCTAGGATAAAAATATTTGCATAAAGCATAAGAAAATTACTAACTATGCAATAATTAAAATAAATATTTGAGATAGCAAAGAGTAGAGGTGAAATGGAGAGAACAGAACAAGAATGTAGAGCAATGTTCCCTGGCATTTAGTTTGCCACGGTATACATAAAAACACACTATTCACACAGAGCACTGGGATAAATCAACAAAGTTGCTCATGGGCTTAGACTATTGGATCAGAGCTTCAGGTTACTCTAGTAATGCCCTAAACCCTGCCACTTGGAGGACCAAGGAGAATCAATATCCCAGCGTACCTGAAACCTCTTCAGGAAACTTTGAAGGGAGGTACAAACCAGAAAAGTTTCCAAAAAATGTCAAGGAAAAGAACAAAGAGGATAACATGACTTGAAAGAGAATGTCATTAACTATGGAGGACAGAAAAATAGGTATCTGACCCACAATAGTGTTTCTGAAAAAGAAACAAAAACAGATCCCAGATCCCACAACAGCAGTCATTAAAAGTGTACATAATGGGCATGGTGGCTCATACCTGCAATCCTAGCACTTTGGGAGGCTGAGGCGGGAGGATCACTTGAGGCCAGGAGTTCAAGACCAGCCTGGGCAACATAGTGAGACTTTGTCTCTAAAGAATATAAAAAAATTAGCCAAGTGTGATGGTGCACACCTGCAGTCCCAGCTACTCAGGAGGCTGAGGTAAGACAATCACTTGAGCTCAGAGGTTTGATGTTACAGTGAGCTATGATCATGTTACTGCACTCCAGTCTGGGTGACAGAGGAAGACTCTGTCTTTAAAAGAAAAAGAAAAGTGTACATAAGAAACATGTCTGAGTTGAAGAAAAGCACTATCAGAGAGGCTCATTTTATTCAAGAGAAATTAATAAAATAATGTTTACTCATATCCTGATGACATCTTTTTAAATTTCAAGGTTAAAAAACACAACATACAAATTGCCAAAATGGGGAAGGTGGGCTAATTAGCAACAAACAAAAATTAAACTGGCCTTAGTCAGGTCAAGACATTGCAAAGTGGGTAGAATACTTCCTCCAGAACAAAAGGAAAAGACTCAAATTCATGGTCCAGTTTATAAGAAATAAATCAAAACTAAGAACTCAAGACCTGTGGAAGTCATGATTTTTAAAAAGTAGCTGGTGAGGTTAAACATAAACATATAAATGTAAGTATAAATAATTGCTATTCAAGTAGTTGGAGAGTTGAAAGCAGAAAGTAGTTAACCAAAAATACTTTCGTGTGATAAAAAGAATAACATAATCATGATGTGGTTCTCTACAAAGAGTAAATTAACAAAGACTAGAAGGAAGAGGGGAATATATTGATGAAATTAGGGCTGAGACGAAGTTCAGGGAACAAAAACACATATATCTTCTTGTCTTGCAGAATGTTTTAAGACTCAAAATTTACTTGGTTTTTGGTTTTGATAATTTCAGAAATGTAGTGGGTACTTGAGTTTACCTTAAAGTTTAGCATTACAATATAGGAAATAAAAACAAGTAAAATGCAGTTCATATTACATGAGCCAGGAAACAAACAAAAAGAGCAGGATGCCAGAAATATATCACACATGTCACCTATGTTGATAAATTCACATAGTTTCAGTTTGCCAATTAAGTGTAAATAAATGAAGGTGAGATTTTAAAAACTAAAATCTAGTCATGTTATTATAAAAGAACACTTACACATGGTTGGTGGAAATGTAAATTAGTTCCACCACAGTGAAAAATAGTGTGGCGATTCCTGCAAGACCTAAAAACAGAACTACCATTTGACCCAGCAATCCCATTACTGGGCATATACACAAAGGAATATAAATTGTTCTATCATAAAGACACATGCACACATATGTTAATTGCAGCACTATTCACAATAGCAAAGACATGGAATCAACTTAAATGCCCATCAATGATATACTGGATAATGAAAATGTGGTACATACACACCATGGAATACTATGCAGCCATGTCAAAGAATGAGATCTTGTCCTCTGCAGGAACATGGGTAGAGCTGGAGGCCATTATCCTTAGCAAAATAATGCGGGAACAGAAAACCAAATACTGCATGTTCTCCCTTATAAATGGTGAGAGCTACATGATGAGAACACATGGACATATAGAGGGAAACAACTACATTGAGGCCTACCAGAGGGAGGAGGATGGGAGGAGGAAGAAGATCAGGAAAAATAACTAATGGGTTCCGGACTTAACACCTGGCTGAAGAAATAATCTGTACAACAAACCCCCATGATACAAGTTTACCTATATAACAAACCTGCACATGTACCTCTGAACTTCAAATATAAGTTAAATAATGAGTTTCAAGTCAAGGCTAAAAAAAAAAAAAGGTAAATAAGGTCGGGCACAGTGGCTCACGCCTGTAATCCCAGCACTTTGGGGGGCTGAGGCAGGCAGATCATGAGGTCAAGAGATTGAGACCACTCTGGTCAACATGGTGAAACCCTGTCTCTACTAAAAATACAAAATTAGCCTGGTGTGGTGGTACATGCCCATAATCCCAGCTACTCGGGAGGCTGAGGCAGGAGAATTGCTTGAACCCGGGAGGCGGAGGTTGCGGTGAGCCGAGATCGCACCATTGCACTCCAGCCTGAGGAACAAGAGCGAAATTCCATCTCAAAAAAAAAAAAAAAAAAAAGCTAAATAAAAATAAATAAATAAAAGGATTTACATTACCTGATTTCAAGATTTACTAGGAAAGCTATGTTAATTTAGACAGTGCGATATTGGCAAAAGGACTGACAAATAAACCAATGGAAAAGAATAGCGTAGTTGGAAATAGACTCATACATAGTCAATTGATCTAGAAAAACGGAACTGGTGAAATTCAATGAAAAAAGACAAGATCAATATTATAAGAAATATATACAGAATGTGAGATATTGTCACAGACACAGAGAATACAATCTGCCACAGAAAAAATAACTAAGTTGTCTTCATTAAAATAAAAATATCTGACCTTCAAGGGACACCATTCAGAAAATAGAAGGAAAAATTATAGACTGAGGAAAAAAATGTTTGTAATACATATATCTGACAAAGGACTTGTATTCAGAATATATAACAAAATGCTACAATTCAATAACAGTTAAAAATTGACAAAAATACAGGAATAGAGGAATGGGCAGTTGTTTTTTAAATGAGTGTGGAGCCTCAGGTTTGCAAGATGGAAAAGAGTTGTGGAATTTGGTTGAACAATTTGGATGTTTACGACACTACTGAACTGTACATTTAAAAATGGCTAAAATGACAAATTTTCTGTTATGTGCATTTAGCCACAAGTTTTAAAAAGTCTTAAGTAGATCCTTCAAAAAAGAAGACCTAAGAATGACCAATCAGCACATGAAAAGATGCTCAACGTCATTAATTAGGGAAATGCAAATTAAAATTACAGTGAGATAACATTTTAAAATAGTTAAAATTTAAAAACTAACAATATTGGGTGGGCACTGTGGCTCACACATGTAATCCCAGCACTTAGGGAGGCCAAGGTGGGTGGATCACGAGGTCAGGAGTTCGAGACCAGCCTGGCCAACATGGTGAAATCTGTCTCCACCAAAAATACAAAAATTGGCTGGGCATGGTGGCTCAAGCCTGTAATCCCAGCACTTTGGGAGGCCGAGGCGGGCGGATCACAAGGTCAGGAGATCGAGACCATCCTGGCTAACACAGTGAAACCCCGTCTCTACTAAAAATACAAAAAAATTAGCCGGGCTTGGTGGCAGGCACCTGTAATCCCAGCTACTCGGGAGGCTGAGGCAGGAGAATGGTGTGAACCCGGGAGGCGGAGCTTGCAGTGAGCTGAGATTGCGCCACTGCACTCCAACCTGGGCGACAGAGCGAGACTCCCTCTCGGGGGAAAAAAAAAAAAAAAAAAAAAAAAAAAAAATTAGCCAGGTGTGGTGGCGGGTGCCTGTAATCCCAGCTACTCAGGAGGCTGAGGCAGAGAATTGCTTGAACCTGGGAGGCGGAAGTTGCAGTGAGACGAGATCGTGCCACTGCACTCCAGCCTGGCAACAGAGTGAGACTCTGTCTCAAAACAAAACAAAACAAAACAAACAAAAAACAAACAAAAAAACAACAATATCAAGTTTTTAGGGATGTGGAGCAAATGGAACTCTCAAAGATTGCTGGTGTGAGGGTAAAACGATGCAGTCACTTTGGAGTACTGGCAATTTTGTTATTTTTTGTAAAAAACTTTGGCCGGGCGTGGTGGCTCACACCTGTAATCCCAGCCTTTTGGGAGCCCAAGGTGGGTGGATCACCTGAGGTCAGGAGTTTGAGATCAGCCTGGTCAACATGGTGAAACCCATCTCTACTAAAAATACAAAAATTAGCCAGGCTTGGTGGTGCATGCCTGTAATTCCAGCTACTCAGGAGGCTGAGGCAGGAGAATCGCTTAAACCTGGGAGGTGGAGGTTGCAGTGAGCCAAGATCGTGCCATTGTACTCCAGCTTGGGTGACAGTGCAAGACTCCGTCTCAAAACAAAACAGAAAAACAACTTTTATTTTAGGTTTAGGGGGTACATGGCAGGTTTGTTACACAGGTAAATTGTGTATCATGGGGGTTTGCTGTTCAGATTACTTCATCACCCAGGTAGTAAGCATAGTATCCGACAGGTAGTTTTTTAATCCTCACTCTCCTCCCACCTCCACCCTCAAGTAGGCCCCCATGTCTGTTCCTTTGTGTCCATGTGTACTCAATGTTTAGCTCTCACTTATAAGTGAGAACATGTGGTATTTGGTTTTCTGCTTCTGTGTTAGGTCACTTAGGATAATGGCCTCCAGCTCCATTCATGTTGCTGCAAAGGACATGATCTCGTTCTTTTTTTATGGCTGCGTCATATTCCATGGTGTATATGTACCACATTTTCTTTGTCCAGTCTACCATTGATGGGCATTTAGGTTGATTCCATGTCTTTGCTATTGTGAATGGTGCAGCAACGAACATGTGCATGCATGTGTCTTGTGGTTTCTTATGCAGTTAAACACACACACTTCCTGTGTCCTCGCCATTCCACTCCTACCTGAGAGATATTAAAACAAACTTTCACAAGTGATTTGTAAGAGAATGTTTATAGCAGCTTTTTTTTTCATAATAGCCCTAACTGGAAAGAGCTCATTTGTCCAATGAGGCCAGATGGATAAACAAATTATGGTTTATTCATTCAGTAGAATACTACTCAGCATTACAAAGGAACTTAAGAAGGAACAACTGCCATGGATACATGCAATAACATGGGTGGATCTTAAAAGTATTGTGCTGTGTAAAATGGGCCAGACATAGCAAAGTATAAACTGTGTGAGTCCATCTGCATAAATTTAAGAACAGGCAAAACTAATCTGTAGTGATAGAAATCAAAACAACGCTTATTTGGTGTGGTGATGGGGGCAATGTATTGTCTGCAAAGGGACATGAGGGAGCTTGCAGGGATGATGGAAATGCTCAATGCCTTGACTTAGATGATGGTTACAAAGCAAAACTCTTCAAATGGCACACTTACTACTTGTGCATTTAACCATATGTAAAATATACCCCAATAGTATTATCATAGCAAACTTTTTCTTTCATAGCATTTATCCAAATTTATAATTTAAATTCTGGTGTTTCCCTATTAATGCCTATCTTTTTCACACTGTAGATCAGGCACTATTCTAAGCTCTGCAAGTAAAATAGTTTATAAGATGGACCAGTCTGTCACCTCATGGAATTTACAGTCTGTGAAGCAAAGAGCCATTTTTGTCTTGTTCACTATGTTACACTCAGCATGTAGCTTGGTGCTTGGTACGTATGTGTACTCAACAAATATTTGTACGGTGGATGAATGACTAGAGAGAGGGAACCAAGGGACAGTGTTAGTGGATCTAAACTCACACATTCACTTGCTTACTCTTTCTCTCCCCTTCCCCATCAGTTTTTCTTCAGTATTTGAAAATCTGTATACACTCTGATGAGTATCTCATGTGTCAACATACTGTGTGGACGTATAGATGAAGATTCATAAACTTTGAATCCAGGAAACAGTGGCATATGGATGGATTCTAGACCAGATGGAGCTCCATTAGCCTCCATGGGAAGGTGAATTGCATGGCCACTTGAGGGCAGGGCCAAGACTGTACTCAGGAAAAATACTGGATCTACTCCTGTGCTTGAATTGGTATAATTTTGAGATTTAGAAGCCTGTTTCACAAAGCCTGGATAATTCAAATTTGGACTAGAAAAGGTTACCAGCTAATAATCATAAAAAAGCCTGATTTTGAGTGACACCATATTCTCCTGGATCCTCCAACGTTTTATTTGCCGAACTGATTAAATTTCTAAAATGAGAATTACTCCAACTAAAATTATAACCTGCAGGGTGAGATGAGGAAAAACCAAGAGGGGAAAAAAGACACTATATATATTCCTATCTATGTAGATCAGTTTGGGAACATTTCAGAGAAATCAAGTATTAAAATCCTCAGCAAGGTTACTATATAAACTTAGTTATAAACAGGAATTAATTTAATATTATCCTGCAAGTGTACTTAAGTTCTTTGATCTCCTGCAGCAACTTAAATTTAGAAAATGGTCTTAAAGTGACAAATGTTGAAAAAAAATTTCAGAAAGAAGATGATTTTAGATTGTATGCCTCTCGAAGCAAAAAAAAAGAGCATATATTTATATGTTTCTTAGGCCCTTCCCCACAAACCCGACTTGTCCTCAGAGCACTTAGCATCACAGCAGGTTCTCAACAAAGTTTGTCTCATTTTGGTTTACTTATTAATTGAAATTTACTGGATATATTTCTATACCAGGTATCAATTACCTTAACATTTAGAACCCCCAGATGAAAACAGTAAGTCAAATAGGCTAAATAATAGCATAATTTAGAATTGGGCTTTATCTATTACACGAATTCTAATGTGAAATTGAATGGCTTGGCACTAGGAACAGATTCTCCTATCTTCTTTTTTTCCTTTGGATGTGACTGGAAGCTTAGACTCCAAGCTTTGATATTTCCCAATATTACATCCGTGGCCACAAATGGGCAGACTGACAGATATGCTCCAGGCAGAATGAGTGCCCGCTCCTCTGAAATTTATACTTGCCCCATTGTAGCTCAACCATATTGCGCTGTAGCAATTTGTTTACACATCTACCTCTCACACTGGACTGAGCTCTTTGGGTTCAGGCACTTTGTCTTAACACCCTCAGCATCTAGCAGTGACTGCCTTGTACTATCTCTAGAGCCTGTAATGACAGGGGCTTGATAAACCTTAAACGAGAACAGAAAGAAACAGACAGGTATATTCAAAGAGACAAACAGCATCTAAACATTACATGCACTTACAATATAATTGAAGGATGTGTCAGCAAGCACTGCAAACTGACGAAACAGTGTGTGCCTTGTAAACATCTCATTCTTAAGGACATGAAAGCTGAAATTTTAAAAATGATGAAACTTAAAATGTATGTAAATCATAGCATAAAGCAAATAAGCATTATGTTAATGAGGTAGGAAACTACATTAAAATTTTAAAATATTACCAAATAAAAATATAAAAATATTAGCATGAACATACTACCTCTTTCATTTTTAAAACTACATGTTGCCTGGGCAAAATGGTGAAACCCCATCTTTACAAACAATAAAAAAAAAATAACCAGGCATGCGTGGTGGTACATGCCTGTAGTCCCAGCAATTCAGAAGGCTGAGGTGGGAGGTTCACCTGAGTCTGGGAGGTCAAGGCTGCAGTGAGCCGTGATTGCACCACTGCACTCCAGCCTGGACGACAGAGTGAGACCCTGTCTGACAAAAAACCAAAAACCACACACACACACACAAACCACACAAACTTACATGTTTTTCAGCTCAGAAAAGGCATAGAAGTAATGGCAATGATCACCCCTACTGCCCAGACTCTGATTTTAAAAAGCATTTCTCACCAAAATAATTCAGGGCATTTTTCAGAAATGACTGTTTCTAGATCTAAGGCAATAAATGCACAGAATGAACCTGGGACATCTTATTCTACCAGAATTCAACAAAGTCATCAAAGGTTATGTCAAAAGAACACAGTAATCAACTTGAAAGAGTTCCTGTTGACTTAAGATTGGAGAAATCACACACCAAAGATAATAAGAACTACAGTGTGTTGAAACATCACACATATATTAGCTATTTGGGAAATTCTCAGCCTATCTTGATTGCAAGCGATGCGAAAATTAGGAGATTTGCTGTCAGGAAGACGTACTCTGTAGAGAAGGCAAGAGAATGGCTGGACAGCCTTCAGAGTGTAGGAAGAAACAAAAATGACAGCATTTACTCACACAAAAGACTCTTTGAAGAGATTAAATGTGTGACATCCCTTCAGCCATCTCAGCAGAGTCCAAAATAGAGATGAGATTATCTAGGAAAGACCTGAGAAGGAGCCTCCCATCTAATGAAGTGACTTCCCATGACAAACATGGGAGACGTACAAGATTTTGAGAATGTTATATCAGCAACAACACTGCCAGATTGCACTGAAAAGGACAGAGAAAGGAAATAAATGAAATAAGGTTATTGGATTCCCAAAATTCTATGGGCAGGAAACAGATTGATAAAACTACTCAGGGTCAAACGTGCTACCTTTCATGAAAGAAGATATTTGACTCAGTAGTAGTGCTTTGGGCCCAGAAGGTGGAACCTTGAGTCACAGAGAATTAGCCCAGGCCTTGAAACCTAATGGCGTTATGCTGAAACAATTTCAAAATTGTTTGGACTAGTGACTCAATTTTCCCCTTCTACTTTCTCCCCTTTCAAACAAGAATGTCTATAGCTATTATTGACATTTATGTCAATACAATGCCTTTCGCACTATTGTATTTGGGAGCAAGTAATCTATAATTTCACAAGTCTACATATGGAGAGAAATTTTGTCCCAGGATGAATTATAACCAGAGTCTCACCATACCTAATTTAGATGATGCAAACTAGGACTTCTGAAGCTGATAACACTTAGATGAAAGTTTGGACTTGAGTTGGTGCTGTAATGGGTTGAGACTTTGGGGGATATTGGGATGTGGTAAATGCATTTTGCATGCAGGATAGGCATGATTATTTGGGGGCCAGAAGGTTGACTGTAGTAGAGTGAACATTGCCCCCCATGAAGATATCTACTTTCTAATTTCTGGAAATTTTGAGTATGCTACCTAACAAAGTAAAAAGAACTTTGCAGATGTGGTAAGTTACATATCTTGAGATAGAGTAATTATTCTAGATTATTTAGTGGGCCCAATGTAATCACAAGGGTTTTTTTTAAAGAAGGAAGCAGGAGGATCAGAGTAGATAAGAATGAAGCAGAAATAATACATGGAAAGATAATAGCTAAGAATGTTCCAAAATTCAGAAATGACATTGACCCATAGATTCAAGAGCTAGACCAGATAAATAAAAGTAACTATACCTAGGGACATCATAATAAAACTAATGATAACAAAAGATCAAGGGAAAAAATTTAAAGTACCTAGACATGAAAAAAAAGCAACAGTAAGACTGACAGCTGACTTGTCAACAGCAACAATGAAGGCCAAAGAACTGACATTTTTTTTTTTTAATTTACTCATTTTGAGATGGAGTCTAGCTCTGTTGCCCAGGCTGGAGTGCAGTGGCACAATCTTGGCTCACTGCAACTTCCACCTCCTGGGTTCAAGCAATTCTCCTGCCTCAGCCTCCTAAGTAGCTGGGATTACAGGTGCCTGCCACCACGCCCAGCTTATTTTTGTATTTTTAGTAGAGATGGGGTTTCACTGTGTTGTGAGGCTGGTCTTGAACTCCTGACCTCATGATCCACCCACCTCGGCCTCCCAAAGTGCTCGGATTACAAGCGTGAGCCACCATGCCCGGCCTACTGACATTATTAATTGGCTGAAAAAATAACTGCCAAGATAGAACCCTATACTTGGCAAAAACTTTCTTCAATAATGAAGATAAAATAATGACATTTTCCTCCAAAGAAAAGCTGAGAGAATTATTTGCCAGCAAACCTGTATTAAAAATGAAGAAACAAAAAATGAAAGAGAGCTATTCAGGCAGCAAGAAAATGATTTCAGATGAAAACACAATAAGCAGAAAAAAATGAGAAGCCCAACAAACAGTAAATGTGTGAGTAAATATAAATGAATACTGAGTATGCCAAACAACAATAGCAACCTTTCATGGAGTTAAAAAAACAGAGAGAATTAAAATTAAAATGTAGGAGAGAATTAAATGGAGTGAAAATAGTCTAAGGTTCTAGAATACTTGGGAAATTGGTATCAACAGTAATTTCTAAAACACTGCAATAAGCTAAGAATAAAATTTTACAAAGGAGAAATTTCAAAAAAAGAAAATGAATAACAAATTAATAAAAGAAAATATGGAATAAAAAAGGTTCATTGGTTCAAAACAAGGCAAAAAGGAGAGAAGAAGAAATATAAAACAGGTCAAATAGAAAACAACTTGTTAAGTAGTAAACACAAACCCAACTATCGTATTTTCACTTAAAGTAAATAAATAAAGTATGACAATTAAATAAAATAAAACTGACAGATTAGGTTAGAAACCCAATTATATGCTGATTACAAGAAACACATTCAAATATAGAAATAAGATAGGCTGAAAGAAAAAAGTTAGAAAAAAATACACCATGCACTCTTAACCAAATAGTTAAGCAGACATTAAGCTAAAGAGCATTACTAAAGATAAAAGCATTTCATAATGATAGATATTACTGATAACTTCACAAGATGAGATCAGTATCTAAATTGTGAGTACCCAACAACTAAGATGTAAACTATGTAAAGTAAAAATGGACAGATTAAAATAAGAAATAGATACATCTATAATCATGGTAGAAAATTTAATACTTCTATTTTGATAGTTGGATATGATGCCAAAAAATTAATAAGTATGTAAAAGATGGAAACAACAAAATTAATGGGTTGACCTCATTGAAATATTTAGAACTCTTCACCCATCAGTGATAAAATTTTTCATTCCTGGCCAGGCATGGTGGCTTATGCCTGTAATCCCAGCACGTTGGGAGGCTGAGGTGGGCGGATCATCTGAGGTCAGGAGTTTGAGACCAGCCTGACCAACATGGAGAAATCCCGTCTCTACTAAAAATAGAAAAAAAATTAGCCAGGCATGGTGGCGCATGCCTGTAATCCCAGCTACTCGGGAGGCTGAGGCAGGAGAATTGCTTGAACCTGGGAGGCGGAGGTTGCGGTGAGCTGAGATCACGCCATTGCACTCCAGCCTGGGCAACAAGAGCAAAATCTCTGGCTCAAAAAAAAAAAAAAAAATTCATTCTTTTCAAGAATAAAAACATTTTTAAAAACTGGCCATAGCTTGAACCATAAAACAAACATGAAGACCATGAAGACATTTTAACAGATTAAAATTATTCAGAGTAAGTACTCTGAGCACAAGAGAATTAAACTAGAACTATAACTAGCTAATCTTCAACTTACTGGAAATAAAACATATTACTTACTCTTTTTTATCTTGAGAAAAGGTCCCACTCTGTCACCCAGGCTAGAGTGCAGTGGCATGAACAGGGCTTACGGCAGCCTTGACCTCGTGGGTCCAGGCAATCTTCCTGCCTCAGCCTCCCATGTAACTGGGACCACAGGTGCATGCCACGACACCCAGCTAATTTTTTTATTTTTTGTATAGATGGGTTTCACTTTGTTGCCCAGGCTGGTCTCAAACTCCTGAGCTCAAGCAATCCTTCTGCCTTGGTCTCTCAAAGTGCTGGGATTACAGGCATGAGCCACTGTGCCCAGCCCATATTACTTCTAAATAACCCATGGATCAAAGAAGAAATCAAATTGAATTTAGAAAATATTTTGTTTGAGTGATAATAAATATATTGTATGTCACAACTTGTGGGAGGCAGCTCAAACAATACTTAGAAGAAAATATATAGTGTTAAATGCATATATTCAAAGAAAAGAAGTCTGAAAAATCAATGAGTTAGGCTTCCTTCTTGAAATCTAGTAAAAAGACAGCAAATAAAACATTAAAAATTAGAAGGAAACAAGATAAAAGCAAAAGTCAATTACTCTATCAAAAAACCAGCAGAGCTAATAAATTCAGTAAAGTTACAGGATACAAAATAAACATACAAAAATCAATTGTGTTTGTATATACCAATAAGCTATCCAAAAAGAAATTTTTTAAAAAATTCCATTTATAACAGTGTCAAAAAATAAAATACTTAGGTATAAATTTAACCAACAAGGTAAAAGATCTGTATCTTGAAAACTATAAAGCACTGAAGAAAGAAGTTAAAGTAGATACAAATAAATAAAACGATATCTTGTATTCATGAATTAAAAGAAATAATATTGTCAAGATGTCTATACTACCCAAAGTAATCTACAGATTAAATGCAATTGCTACCAAAATTGCAATGGCATTTTTCACAGAAGTAGGAAAAATAATCCTAAAATTTTATGGAAACATAGAAGACCCCAAATGGCTAGCCAAAGCACTTTTGAGAAAAAGGAACAAAGCTGGAGGCAGCTCACTTCCTGATTTGAGAAACTATGTTACAAAGCTATAGTAATCAAAACAGTATGATTGTACTGACATGAAAATAGACACTTAGACCAATGGAACAGATTAGAGAGCTCAGAAATAAGCTCATGCATATATGGTCAACTAATTTTTGACAAGAGTGACAAGAATATACAATGGGGGAAAGGATAGTCTCTTCAATAAATGATGTTGAAGAAAGAGGGTATCTACATGAAAAAGGATGAAATTAGACCCCTATATTACACAGTACACAAAAATTAACTCAAAATGGATTAAAGGCATAAACATAAGTCCTGAAACCATAAAATTCCTAGAAGAAAACATAGGAGGGAAAGCTTTTTCACATTGGCCTTTGGCAATGATTTTTTGAATATAATACCAGATGCACAAGCAACAAAAAACAAGAACGAATAAGTAGGATTATTTCAAACTATAAAGCTTCCTCACAGCAAAGAAAACAACAAAATGAAAAGACAACTTAAGGAATGGAAGAAAACATTTGCAAACCATACATCTTATCTGATAAGGGGTTAATATCCAAAATATGTAAGAAACTCAGCTTAACAGCAAGAGAACAACCTGATTTAAAAGTGAACAAAGGAACTGAATAGACATTTCCCCAAAGAAGACACACAAATGGCCAAGTATATGAAAAATTGCTCAATATCACTTATCATCAGGAAAATTCAAATCAAAACCACAATAAGATATCACCTCACTCTTGTTAGAATGGCTACTATCAGAAAGACAAAAGATAACAAGTGCTGGTGAGGATGTGGAGAAAAGGGAACCCTTGCACACTGTTGATGGGAATGTAAATAGTTCAGCCACTGTGGAAATCCGTCTGAGATTTCTCAAAGAACTTAAAATAGAACTACTCTTTGATCCAGCAACTCCACTGCTGGGTATATACCCAAAGGAGTATAAATTGTTCTACCATAAGGACACATGCACATGCATGTTCATTGCAGCACTGTTCACAATAGCAAAGACATGAAATCAACCTAGATGCCCATCAATGGTAAACTGGATAAAAAAATACGGTACACATATGCGATGGAATACTGCACAGTCATAAAAAGAATGAAATCATGTCCTTTGCAGCAATATGGATGGAGCTGGAAGCCATTATCGTAAACAAACTAACACAGGAACAGAAAACCAAATACCACATGTTCACATTTATAAGTGGGAGCAAAACATTGAGGACACATAGACACAAAGATGGGAACAACAGACATCAGGGCCTATTTGAGGGTGGAGGTTTGGAGGAGAGTGAGGAATGAAAAACTACCTATCAGGTACTAGGCTGATTACCTGGGTGACAAAATTATCTGTACACCAAACCCCTAAGACATGCAAGTTACCCATGTAACAAACCTGCACACATATCCCCTGACCTAAAATAAAAGTTAGAAAGGAAAAAAATGTTTTTTAATTAAAATTAAAATTTTTAAAAAGTCAATGAAAAGACATATGAGAAAAATTCAGCAAAGGCAGTTATTTCTTTGAAATAAATAACACAAAATTGATAACTATCAATAGACTAAGAAAAAAGGAGAAAAACACAAATTCTCAGGAATGAAACACAAATATCAGGAATGAAAAAGGGACATCACCAGATCTTACAGATACAGTCATGCACTGCATAATGATGTTTGGTCAAAGATGGACTGCATATACAATGGTGGTCCCATAAGATTATAATGGAGCTGAAAAGTTCTCACTGCCTAGTAACGTCTTGACAATCCTGACCCTGTGTAGGCTTAGGCTAGTGTGTGTGTTTGTATCTTAGTTTTTAACAAGAAAGTTTAAAACGTAAAAAATAAAAAGAAAAAAACACAGACAAAAGCTTAAAGAATAAGAATATAAAGGAAAAAATTATATAAGTATGTTTGAGACAGGGTCTCACTCTGTCACCCAGGTTGGAGTGCAGGGTGTGATCACAACTTACTGCAGCCTCAACCTCCTGGGCTCAAGCGATCCTCCCACCTGTCAGGCTGCCATGTAGCTGGGACTACAGGTGTGCACCACCACGTGAAAAAAAATCTTGTATAGCTGTACAATATGTTTGTGTTTAAAGCTGTGTTATTACAAAAGAGTCAAAAAGTTTTAAAAATTAGAGAGTTTATAAAGTAAAAAAATCACAGTAAACTAAGGCTAATTTGTTATTGAAAAAAATATTTTTTTTTTGGTAAATCTAGTGTAGCCTGAGTGTCTAGTGTTTACAAAATCTACAGTAGTGTATGGTGATGTCCTAGGCCTTCACAGTCACTCACCACTGGCTCACCTAGAGCAACTTCCACTCCTCCATGCTCCATTCATGGTAAGTGCCTTATACAGGTGGACCATTCTTTATCTTTTATACCGCATTTTCACTGTATCTTTTCTATGTTTAGGTATATTTAGATGCATAAACACTTACCATTGTGTTATAATTGCTTACAGTATTCAGTTATAGTCTCATGCTGTGCAGGTTTGTAGCCTAGGAGCAATAGGCTATACCATATAGCCTAGGTGTGTGGTAGGCTATGCCATCTAGGTTTGTAAGCACACTCTAAGATGCTCACACAATGATGAAATCGCCTAATGACACATTTCTCAGAATCTATCCCTGTCATCAAGTGACACATGACTGTCATTTATATATATAATATGAGGATATTATGAATAACTTTATATCAATAAATTAGACAATTCAATGAAATGAGAAAATTCCCAAACATAAAAGACAACACAAATTATCAAACTGATTGGAAGAAATTGAAAATTGGAATAGCCCAATTTTTATGACAAATTGAATGTTATTGAAAACTTTCCCCAAGGGAATGATAAGCATTCAATTCAGAATATTTGCCAATTGGGAAGAGAGGTGACAGGCACTGGATGGGCAACAGGGACCGTGAAGCCACTTCTAATTCCTTCTTTCTTTACCTGTGTGGTGAGGACACAGGTGTTTACTTTGTTGAAGTAAGGAGCAGTGTAGAGTTTCTGTTTACAGAGGGTTCCAAGGTGAGGGGACTATATGAGCAGAGTGGGCCTTCACCTTGCATGCCCTATCTAGATTTCTGATGTTTGCAGTCTCTCTGGGATGGCAATCTAGTGCTGAGTGAGGGCAGGAGAAGGGATGTGTGCATGGACCTCTTCCATATATGCAAGCCAGAGTGGCACGGGAACCACCTGTAACATTTCTTATGCGCTTGATAAACATGGTGGGCAAAAGTGAGTCCATCTGGCCCAGAGCCCATCAGGCAGAACAGAGGGTGGCTCAGGTGGATGCATGTGGATTGCCGCCTGGGGTGGAGGTGGAAACAGCGGCATCACCGCGGCATCAGCCTGGTAGGGATATGTTCCAAAGCTGATATGCCACACCAGCATACTGTTTGTGCGACAATGATGACATAGGCAGTCGCATCAGGCTTGGCACACCAAGAGGAAGGACTAGCCCTGCTCTTGTCCGCACTGCTCACATTCAATCTTCCTGGAAATAAGAACTCGGCAGAGATGGAAAAGGAGCTTGGAAATGAAGCCCTGAATTGGACTGGGACCCAACATAAATCATGAATTGACTGAGAAATCATTGGATTGGACTCTGATCTTGACTGGCTAAGGTGAGGTTTTTCATCTACTAAACAAAAATGAGTGCATCTAATCTAGGATCAGTTACAGTAAAATGAAATTACCATGTTAGCCCATGTAAGTCTGTGACTACACAATTAATCTCCATATCACACCACGATGAAGTACTCTGTACAAATGCACTCGCTACGGTGCTGTATATGCCACATTGAATTAATATCTGGAGCTTCAGCCTAAGTAGAGAGACATAATCTACAATGTCCCAATTAGTTGGTTAAATGAGAAAACATAGAAAGTGTGTAGTAATAAATACTTCTGCTTTCCTAAATATTTAGATATCAACATAAAGTCTGCAGAGACCAAAACGATTAATATGATTGTCAACATCTTGGTTAATAGAAAATCAATTAGAAGTAAAACTTTAAACTCCATCTCTACTAAAAATACAAAAAAAAATTAGGTAGGTGTGGTGGTGGGCGCCTGTAATCCCAGCTACTAAGGAGGCTGTGGCTGGAGAATCGCTTGAACCCAGAAGATGGAGGTTGCAGTGAGCCGAGATTGCACCACTGCACTCCAGCCTGGGCAACAAGAGCAAAAACTCCCTCTCAAAAAAAAAAAAAAAAAAAAAAAAAAAAAGAAAACTGATACGTTCTTGTAAATCATCACTGAAGAATAGGGTAAATCCCGTAGGGTCAGAGACAAGGTAAATCTTAAGGATGAAAGTGAACCCTACAGAAATAAATAAGAGAAAGTCATTTTATTCAGCTCTAGAGATAATCCAAAACCTATTTGCAGGGAAAGGAAATCAAGTGTATATTTAAATTTTCTTTTGTCTCACATGTATCTACGTTCTGTTCTTAAATAACTATGTGAGACAGGGCAGGTGTTAATATGCACATTTTACACAGCACAAAATGCTTATCAGCACATACACGAAACACGGGTAGGAGATCATTTCAGCACCAAACAGAACAAGGCAGAATGTTTTACTACAAGGTGTTTTTGCCCTGAATCCTCTGTTTTTTCTGTCTTGGCATGGATTCTTTGTGCCACCGCACTTAGGATGAATTATTTCCATAGAATATACATAGCCAGGTATAGAATTTTATACAGACAAGATCCATAGTGTGTGTTTAAGAAATACAGTGCAAATGTAGGGCATTGCCATCCCAGGATCTTTTGTGTAAGCTTCAAGTTTGACCTCCGATGGCCTCCATCAGACCAACATTAAACCCATCGTGCCTGGATGATGCTTGACTGTGAAAGAATATTGCAAAAGAACTTCCCATACATGTTCCCCCAGGGAATCTGGGGGAAATTATGGCAGAACACAACTAAACAGAAGACAGATTTTTAATGTTAACATGTTAGGGTAAGGGAAAAAATAAGCATTTTTCCAATTTGCATCGTTTTTGTCCTTTTCAGAATTTTACAGTTTCTCCATTTTGAAAAAGGCAAAGAGGACACTGGGAAGAGAAACAAAATGCTTATGTGAGTGAAAAATAGATTTGAGAGGTTGAGGAACTGGAGCTGTTGTGTCTGGTAGAGGATCTGATACATAAAGCAACTTTATAAAGACAATACAAACTAGTTATATATCATTGTGTGCAAATGAGCAGGAAAAGGTTTTAATAGCCCTATGAAAGAAGATGACTAAATAGGTCTGATTAAACCAGGTATTAAGCGAGTGAGTCTGTCCTGCTGATCTTTTATAACAGAAACACAGATAGGGAATGAAAACATCTTGAATGATTTTACTTCTCAGTGATTTTGATTACTCTTCTATTTTAGACCAATTATTTTGCATTTCTTGTAGAAGTATATGAGGTGATTTAACATTAGTATGTAAAAAAATTGCAACATTCCTAACTTCCTTAAAGGATGATTAGTCATGTTTTTAGAAATAGAATTTGTATATTTCACACCATACCTGTTCCTGAGAATAAAGAATCTCTTTTCCCAGCTTTTATTTAGTCGATCAGCTTCCTTCCTAAACCTATAAAAAATTTACAGATGGTTAAATATTGTATTAGTTACAAATGAACATTATATCTCATTACCAGTGCCTTTTACTCTATTACCAGTACCTTTCCACCTTCTTTTTCTCATTCTCTAAATTTGCCTTTAATGCTTCTATTTGAGACTCCAAACCATGTTTGTCTTCAACCTTTCAATAGAAAATATAACACAAAGTTAATTACACAAACAATATATCTTGTTTCTCCATAAATCTGAAAAGACTATTTCTATAAATAGTATGCATACTCTAACTACTATCAAACATAATTTGAGGCGGGGCACGGTGACTCACGCCTGTAATCCCAACATTTTGGGAAGCCAAAGTGGGAGGATGGCTTAAGCCTAGGAGTTTGAGACCGGTCTGGGCAATATAGTGGGACCTTGTCTCTACAAAAAATTAAACATTAGCAAGGCATAGTGGCATGCACCTGTAGTCCCAGCTACTTGGGAGGCTGAGAAGGGAGAATTACATAAGCCCAGGAGGTCGAAGCTGCAGTGAGCTGTGATCATGTCACTGCACTCCAGCCTGGATGACAGAACGAGACCCTGTCTCAAAAAAATTTTTTTTTCGAGAGAACAATGAGTTATATTTACTTGTAAATTACCATACATAGGAACGGTTTAAGATCCCATGCCTCTATTTCCCGTAAATGGTGAACTTAGAAGCAGTTAGCTCTAAACCATATTACAAAGCAACCAAAA
Source organism: Homo sapiens (assembly GCF_000001405.40). NCBI lineage: Eukaryota > Metazoa > Chordata > Mammalia > Primates > Hominidae > Homo > Homo sapiens. The sequence goes on from NC_000010.11 coordinate 23,251,246, forward strand.
TTGATCTTCATCAGCCCCTTAAGCTGCCCCTTTTTGTAAATTGTAAATCGTGTTTTGTAAATTGTAAATTGTGTTTTCCTTCACTTACTGTGGTCTCTCCATCTCTTCGTCATAGGCAGCAGCTTCCCCCAGTTACTCATTTCCTCCTTCTATCAAAACAGTTCTCAAGAAAGGATCTACCAACTGAATCACAGTAGAGCTTTATGCCATTTATCAATAATGTTTATATTTTGCAAGAGGACAAAGTTTCAGCAAAATGAATGAATCTCTAATAGCTGAATTGTAGGCATATCATGAATGAGAGAGACTTCCGTGGATGTGGCAGAGATGTGCTACAGAATAATACTAAAGAGGCAATCAGGTCTTCTGTCTCTTCATAAGGCTAATTCTCAGTGTAGCTTCCAGAGTCATTGCTACTTTCTAAGCATAGCCAGCATCAATATAAACAATAACTAGGTTCGTAATAATGGTCATATTAGTCATTATTATATCTTAGATCCTGATATTTTCATCTTTTTTTCTTTTCATGTGTCCCAATAGGTGCTGCATAGCTTATCTGGCAAGAAAATAAACCAAGGTAAATACAAATTTTCAAATTAATGCATAACAATGTGGATTTTCTGCAGCTTTGAGAAAGAGAACTGAGACTTACAATATGCTAACCACAGTCCTCTGGCCGTCTTCACTGTCTTATATAATTTAGATAATTCAGTATTTATACATATAATTTGCAATTGGACAATGGCAGCCCATTGAAAACAATTTTCCTATTAATAATACCAGTTTTTAAAAAATGCATTTTATTATAGTGTTGCTTCCATTATATCTGTTTTGCTTTCAAAAAAATCCTATTAGAAAGGTGCTAGATCTCTTGGATCTGTTCTCCATATTTTAACTTTTTTCATTATTTCTGTCTGCCATTTTGCACTATGTTCTAGGAAATTTTCTTCACTTTATCTTCCAGATTATTAAGTCTTAAGCTCTGTCAATTTTATTATTCAGCCTGCCTATTGCCTTTTTTTCAAAGTTTTATTTGTTCCTTTTAATAAATTGTTCTTTGGTTCAGACTGTTCGTTTTTCATAGCTGCCTGTCCTTGTTAATGGAAAAAAGTTTCTGTTGAATGTCTCCCAAAATATTTTTTACTGAAATAATATATTTTAAATTTTTGTCTGTTCCCTGAATTAACTGTTTCAGGCAGGGCCAAGTGCTTTTCTTGTTCTCTTTGTTCACTCCGTAAATATTTGCTGAATGCTTATGATATGCCAACAATTGTTTAAGCACTGGAGATACAATAGAAAACAAAATTGAGCTAAAGTAGAGAAGGCAGACTTGAGAGAAATTACAAAAGAGGTGAAATTTAGGTGACTTTTTGAGTGAGGACAGAGCTGCCTGAAATTTCTCATTTGGGCAAGTAGATGGAGAATGATTCTATTCACTAAGAACAAACAATAAGAATAGGAACAATTTTGTGTGCTAGCCTTTTTTTGTTTTGTTTTGTTTTGTTTGTTTTTGATGAATTCAGATTTACCAAAACACTTTGAGTCTCAGGTACCCATGGCCTGTTTAAATGAACACATGTAATAGGCAACTGATATGGTTTGGCTCTGTGTCCCCACCCAAATCTCATCTTGTAGCTCCCATAATTCCCACGTGTTGTGGGAGAGACCTGGTGGGAGATGATTGAATCACGGTGGCGGGTCTTTCCCATGTTGTTCTCAAGATAGCGAATGGGTCTCACAAGATCTGATGGTTTTAAAAATGGGAGTTTCTCTGCACAAGCTCTCTCTTTGCTTGCTGCCATCCATGTAAGATGTGACTTGCTCCTCCTTGCCTTCTGCCATGATTGTGAGGCCTCCCCAGCCATGTGGAACTGAAAGTCCATTAAACCCCTTCTTCCCAGTCTCAGGTATGTCTTTATCAGTGATGTGAAAAGAGACTAATATAGCAACTGAGACAGGGCCTGGAATTTGAGAGAGGGGTTGATCCTAGAGAGATAATTTGGGATTCATCAGTACGTGGGTTGAAGCTGAAGATTTGGATAAGGCCATTCATCAAAAAAGTGGGGGTCACCAAAGTGACATGAGATGGACACTTTTTGGAGTCCCTCCACCTATTTGTTCTCAAAGGGCACAATCCACGTGAACCACCTCTTTGTCCAGGGTACAAGGGGTAGAGAGTGAGTTCACTGCCATTTGATTAACAGTAGTCCAAGGAAATCACCAGGGGAAGAGCCCCAGGCCCAGGGTCAGGGAGAACACTTGCCATTATGCTAAAAAAAATTAACCCAAATTAAAAAAATTAATCCCCAGAAAATTAGGAAAACAAATCAGTAGAACAAAATAATTTTCCACGTAGAAAGACATTAATATACTTATTTCACTATATCCAAAGTTACATCAGTGATTGAATGCTTATTTAAAAAAAAACTGTGTTTAAATTTATGTACAGTAAAAATTAGTTTCAATTTTTAAGGCTCCCTTTTTCCAGCTTTCATATAATGATCAACTATGTAATAACTAGAGATAAGTCTGTTCTAAAATCTATCTTCTGTAAAGCAAATAATTATTCAATCTCTTCAAAAGACAACACTATTATGATGATGAAGATAACGTCTCTTTTCATTAAAAAAAGAGAAAAAAAAGCATCACATGTAGACTAGAGTGTTTGCTCTCCAGTTCGAGTTGAACTTTCAACTTTGCTGCAACATGGTCTATTGAATCCTGGCTCTGTCCACATTAAACTGTCATTTTGTTTTGCCAGCTGCTGACATTCCACTTTCTCTGGAATACACACACTGGTCTTTATGTGGTCACTTCATTGACAGGTGCAAACACTGGACTGATAATAGATTGATGTGAAAATGAGTGTTAATATTAAAATAAAAGTAATTAACTTCCTAAGTAGGAAAACACAAACACAAATTAAATAATTGTAAAGATAATAACATACTGTAATTTAACAAAATGTGTGTTTTTTTTGAGACAGAGTTTCACTCTTGTTGCCCAGGCTGGAGTGCAATGGCACAATATCAGCTCACTGCAACCTCCGCCTCCCAGGTTCAAGCAATTCTCCTGCCTCAACTTCCCGAGTAGCTGGGATTACAGGTGCCTGCCACCACCCCTGGCTAATTTTTTTGTACTTTTAGTAGAGACGGGGTTTCACCACGTTGGCCACGCTGGTCTTGAACTCCTGATCTCAGGTGATCCACCCACCTTGGCCTCCTAAAGTGCTGGGATTAGAGGCATGAGCCACCACTACTGGCTGTGATTTAAAATAATTTATTATAAATATTTCTCATTCTCTTTTGAATTTGTATATACATTTATAATTAAAAATTCACAAAATTAAGAAATAAAGGTTCATTTATAACGGAAGTTATGATTCTTAAATTTGCTTCCCATTTTTAAGCACTTATATCATATTTTTAAAAATTTAACAAATATACTATTCTAAATTAGAATAGTAGCCAGGGTTTGTAATAACAGAAGAAGCAAATTATGTTTATTAACTGCCGTAAGATTAACTACATTCCTTATCATACCCTCACATCTCTGTTTTCTTTTTCTTATCAAGAGTCAGTACATTTAATTTCCACAAACATCTCTCTTATGAAACTTTAGTCATTTTCTCTGGGCTTAATGAAAGGTACTTTGCCTTTTACCTCTATACCCTTTAAATCGTCGAATATATTTATATTACCATTAAAGTAGTCTTTCTGACTCATCATGATGAAGAATGATTTTTCCTCTTTAAAACCTCAATCACTTTGACTTTCATATTAACATTTTTTAACCTGCCATGCAAATAACTACTTTTGAACACCAGTAATGTGCCAGTGGGTGGGAAGTGGCCAGGGAGAGGAGGGGCTAATAGAAACACACGAAACAAGGACCAACCTCATGCACCTACAATTTGGAGAGAAGAGGCTGAGAATTGGGAACACGGAGAATAAAATATGAGGCTGTGTGCTGAAACAGTAGTCATGACGGGGGCCAAAAATCAAAACAAAACATTTATCTACATATATCACTTGTGAATTTTCTTCTAACAAAATTGTTAAGGTAGGCAAATCTTTCAAAAACAGGACAAGACTTTCTTCATTTGATGTCCCCAAAGGTGCCATTCCATGTTTGCCAAAGGGCTCGGAGGCATCTTGGTAGAATGACTGGGCTGTGAAGCCATACAGGATTTAGGCTGATCCAGGCTATATGCAACTCTCAAGCATGTCTCAAAGGTTCAGAAGGCCACAAAAGTCTGTCTGGGTGTGGCTTCCTCACCTGGCTCTAGAACATCCTAGACCTTGTGTTCATGTGTTCATGTGTTCATGTAGGAAGTCATCTATGCAAAAGCAGAATACACATCTATTAAACTATTCACTCCAAAAACTTGTGACAAGGTCACTTCAGTGATAGGAATGTATCTATTAAATATGATGAAGCCATTGTTTATAACCGAAAAAAAAAAGAAATAATATCTCAGGAAGGCACTGGTAAATTGACACGAATTGGTTATGTAAATTGTGCTACTTCTGTGGGGCGAAATACATACAGCACATATAATGGATTATCTAAATTCAACGGTATGGAATGATGTTATCCACATCCTGTTGACATAAAAATCTGCATCAAGACTTGTCTGGAAGGGTGGTAATGAGAGGTTTTCAGTGATCATCTTTGGGTGGCAGGATTTTCTTAAAAATTTTCTTCTTTTGGCATTTCCTCATTGAGCAAATTTTGTATAATAAGTATGTTATCAGTTTTGTGAGTTTTTTTCTTCAAGACAGTTTGCTCCATGGCTCAGGCTGGAGTGCAGTGGCATGATCTTGGCTCACTGCAGCCTCCACCTTCCCAGCTCAAGTGATCCTCCCACCTCCACCTCCCAAGTAACTGGAACTACAGCTGTGCACCACCATGCCTGGCTAATTTTCGTATTTTTTTTAGAGAAGAAGTCTTGCTATGTTCCCCAGGCTGGTCTTGAACTCCTGGGCTCAAGCAATCCTCCTGCTTGGGCCTTCCAAAGTGCTGGAATATTACAGGCATGAGCTTCTATGTCTGGCCCTGTATCCATTTTATTTAAAAAATTGAGACTCCTGGCTCCCGCTTAGGAAGCAAAAAATGCCATTCCAACACTAAAAACAAGAAAAATCTAGATAAACTACAAAATCACAACTTCTCTTGAACCCATTAGAGAGCTGGGGTTACACCCAGGTAACCTAAATTCCAAAGAGGAACAATGCCCTCAGAGGAGAGATGAGAGCCATGAACAGTTCATAGGTCTCGTCTACAGCTGAAGAAGCACCATGCCAGCTTCAACACAAGCTTGTAAGAAGAATAAGCTAAAATATAAAGAACTTCTGAAGATCAAATGTTGGTGAGCGGGGCAGTCTGAAGTAGCTGGGGACACATGTTAAAAGTGGAGCTTGCACTCACTCACAAGTTTTTTTTTTTTTCCTGTCCCTTACCAGATACTCATGAGAAAAATTGAGGGCAGAGCAATTTTGAAAGGAGTCTCTGTTGATGGTGCAGACTTGAGGAGGGGATCAGCAGCTACTACAGGAAAATCACCTTCCTTGGGTCATTCTATCCTAGCATGTGAAAGTCTTAAGCCTCTGGGAGAGGGGAAGCAAACTGTCTGGCCAACCAGGCTCAAAGAAGGTGATCAGTGGTTGATGCTGTGAAGAAGTGTTAGGTATCAAATCCCATTTATTTCTCCCAGGCCACTCCTTTCTCAGAAGGAAAAGTTTTCAACTGCTGGGATGGGCAGCAGAGTCTCTTGCTCACAGCTCAAAAATGGAGATATATTATGTCAATGGGAAAAACAAAAGAAACAGGTTGCTCCCCTGGGAGAAGGGAATGGTAATTGTCTTGGACCTTCAACTCTATGCCAATACCAAGTGGAGGTGTCCTACTATTGCAGGAAGGACAGGAAACTCCTGCCCAAGACCAACTTCAGATACAAGGCGAGTGAACTGCCCCAGGGAAGAGGGGCAAGAATGCTGAGAAAGTCCACCGCTGGGGCCTGAGCACACAACACTTCTGAAAGTCTGAGTTTGGATTAGAACCACAGAGAATCTTCTCTACCTTCACTCATGGAGCACCAAGCAATAGCAGTGCACTACTGAGGCATGGATAAGAGCATAGAGGCAGATCTTCTCTATGGCACAGGTGGACAGGTTCTATAAGCTGAGGGTAGAGTGGTAGTCAGAGAAAAGCACTCTGTGACCCCAGCTCCCACTCTAGTCACATACCCACCACAAAAAGAATATCAAAACTGTTGCCTGGTGCAGTGGCTTACACCTGTAATCCCAGCACTTTGGGGGGCCAAGGCAGGAGAATCCCTTGAGCTCGGGAGTTCGAGAACAGCCTGGGCAATATGGCAAAATTCTATCTCTATAAAAAATACAAAAGTTAGCTGGGCATAGTGGCATGTGCCTGTAGTCTCAGCTGCTTGGGAGGCTGAGGTGGGAGGATGGCCTGAACCCAGGAGACAGACGTTTCAGTGAGCTGAGATCACAGCACTGCACTCCAACCTGGGTGACAGAGTCAGACTCTGTTTTTTTTTTTTTAAATAAAAGACTGTGGTCTAGTAGAGGTAACCATAGCAACAAGCAAACTCAACTCAACTTTGGTTAGATTGGCCCAACCTGTCACAGTAGTCATACACATCCCCCCCACACATATATGTATACACACATATGTGTATGGGTGTGTGTATGTATAGTCTCATAAGAGACAGGTTATTTCAATGTGTGAATACAATTTATTTCAATCTCTACTATTCTACACATGATGTGCAGCATTCAATCAGAAATATGAGGCAGCTCGCTGGAACAGGCTGGATGGTGCCAGCCACGTTAGGTGGTTTTACCATGTGGCCTCTGGCATCCCCATTGCCAACCATGGGCGAGCTCTTGGTGCACTGGTGGCCTGGCATGGTGCTCCAACTATAGCTGTGTCAGCGTGTGATGATGCCATCCCACACCAATCTGGCTACTGGAATCCCTAGTAGCAAAGCAAAATACTCAAGGCTCTCCAGCACAGACAGTGGCTACACTCACCTCCTAAGGTTTAAAAAAGGCCTTCCTAAGATGCCTTAGAAGGCCATTGCAGTCACCACTGTGCTGTTTCTGATTGGCACCTTTCTATTATCATAGGCTCCCTCCTGCTGTTGGGCTACATCAGCAAAGTGGGGACAGACTAGGTTGTTCCAGTTCTGATCACTGGCAATTTGGTGTTCCTGCCGAATGCATCCAAAAGCTACCAGGGTTACTCCTACCATGGCCTTCCAGACTTTGACGACTAGCACCACCTCAGCCCTGAGAAGAGTCACAGTGGAACTGTACCTGGCTTTAAGATTCTGAGCAGAAACTATGTCTAAGGGCTGAAGAATTCTGCAGTTTGCAGATGTTTAATAAAACATTGGCCAGATTTTATGGGTCTATTCCAAAGATGTTAACTGAGCTTACAATGAGATCATTCGGACATGGTCTATTTTTCATCTCCTGGCCCTGACAAAAAGCTGCTGACAAGGTTTTCCCCCAGGAATATGGAACATGGAGGAATAGCAATGTTCATTGTCTGGAAAAATGGGAACTTATTCTGTAATGGAATGTGTTGCCTTCACCATCCTATTTAGAGTTCAACACTTCTGTTAAATAGTCTTCATTGTCAATTTCTTCTTGTAGCAAATGAAAGAATACAGTATGTCTTTTTAAAATTACTAGGTAACTTATTTTTAAAATATCTAAGTATCTTATCTCCTACACTTATTTCTACCTTCATGTTCTAGTGGAAAACGATGGTAAAATCAAATGTCAGTGAGAGTCCATCTGTAATATTTTTTACTTGCTTTTTTATCAACAGCATCCAGGAATTTTTCAAACTACAGAGCAAGTTTTCAAAATGTAAACACTTTCTCTGTTTACCAATCTTTAGTGAGCTCTAATTTGGTTCACCAATAGACTGGGCAGCATACAATTTGGGTCATTCTGTCCTTCGTATATCAAGCTATTCTGTATATCATGCCTTTAAGGATCAGACTTTTGGCTGTTTCCTAATGAAAAATGCAGAGAAGTGGTTCTTATTTAGAGTTGATAACCCTAGTGCTAGTACCTAGTATTATGATGGCATTCTGCTAAAGATTGCAAGACTCAGCCTGGATCCCTAGAAGACTAGATTGAGTTAGGTTGATTCTATTTCCTAGCTTGCAAAAAGTGACTTATATTCAAAGTAAATTAAAATGTCAAAACAAAACCAAACAAAAGACAGACAAAAAGTCCAGGAAAAAAAATCTATCGTTGGGAGACAAAGCAATAAACAGAACCAGACTCAAAGATGACCCATATTTTGGAACTATGACTTTGAAAGACTTTGAAAGAACTATAATCAAAATATTAGAGAACCTAGGAGAAAAGGTGAACACTATGCATGATAAACAATAGACAGGGAATTTCATCAGAGAGGTGGAAAATGTAAAAAAGAATCAAATGGAAATACTAGAAATAAACCAAGCAACAATCAAGATGAATAATTTGTTGGATGGGCTCATCAATAGACTCAATATAACTGAAAAAAGTAATCAGTGAATTTGAAGTTAGGTTAAAAAAAAGACAACTCTCCAAACTGAAACAAAGAAAAAAAGTAGTTCAAACTTTAATGAGCTGAGCATGTAAGAGTTGTGGAACAACATCAAACAGTCCAGCACAGACATATTCGAAGGTAAAGACATAATTGTAGATAATGTTTAGGAGTTAATAAAAGATATCAAACTACAAATTCAAGAAGTTCAAGATAAATAGAAATAAAGAGGTGAAGGAGAGGGGACAAGAAACAACCAAAGATACTTTATTATCCAGCTGTTGAAAAGCAAAGAGAAAGAGAAACTCTTGAAGTCAATCCAAAATAAAAGACATTACAAACAGAGAAACGAAGTTAAAATTTACAGCATACTTCTTATCAGGAACTATGCAAGCCGAAAGAGGGTGTAGTCATATCTTCAAAGTATTAAAAGAATAAAACTGTCAATGCAGACTCAGAATATATTTCGGAAAAATACCTATCAAAAATAAAGGCAAAAAAAAGGGTTTTTTCCAGACACAAACAAAAACTAAGAGAATTCATTGCCGGCAGACCAAAAGGAAGAGGGTATATGACACCAGATAGAAACCTAGATCTACACAAAGAAATGAAAGCTCTAGAAATGGCATAAATAAAAGTGTCAAATGCAAATCTTACTGTGACAAGTATATCAATTTCTGTTACATGAAAATATATTAAACTTTAATTTTTGAAGCATATAACATGTTAGGAACTCTAAAGAACTGTCCCTTTAATGGGAATATTGGAGAAGATTATCCAAAGGCATTTAGAGCAAGATTCATGGACAGATATGAGTTTTAAGTGGCTTTCCTGGGAGCTCATAAGAAACACTCTCTTTACTGCTGAAGACTAAGCTATTTGGTGGGAGATTTCCCACCAGAGGTTCCTATGGATTGCAGTGGCTTCTTATTGACCTCTTATCAATCAGCTGTTTGGATGCTTCAGTCTGAAATCTTTTTTATATTACTTTCCTAATGTTTGCTCTCCTAACTTTTCCAGTGGTTGCATAAAAATCTAAACCTTCATATTGAAATCTTTCCAATTTTAATACAAAAAGACCTTTCAAATATTCTTATGCTTTATTTAATGTAAACCAGACAGAAATCTTATAAATTGTAATTGAATTCGACTTGCAAATTGTCAACTAGGGAGACAGACCACCAGAATCACACTCGAGGTTGTTTAGGCCTGTGACCATCATTTCTGGGGGAATGAATTCAAATAAATGTTCACTGTATACTTTCAGCCATTGGATTAACTGGACTCTACAGTGCTTCATGGTATTAGGTGTAGATAACTTCTTTTTCTTTTACAGATTTGGAAGAGAAAATGCCATGAAAATTTGGGGAGTCTAGTTAATACAAGGGCTGAGATACAGTATCTCAATACCTGCATACACACACACACACGCAACAAAGAAATGATTCCCACACTAAAATTGCTGGAGGAGATCCTCAAACTGTTTTTAAGACACATTTCTTTGTTTTGAAACAGGATCTAGCTTTATTGTCCTGGCTGGAATGCAGTGGTGGGATCATAGCTCACTGCAGCCTTGACTCCTGGGCTCAAACAATCCTCTCACCTCAGCCTCCTGAGTAGCTAGGACCACAGACACGCACTAACACACTTGGCTAACTTAAAAAATATCTGTAGAGGTGGGGTCTCACTATGTTGCCCAGGCTGGTCTCAAACTCCTAGCCTCAAGTGATCCTCCTGCCTCCGCCTCTCAAAGTGTTGGAATTACAGGTGTGAGCAGCCACCCCTGGACTGTTTTAAAGATTTTTTTAAAGCCTAAAATAAAAGTGTACCTTTATTCCCTAATTGAGCTGCATAAGCTAACACAACTTAAGAACTCTGGATTTGGTGAGCAATATATCAACCTGGTGAGATGTCACTGGTTATCTAAGATTGTTCAGATATGCAAATGGGAAGAAAATAGTAATAGATGAATCAATAAGAGGAAACAAAGAATTTTAATAGGATCAATTTTCATGATGAACAAGCAGAGATTCCACTGAGGAAAAGAAAGTTAAGAGAGTGTTAAATGAAAAAAGGTTTAATAACCATCCTTCATGAAAATAAGTTCCTAAAGAAAACAAAATTGATGTGTTATAACTCACATAGACTTATTCCCAGGGTTTGAGGAGAAAGTTGGGATCTGGAGAGACTAGGATTGGAGAAACTGACAAGTTTGGCCAGGCTAAATCCAAAGACAGTGGTCAACAGTCCACTGCCAGCATCTAGAGGGGTGCAGCCACCTCCGGCTTGACTCTGGTGAGCAGCGATGTAATACACCAGGCAGCAGCACTGGCAGATGTGACGATGGCAGTCAGGATGAGTGACAGCATGTCAGATGCTCAGCCTTCCGGGGAAAAGACCCACGTCTGGGTAGTGTCAGGAGTCTGGCCAAATGACCTGGTGTTCAGGACCAGCCTTGACTCCCACTGGGAACTGGAGAGAAATCCACAGCTGAAGCCCCAGCAAATGGAATCAAGCAACACCATGTTAGGGGAGGGGGGTGGGGGGAGAGGGTCACCTCGCTGTCTGTGGGCTCCTGAATGTCAGGGATGACATTTCTGCTACCACCAAGTCGCTATCATCTGTGGTCAGGACCTCACATCTGTCCCAATGGCTGACAGTGCTTTGGGAAGAATAAGGACATTATCCATACCTTGAATTTATCTATTCCTGATTTCACAGCAAAATCTTCAGTCCTCAGTTTACATTACGCTCAAACCTAGTGAGCTCCACAAATAAAATGTTATAATTGTTTCCCAACAAAATCAATAAGAGCACAAGCACAAACCCCCTTTTCAGTTGGTTTTTGACAACATCTTTTCATGTATCCCACAAATATTAAACGCTATTTTCACTAGAATATTTTCTGTTCCAAATATACCAAAGGTATTTATTTAATTTATTATCAAACTACCCAGCATAAAATAAGGCAGAAGACAAAAGCCACCTTTCAGCTGGATTTTAAATATATTACTCACATTTTCAATTTTGCTCTCTGAGAGCAGAATCTAAAGATTAATTCATTTTAGTGATAAATGAAAAATGTGATTTTCAATGATTTTGACATTTTATCTGTACATTTTAGGGTTATCCATATTATAAGACAAAGATCAAGTATGATAAGGAAAATTATTTTGTGTCATCATAATCCATCAAAATATAGTAAATATCCTTTGACAACCTCTGAAGACCATGCACATGTAAAGGATTGTCCTATCTCTGTATTACTACATTGCCTAGCGCTGCCGGATAAACAACAGGTAAAGTGCTGGTTTTCCCAAACTGCTCTGCAGCTCTCTTAACTGCCTGCTGTATCAAGCCAAGCCAAGGGAAAAAAGAATGGAATAATGAAACAGTAAGCAGATTATATTGTTTTCTTCTCTCATAGAGCTTATCTTAAATGTGCAATTTAACCAAGTAAGAGTTGCATCTAGGAGAAAAATAGTAAATTTCAGAAGAAAAGATCTTTTCTTCAACCATCTAGCCTATAATATTATATACCTATAGTAATAATTCTATATCCCATAATAACAATTTTTTTTTAAATCACTAGCTTGCAAGGTGACTATGGTCATAACTGCGAAATAGTTGCAATACTATTTTATCTAACACTTCTTGAATGTTTAAAAAAAGAAGTTCTAGAGTTTTTATTGAAGTCTTTTATCTGTACAAATTGCTTTGTATTGAGAAAACTCTAAGAATGGGAACATGACTGATTTTCTCCTATGTCCCATTTCCCACACAGAAGGGCCCTGATTCTTTCTGCAGATCAAAGCATGCACCATATGTTCATCAGTATAGACCAGGTTACCCCATGGAAGCTCAGAAGTCCTCCATGGAAGCATGTATTGGGTGCAACCATAATTAACTAATTACTCAGGGTCGGGAGAGGAAAACCTGAGAATCCATTTTAACCTTGATATATGAAACTTGAGTGTTTGAAATGTTTTGCACATATCAAAAAACAAACTTTACATAAAAGCACTGTACAAATACAAATTTTATGTTGTGAAATCGTTCATTAATAGAAATCAGACAGCTAATGTTCATATCGTATTTTTCAGACTGGCTAAACACTCAGTTTATCACTGTGTGCTCCGTTGTGGGTAGCACATGTGCTGTTCCCACCGAATGACACAGATTTCAAAAAAATAAGTATGATTAATTAGATACGTTAAATGACTGATGTACAAAGTTCCTGTAACAAGCCCTCCATGTGGTCATTTACACGTGGTAAACGTTATAAAACCCTTTAAAGACAATTTTTAAGAGGTCCAGCTACCTCCATGGAGTTAAATATTTAAAAGAGAGGAGCGGGAAAATTATAGCTAGAATGTGTATATATACGGTAAAGAATAAACCACAGTGGAAGGGGATAGAAGGGAGCGCTTAGAACAATAGGATATTACACTTAACAAAGTGTAAGTGACGGTAATAACAGTGAACTAGAAAAACATACTTCATTTTAAAATTGAGCCAATTCATAGAAATATGTAAACCCAGTTTAAGTAATCTCTCCCCTCCCCCGGTCCAATTTTGACTTATTGTTATATATTAACTTCAGAGACTCCCTCAGCTGACAAAATGTACTGTTTGGAGATACCCAGGCCACAATCATTAGAGTCACAGGGAAAGATTGTCACACAAAGAGAAAAGCCTGTTGAAATGACACCTTCTCAGAGATTTGTCAGTCTTTGTCCTTTATTTTGCATTTTCGGTGGGGAACAACAGGGAATATCTCTGCCCCTTGTGGCTGTGACTTTGGAAGCTCAGCTTCTATCTGTAAACTGGGGACACCGGAGCTTCCAAGCTGGAATTCTAGGATTTAGTTCCAGCCTTGGGGTTGCTGTGGGGACCGGGGCACCTTCTGCTACAGCTGCCCCCTGCTGCTGTGACCTCAGGACAAGAGGCTCAGCTGCTCTGCCCCAGTGGCTGACCGGGCTCTGTAGTCCTCCCAGCCATCATCTCAGAGCCTCAGACCACAGACCCCTGACACATGACTGATTTCATGGCAGCTGACCCAGCCTTGGGCCCCTCACCCAGCATGGCTGGTCTCCCCAACCAGGTCAGCATGCAGCATTGCACAGCAGGCCAGTTCTTTTTATATGTGGTCCAAAAAAATACTTCCCAAAATCTGGGTTATAAAAATCTTACTTCTAGAACGTAGTCACTGGTCATTTCTATGCAAAATTTACCCTCTTCCAGTGTCAGTTTTTTCCCTTGGGAAATTATACTGATTTCCAGTTGTCTACACTTCCTAGCTCTCTGCGAAGTGGAAATGCTCACAGAGGAGAATGCTTTTTCTCTTCCCAGTAGAGTGACTTCCAGTAGCGCAACAAGCCTGGCCTTGCTCTACTTGCTCCCTCCCGCTCTGTGGATATGAGGAGTGGTCCATCTCCTGGAGAGTGGGCACGAGAGGTCTGCACCTTGCCTTCCCCCTTTTTGGAGCAAGGATGCACACGGTGTGCACAATTCTGTTCCACTCCTCCATGCTCTAAGTGAGAGAAGTGCAAATTCTGCCCTGTGTAGGAGAAGAAGGAAGAATGTGGGAACACGTAGGAACAGGACAGAGTTTGAGAGAGCAAAATATGCAGTGGAGAGACTCTGTGTGAAGCACGACATTGGCCATATGTGTCACCAATTGGGTTCTATGCCTTCTAAAAGGAGCCTTGACTACTTACACAATTCACAGTGTCCACAGAACAACTAAGAGTTGTAGAAATACAACTATCTTTATAGCTAAGAGCAGAAGGCTGTAGAGATACAGGCTCATAATGATGGGAGGTATTGTATAATGTAGTGAGCAGTGCCTCATAAATATACACACAATTAGCCCACAGTGAGCTGAGTGTCTCAGAGCTACTTCTTAGCACCTCTTTATGTAGACCAAGGCTGCCACCCTAGCTCCTGCAGAAACAGTTGTGATGATCTGGGGAAAGGTAGAAAAGGAGAGCAGCAGCATAGAGTTCATGCATGTCTCTGAGAGTGTGATTTCATCCAGTTGTAGGTTGAGGAATCCTGCATGAGCAAATGGACTGGCTACCTGTGTGTCCTTCCCGGAATCTTCTGATGACACTGGGCAGTAATGAGTTTGAGACTGCATATCCTAGAAAGTGCTTGGGATGTAGCTTCTCTATTTTGGTAATTAAATAGAGACCCACTGGTGCTTAGTGACTTAGCTAAATCAACTGCCTGGCTGGGCATACTGATGACTTCATCTTGGAAAAGTAAAGGAGGCTCACCCTGACATGTTGGTTTAGAAATAGGCAGCTGGAGCCCCCCACTCAGGGGGTGAGAACCCGGTGTGCTTAGACTGCAGGCCTCATGGATAGGGCTAAAGAGACAGGAGTCCCTGTGCAGAGGAAGGTGGACAGGGTGTGGTCATGGAAGCAGTTCTTACCACAGCTTGGTCTTCCTTTAAAGCCTTCTTTGGCATTTTAGCTTTCTGGGCCCCAGCAGATGATACACTCATGGTCGCAGAATGTGGCCTCAAAGCTGTGGTGCTGGGTGGAGACTTGGGCCATGGGGACAAAGAGGCTTCTCTCCCCTTGGCTGATCTTGCAACCTGCCACACAAAAAGACACAACTTTGTTATTCTCATTTTGTTTCTTGGATTTGTGTCCCTTTCTTTCACACTCTTCCCCTCCCCTGAGCTGGAATTGCAGAACTGAGGTTTTCAGTCCTAGAGCGCATGGATTTGTTCTTGCTCCCAGGCCCACAATCTCCCCTGGCAGGATTTGATTGGCAGGCTGGGCTTATTTCTCCACTCTCCCCCTTTAATCCTCATGTCCTAAGAACACACCAACAGATCCATGCTCTTTGGAAGCCCCTGGAATGGTGGGGTCTATGTGGAGGGGGGTGGGTGGCAGCTCGAGGCTTGTATCTAGGTAGGAAGAAGGTAGGGAAATAGTAGGAAGGATGAGGATATCAGGATGCACTCCTCCTGATGCCCCGCTAGCTGGCTTTTTGGCTTTCGATTTCACTCTCTGCTCCCTGTTCTCAACAATCAGCTCCTGATCTCCCATTCACACTTCTTGCCCCACTTTATTTATTTATTTATTTTTAAAGAGATAGAGTCTCACTGTGTTGCGCAGGCTGGTCTTGAACTCCTGGACTCAAGCAATCCTCCTGCCTCGGCCTCCTAAAGTACTAGGATTATAGGCATGAGCCACTGCTCCTGGCCTTGCTCTCACTTTCAAGAACTTTCTTTTTCAAACTCAGGTTGGAAAGTGAAAAACCTCAGTATGCTACACAGATTTGTCAATTCAGATACCAAAATCAGAGAAGCACAAAATAAAAGAGAAAGAGAGAGAGAAAAAACTTAAATACAAACCTTTACACTTAAGCTGCCATACTTTTTTCTCATTTCCTTGTCCTCTTTCTGTTTATTAATCTGTAAAATTGAAGACCCATATCATTGGTTATTATCTGCAAAGATTAAAAAAGACAATTTTCTATAAAACTTCTATAAGCAATGAAAGAGTAACGTTTTAAACCATTTGTCTCCCAAAACGATTATGGGATAAAAGTTATAGTATCAAAGAAAAAACAAACTTGTATCCAGAAAAAGAACTTTTATTAAAAAAGTGAACAGGAATATATAACATTGCAAAAATCTAAAGTCATTAGCCTTTATTCATTGCATTAAGTACAACAAAGATCATAGGAAAACATGCATTATTTGCTTATGAGGTGATAATTTGATACATTAGTATAACAGCTATAAATACTAGGCCTTATTCTTAATATAAGATAGCTTGAGAAGGCCGGGCACGGTGGCTCACACCTGTAATCCCACTTTGGGAGGCTGAGGCAGGTGTATCACCTGAGGTCAGGAGTTCAAGACCAGCCTGGCCAACATGGTGAAACCCCATCTCTACTGAAAATACAAAAAATTTTCCGGGCGTGGTGGTGGGCGCCTGTAATTCCAGCTACTTGGGAGGCTGAGGCAGGAGAATCTACCCAGGAGGCAGAGGTTGCAGTGAGCCAAGATAGTGCCATTGCACTCCAGCCTGGGCAACAAGAGTGAAACTCAGTCTCAAAAAAAAGAAAAAAAAAAAGATAGTTTGAGAAATTTAAGATAATTTAATTGTTGAACTTCAATAACGTAATGAATGAAATTTTACTTTAAAAATCAATTTCAAAGCTGGGTGCAGTGGCTTATGCCTGTAATCCCAACACTTTGGGAGGCTGAAGCAGGAGGATTGCTTGAAGCCAGGAGTTCAAGACCAGCCTGAGCAACATAGCAAGACCTCTGTCTCTATAAAAAATAAAAAAATAAAAATTACCCAGGTGTGGTGGTGTGTACCTATAGTCCCAGCTACTCAGGTAGCTGAAGCAGGAGAATCGCTTGAGTCCAGGAGTTTGAGGTTACAGTGAGCTGTGATTGTGCCACTGCACTCCAACCTAGGCAACAGAGTGAGACCCTGACTTCAGAAAAAAAATCAATTTTAATTTCTAGGTATAAAAGGTACTGTATCAAAAAATGTATTATTAGTGCATGTTTCCATAATATTAAGATTTTTTCATAATATGAATTTATGAGTAATGCCAGTGATTCTAATTATAAATAATCCTACTTGAAATTTAAAAATGATGAGAAACACATCTAACCATTAATCTCATTGGCATCTGAACAACAACTACAATGGATTTGTAAAATTTTCTCTCACCTACCAATAAAGCAGAACTCAAGAGCAAGCAGGGCTGTCTAATGACATCTTGCAGTCTGAGAGGATAGTTACTGATGCCCACGAAAGGCTATACTTAGTTGGTTTCAATGGGTTTGAACTCAAGCCTAATACAGTCATGAATGGCTTAACAATGGGGATACATTCTGAGAAATGTGTCATTAGGCAATTTTATCATGTGCATACATTAGAGTGTACTTACAGAAATATAGGTTGCACAGCCCACTACACGCCTAGACTTTACGGCATAGCCTATTGTTCCTAGGCCACAAACCTGAACAGCATGTTACTGTACTGAATATTGTAGGCAACTATAACACAATGATATGTATTTGTGTATCTAAACATATTCAAACATAGAAAAGTTACAGTAGAAACATGGTATCATAATCTTATTGGACTACCATCGTGTATTTAGTCTGTTGTTGACCAAAATGTCATTATGCAACACATGGCTGTATTATAGTTAACCTTTGTTGTAATGGTTTAAAAATCATTTTCTTCATACTACTATAAGAAATTTCTAGAAAATGTAATAAATCATCCCTCAGATAGAACCTGTGATCTTTAGAAAGGACTGAAGAGCATCAGAAAATATATGACTATTTTGTCTTAATTTCTTTCAAACACATAGGGTTGTTTAAAGCAAGAATTATGACACTGGTATAAATATAAAACATATGACAACTGTAACATGATGAATGAAGAAATAAATAGATATATAAATAAACATATATGTTTGCAAAGTTTCTATACTTTACATGAAATTGTCCAACACTAACTCCAAGTGGACTGTCAAAAGTTAAGAATGTAAATTACAATCACTAGAGCGCCTGCTATAAGATAGAGCCAAATGGTAATAGATAATTTGCAATGGAATTCTAAAATATTAAAAGTAGGCAAAAAAGAAGGAACAGAGGAATGACAACAACAAAACCAAGAGAAGACATATAGAAAATAAATAACGAAATAGTAGACCTTAATCTGACCCTATTAATAGTAACAGTGAATGATGAATTAAACAATCTAGTTAAAATGCAGAAATGGCTAGGATGTATTCAAAAAGCAAGCTCAACTATTTACTGTCTACAAGAGAAGCACTTAAATATAAATATACTGAGAATTTAAAAATAAGTGCATTGAAAAAGGAATGCAACACAAACATAAGAAGGCTGGAGAAAATGCATTTATATCTAGTATAGTAGACTTCAGGATGGAAGAAATGCTAGAGCTAAAGAAAGACATATAATGATAAAAAGATCAGTTCATTGGGAGGGCATAACGATCACAAACGTGTATGTGCCTAATAACAGAGCTAAAAAATATGCAAAGCAAAATTGGCAAAATTATGAGAATTAATAAATAACACTCCTGTCTCAGAAATTGATAGAAACAAAAAAATTAAATACATATAGATGCCCTGAATAACACTATCACTCTCAATCTAATTTATAACACCCAACAATGGCAGAAAACACATCATTTTCAAGTATATGTAATACTGTCCCATGAAAGACTATATACTGGGGGAGGGGCCAAGAGCCAATTAGAAGCAGCTGTGGTCCATGGCTGTCATGCAGAAGAATAAAAATGGCGACTGAATTCAGCACCTTCAACTGAAATATCCAGATTCTCACACTGGGACCAACTAGGCAGACAACCTGACCCACAGAGAATGAAGAAAAGCAGGGTGGGGTGATGGTCCACCCAGAAGTGGCACAGAGCCAAAGAAACCCCTGCCCCCAGCCAAGGGAAGTGGTGAGTGATTGTGTGACCTCCCCTGGGAAACCATGCTTCTCCCATAGATCTTTGCAACCTGTGGATCAGGAGATCCCCTCATGAGCCCATACCACCAGGGCCCTGGGTCTGATACACAGAGGTGTGTGGAGTCTTGGCAGACTAGCTGCTCAGGCATACATGGAGATCCAGCAGTTTTACATACTCTGGTCCTGGGAATCCTGGCAAGGTGGCAGATCTGTCTGTACCTTCCCCGGGGAAGGGGACTGAATCCAGGTAGCCAAGCAGCTTTGTTCTGCAGGCCCCACTTCCATGGTGCCTTACAGGTTAAGACCCACTGGCTTGGAATTCCAGACAGACAGCAGCAACAGGCTGGAGACGGCCTGAGATGGACCAAATTCCCAGGGGGAGAGGCGGCTGCCATCTCTACAGTTTGGTTGACTCAGCTGTTCTAGCCCACCAGTTCTAGGGAGTCCAGGTGGTTCACATGAGGAGGAGTCTCCCACAATGCAGCACAGCTGCTGTGCAGAAATAGTGGCCAGACTGCTTCTTTAAGTGGAACCCTGATCCAGCTCTCCTCACTGGGTGGGGCCTCCCTGCAGGAATTTCAGCAACTCCAGCCAGGGTTATATGTACAGAACTCTGATCTCTCCCTGGGACAGAGCCCCAATTAAAAGACATAAAATGGCAAGTTGGATAAAGAGTCAAGACCCATCAGTATGCTGTCTTCAACAGACCCCTCTCACATTCAAAGAAACACATATGCTCAAAATAAAGGGAGGAGGGAGAAATTTACCAAGCAAAAGGAAAACAGAAAAAAGTGGGATCACAATCCTAGTTTCTGACTAAACAGACTTTAAACCAACGAAGATCAAAAAAGACAATGAAGGGCACTACATAATGGTAAAAGGTTCAATTCAACAAGAAGAGCTAACTATCCTGAATGTATATGCACCCAATACTGGAGCACCCAGATTCAAAAAGCATGCTCTTAGAGTCCTACAAAGAGACTTAGACTCCGCTCTATCTATTAATGTATACCAGAGGTGTTTCCAGTTTTTTGCTCTTACAAACAAAGCTGCTATAAACATTTGTGACCCAAGACTTTGTGTGAACATGTGCTTTTATTTATCTTGGGTAAATACCAAGGAGTGGGATAGCCAGACCATCTGTTAAGTATAGAATTTTAGAAATTTCTTTTAGCTGTCAAAATATTTTTCTAAATGGTTGTATAGTTTACATTTCCACTAGCAGAGAATAAGAGTTCTAGTTGCTCCACATCCTTGACAACACTTTATATGGTCGACCTTTTAAATTTTAGCCATGCTAGTGAGTATATAGCAATATTTCATTGAGATTTTAATTTGTATCTCCCTAAAGACTAATGATGTTGAGCATCTTTTTATGTCATCATTTGCCATCTATATATCTTTTTAAATAAAGTGCCTGTTCAAATAGCTTGGCCATTTAAAAAATTGGGTTGTTTTCGTATTATTACATTGTAAGAGTTCTTTGCATAGTCTATATGCAAATCCTTTGTTAAATATATTTTGCAAATATTTCCTCCCACTCTGTGGTTTGTTTTTTCATTAAAAAATTTTTTTGAAGAGTAAACTTTTTGTTGTTGTTGTTTGAGACAATGTCTTGCTCTGTCACCCAGGCTGGAGTGCAGTGGTGTGATCAGTGATGTGATCAGGGCTCACTGCAGCCTTGACCTCCCTGGATTCAGGTGATCCACCCACCTCAGCCTCTGAAGTATCTGAGACTACAGGTGCATGCCAACATGACTACCTAATTTTTCTATTTTTTATAGAGATGAAGTTTCATCATGTTGCCCACGCTGGTCTTGAACTCCTGGGCTCAAGCAATCCATCAGCCTTGGCCTCCCAAAGTGTTGGGATTACAGGCGTGAGCCACCATGCCTGGCTAAACTTTTTAAATTTTTGATAAACTGTAATTTGTTATTTAAGAAATCTTTGCCAAATCTGAGACCACTAAGATTATCTCTTATACCTTATTCTAGAAGTTTTGTAGCTTCAGCTATTACAATTCTGATCCATTTCAAGTTAACTTTTACATGAGGTGTCAGGTAAGGGTTGAAGTTCATTTTTCACTTATTGCTGTCCAATTGTTTCAGTACTATTTGTTGAAAAGATTATCCTTACTACTTGAATTGCGTTTGCATCTTGGTCAGAAATCAATTCATTATATATGATCCATAAGTTCTACTTCTAGATTCTCTAGTCTATTCCAGCAATCTATGTTTATCCTTATGCCAAGACCACTTTACCTTGACTACTATAGTTTTACAGCAAGTTTGAATCAGGCATGTGCATCTTCCAACTTTGCTCTTTTTCAAAATTGTTTTAGCTATCCCAGGTCTTGTGCATGTCTATATAAATTTTAGGATAGGCTTGTTGATTTCAACAACAACAACAAAAACCCTGCTGGGATTTTGATTAGGATTGTGTTTAATCTATAAATCAATCTGGAGAGAATTGACAGCTTGATAATATGCATCTCCTGAATCATGAACAATGGAATATTTCTGCACCTATTTAAGTCTTTCATTTATTTCAGCAGTATTTTATATTATTAACTGTACATGTTTTATGCGTATTTTGCCATGTTTATCCATAAGCACTTCATATTGTTTGATGCTATCATAACTGGTGTTTTTCAAAATTTCAATTTTTGATTGCTCATTGCTTATATATAGAAGTACAAGATTTTTGTATCTTGATCTTTGCAACCTTTCTGCATTCACTTATTAATTCTAGTAGCTATTTTTGTAGATTTGTTAGGATTTCCTATAGAGATGATCATGTCGTCTGGGAATTTAAAAAGTTCTACCTCTTCCTTCCCAATCTGGATGTTATTTATTTTTGTGTGTGTGCATTATTGCACTGGTTAGGACCTAAAATACAATGTTGAATGGAAGTGATAAGAGCAGAAATTCTTGTCATATTTCTGACTTCAGACTCAAAATCTTCATCCTTTCACTATCAACCATGATAATAGTGTGTTTCGTAGATATCGCCTATCAGCTTGAGAGGTTCTCTTCTATTCCCAGTTTGCTGAGAGTATTTTTTATCATGAATGGAAATTGGAGTCCCTCAAATGCTTTTTCTTCATCCACCTGCTTCTGGCTCCATTATTTTATATTCTTCCCATGAACAAAATATATTTATCTTCACTCAAGGCCTTAAAAAATCTCATTGTACTATAGCATCAGCTTGCAGTCTGGAATCTCATTATCTAAATCAGGTCCAGGTGCAGATGAGGCTCCTTGAGTACAATCTCTCTTGATCTGAAGATCCAGAAACTAAAGAGACAAGTTAGCTGTCCCCACACAGCCAATGTTCCATTGTGGGACACAGGATAAGCACTAGAGATCCCACTCCATTCAAGGGAAGAAGGAGGCATAGAGCAATAGCTGGTCCACAGTAATTTTGAAATCCAACTAGGCATATATTGCCAGTTCCTTGACTAGGACCAAGTCCTGCTCCACTTTTGGAGGCAAACTACCACACACAGTAAATATTGTTGGAAAACTTGAACTTCTGAAGTCCACGTAGTTGTTTTTACTCTGTATTGTTTCTCACAGGTATTGGGGGAACCAGCCCCCAATATTTCAATGTAGGTTCTTTCTATTTTCCCCAAGTGTTGGCCAGTCTGAGAAATAAAGAGAAAAAGTACAAAGAGAGAAATTTTATAGCTGGGCCTCCGGAGGTATCATCACATATTGGTAGGACCGTGATGGCGCCCCCGAGCTGCAAAACCAGCAAGTTTTTATTAGGGATTTCAAAAGGGGAGGCAGTGTACGAATAGGGAGTGGGTCACAGAGATCACACGCTTCAAAGGGCAATGAAAGATCACAAGTCAAAGGGCAGAGCAAGATCACAAGGCAAGGGAGAAATTAGAATTACTGATGCAGGTCCATGTCCCGCTGGGCACACACTGTCTTGATAAACATCTTAACAGGAAACAGCGTTCGGGAGCAGACAACTGGTCTGACTAGAATTTACCAGGCTGGAATTTCCCAATCCTAGTAAGCCTGAGGGCACTGCAGGAGACCAGGGCGTATTTCATCCCTTATCTCAACAGCATAAGACAGACACTCCCAGAGCGGCCGTCTATAGACCTACCCCTGGGAATGCATTCCTTTCCCAGGATATTAATTATTAATATTTCTTGCTGGGAAAAGAATTCGGTGATATTTCTCCTACTCACACGTCTGTTTATATAGGCTCCCTGCAGGAAGAAAAATATGGCTCTATTCTGCCCGACCCCGCAGGCTGTCAGACCTTATGGTTATCTTTCCTTGTTCCCTGAAAATCACTGTTATCCTGTTCTTTTTCAGGGTGCACTGATTTTATATTGTTCAAATACACGTTTTACAATTTGTACAGTTAACGCAATCATCACAGGGTCCTGAGGTGACATACATCCTCAGCTTACAAAGATGACGGGATTGAGAGATTAAATCCTATGCCTAGGATTTAATAGGCATAGGAAATTATAAAAGTATTAATTTTGGGAACTAATAAATGTCCATGAAATGTTCACAATTTATGTTCAGAGACTGCAGTAAAGACAGGTGTAAGAAATTATAAAAGTATTAATTTTGGGAACTAATAAATGTCCATGAAATCTTCACAATTTATGTTCTTCTGCCGCAGCTTCAGCCGGTCCCTCTGTTCGGGGTCCCTGACTTGCTGCAACACACAGGTGGTTCCTTATTTCCTTGTGTGCTTCCTTATCTTTGACTATGTGATATTAATTGCTCCTATAATTGTAGGGGAGAGAATTCTGGGAATTCTCTGAGGCTTAGGATTAAATTACTTCCTTACAGAGAGTATTTCCATTTGCTTCTTTCAGGGGTACTTCCTATTCACTTAAAACCAAACTGATGCCAGGTGCAAGGTACAGTGGCACGTAGTCCCAGCTACTTGGGAGGCTGAGGTGGGAGGATTGCTTGAGCACAGGAGTTCGAGATCAGCTTATGCAACCTATCAAGATCGCATCTCTTAAAAACAAGCAAACTAACTAAACTGAGGGTTTGAGGTTCTGTGAATACAAATTTGAGTTGCAAATCCCCTGTAAGTCCTGCCTCTCAAAACCCTTCGGGAAGAGATTGTCCCCCTTGTGTTGCTCAGTACAGAGGCAACTCTCCCCTGCAGGCCTCTGGGTATTAGGTAGGTTGCAGGTTTACATTTGGTCACATTCATCCTGCAGGAATGACCTTTGGTTCTCAGCCTAATGCAAGAGATCACTGCTGATTACCCCTACACACACATACACACACACATGCACACGCACACACACACAGAGGCACTCTAGCATGCCCTGCACTGTGACTTCTGTTTAGTGCAGATGAGTAAATCCCCTCAGGACAATCAGCTTGGAAACCTCAACTGACCCCTCTGTGTTTCCCTTGATGTTTGACTTTTGACCAGGTAAGCCCCATGTCCCTGGTCAATTTTTTATGCTTTTACAAAGATGTTTGTAATACTGTATCTAGAATTTTTTGAGGTTTTAAAAAAGTTGGGCGGGAGTCACTTTGAATGCTAGCTCACTTGACAAGTTTTCCCTGTAATCAATATCAATATGGTTAATTTTTAAAAGTTTGAGCCCTTTTTCCTACAGTTTCCATTCTGCCTCAGAATTCTCTCTCAATACATTGGAGTTGATACATGAACTTATGTTTATTTGGAATCCCTGGAGTAATAGAAGAAGCTTCCACGTTTCTTCCCATTAGGGTGATTAACGATTCTGGTTTTTCTTAGGACTGTGGGGTTTCTCAGGATGTAGGGCTTTCAGTGCTAAGAATGAACAAACCAGGATGAGATAGTCACCCTATCAGTCATGATCAATGCTTTAACCACTGAGTGTAGGTGTGGATAATCCACTCCTCTTTTCTCTGAGGAGGGAAGGAACCTTTACACATTACTAGTGGGAACAGACAAACCCATGACCCAATAGCTCCTTCCTCAACTCTGTTGCTTGGTCAGTGAAATGGCTCAGGGGGGGATAAAGGGAGCCTCTTGAAGACCTGCAGGACTCCTATTCATACAGAAGTCATTGATGCCACCTCCTCTAGCTCAGCTTTGGGTGCTCTCCTTTTTAGAAAGACAATTCCCTGGCCAGGAAGCTCCCATTGTCATATAGTGTGCTAGATGGCCAACTTCCCTATAAATATATAAAGTGGTGTGTGTGGGGGATCCCTCTCCCAAGCAATTCCTGTGATTCACCTTACCCGAGCTCTCCTCTTGGTGGGCTAATAAAAGACCAAAGGAGTGTGTCCTGTCTGTTAATTTTCTTCTTGTAAGTTTTTAATCAATAAACTTTATACCTGCACCACACATTCTAGAGGTATGTATGCCTGTACCCTTGTATTCCATCTAGGAATACAACAGCACAACACTAGATATTGCCCATGGTGAGCAGTTGGCCTAATCACCACGTTGCGAGAGATAAATGGCAATTTCCTTATGTGGAAATTTGGACCACCTCCCTGAGCGCAGGGGTAATGGCTTATATTTATGTAAATGTATTAGTATTAGTAAATGTATTAGAAAGTGTAACATGCTAATAGCGATGTGCCAGGGAAAGGAATTGGTGAATAAATAAATTAAATGAAAACAAAGGAAGAGGATCAGAATCACAAACGGATAAGACATTTCACTTAACCACACCTGGCTAAGAGTTTTTCCTTATTATATGAGGCAGCAGATCTCAACATGTGGTCCAAGGACCCCTAAGGTGCCCCAAACCTTAGGGGTTCTGTGAGGCCTAAATTATTCTCATAATAATACTAAGAGATCTGTAACTGTTTCTTCATTCTCATGGTCTCACAAGTGGACACTGGAGTTTTTCAGAAGCTACGTGATATTTATCATGGCAGAGAATACAGAAGCATCTACGAGAATTTAAATATTTTCCAGGAAGCCAAATACTAAAGAAATTTGCAGAAATAAGTGGCTGGGTATGGTGGCTCATGCTTGTAATTCTAGCACTTTGGGAGGCTGAGATGGGTGGATCACTTGAGCCCAGGAGTTCACAACCAGCCTGGGCAATGTGGCAAAACCCTGTCTCTACAAAAAATAGAAAAATTAGCCGGACATCTTGGTGCATGGCTGTAATCCCAGCTACTTGGGAGGCTGAGGCAGGAGAATAACCTGAGCCCAGGAAGTCAAGGCTGCAGTGAGCCATGATTGTGCCACTGCACTGCAGTCTGGGTGACAGAGTATGACCAACTCCAAAAAAAAAAAAAAAATAATAACACACACACGTATACAAAATACACACATATGTAAGACAAAGCCACTTTTGCTAAACATTTTCTGTGTTGAGAAAGATTTTCTTATAAACAATATGCCATTTATGTCAGCATGTAAAGAGTTTAGTGTTGTTATTTTCAAGTCATTTAATAAATAATTTGATTCTGTTTTCCTTTCATATATGGTAAATATCAATAGATAAAACCCATCTGTGTTAGTCTATTCTCACATTGCTATAAAGAAATATCTGAGACTGGGTAATTTATAGAGAAAAGAGGTTTAATTGGCTCACGGTTCTGCACGCTGTACAGGAAGCACAGGGGCTTCTGCTGCTGGGGAGACCTCAAGAAGATTCCAATCATGGTGGAAGGTGAAGGGGGAGCAGGTGTCTCACATGGTGGGAGCAGGAGCGAGAGAGAGAAGTGGGGAGGTGCTATACATTTTTAAATGACCAGAACTCACTCACTATAGTGAAGACAGTATCATGGGAGATGACGCTAAACCATTCATGAGAAATCTGCCCGCATGATACAATCACCTCCCATGAGGCCCCCACTCCAACATTGGAGCTTACATTTCTATATGAGATTTTGATGGGAACACACATCCAAACTGTATCACCATCTAAACCAAATTTTCTTGGGGGACCTCAATGACACTTAAGATTGTAAAGCGATCCTGAGACCAAAAAGGTTGAGAACCCCTGGAATGGAACCTGGAAATTAATCCTGGAAACCCCACTGTAGTTACTCTGTGTATTGTATAGCTGTGTCACATGTGTATTAACAGTATTACGGGCTTATTAAAGTACATATAGTTCATGCCATATATAGTGTGGGTTAAGCCATTCTCAAATAAATATTTTTTGTTATCCCTTCCATCATTTACTCATAACAAATATTTATTGGCCATCTACTCCATGAGGGCCACCATGTTAGGTTTTACGGGCAAAACTGTAGCTCACAGAATGGAAACAGCAGGTAAGATAACAGGCCATCTCTATAGAATGTGATGAGAGCCACAAGAGGAGAACTGTGTGCCACGCCAGCATGAGGGTGGGCACCTCTTCCAGGCAAGGGAAGTCAGGGTGGGAGAAGTTTCCCAGAGGAGGCAGCATCTGACCTCCGACCTGAAAGATGAGAGGAGCTAACCAGGTGCTGACCAAGAGAGGTCAGTTCAGGGAGAAGGAACAGCACAGAAGGAACAGAACTCTGAGGCATCCTTATCTGAATCTCCTGAGTGTAAAGAGAGAAATCTACCTGCTGATTTCAGGTAGGGTAGATGGCTGCAAGAATTCATGGGGCTCATTCTGATGAATTTTGAACAACACACCCTCAGGAGAGCTCTTCCTTTCACAAGGTTTGCCTTCTAGCTCTTTGACTTCCTAAGTGGATTGTGGGTCGGTCGCAGCGGCTCATGCCTGTAATCCCAACACTTTAGGAGGCTGAGGCAGGAGGATTGCTTGAGTCCAGGAGTTCAAGACCAGCCTGGGCAATATAGCGAGGCCCTGTCTCTATATTTTATAAATGTTATTTTAAAAATTAGATTGTGAAGGCTATGCAGGACTAATAAATATCCAAGATTGCATGGAGCACATTTGACTGACCAGTGGGCAGAGACTCACTGATAGCGAGACAGGGACCACATGGACAGCAGAACTTGCTCCTCTGCCTTCCATGGCATACAGGGACACAGTCACATTAGGCCACGCTTGTGTCATGTTTGTCTTGATGAAGAGCCACTATTCACAGAGCTTCCATGTAAACGTGGTTTTGCACAGGCCACGGAAACATCTGTTTCCTAACTGGATGGCCAAATACTGCCACATGACATATAACAGGACTGCACAGGCTTGAGGCATGCCTCGGAGGGAACGCAGGTGTCAGGAACCTAGTTGTGGGAGCGAGGGAGACTGCAATGGTAACTCAGTGCTGTGCCCCCAGAATGGGGCTAGGGCAACCTATGTACTTCCTTCCTATCTCCAGTCTGGATTGTTCCAAGAAATAGGGTGCACGGGGATGAAGCAGATGGAAATGAAGTAAGAGAAAGAGTTCAATCATGGTGTTTTTCTGATGAGGACCCTCTCTTTTGTTAACTTCAAAATAAGTGAAAGCCACTCAGCCTAGGAATCATGGGAAGATACAAAATTATTTCATATGCTTCCTCAAAAGCCATTCTAAGGATACAATCACTCTAGGTTGCATTGCTTACCTAACATATATATTATATAAATAATAAATATGTGTATAAGTTGTATATAATAAATAAATAAATAAATATTTATCTATTTTTTTAAATAGACAGTGTCTTGCTCTGTCGCCCGGGCTGAAAAGCAGTGGTACAATCAGCTCACTGCAGTGTCAAACTCCTAGGCTCAAGTGATCCTCACACTTCCCACCTAGCCTCCTGAGTAGGAGGACTGCAGGCATGCGCTACCATGCCTAGCTAATCTTTTTTATTTTATATAAAAACGGGGCCTCACTATGTTGCTCAGGCAGGTCTCGAACTCCTGGGCTCAAGTGATCCTCCCATCTCAGTCTCCCAAAGCACTGGGATTACAGGCATGAGCTGCCACACACAGCCAGTTTACATATACTTACTGATTGTGCCTCTTTACTACCAGTTCTTTGACTTTTTGCACTCTTAACAAGTCAGAAAATAACTTTCATTGGAAAATAGTAATAGACAAGCATGTAACAAAACCCTTCTAGCTAGAAAGTATTTACATTTTTACAAAACGACTGTGGTCAACTCCACCTTCTCCCACTCTCCCTTGTCAGTGCAATCACAAATCCTGGGTCCTGGAAAAACGCAGGATAGCGAGAAACAAAGGAAGCACAAAATAGCAACAACAAGGCCAGGCTGCCTCCAAGTGAGTAACAGAATGCCTTGCAGGGATAGGGAGAAGGTGGCGAAATAGTGACCTCGATGGGTCCAAAGCAGGTATGCAATGGAAACCTCCATCACAAGAAGAACCTCAAGCCCACTCCCTCTATTGAAATCATGAGCTCCTAGACTAGTCTAGGCATCCTGAAGGCTCTTTCGCTGTCGTGGGGTTTGTGGTGCAGGCTCTTGCTGCTTGGCAACAAGCTTGGGGCGCAACAAACTTCTAAACCACAAAATAAAACGTGATTGGTTCCCCTGTGAGCAATACAATAGCACCCGTTAAAGGCTTACAGTTAAAATAAAGAGGCAAAGTAATTCAAAGAGTATGGGATCTGCTCCTAGTATAGGCACAAATTCACTGATTGAGTAGTTTAATTTCTTCTCTATTGCTGCTAACAAACAATATAACATTGGCTTTCCACTCTATAAAAACACTTTCAATTTTAATGACAATGTGCACATATATTTAGTTGTTTGTTTTCCAAAGCAAAGCCTGAACTTTGGAGGAATGACAGAGGAGAGTGGGGGTGGGGGTAGAAGAAATTCACCAAGTAGACTCAAATAATGGAGTCTATTTTTATATGCCAGGTATTTAAAAGTAGAAGGCCCAAAATAACACATTTGTTAACACATGGTTTTTGCGAATCGCCAACCATAAATTTTTTTCGTTGCCTGCATTCCCAAGTTGGTTTCGTAGAAGGCTTTATTGTAATCCAGGAGAATTGTTTTGCATTAATTTCTATGACAAGGAACCCAAAACACAGGGTGCTGAGAGTAACAAAACAGAGTTAGGGAAACAGTCATGACTTGGCACAAAGTGTGACAAGCTGTAAAAAAGCGAATGTTTCAATATCTGAAGTGGTGTTGATTTCCTATGAGCAACCTTTTCTCTTCCAAACAGTATCATATTCTTTTCAAGCACATTTAGAACGCAAGTCAAGCTGTGTTTTATTTTTTATTATAATAAACACAGTCAGTTTACCGTAACAAAGACATACTAGTGGTAATCAGCTGAAAGCCAAATACGCCACCATAAGCTGGGCAGGGGGCTGCTGTGGCGGGGCTGGGGGCTGGGGGCTGGGTAGTCAACTGATAAAAGACCAGCCGTCTGGAAAGTTCTCTTAAAAGAACATAAAAAGGCAGTGTTTTCTTATGAGACTAACACAGAATGCCAAAATATCTAGCTGGGCTCTTTTTTTATTGTCACTTATGGCAATTTGTAACTGAAAATAGCAATTCCTTCAAAATAGCGGGCTCTCATATTTGTTTTTTTAAATCTCCATAATAAAATGCAGAAATTTTATACATGGTTTTAAATGGTAATACTATTTTTTACACAAGACTCTAGTAAGCATATTTATTGCTGTGCTACTCAAACTGATTTCTTTAAAATGACCATTTACATATGTTTATAATTTTACATGTACTTAGATTTTTGATAAAGATGAAATGAGTCATTCACAGGAAACAATCACAAATAAAGTTTATAAAACTTTCATGGTTAAATTAAATTCCTGAATTCAAATTTGTTAGGAAATAATGTAAATCATCTTACCACATCCTGAACTAATGATTTTTCATAATGAAGCTCTTCTCTTAATCTGTCTCTACTATCCATTAACTGAAATAGAGAAGAAATTATATTTTTATTAAAGATAAGAACAGAACACCTAAAATCCCTCCTCAAGAAAATTTAGTGAAACATATTTTAATATGAGAAAAATGGATCTCAATCTGATCAAAAGAAAAATAAATTTCTACAGATTATCATCTTATATTATTACGGAATTATTATGCAAGCAAGTAAAATATACACAGAAAATACCGATTTATTTACACCTTTTCTCACCCCATGCCATCAAAATGTAACATCACAATAAAGCAAGTCCTACTCTGTCAAAAAGAACAATTTTACTTAAGGCTTTATGTGACCCATCTCTTATTTTAGGGTTTTGCGCTATGTCTATGTGCATATCAAACCACATTTATGCCAATTGAAAATAGCTATCAGAAGCATACACTGGGCTGGGTGCAGTGGCTCACACCTGTAATCCCAGTGCTTTGAGAGGCTGAGGCAGGAGGATTGCTTGAGGCCAAGGGTGTGAGACCAACCTGGTAGTCCCAGCACTTTGGAAGGCTGAGGCGGGTGGATCACCTGAGGTCAGGAGTTCAAGACCAGCCTGACCCACATGGTGAAACCCCATTTCTACTAAAAATACAAAAATTAGCTGGGCATGGTGGCATGTGCCTGTAATCCAAGCTACTTCGGAGGCTGAAGCAGGAGGATTGCTTGAGCCCAGGAATTTAAGGCTGCAATGAACTATGGTCGCACCACTGCACTCCAGCCTAGAAACAAGACCCTGTCTTTAAACAAACCAACCATTTATTTGTGGGAGCTAGAAATTGAAACAATTGAACTTACGGAGATAGAGAGAAGACGGATGGTTACCAGATGCTGGGAAGGGTAGTGAGGGGTGGGGTAATAGGGTTAATGGTACAAAAAAAAAACGGCTAGGAAGAATGAATAAGACCTAGTATTTGATAGCACAACAGGGTGACCATAGTCAATACTTTAATTGTATATTTAAAAATAACTAAAAGAGTATAAATGGATTGTTCGTAATACAAAGGATAAATGCTTGAGGTGATGCATACCCCACTTACCCTCATGTGATTATTACACATTCTATGCCTGTATCAAAATATTTCATATACTCTGTAAATATATACACCTACTAGGTACCCACAAAAATTAAAAATGAAAAAACAAACAAAAACCCCATTCACTGCAGGGCCCTTGTTCCCTTGTGACTTGCCTTTGTATTTACGTTGATCAATTGCTGTTTGTGTGTGTTATAGGCTAGTAAAATTCAACCTTTCGTTGTGATATGCATTCAATTTAATTAATTCATGTCTGTATGAATTTAATAAACATCCCCAGTGTCACTGTTCTTGTTTCAGTTCTTTATTGTTTCCCTGGCTTATCCAAGCAACAACTTCACTGGACTCTGGTTCCGGGCTTTCCTCCCTCCCATTAATTTTCTTTCTGAAACACAAATCTGATCCTGCCGCAATGTTCAAGGCCCTCCAACGCACTCAGAAGGTAATTCAAACCTTTCTGCATGAATATAATCTTCTGCCACCGTCCTCTGCCCCTTGCCACTCCTTGCCCTCATGTTCTCTTCAGCTACAGGAAACCACACGCCCTTTGCTATACAAGGTGCTTTTGCGTGGTACTTAGAATACCCCTCCCAACTCTCCTGCATCTCTTTCCTGGCTAACTCTAACTGCTCTTCTCGGGGCCATTGCAGTATCCTTTCTCCAACCTTCCCTGATCCCGTAGAGTCCAGGCTGGGCATGCCTCTTGTGTGCCGCACACCAAACTCTGCTTCTCTGCATCCTGACGCTATCACACCTGTACTGTGCTCTCTGACTCCGGGTCTGCCTCCCTCCCAGAATGAAATTCATGAGAACAGAGTCTACTGTGGCAGCAGCTGGAAGACCGACACAGATACAGCTGGTATTTGATTCCTGGAATTAAAACACAAAAGCTATGAATTCCATAACTGACCATGCTTAGCCCAGATAGATGGCAAGAGGTCAGCTTCCCCAAATTCAGTCCCATTTTCAACCTGTTTTTAAGTGCATCCAGGGCTTAAAAAAAAAAAAAAAAGGGTGGGGGGAACACGTGGTTATCTGAAGGCTTCTGAGTTGCTCCTTTCCATTCTTCCATTTCCTGCTTACACCCCCTTCCCCACACCCCTGGTCTCCCCACTCTGTCTGCCCCACTACAGATTCTTCCTATATAGTTTCATCAGATTCCTACTGCATTCTGGAGCCACATCCAGTCACAAGCAGTTCCACAAACCCCTGTCAGGCTTTATGCATTCATACCCTGTACCCAGCTCTTCCACTCTTGCCTGCCTGGAAAAATCAGCTCCAAAGCCCAGCACGGTGGCTCACGCCTATGATCCCAGCACTTTGGGAGGGTGAGGTGGGAGGATCCCTTGAGCCCAGGAGTTCGAGACCAGCCTGAGCAACATAGTGAGAGACCATCTCCACAAAAAAAAAAAATTAAAAAAAAAATTTAGCCATGTGTGGTGCATGCCTGTAGTCCAACCTACTCAGGAGATTGAGGTGGGAGAATTGCTTGAGCCCAGGAAGGCTGCAGTGAGCCATGATCATGCCACTGCACTCCATCGCAGGCAACAAAGCAAGACCTTATCTCAAAAAACCCCCAAACAAACAAACAAACAAACAAACAAAAAAACCTAAAAAATCAGCTCCAGTGGGCCTCAACAGGAGAACGTGAGAAAGGTTGTGGAACTGTTTATGAAGGTTTTCTAGAATCTTCCAGATGAAGCCAGGCATCTCTTCTCTAGTACACACTTCTCTTATAGTCCCTATCTCACTGCCCTGTGGTTTTGGTCTATCCCTGTAGACTTCACCTGTCTCCAGAAGGGACCATAGGTATATACATGCATTTTGTTTTTTCTAGCAGTAGCACAGTGCCTAGTACTTAAAGGCAACTAATAAACATTGCTGAACTAATTGATTTAGTGCAGGATATTGGAAAAAAACCAGCAAATATCAGCTGTCATTTGTTCAACAACATCTGAACTGCTTCCCAGTTGACAAAGCATGCTGACATTCATTATCTCATTCAGTCCACACAGTACGCCTGGGAGAAACAGGAAGGAGGAGACAGGCACTGGCCCCAGGGGACCTAGTTCCAAAAATGGAACAGGAATCCAGGGTTCTAGATTCTTTCTGCTCAGTACCAAAATGTCCCTATATTCAATGTCTATGAGAAGTTCCAGTGCATGTAAAGAAAAAATGAAAAGAAAGACAGAATTAAAAAAAAAAATCAAGCAGATTAGGACTCTGCTATACTATATTATATAATTTGTTATATATATTATATTATAT
The DNA here is from genome assembly GCF_000001405.40 of Homo sapiens. Taxonomy (NCBI): domain Eukaryota; kingdom Metazoa; phylum Chordata; class Mammalia; order Primates; family Hominidae; genus Homo; species Homo sapiens. Next base: position 23,285,387 of record NC_000010.11, read on the forward strand.
TTATATATTATTTTATACATAACAAAGCTATCAGAAATATAATGTGAGTCATATATAATTTTGAATTTTATAGTAGCTGTGTTAAAAAGGCAACAGAAATAGGTAAAAGCAATTTTAATAATGTGTTTTTTATCCCAATATATATTCAAAATATTATTTCAATGTGTAATCAATATAAAAAATTATTAGTGAGACATTTCACATTTTTTACACCAAGTCTTTGAAATCTAGTGTGTATTTTTCACTCACAGCACATCTCAATTGGGGAGCTACGTTTTCATTGGAAATACTTTATTTGTATTCAGATTTCATAAAATTTACAAATGAAAAAGTAAAGTCACATATCCAAGTTATCAAAAATATACAGAAAGGTTTTCCAAGAACTGAAATGAGTTTTTAAATTTGAATTTAAATAATTGGAAATTAAATTATCAAAACTTAGTTCCTCACTTGCACTGGCCACATTTCAAGTGCTCAATAGCCACATGTGGCCAAGGGCCACCATGGCACAGTGCAGATTTAGAAAGCTGAGGCAGCACTTAACTGATATATTTAAACTCACAGATATAGCCAGCCATCAACTGGTGGCTTACCAGTGAGATTTTGTTTTTTTGCTTTAATTTGTTATTGTACTCCTTATAGAGAGTCAGAAGTACATGCTACTCATTTCTACCAGTGGTATACAGACTGAAGAGCTTGAGAAACATTTTCAATAAAGAACCAGGCCCAGTGCAGTGACTCACACCTGTAATCCTAACACTTTGGGAGGACGAGGTGGGAGCATCACTTGAGGCCAGGAGTTTGAGACCAGCCTGGGCAATATAGGGAGACCCTGTTTCTGCAAAAATAAAAAAATAAAAAATTAGCCAAGTGTGGTGGTACTCCTGTTTAGTCCCAGCTACTCTGGGAGCTGAGATGGGAGGATCGCTTGAGGCTGGATGTTTGAGGCTGCAAGTGAGATATTATTGTACCACTGTACTCTAGCCTTAGGGACAGAGTGAGACTGAGACATAGAAGGGAAGGGGAGGGGAGGGGAGGGGAGGGGAGGGAGGGGAGGTGAGGGGAGGGGAAGGGAAGGGAAGGGAAGCAAAGAAGGAAGGGAGGGAAGAAGGAAGGGAGGGAGGGGAGGGAGGGAAGGAAGGGTGGGAAGGGAAGGAAGGGAGGGAAGGGAAGGAAGGGAGGGAAGGGTGGGAAGGAGGGAAGGAGGGAGGGAGGAAGGAAAGGAGGGAGGGAGGGAGGAAAGGAGGGAGGGAGGAAAGGAGGGAGAAAGGAGGGAGGAAAGGAGGGAGGAATGGAAAAACTGGTGATGGTTCCCTGGTTGGTTATTAAGTGAAACTAGAAGGCTGAGATTTCATTTCTGACCTTAGAGGTTGATGCCAAGAAGGTTAAATGGAATTTACATTATTGTCACTGCAAATAGGGTGAAGCCTAAGAAAATGAACTCCCCTTGTGAAAATCTGTGAGGGATTCAGTTATCAGGGAAACATCTCCCACCTCTGACCAATCAGGGTAACCATTTCTTTGAAAAATACTTCTTAAAAGTAGTTTTATCTAAAATCTGAGAATATCTTGAATGAGGAAATAAGAGAGGACACAAACAAATGAAAAAACATTCCATCCTTATGGATAGGAAGAATCAATATCATGAAAATGGCCATATTGCCCAAAGTAATTTATAGATTCAATGCTATTTCCATCAAACTACCATTGACATTCTTCACAGAATTAGTAAAAACTATTTTAAATTTCATATGGAATCAAAGAAGACCCTGTACAGCCAAGACAATCCTAAGCAAAAAGAACAAAGTTGGAGGCATCACACTACCTAACTTCAAACTATACTACAAGGTTACAGTAACCAAAACAGCATGGTACTGGTACCAAAACAGACATATAGACCAATGGAGCAGAACAGAGACCTCAGAAATAACACCACACATCTACAACCATCTGATCTTCAACAAACCTGACAAAAACAAGCAATGGGGAAAGGATCTCCTATCCAGTAAATGGTGCTGGGAAAACTGGCTAGCCATATGCAGAAAACTGAAACTGGACCCTTTCCTTACACCTTATACAAAAATTAACTCAAGATGAATTAAAGACTTAAATGTAAAACCCAAAACCATAAAAACCTAGGAGAAAACCTAGGCAATACCATTCAGGACATAGGTGTGGGCAAACACTTCATGACAAAAACACCAAAAGCAATTGCAACAAAAGCCAAAATTGACGAATGGGATCTGATTAAACTAAAGAGCTTCTGCACAAAAGAAACTATCATCAGAGTGAACAGGCAACCTACAGAATGAGAAAATCTTTGCAATCTACCCATCTGACAAAGGTCTAATATCCAGAATCTACAAGGAACTTAATCAAATTTACAAGAAAAAAACAAACAACCCCATCAAAAAGTGGGCAAAGGATATGAACAGACACTTCTCAAAAGAAGACATTTACGTGGCCAACAAACGTGAAAAAAAGCTCAACATCACTGATCATCAGAGAAATGCAAATCAAAACCACAATGAGATACCATGTCACACCAGTCAGAATGGCGATTATTAAAAAGTCAGGAAACAATAGATGCTGGTGAGGCTGCAGAGAAATAGGAACACTTTTACACGTTAGTGGGAATGCAAATTAGTTCAACCATTGTGGAAGACAGTATGGAGTATTCCTCAAGGATCTAGAACCAGAAATACCATTTGAACCAGCAATCCCATCAATGTGTATATACTCAAAGGAATGTAAATCATTTTACTATAAAGAGACATGCACACATATGTTTACTGCAGCATTATTTACAATAGCAAAGACATGAAACCAACCCAAATGCCCATCAGTGATAGACTGGATAAAGAAAATGTGGTACATATACACCATGGAATACTATGCAGCCATAAAAAGGAATGAGATCATGTCCTTTGCAGGGATATGGATGAAGCTGGAAGCCATCATCCTCAGCAAACTAACACAGGAACAGAAAACCAAACACCGCATGTTCTCACTCATAAGTAGGAGTTGAACATTGAGAATACATGGACACAGATTGGGGAACAACACACACCAGGGCCTGTTGGGGGGCTGGGGGGTGAGCAGAGAGAACTTAGAGGATGGGTCAATAGGTGCAACAAACCACCATGGCACATATATACCTATGTAACAAACCTGCACATTCTGCACATGTATCCCATTTTTTTAGAAGAAATAAAAGACAAAACATTTTTAAAAATTAAAAAAAGAATATCTTGAATGGCAATATCAGGCCTGGCTGAAATCTGAACCTAAACTTAGGCACATGTGGTGGCTAAGCTCTTCAAATGTGGCTAGTGCAACTGTGAAACTGAATTCTTAATTTTGTCTGATTTTAATCCATTTTAACTTAAAAATGGATACTCGGTTCAGTTACTGGAAGATATTTATGTTTATTTGGAATAACTTGGGGATGTGAATCTGCTTGTTTATCTGTAAACTGTATGAACTGTAAATGCATTCCTATTCTATTCATCTCTTGGAGTATTTTTCAGTGCCTCAGGCATCGTGCTCCCCACTAAGAGACCAGATAGCGCAGTTTCCACCCTCATGGAGCCTCCAGTAGGGCAGGGAAGATAGACCATAACAGAATGGTAACTGAGAGCCACAATAGGGAAGTTTGCGGATAAATGAGAACAGAGTAGGGAAGCCCCACGTGTGCAGGGAGAGCAGGAATTGCTGAGATCCTACTGCATTCAATTCAATGAGCTAAGAAATCTTGTTGTTGTGGGGGTTGGTGGTGTGTGTGTATGTGTGTTTCAGACAGGGTCTCACTCTGTTGTCTAGGCTGAAGTGCAGTGGTGCAATTCTAGTTCACTGCAGCCCCGAACTTCTGAGCTTAAACAATCCTCCTACTTCAGCATCCCGAGTAGCTGGGACTACAGATATGTGCCACCACACTCGGCTAATTTTTTTAATTTTTATAAAGAAGGGGTCTCACTATGTTTTCCAGTCTGGCCTTGAACTTCTGAGCTCAGAAGATTCTCCAACCTTGGCCTGCAAAGCTGCTAGGATTACAGGTGTGAACCACTGCGCCCCACCTTGGAAATCTTGATTTTTATTCTACCAAAAGAATTCCCTGCTCTAAATATTTACCAGATAACATAAGCCCAGCTCATTCATGAACATCAACTAACATCTGATCTGAAAATAAGACTGTTCATTTTTAATATAACTTTTTCCTTAACTGCAAGCTCATCTTCAGACTTCTCTGTGTCATGTAACTATTCGGTGCCTTAAAATCAACAAGGCAGATGGTCAGTGATCCCAAACAAAAGAAGTATCTATACATCCGTGAGTTTTCAAGGTGGAGTCCTTATTTGCTTCTAGTCACCCTTCCCAAATAGTGGGGAGAGATTAAATATGTGAATCAACTTTCCTCTATGTCATAAGACACTCTGGACACAGTGTTATTTGGCCAATTGCGCCTATAGTTCCATTTAAAAGAGTCATTTATCAACGTAAAACGTTATAGTACCTTTTGAATAGTTTTGTGATCCTTTTCTGCCATCTCTTTCATACTTATAAGTTCATCTTCTGTAAACAAAAGGAGAGAGAGGCCAACCATGAAATTACATGCTTATGCCCCTGTATTTAAACGGCCTGCTTCAGGGCAGGCTGTGGGGCACTAGCAGGCATAGTGGACACAAGGCCTAGCAGGACTGTGACCTTCACAACTGCCCTTGACATTCGCAGCCTTCTTCCTGCTGTTCAGATGGCCGGTCAGATAGGGATTAAGAAGTAAGTTCAAGATCCAAGTGTGGCTGAGGGCTGAAAGCTTTTCATCAATACTAGCGACGGACATTTTTGCTGTTGGTCACAGCCAATACAAAGAGCTTTAGCAGGTGGCAGTTTATGACTTAATAAGAACGACCCAAAACTAAAAAGCCTTGCTATGCCACAGCAGAAGAGAATGAGACTATACTGGCATGGTAGAATTTTACATCCAAGGGATAATATTAATATAATATATCTCATTTTACTGATATTTTGCTATAATTCATTGTATTGCCTGCTCATTGCTTTGAATACTGCAGATTAAGGACAACATCATGTAATTAACATAATCACTCGGATCACAGTTAAATGAAAAAATACGTTAGAGCAATCTCACCTTGGTGATTATTTTTTTCTCTTTTCCACATGTTCTAACAACTTCGGTGATTTAAACACAACTTTCACCAATGTTTGTGGTATGAAAGAAAAGAGGTATTAAGTATACAAATGAAATTGTGTATTTAAGCTTTGCATCAAAAATTGAAGTAACTAGTAAGTACTAGCATATTTTCCTGAAGGGCTAACTCTGTTTTCCCTACAAAGCATATCCCTATATGTATTCTTAAGTTTTTAAATGTTATCAAGTTTAGATAATCAGTTAAGCATCTGAAACAAATCAGCAAAAGTTTCTATCTGGCTATAATATTTCTAAGTGAAATGGAGCATTGATTAGCAAATTTTTGCAAAGGCCAATGTCTGTCTTGAAACAACACCCTGAATTAACGTGACATGGCTCAGGGGTACAACTACAAACACATCCTCTGTCCCAAGCAAGAAGTGCTATCTTTAATAAAAAGCAAAGATGGCTATGAAATTCATCTTTCAAATGTAAATAACCAAACGAATGTATGTTTGGAAAAGACAAACATAGTTATGAGCTTTACAAAGTGACCAATATACAGATTTTTCTCAAAAGTGATTTCAAAATGTTACCTAATCCTGAATTTTCTTTTAGATTGATCTGGATTTCTTCTTCAAGCTCTGAAATGATCTGAAGCAGCCTCTCATTTTCCACTTTGTACTCCAAATTTTCCTTTTCTAGGTTTGATTTTGGAGAGCTGGTTTCTTTGGCAAAAGATTCCTAAAAGATGGAGAATGCCATATTCCTAAGCAGGGAGCCAAGGATTTAAATATGCAAGACAAGGACAATACAGATACAGAAAAGCTATCATATAATTTTCTGAATTCTATTACACACTTATAAGAATAGTAAAAAGGAAGGAGCCTAAATAGAGCTTGCTGGAAGAAAGGCTCCAGTACATTCTGTACAAAGACCTCAACACATGGGGACATTTTATTGACAGGAATAATGCATATCATACTGTTTGTGTGCCCTCATCATTCAGGTCAATTCATTATGGAGGCTGTGTCCGGGGAGGCAGCTGGGGCCCCTCCACCCACACTTCCCTCTGTGTGTGTCTGAAGTGCTGTCCGCCTGTAACTAGGCAGGCTGGGGGGACCAGGACGGGCAGCGCCAGGGGGTGGCAGAGTGCATGGCTAAGGAGGGGGGCTTGTTGCCTTTGTGGCATTTCCCAGTGTCAGTGCTGCCAGTGTCATGAGGAGCACATCACATGTCAAAGTGGTGACGTTTTCAGGCTGGGAGCCGCATGGAGTCCATCAGGCACACGGATATCCACACAGTTGGTTTTCTGCTTGGTGGAGGAGCCACCCAGAGGCAATTCATATTCTGAACATTAACATGGCTTTGCATGCTTGTCACACGGGGTCTGTGCAGGCGTTTAATGCTATTGAAGACTTTGGTTTAAATCTCTATGCAAACAGTGATTACCTTGTAAGAAGGTTTCAGGATAACTTACAACAAAAGACTTTAAAGTTATAGTTTTAGTAAAGCAAACTCATTTACATTTTTATTATGTGCGTCTTTTGTTTAAATCTTGCCATGTCCATTATGGGAGAGCTTTTTCTTACGCAATAGACGCGCTTATTGGGACAGCTACTCTTTTTTTTTTTTTTTTTTTTGCCTTCTTCTTCTTGTCTGTTTCAAAGCTATTGAAAACATCTGAATATCCTCCCTTATGGCTGTCTAGATTTTATTGCCATGCATTAAAAAAAAAAAAATTAAGCTCTAATGGATTGGGGAAGCTGGTGCAGAACTTTATACTTTATTGTGGTATGATATTAAACAGATTATGCAATCTCAAAATATTATTATGCCAAAGGAGATAGAAGATTCTACATGCCTTGTTCAAAATTACTATAGACATTAAAAATACTTTTGATCTTAAGGTCATCACAGGTGAATTATAACTTATTCTTTTTACAGTAATTCCATGATGGCAATAACTAAAAATAAAATCTTCCCTCAAAAACAAAATAATTTCTCTCGACTGATTTCCCTTTGGAACTACACTTTCATTTAAGGTTAAGGATATGTGGAAGTAAACTATTAAAATATTTTCCCCTGTAACAGTTTTAAAGAAAAAGAAGTGATTTAAATTTTTTGTAGTACATTAATAAGTCCTTTAAAACAAGTGACTTACTAATGAAATTACGTATGGTATATATATGTGTGTGTGTGTGTGTGTAAGAGTTAGTAATATTTAAAATATGTTCTTAAATTTTGCACTAAGCTCAATTACAAATCTTCATGACTTTGATTCACCATTTCACTTAAATTATTTGAGCCCAATTCATCTTAACTAATGAGAACTAACAAACCTAGTAAGTAGTTAATAAACAACACTGTTTTCTTAATAAACGAAGAATCCGTCATTAATTTCTTGTCCCACATTGTTCAATTTGAGACCATCACAGAATGCATTTATAGACTAAAAGGTTTTGTGTGTGTGTGTGTGTGGAAAGAAATAAACAAACAATACTGGCCTTAATAGGCTTAAGCATACTTTTCCTAACAGTGGCAGAATATGAACATCCACAGAGGATTACATGAGCACCCGATTCTCATAAACTAAAGAAGAACTATTTGAATTCATCAGATGAAGTGTAAAATTTACAAATGGTAGCAGCTAATACCTAACTACGGGTTCTAAGAATCTCTTTGTATGAAAGCAGGACGCAAGGAAAACACATTAAATACGGGGGTTTGTCCTCCACATATCAAACCACAACCCCTGTTCTTCCAAGGTTAACCCTTAGCTCTGTCCCCACCATCTGTCAGCTGTGGGAACTGCAAGTAATTAACTATTCAGACGCCCACAGCAATGAGGACACTCATTAGCAAAATGAACAAAGGGATCGTTCTGAGCTGCTACGGTGCTCTGTTACACTCTGAGTGGCAGGTTTTGTGGTGGTGTTCCTTCTGCCATCTGCCCACACTGCTAGTTTGTGTTTGCTTAAACCAGGAGACTTTTAAAAAATAAACTGCCTTAATAAAATGAGGTTAAGAAGGATGGAGATCATTAAAGGCAGTTAACTGGATGTAGCCGTTTAAACCACACTATAAGAGAGACTGTGTGCAATCCATGATCATTCTGGAATTTCAAAATTGTAAAGAAACTTACCAATCTCAAGTTTTTCTTTCATATTATAAAAACTAGGGCTTCAGGTGGTGGCATATGTGCTATATCTTTTGTGAATATTCACAAGATGCATAGAATTACAAACTGAATCCCAAATTGAATCTCGAAAGAATCATTTTTGAAAACAGGTGTACTTGGGAGCTTTGCTCCTCAAATGCGGTCCATGGACCAGGAGCCTCAGCATCACCTGGGAACTGATTAGAAATGCAGCCCCTCAGGCCCAACCCAGAGCTACTGTGTCAGAGTCTGCATCTAACGAGATCTGCAGGTGATGCATGTGAGCAGTAAAGTCTGAGAAGTCCTGCTTCAGAGCACTTTCTGTGCCTTCTCAGCAGTTTCCCCTCCACAGGCTCCATTGAATTGGACATCTCAATTTTCTGGGGAGGAGCAGAGTTCTGATGCAAGCCCATGCCTCATGACAGTCACAGAGAAGAGCAGGTGCTTTCCCAATGAGTGACAACCAGGAAAGTGGCACTCTGGGCAGTGCAACCCTGCAGAGCTGCCACTCTTGAATGACAGCTCTGTTTCAGAGCTGTCAGCAACAAGCAGATATGCTCGCAATGGAAGGTAGGTGGGTGATGGTTGCAGGGCTCATCAGTGTTGGGATAAGAAAAATAAAAAGTCTATTCAAAATGCCAGCTCCAATTGAAATTAAAACACATGCACAGGCACACACACACACACACAGAAACACACACACACACAGAAACACACACACACAATTACAGAGACATAAAGGCTAACCTCCTTTATAAATTCTCAAGAGGATTAGCCAACGGACAGCATGGAAACCTGATGGCTACAATGGTATGCAGCTGAGTCACATTGATTTCCCACCGAATAAAACCTGAACATTTCATCCCTTGAATGAAGTTGCTCTTGGGAAAATTCGACATTCAGGATGTTCCCATCTGGAGATGAGAAATTACAACTACTTATTAATTATAAAGCTATTGAAGTAATTTGATAATCAGTAAGAGTAAACTAGATAACTGTAGATAAACTAAATAAAACTTGTTTATTTCACTTTTTTTTTCAACTTACTTCCACTGCTACTTTGAAATTTTTAATTGTTTTTCCAAATCCCGTGTTCCCAATCTAATTTGAGACTTGGTGTCCCAGGGGTTTTTAAAATACCACTAGAGGGGGCAGTTGAATCAGATGAAATTTCAAATAAAAAAGATCATCTAGAACTTAAGGTTTTAGGAAAGTTTGTTCTTAGAGAATGTAGGAAAAAAGTGTGTTTCATTTTATTTGATATAAGCTATGACCTGCCTTTGTGGCATTCATGTCTGTGTTCTTGAAATGGTGACACGTATGCTTTCCATCACCCTCAGTCAGGAGGGGAGAGCAGAGCAGTCAGGAGGGGAGAGCAGACACGTATGCTTTGTCGGGGTCTCCAGGAGAAATCCATACACCCCGTTAATCAGAATCACCTCACCTTCCTCAAATATTAAGAGTGTTTACAGAAATTCTAATGTGCTCTTTGGGGACTAACTACATTGGAATAACCAGAGTATTCTGGATGCCACTGAAAGCCAGAGAACAGCCTGCTTACATATGAGCCGGTGTGGCTCCCACCTGCTCTCCTTTTCACAAAGCCACAGCCCATCCTCACGCTTTCCCCAGAATGTCCAGCTGGGCCAGGTAACCAGCTGAAGAGAAAAGTTAGAGGTGTAAATATTTCAAGAGTATAGGGAGCTGTCTTACCCAATTGGGGTGTTCTCAACAGTCCAGAGGTCTGTTTGGTACATTTTATGGAACATAAACGGATGGCCATAAGGATTTGTGCATTTCCTTATAATACCTGAATTGATACATGAATATTTCTTCAAAGAACTTGAAGCAATTTACATTCAATACAGCAGGTGTTCTTATCATAACTCTCTAGTTTAGCCAGGCGGGTATCATGTTGCATTTCACAAATGGGAAATAAATGGATCAAAATTGCCTTGCCACATCTACACTGGATGTCTTTGGCCAAGGCAGGATTAAAAGCAAACTATTACAGTTTTTAGTCTTTTCTATTAAATTGTTTTCTTCAAAAAGTAAAAGTAAATGTAAACCCAAGAAAAGGTTTTTCAAAGGCAAATGCAAAAATTGAATGTGCTTCCTAGTCCAAGATATATACAAAAATTAATATTCAATTTTATTAGATCTATGCTATTGACACAATGCTGTATTGCTTAGAAGGTGCTCAATTTTTTCTAGATATAAAGATTTCTAATAGATTAACAAAGTAAACACCTAAAGCAAACATTTAAACCAGTTTAAATACGATCCTTTAGAATGGTTTGTGTTTGATTCATTATCTCTTATAACGTTGAAGTTTTAAATAAGAGTACTAGTGAGGGATTTAGATAAACCATAAATTGTATTCAAAGGCATGAGCAACCCATAAGTGTTTCTTCCTAGTGTTAACATTTTGACATATAACTTTTCAGATTTTCCTGTATGCATGTGTCGATATTTCTATGTGTACTTTTTTTTTTTTGCAGTTGCAAGATTTAATAGAGTTAAATAGAGTGGAAACAGGGCTCCCATACAAAAGGAAGGGACCCAAAGAGGGTAGCCATTGCCAGCTCGAATGCCTGGGTTTATATCCCGATCATTGTCCCTCCCACTGTGCTCTTAGGCAACAGATGATTGGCTATTTCTTTACCTCCTGTTTTTGCCTAATTAGCATTTCAGTGAGCTCTCCTTACTATCTGATTGGTCTGGTGTGAGCTAAGTTGCAAGCCCTGTGTTTAAAGGTGGAAGCGGTCACCTTCCCAGCTAGGCTTAGGGATTCTTAGTCGGCCTAGGAAATCCAGCTAGTCCTGTCTCTCAGTGCCCCTCTCAACAGGAAAACCCAAGTGCTGTTGGGGAGGTTGGCTGATGACCGCTCTAATTGCTTCCTGCTGAATTGGGGTGTACTAGGGGTCGTGCAGTTGAGATTTCCTCGGGAGGGGTGACTTTGATGTCATTAACATCGGAGCATGGGCTAGCAGGCTGGTCCAGGGGTCTGTGGTAGATCTTAGTCACAGACTGCATCTGGGGCACCATTTGAAGAATGATTTGTAGTTTTACAGCTTTGATTCTGGAAGAGACAAACTTAACAAGGAGGTTAAAGATACAGGGATTGAAATGTATGGCCTGCAGTGCAGGGGATTATTTCTTTGGCACACTTTACAGGCCTTGACTATCTGCTTGATAGTTTTGAAAAGGCCTGGTCCAGTAAATAATAATTTGGCCACCTGATGGGTGCTATTAATGCCTAAGTGAAAGGTTTGGTGAAGGGTTTTAAGTAATTTCCATTGGTTAGCTGCAGGCAAAAGTATTTTTCCTTCTTCCATGGCTAGCCATCCTGAGGGAAGGCAACTATGTCCTCGTGAGGTTCCCCATTCTATTTCTTCTTCTGAGTACTGGGGCTTGCTTTCCTGGAGGGGATTACCCCATACTAGAGGTCCCCTTCTATAAGCATTTCTAATGGAGGGTCCTTCCTTGTGGCTGTTTTGGCTTCAATATCTTCTTGGTGGTTCCTTTCTATTTCCCTTTCCTTTCCTTTCCTTTCCTTTCCTTTCCTTTCCTTTCTGATGACCCCACCAGTCTAAGACTGCCACCTCTTTAGGTTTCTGTACAGCCAATAATATTTCCCTAATGGCTTCCTGATGTTTGATAGGTGTTCCCTCGGAAGTTAGGAATTCCCTTTCTCTCCATATTGCTGCATGGGCATGGAGGACTAGGTAAGCATACTACTCTGTATATATATTCACCCTTTTTCCTTCTCTTAATTCTAGTGCCCGAGTGAGGGCTATTAGTTTTACCAGCTGAGCACTAGTTCCTGGAGTGAGGGGATTACTTTCAAGTACTCCATTATCACTGACAACTGCATACCCCGCTTTTCGAAGTCCTTTTTCTACAAAGGAACTTCCATTAGTATACAAGTTGAGGTTGGGATCAGTCAAGGGAACCTCTAAAAGGTCCCCCTGAGCGGCATAGGTTTGAGCAATTACTTGTTGACAGTTATGTTCTATCTTTTCTTCTTTGTCTGGAAGAAATGTGGCTGGGTTAAGAGTTGCACAAGTGCGCAGTCGCAGCACTGGCCCTTCAAGTAATAGAGCCTGATATTTAAGTAAACAGTTGTCTGACAGGCACAAGTCTCCTTTAGCAGTGAGTAAGCCATTCACATCGTAAGATATCCACACAGTAAGATCTCTTCCCTGTATTATTTTAACTGCTTCAGATACTAAGACTGCTACTGCCACCACTACCCGTAAACAATGAGGCCAACCCGGCCGGGCATGTTGGCTCACGCCTATAATCCTAGCACTTTGGGAAGCTGAGGTGGGCGGATCACAAGGTCAGGAGATCGAGACCATCCTGGCGAACACGGTGAAACCCCATCTCCACTAAAAATACAAAAAATCAGCCAGGCGTGGTGGTGTGCACCTGTAGTCCCAGCTACTCGGGAGGCTGAGGCAGGAGGATGGCATGAACCTGGGAGGCGGAGCTTGCAGTGAGCCGAGATGGCACCACTGCACTCCAGCCTGGGCGACAGAGTGAGACTCTGTCTCAAAAAAACAAACAAACAAAAAAATAAAAACAATGAGGCCAACCCTTTGCCACTACATCAATTTCCTTACTCAGGTATGCCACAGGTTGCAAGCTCATCCCTCAGACCTGTGTGAGGACTCCTAGAGCTATTCCTGTTTTTTCTGTGACATATAAAGAAAAGTCTTGCCCCATTGGCAAGCTTAACACTGGGGCTTGGGTTAGGGCTTTCTTTAGGGCCTGGAAAGCCACTTCTGCTTCAGGTGTCCATCTTACTAAATGGGTATTGGCTTTCTGAGTTTCCTTAATTAGTGTATATAATGGTCTGGCTATTTCGCCGTACCTGGGAATCCATATTCGGCAGTTCCTGTTATGCCAAGGAACGCTCTTAGTTGCTTCAGGGTTTTGGGATAAGGATAAGCCAATATAGCCTGGATACATTCCTCACTGAGGGTCCTGGTGCCTTTGGATAATTTTAGCCCTAAGTATTTAACCTGCTGTGAGCAGAGCTGAGCTTTTGGTTTGGAAACCTTGTAGCCACAGGTAGCAAGGAAATTTAAGAGCACCTGGGTGGCTTGATGACACAAGGTTTCTGAATGGGCGGCTAAAAGTAAATCATCCATGTACCGAAGGACAACAGTGTCCAGGTATGAGAACTGGCTCAAGTCTTGGGCTAATAGTCTTGGGTGCCTGGCCAAATAGATGGGGGCTATTCCTGAACCCTTGGGGTAAAACAGTCCAGGTGAGTTGAGACATTGGGTTTGAAGGATCTTCAAAGGCAAACAAGAATTGAGAGTCAGGATGTACAAGGATGCAGAAAAAGGTATCCTTAAGGTCCAGGACTGTAAACCACTCTGCTTCCTCTGGTATTTGGGAAAGCAGAGTAGAAGGGTTAGGTATAGCTGGGTATAGAGGAACAACAGACTCATTGATAATCCTGAGATCTTCCACTAACCTCCACTGTCTGTTGGGTTTCTGTACTCCTAAAATTGGAGTATTGCAGGGGCTATTGCATGGTTTTACTAGGCCTTGGGCTTTTAGGTCCTTAATCTTTTGGAGTCCTTGTTGGACCTTGGGTCTAAGGGGGTACTGCCTTTGGTAGGAAAAGGAGGCGTAATCCTTTAGTTTAACTTGAACAGGACAGGCATTCTTTGCTCGTCCATATTGTCCTTCTGTTGCCCAGACTTCAGGATTAGTTCCTTCCTCAAGCAGGGGACAACAAATGGGGTGTTCCTTCTCCTATGTTCAGGTGTATAATGGCCCCTGCTTTTGCTAGAATGTCTCTCCCTAAGAAGGAAGTGGGGCTTTCAGGCATAATTAGAAAAGCATGTGAAAAGAGTAAAGTTCCCCAGTCACAACTTAGTGGCTGGGAGAAGTATCTAGTGACTGGCTGTCCTAGGACCCCTTGGATAGTGACAGATCTGGAGGACAATTGTCCACGACAGGAGAGTAAGACTGAGAAGGGGGCGGGTGCAGTGGCTCATGCCTGTAATCCCAGCACTTTGGGAGGCTGAGGCGGGCGAATCATGAGGTCAAGAGATCAAGACCATCCTGGCTAACACGGTGAAACCCTGTCTCTACTAAAACATACAAAAAATTAGCCGGGTGTGGTGGCGGGCGCCTGTAGTCCCAGCTACTCAGGAGGCTGAGGCAGGAGAATGGCGCGAACCCAGGATGTGGAGCTTGCAGTGAGCCAAGATCGCGCCACTGCACTCCAGCCTGGGTGACAGAGCGAGACTCTGTCTCAAAAAAAAAAAAAAAAATTACTGAGAAGTCTGTGCCAGTGTCCAGGAGACAGTTAACCTCCTGGCCTTCAATGGTCAAGCATATCTGGGGCTCTGTGAGGGTGATGGCATGGGCTGGTGCTTGCCCCAGGCACCCTCAGTCCTGCTGCTCGATCATCCGGCTAGTGGCTTCTGACTCAGAGGATCTTTGTCCCCTGGGGCAGCGGGCCTTCCAGTGATTCCCTTGACATAAGGGGCATGGATGAGAGGGTGGCTTACTTGTACTTGGACAATCTTTTTTAAAGTGTCCTTATAGACCGCACTGGAAGCAAGCCCTATTAGGCATTCGATTTTCCCAGCTTTTCCCTTTTCCAGAGCCTCCAAAGTCCGCTTGCCTGAGGGCCATGACTAAAGCGGTGGCCTTTTTTTATCCCGTTTGTCCCATTCCGCCTGCTCCTCCTGATCTCTATTATAAAAAACCGAGGTTGCCAAGTTCAATAGAGTTTCTAAGTTTTTCTCCGGGCCTAAGGTGGACTTTTGAAGTTTTTTTCTAATGTCTGCAGCTGACTGAGTAATAAACTTATTTATCCTTTAAGATCAGTTGGACTTCAACAGAGTCAGGTGATAGAGAGGTATGCTTCCTCAATGCCTCTCTTAGTCTCTCCAGAAAGGCAGTAGGATTTTCTTCCTTTCCCTGTGTTGTAGTGGACATCATTGAATAATTCATAGGCTTCCTCCTAGTTTCCCTTAGTCCTTCTAGCACGCAAGTTAGCAAATGTCTGCAGCACCAATCTCCATGTTCTGATTCTGTGTCCCAGTGAGGGTCTACACTGGGAATTGCCTGCTGGCCTGTGGGGAATCATTCTTTTTCCTCTGTTGTCATCCTATCATTGAACTGACTGAGATACCAGAGATCACCAAACTCTCAGGCTGCAGTTATGACGGCACTTCTCTCATTTGGGGTTAGTGTCTGATTTAGCAGTAACATTGTATCTGTCCATGTCAGATCAAAGGATTGTCCTAACCCTTGTAAAACATCAATATAGCCATCAGGGTTATCTGAGAATTTACCTAGGTCTATTTTAATTTGCTTTAAGTCTGAGAAAGAAAAAGGTACATGCACTCTAGCTGGGCCAAATTCTCCTCCTCCCACTGCTTGGAGGGGGCATAATCGGGGAATATGGGTCAGAAGGAAAGGTAGGGGTGCACGCATGGGCGACTGTTGAGTAGAAACTTCTGGCTGTGCCATGATCTCAACCGGCTACTGCCAGGAGTTTGGGATGACAGGTTTCTGCCTCTAGTCGGCCCTCGGCTTCCCCAAGAAAATTGAAAGTGGAAGCTGGCTCCAGGCAGACCAATATCCCCAACCCAGAAGTGTTGGGGGTTGTTAGAAAGCCCTTCCCCAGACAGCCTCACACCTGAGTCTTAAGTCCGGTGGTCACGCTAATCGTTTTTAACTGTCCGACAGGTGCCCGGTATTTTCCTCCAATTCTAAGGATAGGACAGAATAGCAAGCGAAAGTGGTCCCAATATTACTCATCGCTTTGGAGGTCCCATGTGGGTCACCAAAATGTTACTGGGGGGTCCTTGCACCCAGAGCTCCCAAGATGGTGGTGGGCCACTTCCAAAATGGCAGCAGGCCACTTCCAAGATGGTGGCAAGCCTCGTGTTCTCTGATCTGGGGTTCTTGGCCTCACAGATTCCAAGGAATGGAATCTTGGGCCATGCGGTGGTGGTGGGCCTCTTCCAAGATGGTGACAATCCTCGTGTTCTCTGACCTGGGGTTCTTGGCCTCATGGATTCCAAGGAATGGAATCTTGGGCCATGCAGTGAGTGTTATAGCTCTATTAGAAGCCATGGGCCATGGAAGAGAACCGTGGAACCCAGTAACTAGCGTTCAGCTCGATTATGATCAACCCGGGCACTTAGCCATGCAGGAACAATGGCAAGCCTTTAGCCTGATCGGGAGCGGCAATGGGCGCCCCGCTGGATCAGGAGCACAGCAGACATCCTGCTGGATCCAGAGGGATGGAAGTCAGCGGTGGGTCTGCGATGGCGGCAAACAGCAGAGGTGGACGGTGAGCGAAAGCTCAGCTCAAGCCGTAACAAACACGGACCAGAAGAGTGCAGTTACAAGATTTAATAGAGTGAAATAGAGTGGAAACAGAGCTCCCATACAAAGGGAGAGGACCCAAAGAGGGTAGCCCTCTATGTGTATTAATCTATTAATAATTATTAATGTATTATAATATATCATATTATAATATATTATGATAACATAATCTATACATTATAATCTGTACATTTTCTATATGCATATGTATATTATATATTCACTACAACCTTTAATTCTTACTGTAGAGGATAAAGCTCCCCCTCTGTAAGTGGACTTTAGATTCAGGTGAACCTTGGTTCATGTACCATCTTTACCATCTACTACGTTTGCCCATGAGGAAGTTACTTAACCACCCTGTCTCTGCCTCTTCATCTGCAAACTGAACTGTGAGAATGAGAAGAGATGCCATCGATGAAGTATCTGATACCTGCTATTGCTATTCAATAGACTTTTATTCCTCCTGGGTCCCAGCATCTGTTAGCCTTTCCAAATCAAACAATCAGCTTCTTGTTCTTAGAACTTAAGAATAAAATCCTCTCCAGCTCTGGACCATGGTTGGGCCTGGGACATCCGGTGGCTCAGAGCAGACATGAGATGACAATGAATTCGTTCTCAGGATCCACATTTTCCAAAGCCCTTAAACTTCCTCCTTGACAGGAGTTTAGGTTCTTCTTTCTGCCTTCTCAGTCATTCCATTTTTGCTCCCATCAGTAGTTTGTCTAACCAGTAAAGCAGCTCCTGGCTCCCACTGCAACAGGAAAAACTGAGGGGAAAATCCTCTGGGATTTTTCTTCTTGATATTTTTATTTAAATGTCATTCTGTTCCAAGTTGGCTTCTTGGAAGCTCTGGCTTGGAAAGATTAGCTTTGTGTCTTTCAAACTACTTTGACTGCAAAAAAAGGTGGGAGTCTTCGGTTACAACAAAAATCCACTCCCACACTCTTCTAGAGTAGGACATTTTTTGCAGTGGGAGGTAAGTTATTTTATTTCCATTTAAACAAAAATTGTATTTTTAATTTTATTGCTCCTATTCATTATATTGCTCCTATTCATATTGTTATGGGTTTTCTAGAATAGGCCATTGAGCAGAAAAGAGTTAGACTGGCTTATATTATGGGGAGATGCCCAAAATGCAGCAATTGGATTTTAATTTATCATTAACTCAAGCTTTTAACTATTTATGACTTTATTTATGTATATTAAAATTAATTATTCCTTGCCTTGAAACTTACCATTTTGTGAAATCCAAAATCTTTATATTGGTCTAGTTCTTCTTTTAATTCTTTAATAACTTCTTCTTTCTCTTTCAGTTTTCTTAACAAAATATTTGTTTTGACAGTACTCGCATCTTGCAAAGAAACATTCTCTTCTTCTACCTCAAAGAATTGCTAGGGACAAAAAAAAGCAGCATTAAAAATTAGACACTAAGCATTAAAAATTAGGCACTTACACTAAATTAGACACTCAGCATTAAAAATTAGACACCACCAGAAAACATTTCATCTTTTAAGCTACTGTTTTGTGAAGGTTATTTTTGTAACCTGCATACAATTTTAGTAAGCAACTTTATTTATATTGAAATATATGCTTAAAAAGTATTACGCACTATGTAGCACAGTGTTATCCTATAAAACACAAAGCATGGTCAGTTACTCTTACTGTATCAGCCATGTAAACTACAATAGTAAAGAGCGAGATGGAAGATTAGGAGAACGTCTACTCAACAAGAATTTGGCAGCCATCCGTGGACAAAAGTTCCCTTGAGGGAGATTTGGGACCTGGATAGAAGACTGCAAAACTCTAGTGGAGCCCAAGACTGAGGAGGGCTGTTTTGACTGGCAGGCTGCACCTAGGTGGCAGGCTCACTGACCATGGTCCCAGCTACAAACCCAGAAATTGCTTCATTGCCCTGTGGACTTGGTCCTGCCTCTAGAACCATCTGCCAAGAAATCCAGGAGGAATCACATTCACCTGTACCTCTGGTGACAAGCCCACAGGCCTCAGTCTCAGCTGTGGATCCTGAATCAGCTCTGTAACTCAACCAAACCCACTTTCAGCTGCAGTTTGAGACCAGTCCTGCCTGCCCAGGCACCTGCTGGGAGTCATGCCTATTTGTGCCTTCAGAAGCAGGTTGGCTGACCTCAGTCTCACAGCAGATCTTGAAACAGCCCTTTAACTTGGTCCCAGCCCTCTCAGCTGCAGTCTGAGAGCAGTCTTGCCCACCCAGGGGCTTGCTGAAAGCTATGCCTTTCTGTGCCCCAAAGGCAGGCCCACTGATTTTGATTCCACTGCAGATCTTGGGGTGGGCCTGCAACCTAGTTCTGTCCCTTCCTAGCCTTCATCCAGAAGCAGTCCTGTCCACCCAGAGATCTGCCAGGAAACATGCCCATCAATGCCTCTGGAGGCAAGCTGCTGACCTCAGTCTGATGGAGAAGCCTGAAGTAGCCCCGTGACCCAGCTCGAGCCCACTCAGCCATGGTCCAGGAGCAGTCCTGCTTGCCCAGGAGCCTGGCAGGAGGCACACCTTTCTATGTCTCTGGAGGCATGTCTGCAGACCCCAGTCTCAGTGTAAGCCATGAAGCAGCCCTGTAATTCCCTTCAAGCTCCTGTCAGCCATGGTCCATGGCCACTTCTCCTTGCCCAGGTACCAACTCAGTAACCCAGCAGGAACACTACAAGGGACCTGAAGGAATACACACTCATCTGTGTGTCTGGTAACAGGCCCACCATCTGCAAACCCAACTGTGAAACCTGAAGAATCTTCTTTACCCAGCACCAACTCTACAGACTAAGGTCCTGGAAGCAGTTTATTCTTTCCAGGGGCCAGACAGGATCCAAGCCTGTTCAAGCCCCTAGTAATAGGCCCACTAACATGGTCCCCATTGCAGACCCAGCAGCAGCCACGTAACTCGGCTGCAACCCTACTCAACTGCAATCCTGGAGGCAATCTTATCAGCTTAGGGACCCAAAAGAAGAAAATCTTTACCTACCAAAACCAGTCTGTAATGACTGGAGGAAGTGTCTGCTCATCCAAATGCACAAACACGAACATAAGGCTATATAGTTAGTGAAGAATCAGGCAAACATGACACTCTCAAGAAAATGAATACAGTTCCAGTAACTGACTCCAAAAAAATGGAGATCTGCAAATCATTTGATAAGTAAATCAAAATAATTATCTTTAAGAAGCTCAATGAGACGCAAGAGAACACAGATATGCAGTTGAACAAATCAAGAAAAACAATGCATTAACAAAATTAGAAGTTTAATAAAGCAATAGTAAATGCTAGGCATGGTGGCTTGTGTCTATAATCCCAGCTACTTGGGAGGCTGAAGCAGGTGGATCACTCGAGGCCAGGAGTTTGGGACCAGCCTGAGCAACATAACAAGACATCCTTCTGTAAAATTTTTTTAAAAAGAAAAGATTAAAAAATGGGCCAAGGCCTAAATAAACATTTTTCCAAAGATGATATACAAATGGCCAACAGTTACATGAAACATCGCCAATCATCAGGAAGATGCAAATCAAAACTACAATGAGATATTACCTCATTATGATAAGAATGAGCTATTAGAATGAGTATTTTCAAAAAGATAAGAGATAACAAGTATTGGCAACGGTATGGAGAAAAGGCAACCCTTGTGCACTGTTGATGGGAATGTAAAGTGGTACAGCCATTATGGAAAATAGTATGGAGGTTCTTCAGAAAATTAAAACTAGAACTGCCATATGATCCAGCTATCCTACTTCTGGGTATATATTCAAAGGAAATAAAATCATGATCTTAAAGATATTTGCATTCCTATGTTCATTACAGCATTATTCACAATAGCCAAGATATAGAAACAACCTAAATATCCATCAACAGATGAATGAAGAAAACGTTACATACGCGCACACACACACACACACACTCTCTCTCTCACATACACACACACACAATGGAATATTTACAATGGTAGTATGTACAATGTATATATTAATACAATAGAATATTTTTCAGCCATAAAAAGAAGGATATCTTGCTATTTGGGACAAGATGGATGAACCTGGAAGACATTATGCTAAGTGAAATAAGCCAGATATAAAAAGGTAAATAGTGTATTATCTCATTAATATGTAGAATCCAAAAAAGTTGAACTTGAAGCAGGGAGTAGAACGGTGGTTGACAGGCTGGGCGCGGTGGCTCACGCCTGTAATCTCAGCACTTTGGGAGCCCTAGGCGGGCAAATCATCAGGTCAGGAGTTCGAGACTAGCCTGGCCAACATGTGAAACCCTGTCTCTACTAAAAATGCAAAAAATTAGCTGGGCATGGTGGCGGACACCTGTAATCTAAGCTACTTGGGAGGTTGAGGCAGGAGAATCACTTGAAGCCAGGAGGTGGAGGTTGCAGTGAGCCGAGATAGCACCACTGCACTCCAGCCCAGCCTGGGTGACAGTGCCAGACTCCATCTCAGAAAAAAAAAAAAAAAAAAAAAGAATGGTGGTTGACAAAGGCTGGAGCACAGGGAAAATGGGGAGATGTTGGTCGAAGGGTATAAACTTTCAGTCATAAGATGAATAAGTTCTGGCAATCTAACGTACAGTATGGTGACTATGGTTAATAACGCTGTATTGTTTACTTGAAATTTGCCAAGAGAGCAGATCTTGTGTCCTTACTGCCACCGCCCCCCACCCCACACACAGTAGTAACTGGAAGTATGTGTTAATTAATTTGATTGTGGTAATCATTATACAATGTATTTCAAATCATCACATTGTATACCTTGAATATATACAATTTATATTTGTCAATTATACATCAGTAAAGCTGGAAAAAGGTAATAATAGTAAATCCTAATAGTAAATTGACATCACGATTTGTGAATATCCTACTTTAATATTCCTCTAGAAGGGAAGACAGTAAAAATTTGAATATGTAGAAAAGGAAGTAAACATCAATGGTGCAACTAATTGCCTCAATAGACTGGAATGGAGATGTTGAAAGAAGTAATACACCTTGACATCTTGTTTTAAGCATTTAGATGCTTCCTATCTGCATTCATTACTCTGAAGAACTATATTACAAAACCAAAAAAAGGATGAAATGCTTTAAAAGTGGATAATGTTACTTACTTCCAGCATTTAAAAATCTTATTTTCAACACTGTTATGCAAAACCTGTGGTTTAGTTTGGACTCTTTTTGAAATTATAAAGAAACCATTTGATTCTTTGTGTGTTTGTTACTAATATATTTGGGTACATACAACATACAGGAAATATAGCAAAACCTAGTAATATCTGCTAATATACTTAATGTTATATTTCAAAAGAGTTAGATTTGTAAGCTCAAATTGTCCTAATATGATGAATACCAGCAGACTAAGAAGAATAATATATGAAGGTGGCTATGAACAGCACTGGCATAATCTATACAGTATGAAAAAATGAATGTACAGTAGAATTAAAAAGAGTGAAAAAGAATACTCCATATGACAATATCCAATATCAGCTTTTAAAATTTTGTGATTTTATTTATTTAGATTTTTTATTTAGTTTTTTTTTTTTTTTTTTAAGACAGGGTCTCACTCTCACCCAGGCTGGAGTGCAGTGATGCAATCGGCTCACTGCAACCTCCGCTTTCTGGGCTCAAGTGATCTTCCCACCTCTGCCTCCACCTCTGCCTCCAAAGTAGCTGAGACTTCAGGCACATACCACCATGCCTGGCTAATATGTGTAATTTTTTTGCAGAGACAGGGCTTTGCCACATTGCCCAGGCTGGTCTCAAACTCCTGAGCTCAAGGGATCCGCCTGCCTCAGCCTCCCAAAGTCCTGGGACTACAGAGCCACCGCTCCTGGCCTTAAATTTTGTGATTTTTAAACAAGAGTATTGATTATGTATATCTAGTCTTTACATCTATTCTTACATATGTCTACAGCTCAAACACTCTGCTAAGGTCAACACACATTTATTCTACTAGGGCCCTTAAGTGTTACTAGGCATTACGTATCCAACAGATCCAAACAGAGTTCAACACCTTCACTGTCATCCTTTCTGCGTCCCCTTATTAACAGCAGCATAAGCCAGAAACCCATTTTAAGCCCCTTCTTCTCTTTCACGAACTAATCAAACTTGTTCGATCTACCCCTAATTCTGTACCAAACCTCGTCACCTTCTTTCCTGTTCCACTACAATCTTCGTACTTGCCTTGTTCACCTGGATATTGTAAAAGCTTCTTAAAACTAGCCTCCCTGCCTCTTGTTTTGTCACTTCCCTCCAATCTTCATCCAGTAGCCAAATAACCTTTCTAAAATACAGCTCTCCCCATCTCCTCCTACGGGCTAACATCCAACTCCCTTAGCCTGGTATACAAAACGGCAGCCTTCATGATCTGCTGCCAACTTACCTGGCCAGCATCTCATGCCAGTCTTCTCTCCTCTTTCTTCACCCAAACTGGGCATTTTATCAATACTGATACACTCGGCATCCAACTTCTCAGAAACACCACGTTGCCACAGGTCTCTGTGCCTTTGTACTTGGAGTTCCCTCTTAGCCGACCCAACAAACTTTTGCTTGTCATTCTAGCAGAATGGTATTAGAGTGGGATAGCCTGAGTCTGCAGACCAGCTCTGTCAGCTTGGGACCTTGAACAAGTTTCTTAAACCCCGAGTGTCTCAGTGTTATCATTTGTAAAATGGGACTATTAATAATAATACCTGAATTGTGAGAATTAAATAAGATAATGCATGTAAGCAATTTTGGATAGTGCCTACAACAAAGACAGCCCCCAGTAAGTATTATATCCCAGCATTTAGTCCTGTTGTGGCTATTTTTCATTCAAAT
This sequence comes from Homo sapiens, assembly GCF_000001405.40. Classification (NCBI taxonomy): domain Eukaryota; kingdom Metazoa; phylum Chordata; class Mammalia; order Primates; family Hominidae; genus Homo; species Homo sapiens. The sequence continues at coordinate 23,308,897 of NC_000010.11, forward strand.
CCAGATGCCACCTGCTCTGGAAACCTTAGCACCGGTCTCCCACCCACCCACCTTCCACCCCTATGTCCTTTCTCTATCCTGTGAACACTCTTCTTGGGGTCACTTTATTATTTGCTTACTTTCTAACTAATTTTTATGTTCTGAATAGGTTGGGTTTATTTTACTCTTAAAAAAGATACCTGCGCTTATATGTTTATTGCAGCACTATTCACAATGGCAAAGTCATGGAACCAACCTAAATGTCCATCAATGGTTGATTGTATAAAGAAAATGTAATATATTAATATATATATCATGGAATACTATGCAGCCATTAAAAAGAATGAAATCATGTCCTTTGCAGTAACATGAATGGAGCTGGAGGCATTATCCTAAGCAAATTAATGCAGGAACAGAAAACTAAATACCACATGTTCTCACTTCTAAGTGGGAGCTAAACAACGGGTACACATGAACATAAGGACGAAAATAATGGACACTGGGGACTCCAAAAGGGAAAAAGGTGGCAGGGAGACTAGGGTTGAAATATTACCTATTGAATACAATGTTCAATATTGGGGGATGGATATACTAGAAGCCCAATCCTTACCATTATGCAATATACCCATGTAACAAGCATGCACATATACCCTCTGAATCTAAAACAGAAGTTTTTAAGCCAGCAAAACAAAGATTGCATGACAGCGCAGAAACCAATGCACTAAAAATTATGAGAAAGTGATGCAGGCTGTTTAGGGAATGATGTTCTGACTGGTGCCAAGTCATCTTCATCAGAGCATGTCACGGAAGTGCCCTGGGAAACTCATTTAAAATCTCACCCAGGTACCACACTGAGAGGTGCTTGAGCCAGCCTGCCTTCTGGATGGGCTCGGCCACTCTGGACTTCAGGACAGGGAGGGCCACAATTCTTTGGAAGAACAAAAAAGTTTTACTTTTACATGCTTCCTAACCTTGTTTTATTAGTGCAGACTCAAAGATTCCTCTTTCAGTCGGTCCTCAAACTTCAGCTGAAGCAATTGTTTGAAGAACCCAAAATCCACCTGGAGGGATTTACCTTTGGCTTTTCAAAAAATGGTTGTAAGGTCCAAATACAATGAATTCATTTTTCTTCATCTCCTGGAATGTTTCTGATGTTTCACTAGTGTTTATGGAATGAGCTGGACTCTGTGGGAGATAGCAGAAAGCAGTGTGATTTTCCCACACTGCCCCTGCAAATCTAGTTTCTAGTCTCATAGTTCTCACCTTTTAGGACTTTCAGGAAGACACCATGGCTTTATTTTTTTAACTTAGTAACAACTTTAACCTTAGACAATGACAACAAAATAAAAGGAAGAAAGAAAATGGGAAGAAAGCAAAAACCAAAACCAAAACAAAAAATTCTAGTCTAGCCAACTCTCACCCATTAATGCTTCTGTCCTCCCACCACTCTGGCCCCCCTTAGATTTGGCAGTCTGCAGTGGAGGAGAAGGGTTGAGCCTCTCTTTCTTTTATTTCTGCAATTTGAGATTCTCCAACTATCTGGTGCAGAGGAGAGGGAGAAACGTTAAGGGAACAGAAACAAGTGTCAATTGACAGTAACCTGCTGCCTTTGGTTCCCAGGAGGGTCCATGCTGGCCTGGCATCCTGCAATGCCCTTCACAAGAGCAGTGCCTCACTGGCTTCTGTCCTAGGACCTGCCCTTCTGCTGGCATCCTGTCACCTCTCCAGATGGTCCTTGTCAGCAGGCTTCTGCCCCATCACCCCTCCTGCTCTTCTGTGAAATTTTTCTGGCAAGTCCCATACCAGTCCTCACATTCCTCAGACCCAGGAATGCTTGTCAAGCTCTCCAAGAGGTCTAAAACTCCACTCTTGCTTGGCTCAAAGGAGAAATACTCTCTTTCTCTCTCCCATTTACAGGTCAGCACTCCATGTTGCCTGCTTTCCCCAAAATGGTCCTCTTGACCAGCTTTGTCCATTTCCAAATTCAAGATCTCTCTTATATTTCCTGGAGATGGATGATGGGCTAGTACTGGCCAATTAAGCTGCTCCACCAAGTCCTGGAATGTCCTTCAAAGAACATCCTGCTGGCATCTATTTTTTTTTTCTTTTTAGATAGGGTCTTGCTCTGTCACCCAGGCTGGAGTACAGTGGCATGATCGTTGCTCACTGCAGCTTCTAACTTCTGGGCTGAAGCCATCCTCCTGTCTTGGCTTCCCAAGGCACTGGAATTACAGGCATGAACCACCACACCCAGCCACACCTCACTTTTGAGCAGTATTTTGTTATTTACTTTTGGGGCTTTGGATGAAACTGAAACCCAAGAGTCCCATTTTAACATCCCATCTTAGGGTGGCTTACTAAAAAATGTATTACCCTTTAGTTTAAATCCCAGCCTAATCATGTGACCACTTGTCCTTCATCGAGAGGTTCTTTCTGACAACTGTCAAGTTGACAGGAGCAACAGACATCCAGGCCTGAGGGCCTGAGTATGACAAAGTTCAATCAGGCTGCACAATTCACTTATCAAACACAGGAGTTTGAAATTCCAGCTTGGGGCCGGGCACGGTGGCTCATGCCTGTAATCCCAGCACTTTGGGAGGCCGAGGTGGGTGGATCACCTGAGGTCCGGAGTTCGAGACCAGCCTGACCAACATGGAGAAACCCCGTCTCTACTAAAAATACAAAATTAGCCAGGTGTGGTGTCACATGCCTGTAATCCCAGCTACTCTGGAGGCTGAGGCAGGAGAATGGCTTGAACCCGGGAGGCAGAGGTTGCTGTGAGCTGAGATCATGCCATTGCACTCCAGCCTGGGCAACAAGAGCGAAACTCCATCTCAAAGAAAAAAAAAAAGAAATTCTAGCTTGGGTTCAGTAACAACATCAAAATAGTTACTGCCTGCTGTTCAAGGAAAGTGTTTTTGGAATTTCAATTGTCTCATTAACTTTCTAAAATAAAATTTCTATATTTTGGTGCCATCATTCTCATTAAGGTCCCGGTGTTAGTTTGCAACATTTAAACTAGGGAATAATTACTCTGTGAACATTTAGATTGACTAGGACAATACTGGATGGGAAGCAAGTCAATTGCTTACTTCAAAGGCGATATATCAACCTTTTTAGATAATGAAGGTTTTTATAATAGAGATATTAACTTTTATCATTTAGTTAAGATGGTGTCAGTATTAACTTTCTTCACTCTAAAGTTAATAAGTATTATACTTACTAATTAATACATGTTATACTCCTTAATTAATATGCATTTACTCCCAGTTAAAGTATTAATATGCATTGGTAGGGAGATATTTTAGTACTTCCGTAAGACAAACTTTTTCCTGAAATAAATAAATGCATTAGTTATTCACTTATTTACTTATAACAGTGAGCTCATGGATTCCTATTTTACTCAAATGGTTACAATTCATAATTATCATTATTTATTTTGATGCATGGATTTTCCCAGATTGGCCAAGTGGAATGAAGGAAGCCCCTACCAGCTGACTCCTGTGTTCTGACATGCCTTCATAATTTTTTGAGCATTTCCTTGCTTCAGTTACGACAAATATTGCAGGTCCTTCTTCCATTTTCCCTGTCCCTGCCCTGGAGTTGGCTACTCCTCCAAAAAGCCCTGGTTTCTTTTAGTGTAGAATATCATTTAAATCTAAAAGCTGAACTCTAGGTGTACTCATTGCTATAGGAGTGTCACTGCCTCTAGGCGCTCTCCATAGACAGAACTAGGATATACATAAATGTATCTACACACTTATATATACACATTCACATACATCTATATAGTTGCATATATGTATCTGTGATGATTAATTTTATGCATCAACTTGGCTAGGCCATGGTACTCTTTTTCAAACGTTAAATGTTGCTGGTATTTTTAGATGAGATAAATATTTAAATAGGTAGCTCTGAGTAAGGCAGATTACCCTTCATACTTCCATCATGTAGATGGAGCTCATCCAATAGGTTGAAGGCCTTCTCAGAAAAAGACTGAGATTCTCTGAGGAAGAAGAAATTCTCCTAGAGGACTGCGTTCGGACTCAAGCTATAACATCAAGTCTTTCCTGGGTCTCCAGCCTGCTGGTCTGCCTTGCAAATTTCAAACTTGCCAGCCCCCATAATTACATGAACCAATTCCTCAAAATCTCTTTTATCACCTCCCCACCCTCTCTTCTCTTTCCCTGTTTTCTCCCCATCTCCCCCAAATATTCATTGTCCTTCAGGGCTCAGCATAGGAATCACCTTTTCCTAAAAGTCTTCCTTAACTATTCACCCAAATTGACAGAGAGTTATGCACCCACTGGGTACAAACCTCCAATGTGGACTGTAATTGCTAAGTTTATTATCTCTCTTGACCACTGGATTATCCACAATGAGTACAAGGACTGGCTCTGGGCCTGTGCTGGAAAATCAGACAATGGGTGGATGAAATGAATCAAAACGTGAGTGAAAGAACAGTTAAAGACCTCGACATTATGGATTGCCTTTATTCTAGGAAATTTCCACTAGGAATTCATGATCTATTTCCAGTACCATGGTGTAGGTCGAGATATCTTGACACTCTTCTTGATCATATTCAACCCTTTATTCAATAAAATTTGTCAAAAACCTATTACATGCCACGCAGTCTGCTGGGAGAAGAATACAAAGATGAGTAAGACTCGGTCCCTGCTCTGCAGGAAGAGTCTAGTGGACAGATCAATATGTACTGGGTAAATGTGATACAATTCACTGTAGCTATTATACAGCAGAGAAAGAGCAAGAAGGGACATTATGTGAAAATTCCAGGGAGGTGGTTAATAACTTGAGGAGAGCTGAGGGAAGCAGGCGACGGCCCAGTATTGTGGGAGGGTAAAGTTTTAGCTAAGAAGTGGAAACAGATAAAAGTGAAGACATAAAAGGACCTTCTAAGCCATGCTAAGGCACTTAAACTTCATCCTAAAGGCATGGAGGAAACACTGAAGGATTTAAACAGGGCAGGATATGGTCAGACTTGTGTTTTGAACGACCACCCAGATGACTGGGCAGACGATGGACTTAATGAAGACCAAAAGGGATAAGAAGGCACCAGCCACAGGCCAGGTGAGCAACGCTGACTATCGAAACTAGTTCAGAGGCAAACAAGACGTGGATTTAGGAGGTAAAAAAACTGGCAGGATGGTCAGGCATGGTGGCTCACGCCTATAATCTCAGCGATTTGGGAGGCTGAGATGGGACGGTTGCTTGAGCCCGGGAGGCAGAGGTTGCAGTGAGCAGAGACGGTGCCACTGCACTCCAGCCTGGGAGACAGAGCAAGACTCTGTTTCAAAAACAACAACAACAACGAATACCCAAACAACCAAACAACAACAAAAAACTGGTAGGATTCAATGGCTTACTAAATATGAAAGATGAATTTGTTATCTAGTGCTGCATAAAAGTTTTACCCCAAATGTAGTGGCTTAAAACACACACGTTTGGCCAGGCACGGTGCCTCACACCTATAATCCCAGCACCTTGGGAGGCTGAGGTGGTAGGATCACTTGAGGCCAGGAGTTTGAGACCAGCCTGGGCAACATAGTGAGACTCGTCTCTAATGAAAAAGAAAAAAAATTAAGTTAAAACACACACACACACACACACACACACACACACACACACACACACAAACTTATTATCTCACAGTTTCTGTTGGTCAGGAATTCAGGTAGGTCCTCTGTTCAGGGTCTCCCAAGGCTGCAATTAAGGTGGTGTCCAGGGCTTTGGTCTCATCTGAAGCACAACTGTGAAAGGATCTGCTTCCAAGCTCACTCAGTTTGTAGAAAAATCCACTTTTTTTTCAGCTATAGGACTAGAGGCTTCAGTTTCTTGCTGTCAGCCAGAGGCTATACTCAATTCTTTGCCACGTGGGTTTCCCCAACATAGCCTCTCACATAGCCAACAGAGAGACTCTAGCAAGACAGATACTACCCTTTTATGTAACATAATTACATACAACTCTTTATCTTTGCTGTATTCGATTGACCAGAAGCAAAAGTTAAATAAATTTAGAAACTTGTTCATAGCTGAAAAAAAAAGTACAGGTACTTGTGACCTTAACTGGTCTCCAGAGGGCAGCAGAGAGTCATTTATACTTGTCAATCTACAAAAAGTGTATATAGCACTTCGTTTTATTTTCAACTTTCCTCTGTTCTTCCTTATGACTAAGCCTTAACAAACTGGGCGGCCAGGATCTGGAAGGCTGTCTGAGGTCATGGATCAAAGTGATGCCAACAAGCCAAAGCAAAGATTCCAATAATGACTTTAATTTAATTTAATATAAACAATTTTTTCTTAAGTCAACTAACCACAATTAAGCATATTTAACCAACACATATTTATGAAAAACTGATGAATACGAAGAATTTAATCATTTCATAGCTTTCTACTCCTAGAAGTATAAAGCATATGGACAAAGAGTAATATTCATTATTCAGCTATATTTTTGAACATTTGATATACATTAGAAATAGATCAATGTCCCAGAAATTGTAGAAGACACAAAGAACTATAAGAGCATGTGTTTTTTGTTTTTTGTTTGTTTGTTTGTTTGTTTTGAGACAGGGTCTTGCTCTATCACCCAGGCTGGAGTGCAGTGGCATGATCATGGCTCACTGCAGCCTTAACTTCCTGGGCTCAAGTGATACTCCCACCTCGGCCTTCCAAGTAGCTAGGACCCTAGGCGCATGTCCCCATGCCCAGCTGATCTTTTTGTATGTTTTGTAGAGGCAGGGTCTCACTATGTTGCCCAGGCTGGTCTCAAACTCCTGAGCCCAAGTGATCTGCCTGCCTCGGCCCCCCACAGTGCTAGGATTATAGGCATGAGCCTGGCCAAAAGCATGTTTTTAAAAACCACGAAATTCTGACTTACTCTCTCATTATAAACAAGAATAATACCGGATAAGATAGATTAAATGCATCTTTTTTTTTTCTTTTAGAGACAGGGTCATGCTCCGTCACTCAGGCTGGAGTATAGCAGCACAATCATGGCTCACTGTAACGTCAGACTCCTGGGTTCAAGCAGTCCTCCCACCTCAGCCTCCTCAGTAGGTAGGACTACAAGCATGTGCCACCATGCTGTCACAGGATCCTTGGGGTGTTGCTTTGCCAGCCAGAAACCTCTGTGGTCAGTGGCACTTTTGCCTGAGTTTTGCCCAGGCCTGCTGTGCTCATTCCACCCGCTTGGCCGGGCAGGCTGTGCTCGGCTCATACTACCAGCCTGGATCCCATGCCTGCCAAGGGCAAGCCAGATGCAGAGTGACAAGGGGTGCATGAGTGAGTGCAGGGTCCAGCCACTACACACAGCTAGGCATGCCAGCTGCAGCAGGGCAGGCAGCACCAGGTGCTGACAAAGGTGCCAGCTCCCTGCAAGGCTGCAGCTGGACCAGGTATACCACAAGTGGCTTCCACTGCTGGCATAGGGGAACACAGTGGCACCTGGAAGCTTGGAGACACCAGGAACTGCAGAGCCCCAAAGAGGGTGTCACAACACTGGCTCAGGGAGCTCCTAGGTCTGGGCGCCCCCAAGGGCTGCAGCTCTTCTCTCCGTCTTGTTGCCTGCAGTGTGGTGAGCGAGGGGTGTGTTTCAGCCCTGTTTTTATTACAGCTTTTTTAGTCCCACCATTTGGTGGGTCCCAAGTTCTCGTCCCACACGCAGGAAGAATGAGATATGCAGACAACTGGAGGGTGAGTAAGGCAAAGAGGTGCTTTATTGAGCAACAGTACAGCTTGCAGGAGATCTGAAGTGGGTAGCTCCTTTCTGCAAGCAGGTCATCCCAGCATCTGCTCAGCTCCCAGCTAAGAGAAGACCCACAGTGGGTAGCTCCTTTCTGCAGGCAGGTCATCCTGATATCTGTTCAGCTCTTAGCTGAGAGAAGACCCCACAGCGAATAACTCCTCTCTGCAGGCAGGTCATCCCCACTTCTGCCAGAGTCTGGCTGAGTCTAGGGTTTTTATGGGCTTCAGAGGGGAGGAAGCTCATGCTGATTGGTCAATGGGCAGCCATAGGTGGGCCTGAAAAAAGCACCATAAGTTCTCACTCCAGTCTGTGGAACTGGCAGCCTGGCCCCCAGGCTTCAGGCCACCCCTGGGTTGAAGGTGGAGCTTCACCAGCGACACATCCCTTTCCACTCGGGAGCCTGTCGCTTCCTGCTGCTGTTCATGGTGCCCAGGCTGTTCATGCCAAGGGACACCTGCAGGCCTGTGCTGTGCCACCCTCAGTGCCCCCTTGGCCTCCCTCCCATGCTTGTTGGCACCCAAACTCTGGAGGGGGCCAAGGCAGCAGAGGGCTGGTGTGTCAGCACCATCCCAAGCACACACACACCTGGCTGGGTCATAACAGCGCCTGGGCTTGGCCACAACTTTGCTTCAAAATCAGAGTGGGTGCCAGGAGTGAGGAGAGGCCAGGCAGCAGGAGTAGGCACTTCCGAGCCTGTGGGAGCAGGGGGGCTTCCTAGGCCCCCAAGAGCACAGGGATGCCTGGGTCTGCAGCCATGGCTGGGCAGCTGCAGCTGCCTCTAGGAGCGTGGAGCTCCCCCATCACCAACTCAGAAGGTGAGCACCACTCCTGCTTGTTCCTGGCTCCTGCCAGCTTAGTAGAGTGTACAGCCCTGGCCATATCTCCCCTGCTGCAGCCGGCATCTTTGCAGCAGCTGCTCCAGACAGGCCACTGCTGAAATGATTACATGGTTTATGGATGAAAAATGAAGTGACAAAAAATATTTATTCTCAGTTGCATAACTGTTTACATAGAAAGCCCCAAAGAGTCTATAGAAAACTTATTAAAATAAACACAAGAATTTAGCAAGATTTTTGGTTACAAAATCAATATATATAAAACTGCTACAGATAATGCTCATTTTCCCTCCTTCCCTCTTTCTCTTTCTTCCTTCCGTCTTCTTCCATTAAATATTAATTAGGCCAGCACAGTGGCTCATGGTTGTAATCTTAGCACTCTGGAATGCTAAGGCAGGAGGATTACTTGAGGACAGGAGTTCAAGACCAGCCTGGATAACATAGCAAGATCCCATGTCATATATATATATATATTTAAATTAACTGGGTGTGCTGGTACATGCCTGTAGTCCCAGCTACTCAGGAGGCTGAGGCCAGAGGATCACTTGAGTCCAGAAGTTTAAGGCTACAGTGAGCTATGAGCACACCCTACATTCCAGCCTGGGAGACAGTGAGATCCCTGTCTCTAAAAAAAAAAAAAAAAAAAAAAAGACCCAAAAATAAAAAGCAAAACAAAGAAAAAAAAAAAACAAATTCAATGAGTCGGGAATTAGTAGAAGCACAGCAGGGATGGCCTATCTCTCCTCTGTAAGACCTGTGACCTCACATAAAAAGAGTCTACATGGCTGGCAGCTGGAGTCATCTGGACGCTTCTCCACTCATATTTTTGACTCCTGGGCTGGGGTGACTCAAAGGCTGGGCTCAGATGAGCCTGGAGACCCAGTAGTACCTACATGTAGATCTTCCATATGGCATGGGCTTTTGTCAGCATGGTAGCTCAATTCAGGGAGGGACAATGTAGAGGGGAAACATTCAGAGTGAATAAGGATGAACTTGCAAGACTTCTTTTGACGTTAACTTAAAAGTCACGCAGCTTCACTTCCTCCACATTCTGTGTTTATCAGCAAGTCACTAAGGGCAGCCCTGATTCAAGGGAGGGGAATCAGATTCCACCTCTTGATGGGAGAGAAACATTGCACAAGAGCAGGTAAGTGGGAGACAGTGTCACAGATGCCTTTGGAAACACAGTTTGGCACAGAGTCACAGAGATCGTTAGCAGAGCAATCTGTCCTGGGATGTTTTCAGCTGCAAGTAACTGAAAAGCCAACTAACAGTGGCTTAGACACTGAGGGGTTGTTATCTCATGAATAAGAGGCCAGAGGCAGGGCAAGTCCAGGGTTACTTTCATGGCTCCATGACATTACCAAGGACCCCTCTGCTTCTTATCTTTCCACCTTGCTACCTTCAGCACATCCAGAGTATCTCAATGTTTGGTTTCACAGTGGCTGCAGCAAATCCAAGCATCAGAAGGAGACATAAAATGTCAAGCAAAGAAAAAGAAAGGGTCTTCCATGAGAACCCTTTTTTTTCTTTCCAATTTTTGTTTTAGGTTCAGAGGGTACATGTACAGGTTTATTACATGGGTAAATTGCACGTCACAGGGTTTGGTGTACAGATTATTTCATCATGCAGGTAATAAGCATAGTACTCAATAGGTAGTTTTTTGATCTTCACCCTCCTCCCACCCTCCACCCTCAAGTAGGCCCCTGTGTCTATTGTTCCCTTCTTTGTGTCCATATGTTCTCAATGTTTAGCTCCCACTCATAAGTAAGAACATGCAGTATTTGGTTTTCTGTTCCAATATTAATTTGTTTAGAATAGTGGCCTCCAGCTCCATCCATGTTGCTGCAAAGGATGTGATTTTATTATTTTTTATGGCTGTGTAATATTCCATGGTGTATATGTACCACATTTTTTTTTATCCAGTCCACCGTTGATGGGCATCTAGGTTAATTTCATGTCTTTGCTATTGTGAGCAGTGCTGCAATGAACACACACATGCAGGTGTCTTTATGGTAGAATGATTTATCTTTCTTTGGATATATAACCAGCAAAGGGATTGCTTGGTCAAACGGTAGTTCTGTTTTAATTTCTTTGAGAAATCTTCAGACTGCTTTCCACAGTGGCTGAACTAATTTACATTCCCATCAGCAGTGTATAAGCAAGTGTTCCCTTTTCTCTGCAACCTCACCAGCATCTGTTATTTTTTTGACTTTTTAATAATAACCATTCTGACCAGTGTGAAGTGATATCTTCAGGAGTCCCTTTTACTGAGAAAGAACAACCTCCTCCAAAATCTCACAGCCAACTCACCTTCAGGTCTCATTGGTTAGGGACCTGACTTTGCCTATGTCTGTGCTATAGCTGAAAAGGGAGCTGGAAGAGGAAGAATCTAGCACTTTGGCTTCTATAGTTGGAAGTGCCCCTGTCAGTAAAAAGCAGTGGGGAGAATGTGCAGTGGAGAGAATGACATTTGAGTAGGCGTCACCACTGTCTGCCACAGGTACAGGTGACCATTCATGCATTTAGCAATCAGCAGCTGGTTGTTAATTACGTACCAGTCACAGCGCTAAAGGCAGAACCACAGCAGAGAGTAACACACAGGAGATCCTTAAGGTTGACAGTCTGGCATGGAACGGAGATACTTCACAAGCAATTACATAATTAAATACAGATGTGTTGAGTGCTATGATAAGAAACTTGTAAACAGTGCCCAAAAAGAAGTATGCAAAAAATTTATTTATGGAAGTATATTGAAATGCGAAGTGAGAATATAGTTATAAATGCTAAACAAAGCACAGAGTCTTTGCTGAGTCTAAGAAAACCACTAAAGGCAGGAATTTTCCCATTGTGAAGGAAAATGAAGCATGTGTCTGGCAGATAGAAATGTCCCTGTCATTAGAAAAGTTAATCCACCAAGGGTCAGAGACCATTCACTGGAATTTACTACAGATTCTCTGAACTCTCTCTTAGGACCATCTGACCTTAGTCTATTCAGCTATGGCCTCACCAAATAAACTTTGGATTACTTTGGTACATGCCCAGGTGTCCTGAATACCAGATTAGAATTTTCCAGTTTCTGGAAAGCATTATAATGTGAGCATAAACAGTCCTAGGCCTGATCCCTCTAAGGTGACCTGAAAATCGAGGAAACAGGCCTTCAGAGCTGGAAACACAGACTGGGAAGCCAAGGTGATCCCCACTCCTTGCACACAGCAGCTGAAGCTAGCCTTGCCCACAACTACGGCACCAGAAACAGAAACTCACCTGGTACATTCCTTTGATAACAGCTATGGCATCAGCTAACTGCTGATTGAAGGATTTTCTCATCTTATCCTCATTCTGCAAACAAAAATAAATGCAATAAGCACCATAATGTATTTCCAAATATGACCCACACCTACTAGGGAGGGACTCATAGTAAAAAAACATCATCTGAATCATCACAATCTATTGAAAACTTCAGTTCATAATCATTTCTCCCACCCTGCAGCCGTTATGACACATTTTATTTTTACTTATACTCAACCAAAAGCAATAGAGAGATCATATAGATAAAATATATACAGATAATTTGAACACTTCATTTCATTTTTCACTTGAGTAAAGTCTTTCAGTGCCTTCCTAGAATTGCTTTTAAAAGTAGTAAAGTCTATTTGTGATGCCTATCTTCTTCTAGTCCTTGTACTTTTTGAATGGAATATGCTCATGAAAAGAAATCTATACAGCTAGTCTGCAAACTAGAGTTATTTTCCGATTAATCAAATGATTTGATTAGATCTGTTTAGATTAACAATAGAAGAGAGTGCATTAAAAATAATACCCATGATTCTCATATCAATTCTGATTTCAGCATGGAGTATAAACAAGAAATAGGCTTTATACTTTTCTAAAAAAAATTTGTTTTTTAATTTATTTTGTAGAGATGGGGTATTGCTTTGTTGCCCAGGCTGATCTCGAACTCCTGGGCTCAGACTATCCTCCTGTTTCAACCTCTCAAAGTGCTGGGATTATAGGCCTGAGCCATCGCCTCCCAGCCTCAAATAGGCTTTAGAGTCAGATGGTATTGAATTTAAATATCATTGCTCCCTTTAACTATCTGTCTGACCTTAAGCAAGTTACTTAACCTTGGCAAGCTGTTTCTTGATCTGTAAATCACGGACAATAGGATTTCCATTTTAACATTTTGAGAGATTTAAAGAGTAAATATATTTTAAGGGCTTAGCATGGTACTTAACATGGTGTGGTCAGCAAAAGATGGTTTTTGTTTGCTTGTTTTTATGGCACAGAAATAATAGTAATGTCCGTTTGTTTTGTTTTTTGGTTTTCTGAGACGGGGGTCTCGACTTGTCACCCAGGCTAGAGTGCAGTGGTGTGATCATAGCTCACTGAAGCCTTGAACTCCTGGGCTCAAGTGATTCCCCTGTCTCAGACTCCTAAGTAGCTGAGGACTACAGGCCTGCAACACCACATCTGGCTCATGCTTTTATTCTTCGTAAAGACAGGGTCTCACGATGTTGCCCAAGCTGGTCTTGAACTCCCAGCTTCAAGCCAGCATCCCACCCTGGCTTCCCAAAGTGGTAGGATTAGAGGCATGTGTGCTTGGCCTCTCCTGTTTTTTAACTGGTGACCTTGAACAAGTTAATTAGCCTTTCTGTGCCTCAGTTTTCTCATCTGTAAAAGAGGGAAAATAATTGTGCCTACTTCATAAGGTAAATGTGAGAATTAAATCAGTTCATATGCTAAGTACTTACACAAGTCCCTGACACATAGTGAAGCTCTGTGTATTAATTACCACATGAGACACAACTAATGCAAATTACACTGCCCTCACAAGTTACTAAATTCTAAACTGCACTGCATACACATCTAAGCACAGTATCAATCCACATAAAACAAAAGAAATAAGAGAACATTTACCTGTTGATAATGCTTTTCAATTTCTAGGATCCTGTCATGCAGAATGGTGAAGAGACTCAAAGATTCCTCTTTCAGTCGGTCCTCAAACTTCAACTGAAGCAATTGTTTGAGGAACCCAAAATCTACCTGGAGGGATTTCATCATCTAAAAATGGAAAATATTATCCTTAGCGAAGTAACACAGGAACAGAAAACCAAATACTGCATGTTGTCACTTGCTAAGTGGGAGCAAAATGATGAGAACTCATGTGCACAAAGAGGGGAGCAACACACACTGGGGCCTACTTACGGTGGTGAGCGGGAGGAGGGAGAGGATCAGGGAAAATACCTAGTGGGAAGTAGCATTAGTATCTGGGTGATGAAATCATCTGTACAACAAACTCCTGTGACATGAGTTTACCTATGTAACAAACCTGCATATGTACCCCTGAACCTAAAAGTTAAAATATATATATATATACACACATTAAATAAAAATGGAAAAAATGTACATTATGATAGAGAGTAAAGGTCCTCTGTGTAAAAATTCCAATTCATTCTCTGGTTCTGGACATATAAGCTGGGTTCCTGGTCAGAGGTCTGTCCTGATTTTTAAGATGATTGTATGCATTGTGGAATTCCAGTAATTCCATCCTAGGTGGCCAGGCTTTCAAAGTGACAATTAATTTGCCAAACTAAGATATGATGATGGACTAAAAGACAAGAGTTTCCTAGCAGTTTCTTCCCACACAGAAGAAAATATCTGTGTTAATATTGGCCTTGTCATACCTCAAAAGGTATAGTTCTCAAGATGTGGATTTCAGATCAGAAAAGAGAGGCAAGAATCATCATTTGCTGAGAATCTACTAGCACAAGCATTTAAATATGTAACCAGCATGTTGACTAAGAACCATTTGTAATAATCAAAACACAATGTATTTTTATCTGCCCCCATCTATTTAAAATGTATTCACTAGGGCTCCCACCTGTAATCCCAAAACTTTGGGAGGGTAAGGTGGGTGAAACTCAGGTGAGCCCAGGAGTTTGAAACCAGCCTGGGCAATAGAGTGAGACTCCAGCTCTTCAAAAACTTAAAAGAAGAAAAAAAGAGAGATCTAAAAAAAAAATTTATTCTCTATGTAATCTTCCCCTGCTCTGAATGGAAACGACAAAATCCCATGACTTCTCTATTCATTCATGGGAACATAGTCCTACATCGCTACAAATACAGCCTCAGAGTAGCATTTAGAATATAACTACCAGGTGAGGTGGCTCATGCCTGTAATCCCAACACTTTGGGACGCTGAAGTGGACAGATCACCTGAAGTCAGGAGTTTGAGACCAACCTGGCTGACATGGTGAAACCCTGTCTCTAATAAAAATACAAAAAATTAGCCAAGTGTGGCAGTGCGCCCCTGTAATCCCAGCCACTTGGGAGCTTGAACCCGGGAGATGGAGGTTGCAGTGAGCCAAGATCGCACCACTGCACTCCAGCCTGGGCAGCAGAGCAAGACTCCGTCTAAATATATATATATATATATATATATATATATATATATATATATATATATATATATATATACACACACACACACATATGAGTTAAAATGCTTCCAACTTCATTCATAAGGTTTTTCCCTTTACTCCAAGCTGAGAGTAATGAAAAAGAGTGATTCACCCTTGAGCTCTCTCTGCTCACCTCCTCACCAGCACCCGAGTGGCTGTATCTCCACAAGCAACAAGGCAGCAGTGATAGAGGGGCAAGGATGTTCCTATCTGGTGGGGTGGCTTCACCATGGTGCTACAGGACAGGAGAACTAACTCCTCTTCTTCCCTTGGGCACTGATGTAGATTCTCTAGAGATTCTGATTGCTGGGACCCTCTCTTTTGTAGCTATATCTTGACCTAAGCAGATGCTTCTCTACTCTGAGTGGTCACTTGCTACTCCTTCCTCAGGTTCTATGAATCTGGAGTTCACCTCTTTCTTCTCCCTGCTGTTAGGGGTCCTTTGTTCTTCCAGATAACTCTCCTGGACAGGACCCAAAATGACCCTACACTGGTTTCACCTCTCTCTCTCTCAAGGCCACATATGGTTTACGGGAAACAATTACACATCCTTTACCCCAATAACTCTGGAAGTGCAGACTGATCCCAATCAAGCCATTCTATCTTCTCATCACAGCCCCCTTTGGCTTCCTCAAGCATGAGTCAAGCACCAGTCCTTTGTGTCTTCTAATAGCAGCAAATGCATTCAAGCTCCATTGAAGCCTGCCTTCCTAGCTTTGAGTTGAGGAGGATTGCTTCTGCTGCCCTTCTCCCATAAGAACCATGGCAATAGTTCTTTCTAGAGTCTGCTTTGGCAGTTTTTTCTCTTCATTCCCTGACCTTCTTTATTGTCCTTGATCTGATTCAAAAGCTGAGAGACATTTGTCTAATGTGAAACATTCCCCTTGCAAAATCTGCAAATGGTTTCTAACTCACAGTTAGTTTGGAACTTGACGCCTGGTGTACTGGCATCCTGGGAAGAATTTCATTTTAGTATCCTCATACTATATAGGAGGTTTTATTTTACTGGTGAGAATATCAAGACTTTGAGAGGTTAAGTGACAGTGTTTGGGTGGGGTCCCAGGTGAAAAAAAAATCAGAAAGGGGAACTCTAAAATCACTGTAAAAACTTTGAACAAGCCAGGCATGATGGCTTATGCCTGTAATCCCAGCACTTTGGGAGGCCAAGGAGGAAGGATCACTTGAGGCAAGCAGTTTAAGACCAGCCTAAGCAACATAGTGAGACCTCATCTCTACAAAAAATTTAAAAATTAGCCAGGCGTGGTGGTGTGTAGCCTGTAGTCTCAGCTACTTGGGAGGCTGAGATGGGATGATCACTTGAGCCTAGGAGTTTGGGGCTGCAGTGAGCTATGACTGTGCTACTGCATTCCACCCTGGGCAACAGAGGGAGACTCTGTCTCATAAACAAAAAAGCAAAAAACAAAAATGAAACCTACCTCTGAACAAACCTCTGGCTCATCCCTGAGAGATACATACATGGGGCAGACTGCAAATAGCCCAGCTAGAGATAATATAACAAAACCAAGATTTGGGCTGCTAAAAAAAAAAAAAAAGATATAATTTTCTGTTTTAATCCAAACAAGTTAATTGTGTGCAAAAAAAAAAAAAACAAAAAACAAAAAAACAAAACCAATAACAACAACAACAAAAAAACTTCAGCATTCTTTAGGGGACTATATCAGAACCCAGAAGATAACATCCACACTGTCCACAATATAATCCAAATTACTTGGATTATATATATAAAAAAAAAAAACAGGAAAATGTGATTCAGTCTCAAGACAAAAGATGATTGAAACCAATTCCAATATTACCAAAATGTCAGAATTGCCAAAGATGTTAAAGCAGTTATTATAACTATGCATGATGAAGCAAAGCAAAATATGCTGTAATAAATGAAAAAAGGAAATATCAACAAACAGAAAATTTTGATAAAGAAAACAAATTCCCAAATTGAAAAATACAATATCCAAAATTTGAACTTCACTGAAAGTACTTAACAGAAGAACAAAGATGGCAGAAAAAAACTGTGAACTTGAAGATGTATCAATAAAAAATAGAAAGAAGAAAGATTTTTAAAATTTTACAAAATGGACAGAGTTTAGGGACTTGTGAGTTAATAATGAGAAGTCTAACATACAAGTAATTGGAGAGGATAGAAAAAGTGGGGTGGAACAAATATTTGAAGATATATTTAGTGGCTCCAAATCTCCCAAATTTGGTGAAACATGCAGATTGTAGATGCTTAATTTATTTATCCAAGCAGGATAAATGCATCAAAACCACACTTAGGTACATAATAATCAAGCTGTTGAAAACCAAAGATTAAAAGAAAATGTTGAAAGCAGACAGAAAAGAAACAGCTACATACAGGGGAATAACATTTGGAATGACTAATAATGGTTATTTTCTTAGACACTATTAAAGCCTACAGAGCAATTGTAAAGTGAGAAAACAAAACAAAACACAACTTGTCAACCCGGAATTCTATATTCAATGTAAAAACATTTTAAATAAAACAGAAATTCTTTGCCTACAGTAGGAGAATAGCTAAATAAAGTTTTTTAGGCTAAAGAGAAATAATTTGGGCTGGAAAGCTAGATCTTCAGGAAATAATAAAGAGCAAAGGAAATTGTAAATATCTAGGTACATATAAAATACTAGCTTTCCTCTTATTAGCTTAAAATTTATAGCACTGTTTAAAGCAAACATCATGAGTTTGTAATGTATGTATAATAGATGCAATACGTATGATACTCAGCATAAAAGATGGGAGGGTGGTAAACAGTTACAAGGTTATTGCGTTTTACATGAAGTTGTGCAATATTAATGCTAAGTACACTATAATCCTTGCTGAACAAAGGGTCAAAAGATCTTTAGAAATAATGAAAATTAAGCGCAGAAAGAAGTACTGAGATATGGGAAAGAACGATGAGCAAAGAAATTGGTAAATTTGAGTAAATCTAAACAAGCATTAATTGCATAAAACAATATGAAGAGTTAACTGCAAAAATATTAGGAGAAAACAACTGAAATACTTGATAATAATAATAAAAAAGACAGAAGGACACAATTAGAGATAAAGGTTCTACATTTCTTGTACTGTACGGTAGAAATTACAAATTCTAGTCAACTGTTGAATGTTCAAATTTGAGATTAATCATTAAAAGAATAAAGATAAAATAGTTAATTATTAGTAGAGGAGAGAATAGAAACTAAAGAAAAGTTAATACAATCATTGGAGAGTAGGGAAGGAGAAAAAAGGTATAGAAAAATAAGATAAAGAGAAATTAAAAAAGAAATTGGCAGAAAATACAAATTTATCAGTAGTCAAAATTAATACTAATAGAATAAATTAGCTATTAAAAGAAATTATTAGGTTGGATTTTTCAAAACTATATACAATTTATAAGAGATATATCTAAGACACAACACAGAAATAATGTCAGTGTAGAAATCAGAACGATTTACCAGGTAAATACTAGCCCAAAGAATGTTGATACAGATAAATTAACATTGAACAAAATGGACAATATGGCCAAAGCCTTCATATAGAAAAAATACATAAATTCAATAATTAATAAATACAGATTTTTTAAAATTTCCTGGCCAGGCACGTTGGCTCACACCTGTAATCCCAGCACTTTGTGGGGCTGAGGTAGGCAGATCACGAGGTCAGGAGTTTGAGACCAGCCTGGCCAACATGGTGAAACCCCATCTCTACTAAAAATACAAAAATTATCCGGGCGTGGTGGCGTGCCCCTGTAATCCCAGCTACTCAGGAGGCTGAGGCAGGAGAATCGCTTGAACCTGGGAGGTGGAGGTTGCAGTGAGAAGAGATCGCACCACTGCACTCCAGCCTGGGTGACAGGGCAAGACTCCATCTCGGGGGAGAAAAAAAAAAAATTCCTGCATCTATGCCACATTGACAAAGACTGACCTCACACAAAGCCTCAACACAAATTGCAACAAACACCAGATAATTTGTTGCACAAGGACTGCGTTCTCCAACAAGAAAGCACTGAAGTTAAAAATCAGCAATATAAAAATATTCTAAAAAGCATCTTTGAAAATTTAATAACTTTCTTATTATACAGTTGAAATGAACAAATGAAAAATTCGAGTATTTAAATTTAAATACTAATAAAAATACTATATTTCAAAGTTTGTAGGAGCTAAAAATGTAGTTAGTGGGAAATTTGTAGTTTTAACTGCCTATAAAAGAGAAGAAGAAAGCCTCAAAATCTACGATCTATAGGCATTGGTAGCTGTCAGCCCAATATCCGGCATCATGGTTCTTCTTTACTGATGGAACCATGACATTGTCTCGGGCGGCAATGTGCATAGCTAAAATACTTCTCTATAGCTCCTTGTAGGTCAAGTGATCATGTGATACAGTTACGGCCAAAGAAACATATGGCAAGGCTTTCTATGGAAAGTTTTTGCTTTCCTAAGATAGCTATTACCACTCCTCCCTACTTCTCCCATATTCTCCTTCCATAGAAGCTGGAAGGGGAGCAGCCATCTTGCTACTGGATCAGAACTAGGGCAGCAAAAGTCAGGCACTAATGGTGGAGATGTGAGAAGATAAAATGAATCTACATCACACAGATCAGAGAGCTACTGCACTAACTCTGGATTCTCTAACTCTATACCTCTTGATATTTTATGAAGCCAATGCAGTTGTTTTTTCTAAACACGGAGCTATATGCTATCCTAATTGATACCCAGATCCAACTCAAGAGATTAAAAAAAAAAAAAAAAAGCCAGGCACAGTGGCTCACACCTGTAATCCTAACATTTTGAGAGGCTGAGGCAGGAGGATCGCTTAAGCTCAGAAGTTTGAGGCCAGCCTGGGCAACATAGTGAAACCCCATCTCTACAAAAAATTGTAAAAATTAGCCAGGTGTGGTGGCATGTGCCTGTAGTTCCAGCTACTCAAGTGGCTGAGGCAGGAGGATCACTTGAGCCCAGGAGGTCAAGGCTGCAGTGAGCCATGATTCTGCCACTACACTCCAGCCTGGGCAACAGAGTGGACCCTGTCTCATAAACGAACAAAAAAAAAAAAAAAAAAAAGAAAGAAAGAAAGAAAAAAAGAAAAGAAAGAAAGAGTAAACAGAAAGGAATAAGGAATAATAAATATAGGGAAATAAATTTATGAACTAGAAAATAAAGATACAATATAGAGGATTAATACATCCTAAAATTGAGTGTCTGAAATAAAAAATAATGAAATAGACAATTCTGCCAAGAGTCACTAAGAAAAAAGAGAGGAGATATGCAGACAATATCAGACAACATTAAACATTTAAAAAGGAATATAACTACAGATACAATACTTAAAAATAATAAAAGACAATAAATATTATACCAATAATTTGAAGATTTACCAAAAATAAATACTTTAATAGAAAAACATAACATCAAAAGTGACCCAGAATATTTAAGAAAATGGGAATACATACATAACAAAATAACAATAGCAATAAAAATAAGCACAGTTTTACATGCCAGTTCTAACAAACATTGAAGAAATAGATATTCCCAATCTTATGTGAAGTATTCCAGAGAATAGACTAGGGAACACTTCTCATTTTATGAGGATACTGTGATCTTGGTACCAAGATTGAACAACAATAGTGTAAGAAAAGAGTATTATAGAGTATAGCCTGGGTAACGTAGCAAGACTCTATCTCTACCAAAAATTTAAAAATTAGTTGGGCAAGGTGGTGCACTCTTGTAATCCCAGCTACTCAGGAGGCTGAGGTGGGAGGACTGCTTGATTCCAGGAGTTCAAGGTCACAGTGAGTTATGATTGTCACTGCACTCCAGCCTGGGCAACAGAACAAGAACTTGTCTCAAAAAAAAAAAAAAAAAAAGAAAAGAAAAGAAAAAAATTATAGGGCAATCTCGCTTAAAACAGAGGAAAATAAATCCTCAATAAAATAATAGCAAATAATGCAGAAATGCAAAAGGAAATATTATGATCCAGTTAGGTTTATTTCAGGAAGTCAAGGATGGTTTACTATTCAAAAACCAAATTTTACCACATCATCAGATAAAGGAGAAAAGCCATATGAGTGCATGATCATCTCAATAAGTCCATGAAAAGTATTCAAACCCAGTCATACATGATTTTTTTAAATGCCTCTTATTAATTAGAAATAGAAGAAGACATCCTTAATCTGATTTAACATTTGTATCAGATTTTGGTTCAGCTATAACAAAAAATCCAAATAGCCAGGTTTGGTGGCTCATGCCTGTATTCCCGACACTTTGGGAGGCCAAGGCAGGAGGATCACTCGAGGCCAGGGATTTGGGACCAGCTTGGGCAACATATTGAGACTCTGTCTCTACAAAAAAATAGAAAAAAATATTAGCCAGCTGTGGTGGCACACACCTGTAGTCCCAGCTACTCAGTAGGCTGAGGTGGGAGGATCACTCGAGCCCAGGAAGTCAAGGCTGTTGTCACCTATGATCCTGCCACTGCAATCCAGTCTACGTGACAGAGTGAGACCCTGTCTCAAAAAATAAAGCTCACGCCTGTAATCCCAGCACTTTGGGAGGCCGAGGCAGATGGATCACGAGGTCAGGAGATAGAGACCATCCTGCCTAACAAGGTGAAACCCTGTCTCTACTAAAAATATAAAAAATTAGCCGGGCGTGGTGGCCGGCGCCTGTAGTCCCAGCTACTCGGGAGGCTGAGGCAGGTGAATGGCGTGAACCTGAGAGGCGGAGGTTGCAGTGAGCTGAGATCGTGCCACTGCACTCCAGCCTGGGCGACAGAGCAAGACTCTGTCTCAAAAAAAAAAAAAATCAAAATAACAGAAGCATAAACGAGAAATAAGTTAATTTCTCTCCCTAGAAATCTACCTTGGCAATCAATGGGTGAAATGATCTAAGATTCTTCCGTCTTATTACTCTGCTGTATATTGTTTCAACCTCACGGTTCAAACAGTAGGATCCATGCTCTAGCGGAAGAAGTAAGAAAAGGAAGGAAACTAGGAAAAAAGGAAGGAAAACCGGGAAGGGAAGGGGAGGGAAACTGGTAAGGGAGGGAAGGGGAAGGAAACCAGGAAGAAAGGGGAGGGGAGGGAAACCGGGAAAAGAGGGGAGGGGAGAGAAACAGGGAAGGGAGGAGGGAGGGGATAGGAGGGGAGGGGACTGGGACGGGAACCAGGACAGGAAGGGAGAGGAACCGAGACGGGAACCAGGAAGGGAAGGGAAGGGAACCGGGACGGGGAAGGGAAGGGAAGGGAAGGGAAGGGAAGAGGGAAGGGAAGGGAAGGGAGGAGGGAAGGGAAGGGAAGGGAAGAGGGAAGGGAAGGGAAGAGGGAAGGGAAGGGAAGGGAAGAGGGAAGGGAAGGGAAGAGGGAAGAGGGAAGGGAAGAGGGAAGGGAAGGGAAGGGAAGAGGGAAGGGAAGGGAAGGGAAGAGGGAAGGGAAGGGAAGGGAAGAGGGAAGGGAAGGGAAGGGAAGAGGGAAGGGAAGGGAAGGGAAGAGGGAAGGGAAGGGAAGGGAACAGGGAAGGGAAGGGAAGGGAAAAGGGAAGGGAAGGGAAGGGAAAAGGGAAGGGAAGGGAAGGGAAAAGGGAAGGGAAGGGAAAAGGGAAGGGAAGGGAAAGGAAGGGAACCGGGATGGGGAAGGGAGGGGAGGGGAACCTGGAGAGAAGGGGAACCGGGAGGGGAGGGGAGGGGAGAAGGGAAGGGAAGAAGGGAAGGGGAAAGGAAAGGGAAAAGGGAAAGGGAAGGGAAGAAGGGAAGGGGGAAGGGAAAAGGGGAAGGGAAGGGGAATGGAAAGTAGCAGGAAGGGAAAAAGTGAAGGGAGAAGTAACAGAGGGCGCATGTGAACCGTGTCTCAAAGAAGGTTCCTCAGAGCTGCCACAGACCATTCCCATCTGAATCCTACTGACCAGAACGTGGTCATTTGGACACACTTAGTTACGAAAGAATAAAATTATAAAATGTTTCTGAAAGTATAAAAGAAGACAATAAATTGGCAAATATGTAGGAAAGAGACATCCTCAAAAGTTACTAGCGGGAGTGTAAATTGGTAAAATCTCTATGCAGGGCAATTTGGCAATATCCTTCAAAATGACTAATGCATACATCCTCTGACTCAGAAATTCCACTTTTAAGAATTTACATCACAGATTTACTGGCATATGAGTATGTGCAGGATTATTCATCACAGTAAAATATTAGAAATGACCAAAATGTCCATCAATATGGAAAGCTAAATATATGATGCACATTTTGTGATGTAATGTACTTGTGAAATAAATGAGGAAACTCTATGTGTCAATATAGAACGACTTCCAAGTGTAAAAACAAAATCAAGGTAGACAAGAGTATAGTGGTATGCTACCTCATGTAACAGCTTTGTTGATTAGGGTTTTTAATAATAACTCTTGATCTCCAACGTACATGCAATACTATGCTCCTTTACAATCAAAAAAGATCCAGGCCAGGCACGATGGCTCACACCTGTAATCTCAGTACTTTGGGAGGCTGAGGTGGGTGGATTGCTTGAACCCAGTAGTTCAATAGCAGCCTGAAAAACATGGCAAAACCTCATCTCTACAAAGCATACATAAAATTAGCTGGGCATTGTGGCATGCACTTGTAGTCCCAGCTACTTGTGAGGCTGAAGTGGGAGGATCACCTGAATCCTGGAGGTGGCGGCTACAGTGAGCTATGATCACACCTCTGCCTAGGTGACAAAGTAAGACACTGTCTCAAAAAAAAAAAAAAATTCAAAGAAAATATAACAAAATGTCAAAATTTGACAAAGCTGGATGGTGGGTTACACAGTTATTCATTATATATGCAAAGATGTTTGATAATTTTTTAAAGTGTCATAAATAGAAAATGTTCACAGATGTCAAAAGAATTTCCAACAGAGTAACAAAATACTTTATTAAACAAATTAACATGTAAGTATGACATAAATATAAGTAGTAGCTTATATTAATAATTTGTTAAAGCACAGCTATCATTCAGCTGTTTGTCAAAGATGCTAACATTTTAAAAATTTTAATTATTTCACTTTTGTCTATGAAAGAAACATGAAGGCAATTAACGCCAAAAATTATCTCAGAAGTTTCAGAACAAATTCAGATTTACCTGTGCTAACTTTTGCGTAGATGAACTCAATTCTTTTACTGACAGTATTTCACTGGAATCAGTTTGAGTGGCATGGTCTGTGCTGAAAAAGCCAATCTTTAAATCATCTGAAATGTTAAGTCTGAAAACAAAGGAAATGAAATGTGCTTTAAGTCATAGATATTTTCTTAGAAATAGATGTTAATGCGTCTTTTTTTGTGTAAATCATATCGTATTTTAAGTATTCTAAGAGGTTGGTGAGGTGAGGAAGCCTCTGAATTAGCTCTTGTGATCTGGAGCTAATGAAGATAATGAGATTATCAAATTCCCTGGACTGAGGCATATTGCTCTATGGTTAGTCATCTGATTTCCACTTTTCTGAGATATGATCAATTTATATACCTGCTTTTAATATCTTCCATACTGTTATTGCCTGTGCTACTGCTGGAAATAATTCTAGATTATGCATAGGCCTATTCAGCAGAAATCCTTTAAGACAGTGGTTTTCAAAGTATGGGCCGAGGACCCCTGGGGTTCTGGGATACTCTATTAGAAAATCTGTGAGATCAAATTAATTTTATAATAGTATTAAGATTTTATTTGTCTTTTTACTGTCATTCTCTCACAAATGTTCAGTGGAGTTTTCCAGAGGCTACAGATTATACAGAAGCAGCTATGAGAATTCAGCTCTCTTCCATTAAGCCAGGCATGGAAAAGCTTTGCAAAAATGTAAAACAGTGACACTCTTCTCATGAAAGTTTTTGTTTTAGAACAATACAGCTAGTTTTTCTTTAAAATATGCTATTTCCAGCTACTATAGAGGCTGAGGCAGGAGGATTGCTTGAGTCCAGGAGGTTGAGGCTGCAGTGAGCTATGAAAGCACCACCACACTCCAGCCTGGGCAACAGAAAGAGCACATGTTTCAGAAAAATAAAATAAAATAAATAAAACATGGTATTTCTATTAACACATACCTGATTTATCCTTATTTTAAGTGAATCAATATATTTTAATTTTCTTCTTTTAAATTTCCAATCTGGCAACTATCAATAGATAGGACCAACATAAACTAAATCTCTTTGAGGGTGCCAATAATTTTTTAAGACTACAGAGAGGTCTTGAAACCAAAAAGTTTGAGAATTGTTTCTTTAAGATGATCATACCACCTTCCTATATTTGATTTTCAAGCATTATTCCTGAAAAATGTGAATAGGCCAGGAACAAGTGTTTGTAAATTCCTTCTACAGATTTCTAAGGATAGGCATCTCAAACAGCATTAAGAAGGCAATTTTCTGGATGCACTCTGTCAATTTGATCAAACTTACCACAACTGTTTCTAAAATGTCAGCTAAAATAAGAGAACCACAAAAGCCCAAGTAGAATTATCAGACTTCTCAGTGTAGGTGCCAAAGGCAGAATGTCTGTGCTTCTATCCCACCTCTTCTGCTGACGAGAGCATACCCCCATGCGGGGCACCCCATGGCAACTCCCCTCTTCTTGCATGCTGGCCAAACCTCAGATTTGTCCCCCACAGAACTCAGATGAAGTTGACCATATCCACAGTGCCAAGTATAACTCCAAGCTGGGCTAAGCCCATCACAGTTATCCCACTCTGCTTGGCAGTGGATGTCCAGGGACGGGTGTAGAACCCAGGTCTGAAGAGGGAGACATTAGGAAGGGTCTGTTGGGGGCTAGTAAGAAAGGTTTTTAGACTCCTACAAAGGGGGCACCAGAGGAGAGGTTTCTTCTTTGTCTCTGGACATTGCCAAGGGTGGAAGTAATGCCAAGAACTGGCACAGTCACTAGGTGACTACAAGGGGGGCCAGCCAGGGCATAGATGATGAGCTTTCAAAAAAGATGGAAATAGGTTGGGCGCAGTGGCTCATGCCTATAATCTCAGCACTTCGGGAGGCCAAGGCAGGAGGAGCACTTGAGGTCAGAAGTCTGAGATCAGCCTGGCCAATATGGCAAAACCCCGTCTCGACTAAAAATACAAAATTAGCTGGGTGTGGTGGCACGTGCCTGTAATCCCAGCTACTCGGGAGGCTGAGGGACAAGAATAGCTTGAACCTGGGAGGCAGAGGCTGCAGTGAGCCGAGATCGCACCACTGCACTCCAGCCTGGGTGACAGAGCAAGATTCTGTCTCAAAAAAAAAAAAAAAAAGATGGAAATAAATTTGACTGATGACTTTGCTCAGCCATTGACTCAATTAGCTCTGAAACCTGTCATACCTCCAGTCTCCCTGTAATGTCATAGAGTAAGTGCAATTGTTGGCAGTTTCTGTCAACTGTAGCTGAAAGCATCCTGACTGATACTGTAGCTAAGTGACATTAGATAAATTACTAAACCTTTCTGTGCCTTAGTTTCCTCTTATGGAAAATAATAGTCCCCACTTCATAGACTTACTGTGAGAATTTAGTGTGTTAATACTTAGAAGTATTTTGAATGAACCTTCATACAACAGTAAGCCCTCAAGAAATGTTACTCATTATTAGTACTGCAGTGGTGGTGGTTTCTACTGTCACTCTGATGTTTTGAAATGTCATAGTTTTTTCATCATATTTGGAAAAAACTATTAAAGCAGAGCAATATCAACTAAAAAAGGCCATTTAACATGAAAACTCCTTGATATTCAAAATAAAGATCTTCAGTTAATCCCACAAAATTTTCAGCTTTCCATATACTAATTACAGTAAACAAGTAAATAAAAATATGCGATATATTCTGAGGTAGTGGTGAGCCTCATTTCTCATTACATACACTCCATGTAACTTACTCATGTGTCACATATCTACTAGTTAAATGTTCCCCCAAATACATCTGTACCTTAACAGTACCCTCAGCCTAGGATTAAGTCTCCCCACAGTTGTACCTATCAAAATCATATGTAACCACTTTCTTTTCTACCTTCTTTTGCCTTCCATTCTCTTCCCTTCTCAGGGTGAAGGAATCAACATAGTGGTCAATGACATGGGGCCATAAAAAAAACTGGGAGTCAGGCATAGAAGAACAGCAAGCCTGGTGGCTAAGAATGTGGGTCAGTTGGGGGAACAGGGGCAGCAGCACAGAGGTGGCAGACAGAGGAGAGGACCACAATAGTGGGAGACTGGATACATTGAATGAGTAAGTAAATGTTCTCAAAATGACAGAAGTCAAGTTTTTCAGTTCTAGGAAAGATATTTACAAACATAGGGAAAGAGTAGACTAGAAAGTTCTCTGAGACAATGGAATGGAATGGGAAGAATTGGTATGAATGCGTACTTTTATAAATATAGATAAATAGATATATAAATAGTTGTAGGTGTATATATGTGTGCACATATATATGTGAACATATATCATATACATGTGCATATATTTATACATATCTGTTTCTAGTTCTGTCCAATGAGAGGGCCTAGAAGAATGGCACTCCAGTAGTGATGAGCACATCTAACACTCAGATGTTGGTTTCTTTTCTTTCTTCTCCTTTTTGTTTCAGTATATTT
Source organism: Homo sapiens (assembly GCF_000001405.40). NCBI lineage: Eukaryota > Metazoa > Chordata > Mammalia > Primates > Hominidae > Homo > Homo sapiens. The sequence continues at coordinate 23,336,530 of NC_000010.11, forward strand.
TTTGAGACAGAGTCTTGCTTTGTCACCCAGGCTGGAGTGCAGTGGTGTGATCTCAGCTCACTGCAATCTCTGCCTCCTGGGTTCAAGTGATTCTCACGCCTCAGTCTCCGAAGTGGCTGGGATTACAGGTGTGGACCATCACACCTGACTAATTTTGTATTTTTAGTAGAGATGAAGTCTCCCCATGTTGGCCAGGCCGGTCTCAAACTCCTGGCCTCAGTGATCCACCTGCCTCGGCCTCCCAAAGTGCTGGGATTACAGGTGTGAGCCACCGCACCTGGCCCTAGATGTTGGTTTCTAAAAACCATCCTCCACTAAAAGCAATGAAGTCTCCTTGAAAAAATGGTTCATTCCAAGATTGGAATAAAAGTATATAAAATTATAGAAAGCAAAAGTATAAAATGAGCCTGGAACATTTTGTTTGCCATAAAGTGAAGAAATGCTCAAAAGATGATGGGAAAATGTAAAAATGATGAAGAAACTAGATTGAAGAAACAACCACTGGCCATATATGACAATTTAAGCATCAAAATAAATAATGAAAGCATCAGATTATAACCCATTGAATAAAATAGGAATCCATCAATCCATACTGATATGAATGAATGAATGAATGAATGAACAAATAAATGAGGATGGGAAGCTCTAATAAATATAGAAAAAAAGCAGAGAATTACCACATGGCAGTCATCATAAAAGTGACATTAAGATAGGAGTCATCAGGCTGGGTGCAGTGGCTCACACCTGTAACCTCAGCACTTTGGGAGGCTGAGGTGGGTGGGTCACTTGAGCTTAGGAGTTCGAGACCAGCCTGGCCAACATGGCGAGACCTTGTCTCTACAAAAAATGCAAAAATTAGCCAGGTGTGGTGGCAAACACCTGTAGTCCCAGGTACTTGGGAGGCTGAGGTGGGAAGATCACCTGAGCCTGGGAGGTTAAGGCTGCAATGAGCTTGGATTGTGTCACTGCACTTCAGCTTGGATGACAGAGTGAGATCCTGCCTCAAAAAATAAAAATAAAAGAGAGGAGTCATCATTGGTGACTATGGCTGGTTAGAATAAGTTTTAGAAAAAAGTAAATTGTAATACCTAGAAAATAGTAATTTATTCCAAAGAAAAGAATGGTAAATTTAAAATAGAGAACTTTGGTAGGCACCAACTCAACAAGGTCAAGGTTAATGAGGGGAAAAATTGAACCATGCCTACTAAAGTTGAAGCCCTGAGAACCCAACCCGAGAAGTTCTTTATGACCAGGTGACTGAGGGAAAAAACCTCAAGCCTGATTCACAGATGGGTTCCTCACCAGCTGGTAGTTACCTGCAGTCTCACAGCCACACTCAGAAGTGACCCTGAATGACACAATCATGAAGGAAAATCCTCTCACTGAATAAACTGAAAGCAGTATATTTGGTTGTCTACTTTTTCTGGATGAAGGATGGCCAGAATTATGTATTGACATTAATTTATGGGCAGCTGCTAAACAGTTAACAAGATGGTCAGGAACTTGGAAGGAACAGATTGAGAGATGGATGTCAAGAATGTCTGGGAAGAGTTCTGTGGATGAGCCTTTGAAAATGGGCACAGACTGTAAAGGTGTTTGTGCGGCATCTGAATGCCCACCCAAGGGAATCCCCTACAGAGAAAGTAGTTAAATAATTAGGCAAAATGACACACTCTGTGGATATCGTTCAGTTTCCTTTTGCAGCCACCCCTGCTTGCTTGATGGCCCTCGAACAAAATGGCCATGGTGTCAGGAGTTCAACAATGTGGTTTTCCCCTTACCAAGGCTGGCCTGGCTACCACAGGTGCTGAGTGTCTAACTAGTCAACAGCAGAGATCAATACTGAGCTCCCAACGTGGCAGCATGAACCACAGGGAATAGCCAGCCACCTAGCGACAGGTTGATAGCACTGAACTTCTTCCATCATCCTCACCGGAACACACATTTATTTTGGATATGGATTTGCATTCCCTGACTATACTGCACTGGCCAGAACCACCGAGCATGAACTTACAGAACATCTTATCCATCATCACGGTATTCTCACAGCACCACTTCCCATCAAGGAACTCATTTCACAGCAAAAGACAGGCAGCAATGGATTCATGCCCATGGAATTCAGTGATCTTATCATATAACCCATCACCCAGAAGTGGCTCGCCTAATAGGTTAAATAGCTTACTGAAGATTCATTTAAGGCCAGGCACAGTGGTTCACGCCTGCAATCCCAGCACTTTGGGAGGCCGAGGCGGGAAGATCACTTGAGCCCAGGAGTTCAGGAATGGCCTGGGCAACATAGTGAGACCCTGTCTCTACAAAAAAATAAAAATAAAAAAAATAAAATTAGCTGGGCATGGTGGCACACACCTGCACTGCCAGCAATATTTGGGAGAAGCAAATCCATGAAAGAATGCAGTTCTGTCTCACAGGATGCAGTATATGCTTTGAAACAGTATATGGTGCTATCTCTCCTACAGTCATAGGTCCAAGAATGAAGAGGCACCTCTCACTCTTATGCCTCATAACTCACGCCCAAAATTATAGTTTCCTGTCTCTGCAACTTTAGGATCTGCTGGTTTGGAAGTCTTAGTTCACAAGGGAAGAATGTTTCCAGCAGAAAACATAACAGAAATTCTATTGAATTAGATGACACTGATGACTGGTCACTTTGTGATCCTTATGCTGCTGAAACAAAGGCAGAAAAGGGAGTCACTCTACTGGCTGAAGTGGATTGATTCTGAATACCAAGGGGCAATTGGGTTGCTGGTGAACAACGGAGTCAAGGAGAACTCTGTCTGGAACCCAGAGGATTCTTTGGGGTGCCTCTTAGTGTTTCCGTGCCCAGTAATAAAGATTAATGGAAAAAAGGCAGCAAAAAAAAAAAAAAAAAAAAAAGGCAGAACTTTTAAAAGTCAGGACTTCCAGGAACGAACATTTGGATCTCGCAGCTAGGTAAGGAACTTTGACCTGTCTGTACCTTTCAGCAAGTTTCGCAGCCACTGGGCAAGCCATCCCTGCAGACCAGCAGTTGTCACACCCTCTGGCAAGTTTCTCTCCCACCATGTCTTCTCCAAAGAGGTATCATTCCTAATCTCAGCCTTTGAGGGCGGGTCTTCTAACTCCTTAGTTTCTGCCCTGTTTCCTCTTCCTCAGACCTGGAGGTCATAGCTGCTTTTTGTGTTTGCTATCAGTGTATTGTCTAGAGTCTTCTTTTACCACCTTACTGCCTTTCACTAGTTAAAAATCCTTCTTACTATTTAACAGAGAACAGGAAATAGTCCCTGTTGAAATTAGCAGTGAGGTTTCTGCCTCCTGTCTGGACCCTGAGTGCTACATCAATATAGTAAATATAAACAGCCATGGGAACTAATTCTGTTTCTGTATAGTCTACACTGCTGCACATTTAACAGATCCCAGTGATTCACTTTTCCAGTCTAGAAATGCAATCCTTTACCCTACCCAGTGCTAAGCGGCTCCTTTTTACTATTCAGCCACATTTTTCATTAAGCATGAACATGTATGTTCTTCTGTTCCTTCCCATTTTAAGCAAAAGACCTATCATGGGTGGTTTATGGAGTGTGAATAGTTTTTACCAATTTTTTTTCAGGATATGATTTAGAAACTTGAAATTATGTTTTCAGGTATTCCTTCTGGTACCATAATATTACAATAATACAATATGATATTTTAAAATCAGGTTCAGGCTGGGTGTGGTGGCTCACACCAGCATTTTGGGAGGCTAAGGTGGGCAGACTGCTTGAGCTTAGGAGTTTGAGACCAGCCTGGGCAACGTGGTGAAGCCCTGTCTCTACAAAAATACAAAAAAAAAAAAAAAAAAAAATTAGCTGGGCCTGGTGGCACACACCGGCGGCTCCACCTAGTCAGGAGGCTGAAGTGAGAGGATCCCTTGAGCTCAGAGGTCAGAGGCTGCAGTGAGCTGTGACCATACCACTGCACTCCAGCCTGGGTGACAGAGGGGCAGCCGGAAATGGCAGATTCTTCTTCTAACTCCCTGATGAGGATAAGCCCATGACTCTCCGATTTCACCAGTCCTAACTCTTTATGTGACTGACTCAAAAAGTTCCAGCTCATTCAGAATCTAACTGAATGAGGAAGATTTATTCTTCAGTGTCCCTTCAAATTCCAAATGTCTCTAATTTTAGCTAACAACCCTGCTACCTAGAATGGAAACCCACATCACAACAAATTAGCTAAGTGGTTCCTACACAGTCTTTATTTATAGTCTCAGCAATTCTATTTCTGAATAATAAGTTGGTGGTTATGCATAAAACAGAATTTGGGGAAGATAATTATGTTTTTTAAAATAAATTACATACAAAATTAACGTCCTAATTTATTTTGGAAAACAGACCTATGAATATGTATTAATAAAATGCAATGACTCTTCTCACTGAATCCTAGAATTGTCCATCCTACAAATGCTTATTAATAAATCAGTCAATGAAGACAACATTAGGTGTGTTAAACTTTCACTGTGGCATATTTCTCAGGGCTAAATAAGAATATTGCTTCCTTTTACTCCTCTTCAAAGAACACAGAACTTTGATGTGCCCCATGGCTCATAAACTTCTCTAACTACACTCACTTCCTGGCTGATGTCACCAAGGCTCTCAGCTTAAGACACCATCTTTGTGCTAATTATTTCCAAACTGATACAGCCGAGCTGAACCTCTCTTCTTAACTTCAGACTCATCTAATCAACTACCTACTTAACAGCCTAAATGGATGTCTAATAGTCACTGCTGACATATAATGACCAGAAGTAAGCTTATGATATTCCCTTCAGACCTGTTCATCTCATTATCCTCCCCATCCGGGTTACTGGCAATTCCATTCTACCTGTTCATCACAGTCTCTCCGGACCTCCAACCACTGCTACCCCATGGTCATCTTCCATGAGGAATATTGTAATAGTCTCCTGTTTCCTTGTTTCTGCCCTCGTCCTCACTATAGTCTATTATCTAAACAGCCGTCAGAGTAATCCCATTGAAGGATAAATCAAATCATGTCACTCCTCTTTTCCAATCCCCTCATGGCTTCCCATCTCAAAGTAAAAGCTGAAGTCCTTAAGGTAGTCTAAAGTCCCTCGCCACAGGCACCGTCCCCCTTCCCTCTGACTTCACCTCCACTATTCTCCCTCTCTGCTCCAGCCACACTGGCCTCCTTGCTGCTCCTAGGACATCCAGGCACCATCTTTCTACCCAGTGTTCTCTCTGCCTGGAACACTTGCTAGCCTGATAGATCCTTAGGGCTCCCCCCTCAAGCCTGCAAGTCTTCACCCCAGTGTCATTTTCTCAGTGAAGCCTTCCCTGATCACCATTTCTAAAATCTGCAGTCCAGGCCGGGTATGGTGGCTCATGCCTGTAATCCCAGTACTTTGGGAGGCCGAGGCTGGAGGACTGCTTGAGCCCAGGAGTTTGAGACCAGCCTGGGCAACACAGCAAGACCCTGTATTAAAAATAAATTAGCCAGGCAGGCTGGGGTGTGCTTGTCGTCTCAGCTACTCAGGAGGCTGAGGTGGAGGGATCGCTTGACTCCAGGAGTTCAAGGCTGCACTGAGCCATGATTGTGCCACTACACTCCAGCCTGGGTGACAGAGTGAGACCCTGACTCTAAAAAACAAAACAAAACAAAACAAAAATTAAATCACAGCTCCCTCCCCACTTGCCACACACACACACACACACACACTCTCACACACTTACTCACTTTCCTCTTCTCCCTCCCCATGTTCGGTTTCTTCCTTATCACTAACCACTATCTAACTTATTACATAGTTTACTTGTTTATCTAGTTCATCATCAATTCCTGACTAGGATGCAAACTCCACAAAGGCCGGGCTTTCGTCTGCTTTGTGGACCACGTTCAGCACCTGAGCCTCTCTCATTCACACCCAGGCACCAGCTCAGTCGCCCTAGTACTTTGGGTGAAGAGGAAGGAATATGGGCATCAGTGGTTCTTTTGTTCAGCCAAAGAGCACCCGGCACCATCGGTCTGCTCTTGAGCCTGGCAAGTGCATTTTTTTTTGGGAGCTACCCCACCATGGAATGCCAAGGAGTCCAGGGCAGGACACCATTCCTATCAGCAAACACTAGAACAGGGTAGACGCTGTGTGCCTCTGGTGTTTATCACGTGCTGCCTCTAATAAATGCTATTCACAACCACCACTAGACCAGGTCCCGTGCACCCTGACCCATTTTAACAAACGTACCCATTGAATACAGTGAAGCTGGGGAAGCCCAGCCCAGGAGCATTGCCTCACTGGGTCAGTCCCACTGCTGGGCTAGGACACCTGTGGTCCCTTCTTCTCACCCTGGAGCTGTGTCTGTGTGAGGGGCTTGCCCCTAAGCCAGCCCACCTGGCACCATGAGGCCCCTGCCTTATACAACGGTAAGTTCTCCCATAGCAGCTAAGCTAATTCTGGCTACCTACTGATTTGAAAAGGTTTTTAGAAAGAAATTTGCATTTTCCCAGAAACATCAGCTCTACATTATCCAAATAAACAACAAAGCTAGAACACAGGGGGCAAAGGATTATGAAAGGGACGGGTTTTAAACAAGGATCAAGGAATAGCAAATAATGACATCGGCAAACACTTCTATGATTCTGCTATGGTCTGAGTGTGTCTCCTGAAAATTCATGTTGAAATCCTAACCCCCAAGATGACGATATTAGCAGGTGTGGACTTTGGAGGTGACTAGGTCATGAAAGTGGAGCCCTATAAATGGGATTAGTGCCCTTCTAAAAGCAGGGTGGGAGCGGGTGTGGGGGACGTGGGGGAAAACTCCCTTGCCCGTTGCACCATGTGGAGACACAGCCAGGAGGTACTGTCTGTGCAGAAGGGACCCTCATCAGACCTGGAATCTGCCAGTGGGCTTCCCAGCCTCCAGAACTGGGAGAAACAAATTCCTGTTGCTTATAAGCCACCCAGCCTATGTTGTTTTGTTACAGCAGCCCGAGGGGACTAAGACGGGTACTGTGTCCTAGATTAGCTCATTTAATATTCACTATGATCTATGAAGCAGGCACTACTCTTCATCATTCATGAACGATTATTTCCCGCTGAGAAAACTGAGGCACAGAGCAGTCAGTCGCCTAACTCACGGCCCCTGTGAGAGGGTCGCCAAGATTCTGGAATCCGGGCAGTCTGGCTCCAGAGTCCGTGCTCTTAGTGTCCAGCTATACACTTGAAGAAGTGAAAACTGCAGCTCTTTTCGGACAGTGATCCCCTCGAAAAACAAACAAAAAACTGAAGCCCAGCGGCTGGAGCAAGGGGCCTGGAAAGGCGTTGAGCGAGGGCCGGGGCGCGAGGGCTCCGGGGCGGGCCGGCGGGGACTGCCTCTCCCGCTGGTCACCTGGGGTTGAACTGGAATTGTTCAATAGAGGCCTCGAGGCCCTCCATGATCTTCCGGCCCTCCTCTGTCTCAGGCGAGTCGCCCCAGTTCGCCATTGCAGCCCCGGACGTGCGCCTCCCGCGGAGCCGCTCGCTCTCCTGAGTCGGAGTCGGGAACCCGGCGTCCGTTGCCATGGCGACTCCCAGGTAACCGGCGAAGCGCGGGAATCCGTGGGCGGGGGCCGGGGAGGGCCGCGAGTGGAGGGGGGTGGGGAACGGGGTGGGGAGGGGAAGGGGGAAGGAGATGGGGAGGAGGGGGATAGGGAGAAGGTTGGGGATGGGGGGGAAGGGGAGAGGGAAAGGAAGTAGAGGAGGTGTGGAGGGAAGGAAGAGGGGGAAGGAGTGGGGGAAGGGGGAAGAGATGGAAAGGAGGATGGGGAGGGAGCACGCGCGGGAGGAGGGGAGTGGAGAGGGGGAGGAGGAGGCGGGGCGGGCTCCCAAGCCACCCCGCTGCGCTTTCACTGTCCCGCCTGCCTCAAGGCTTCCCCACAAGACTCCCACAGCCTGGAGGCTGCTGCGATACCCCAGAGGAAAGCTGCACCCCCGTAAATAACCCTTCAGCCTCCCGCCGTGCCCCTGGACCCTGCTCGCTTCCTCCTCTACCCAGGCGCGGAGCTCAGCCTACCTCGTGGACCCGCGCATTTGCGGGGGCTTGAATTCCCGAGCTTCTCGCTTCCTACGCGCGCAGCAGACCCGCAGCTCGGTGGCCTTGGCTTTCATGGCCTCCCAGCGTGTGCCAAAGGTCCCCCTCAAGGAGGAGGAAAAGCAGTGAACCCATCTAATAACTATGCTCATGACATAATGAGCCCTGCGATCCCGGACCAAGGCCATCATAAGAGGAGAGCAGGCTGCCTAATAAGCTGTCTCCACCTGCCACAAACGTAGGCGTTCCTGGACAAAATATTTCCTTGCAGAGATTAAACAGATTTCTATTTAATGAGGTCAGAATGTGAGGCGTTAAGTCTTAAACTATACCATCTAGTGTGGAATTCAATTTTACCAGGTTTCTACAATAATAAGAGTTAATAGTGAAACTGTTGTCATCCTTAGTTTTAAATTATGTATCACTCATTGTCAACTAATAGGAGACACCTATTCTAATATCAGTATGTCATTGTTTTTCTGTAAACGACTGGCTAAATTTATTTTTAAAATGTCATTGTCTGGTTTAGAACTGTCTATACTACATCTGCATTTCAATATATTATCTACAGAAAAATAAGTTTTTTCTCCTCTCTCTTATTATTATTATTATTATTTTTTGGAGCCGGAGTCTCGCTCTGTCGCCCAGGCTGGGGTGCAGTGGCGCGATCTGGGCTCACTGCAACCTCCGCCTCCCGGGTTCAAGCAATTCTCCTGCTTCAGCCTCCCGAGCAGCTGGGACTACAGGCACACAGCACCAAGCCAGGCTAATTTTTTGTATTTTTAGTAGAGACGGGGTTTCACCGCGTTGTGCAGGCTAGTCTAACTCCTGAGCTCAGGCAATCTGCCCCCCTCGGCCTCCCAAAGTGCTAGATAACAGGCGTGAGCCACAGAGCCCGGCCTCTTCTCTGTCTTGTAACAGTAAGTGAAAATAACTTAGCTGGATTTAGAAGCTCAAAACAGGAAAAGAAAAGCACTGTAGCATTATCACTACTATTATGTTTAAAGACAAAGATTAAAAGCCCCAAATGCCAATAAAACATCATAACCAATGCCAAAATCATCTTCTGTGAAGGCTTATTTTTTGGGGGGGAGATGAAGAGAGAAGAGAAAAAGAGTTACTTTTACTCTTTGGAGGTTTTTAATTACAAACTCTAACTTCAGACTTTATTTGGGGAATTTTTATTATATAATCAAAAGGTATTTTAAAAGAAAGAAATTTATATATCTACAATAACTTTTCTTTTTCCTAAGTGATATTTTACCACAATGTATATACATGTTTTAAAATAAAGATTAAAATTTTAAGTTAAAATTTCAAAACCTATCTGTTTAGAGCTGGGCCAAGACAGTGTAAAGAATGTGACAAGCTGTTGGCTATTTTCCTAGTGCAATTATAAATGAATCGTTTGAAACTGAGGAGAGAGATCGCACAGAAGATTTCATGAGTCATTGGTCAGCTCTGTACAGCATTTGTTGACTGATATAGTCTGCATAGTTACGCCATCCCACAAAAACATGCATTGAACAGAACATCTTTGTTTGAAACCTTGCTATAGCATATCAAGGAGTTTCAGATTTCAGTGTCTAAGAGACCACGCTATGATGATGATTGTTTTTGAAACCGTTAACTACATAATACTTCTCTTCTTGTCAGTTACCTGTATTTTATCTCACAGGTGTTCCGGCTTATAAAATTGTTTATTTCAGATCAGATTCTCACCTGTAGTAACTGGCGTTGATGTGGTCAAAACATTTGTCATATTAAATCCAGGCCTCTTTTATCACATGCTAAATTCATTGATGGCTTTAGTGGAAAGCTCATGAACTCTGCAGTAAATATTAAATATATACAGGCTTTGAAACTTACTCGATTTAGAATTTTGGGCAAGTAAGTTAACATTTCAGAGCCTCTATTTTCTCACAAGTAAAAACTGGATAATGAATGTTTCTCAAAGTTGGGGTAATCTATAAAGCAGAAAAACACGCAGCACATGCATGAGGCAACTGCAAGAGAAATACCAACTAGGCCTTTGAAGGACTCTATTCCTTCTTCCTAAACCACTACTAGGGAAAACATTGTTTAAAGATGTCAGTGTTTTGGCTGGATTCGGTGGCTCATGCCTGTAATCCCAACACTTTGGGAGGCGGAGGCAGGCAGATCACTTGAGGTCAGAAGTTTAAGACCAGCCTGGCTAACATGGTGAAACCCTGTCTCTACTAAAAATACAAAAATTACCTGTGCATGGTAATGCACGCCTGTAATCCCAGCTACTTGGGAGACTGAGGCATGAGAATCACCTGATCCCGGGAGGCAGAGGTTGCAGTGAGCCGAGACTGCACCACTGCACTCCAGCCTGGGCGACAGAGTGAGACCCTGTCTCAAAATAAATAAATAAATAAAGATTTCAATTTTAAAAAATTGAACATTTCATAAGTTAACATTGTTTTTACTTGTTCAGTTAATAGGACTTCAGGCACAATTTTAAAATTTGAAGTGCTTCTCTGACATACCACAGGTATAAATAGAATATGTATTTATATAAAAATATCGCCTACCAGTTATTAAAAGTGATAACATCTCAGATTAACTAGCATGAGAATTTGATTAAGAGTCAAGTGCTGACTCTAAACATAGTAATTTATGTATTCCAGTTGGGTAGTATCAGTTCTATAGTCTAATAAGAGCCAAGAGGTTTCAGTTTAGGTTTGTAATTTAAATTCTTTCTAGAGCGTCATCACATGCGAAGTGCTTATTTTTCTTTTATCACCAGCTATAATATATGATTATGTGGTGGAGGCTCTGTTATGTAAACTTGTTTTATGTCATGCTTCATCCACAACCAAAGTTCTTAAATAAAGTCTTTGGAAGGACATAGTAAGGCTCTTAGCCAGGGCAATATAATGCTACTAAATCCTTTATGGCAAAACTCCTGAGACTAGATCATTTTAATGTCTTAAATTTTGCTGCTGTGAGACAGCATATCCACTCTGTGAAAGTCTATCAATAAGCATTTGTCAGCCGACTAAAGCTGAAAACCAAGATGACAAGCCCAGTAGGGGGTTTGGGGCAGGCGCAACTGTGGATGTGGAATTTGGATCCTTGCCGCCAAATGTCCTTGAGCACTGGAGTAAAGGATTTCCTCTATTTGGAGCTAAGTTTAGATCATCACTGTTTAAAAGAGAGCAGGCCCGCGTGTGGCTCACGCCTGTAATCCCAGCACTTTGGAAGGCCAAGGTGGGCGGAGCCCAGAAGCTAGAGGCCAGCTTGGGCAACATTGAGACTCTGTCTCTACAAAAAATTAAAAAGAGAGAAAGAAATAGTAGTGAACGTGAAGAAAATGGCAGGGGTGGGTTGGGCCTGTAATCCCAGCACTTTGGGAAGCCAAGGTGAGGATTGCTTGAGCTCAGGAGTTCAAGACTAGACTGGGCAACATAGGGAGACCCCATCTCTGCCAAAAAAAAAAAAAAAATTTTTTTTTCAAATTAGCCAAGAACCCAGAGTCCCAGCTACCCAAGAGGGTGCAGCAGGGGGATCACGTGAGCTTGGGAAGTCAAGGATAGAGTGAGCTGTGTTCGTGCCATCATATTGTAGCCTAGATGACAGAGCAAGAGTCCATCTCAAATAAATAAATAAATACATAAATAAATGGTAGGGCTTAGCTGTCTGCAGAAGTGAGCCCACCTGAGAGAGAATTTGTAAACTTACTGCTGAGGGAAGTTTGGGCGATCTCCAGTCTGTTCAAATGACCAGAGTGGATCCTAGTGCCTAGAACATAACCTAGGAAAACTGTCACCCACATATTGGAATTTAGGGTGAGGCGGTTCAGGACAAGTCAAAGTCTGGAGAGTAATACAAGGGCAGTCACCATATTTCATGCCGTCTAAGATTGCATCCTTTAGGATGTGTCTTTATTTTCTGTGCCACTTAGAAAAAAACACTTGCCAACTATGATTATACCTTGACACACCATGGGCTATATGATACACTACAATTTCAAGGATATACCAAAATGATACACCAAAATTTTATGTTAGAAATGTGAAAAACTGTCCAGGCACAGTGGCTCACACTGTAATCCCAGCACTTTGGGAGGCCCAGGTGGGCAGATTACCTGAGGCCAGGAGTTTGAGACCAGCCTGGCCAACATAGCAAAACCCCATCTCTACTAAAAATACAAAAATTATCCAGGTGTGGTGGCATGCACCTGTTATCCCAGCTACTTGGGATGCTGAAGCAGGAGAATCACTTGAACCTGGGAGGCAGAGGTTGCAGTGAGCTGAGATTGCACCACTGCACTCCAGCCTGGGCGACAGAGACTCTGTAGGCAACCCCCCCTCCCCCGTCAAAAAAAAGTGAAAAACTGTATATCTTAGAATCAGTGAATAAGGTAGTTAATAAGAATTTATCAGGCAGAGATCCTTCCTGGGGCCCCATTTAATCAGACCCTAGAAGGATCTACTCTCTTGAGAAGCAGGACATTCGTGAGGTTTTTCCACAATAACTTGGATAAAGTGCCCGTAGGACCATCTGGTTCTCTCTGTTCTTTTTCTAGTGTCACAGGGCAACATGCAAATAACTAATTCATGTTCTTGGGTACATAGATGCCAAGAAAGTCTTGATCTAGACAGCAAATGTGATTTTGGCTAGTGTGAATGTTCCCCTGTAGTCTCACCTGAATAAACTGATAAAATACAGTGTTTAGAGCTGTCTACATGAGGACTAGACTCAGAGTCAAGGCATCCCCACAAGGTACCACCAAGTCACACTTTACCAGGCAGTCAGCATGGCTCTCTTATTAACACTTCTGCATCTGCGATATTAAGCGCCCTTTATCATCCTGCAGCTTCAAACTCTGTCTCAGAAATGTAGTACTAAAATTCAAATTTAGCAATTTTGAGAACTAGAGAGGAATGTTAGACATAGAATACGGTAGTGTGAAACCCAAGTTTGTTATTGTTACCATGTCTGTTAATCTACCTGGGCATTCTTCAGTCTACACTAAAAGGTATTACACGTCTGTTACGTAGATTATGCTATAACCAACGTGCCAATCAGGAATGTATGGTTCTGAGATGGCCCATTCACTGTTGCTAGAATCAGGAAGCCCGCATTATAAAAAGGACTACACCAAGCTCTGCTGTGAATTGAATATTGATGAACAAGCTGCCCTGTGCTAATTAATTTACTGACTGTCAGAAATGGGTTTTTATTGGTGAATGTAGTGGCCTATTGACTGGCACAATAAATGTTAGAATTGGGCTTGCATTCGTGAATTTAAAGATGTTCAAGAGGCTGGGTGTGGTGGCTCATGCCTGTAATTTCAGCACCTTGGGAGGCCAAGGCAGGCAGATGGCTTGAGCTCAGGAGTTCGAGACCAGCCTGGGAAACACAGCAAAACCCTTTCAGCCTCCACAGAAAACACAAAAACTACCAGGTGTGATGGTGTGCACCTGTAGTCCTAGGTACTGAGGAGGCTAAGGTGGGAGGACACTTTGAGCCCAGGAGGTTGAGGCTGCAGTGAGCTGTGATCAAGCCACTGAACTCCAGCTTGGGTGACAGAGCAAGACCCTATTTTGAAAAAAAAAAAAAATTTGTTTTAAAAAAGATGTTTAACAAATGTGGGTGAGCTAAAATAGTTCAGAGAGCAGCCCACCCTTGCAAGAACAGGATTACCCCCAATTTAGAAATGAGAAAGTGGAGACACAGGAGGTTGATTTACTTGCCCAAGTTCATACAGTTTGCAAGGGGTAAAAGCAGGCTTTGAGCACAGACAATTCTGCTCCAGAGCCTCCATACTTAATTATTTTGCCTTCTTGTCTCACCAAACTGTCATGAGGAGCAAATTATTTCAGTTCTTCTGACAATGTTAGTTTTGTTGATGGCTGAAGAAGTATCTCTAAAGCTTTCAAACACACATTAGCAATTTAATTATGAATCTGTGCTGCTGGGTTGCTGCAGAAAATCAAATACATTAACACACTGTCTAGCCGGAGTTTAGTCATCTTGGAAATTCATCTTCGTGCAATATTTGTGAGAGTAAAAATTTGGCAAAAAGATGGGCACCCATAGAGTCTACAGAGTTCATGCCTAAAACTTATTTGCTTTACTTCTAGGAAGTCTTCTTAACCTCTTATTCAGGCCCTATATCTTTTTCAGTATGTTCAATTCCCACAGAATGTGAGGTTGGCTTTCCTTTTTTTTTCTTCTTCTTCTTCTTCTTCTTCTTCTTCTTCTTCTTCTTCTTCTTCTTCTTCTTCTTCTTCTTCTTCTTCTTCTTCCTTCCTCTTCTTCCTCTTCCTCTTCTTCTTCTTCTTCTTCCTCTTCTTCTTCTTCCTCTTCTTCTTCTTCTTCCTCTTCTTCTTCTTCTTCTTCCTCCTCCTCCTCTTCTTCTCCTCCTCCTCCTCCCCCTTCTCCTCCTCCTCCTTCTTAACTTTCTACAGTTAAAGTGGGGAGTTGGGCTATTGTAGACAATCAGTCCATTGACAGCAATGAGAAGTAATGGGCTGGTCGCTGTGGTTCACACCTGTAATTTCAACACTTTGGGAGGCCAAGGTGGGAGGATTACTTGCAGCCAGGAGTTCATGATTAGCCTGGGCAACAGAGCAAGATCCTGTCATTTAAAAAAATGTAATGCACAAAGGCATTGAAAGACTATAGAAATCCAAAACTGAAATTTAAATAACACGAGAAGTCTAGACCATTGCAAGAAGCAAATAAACCTTTGTTTGTCACTGGCCCTGAGGACATCACTGTCTTTTACAGTGTTATTTAGTTATTTTAACTAAGGTTCATAATAATGACCATGACTCACTGACTACTTTTAATGTAACTAGGTTTAATATACTCTCTTAAAAAGGCAGGTATGTGCATGAAACAATTTAAAAATGTTATTTCAATTCTGAACTTTTAGTTATTTCTAGCTTGATTCCTTCTTTGGGGGGTGGTTTGATATAGCTGAAGTTACTTTTTCCATTGAACAAAAGTTCACATTTCTTCGTCATTGACATAGGACAGCTTTGGATTGTTGCAATGCCAAAGTTTTTGGAGCTGAAGGGACCTTCAAGATAGTATACTTTGCTGCGTGTGATGGCTCATGCCTGTAATTCCAGCACTTGGGGAGACTGAGGCAGGAGGATCACTTGAACCCAGGAGTTTAGACCAGCCAGGGCAACATAGTAAGACCTCATGTCTATTTTTTTTAAAGGGCTAGGCGTGGGGAAACTATGCCAGTAATCCCAACACATTAGGTTCATGCCTGTTATCCTAACACTTTGGGAGGCCAAGGCAGGAGGATGGCTTGAGGTCAGAAGTTCAAGACCAGCCTGGGCAACATAGTGAGACTGTCTCTACACATATTTTTTTGGGTAAAAGAAGAAAAAAAAAAGATAGTATATGTTATTCCTCTTGCTCAAGGATATATAGGTAGTTAGGCCATACCTAGATCTGGAATTTCTTTATCCTGAGGCCCATAATAGTGTATTAGTCATGATAGGCTATGTTATGTTGCAATAATAAACAATCTCAAATTGCAGTGACTCAACACAAGAAAAATTAGTTTCTCATTCACACTACAAGTCCCACAGAGTTGACAGTGAGTTCCACTCCACGCAACTACTCAGGGACCCAGATGATAGAAGCCTCATTCTCTTGTAGCAGCAGCAGTATCCAAAACACAAAACACAGACCTCTTGGGCCACTTTACCAAGGGAAGAAAAAAGAGTCAGGTACCGGAAATTAAATGCCTTGACCCCTTCCACTCTTCACTGATCAGAGTCCCATCGTTCCACCAAACAGCAAAGGGAACTGGAAAGTTTATTCTTCCAAGTGCTCAGGAAGGAGAAGGAAAATGACATAGCTGACCACTAGTAGTAACTAGGTAGTAATAGGACACACTACCAGTGTCCTATCAAGCCATACTTCTTAAACAACTTTGCAAATTCCAAGATAGTGATGATGATAATAAATGGTAATCATGATGATGATGATGATGATGATATCTGATATCTGTATAGGTTCTTAAGATTCAGAAAATGTTTCTATCTTATGCATTTTTAACTCAACTTTGTGCAATAATATTATCATCCCTTTTTCATAAGTGAAAATTAAGCTCAGAGAAAGTTCAGTTGAATGGAGTAATTTGCTCAGGATCCCACAAATGAGTCTCTGATGAATGCAATATTGAAAGTCTAGTCAGAGTTGAAGAGGACCCAAGCACAAAAGCAGGAAAGAAATCAAATCCAGAGACAGGACAGCAGGAGAAATCTATTCTTAGAATTCACTGCAAAACTGCAGCAACAAGTGCTTTTAAATATTTTTTTATTTTTTTTTAAACCGGGTCTCACTCTGTTGCTCAGGCTGGAGCACAGTGGCAGGATCACATCTCACTACAGCCTCAACCTCCTGGGCTCAAGCGATCCTTCCACTTCAACCTCCTGAGTAGCTGGGACTACAGGCATGCACCACCATGCCTGGATAATTTTTAAAATTTGTGTTGAGACTGGGTCTCACTATGTTGCCCAGGCTGGTCTTGAACTTCTGGATTCAAGCAATCCACCTGCCTCGACCTCCCAATGTGCCGGGATTACAGGCGTGAACTACTGCACCCGGCCAACAAGTACTTTAAAGCACAAGAATTAATATAAATAAAGAAAATAGTGGAAGTAGTTTCTAATTGTTACTTCCTCTCTTATAACCAAATGTACCCTTTTATTTCACAACAAAATATGGCTGGATACATAGCACAGATACTTAATATTTATTATATCGCTGCAAACATAATGTAAAAATCACGTTCCTAATAGAATGTATTAGTGATTATGTAATGACAGTATTAGATTTGAAATATTACATCTAGGCTAAAAATGTAAGGCTCATTTAAATTTAACTAAGAAATCAGCGATCCAGATGTGACAAAATAAATTACCATTATGAAATAAATTGGCCATCAGATATCGATGGGAGAACTCAACAATTAGGATTTTAGAAACAAAGGTAGCAAAATTAGAATGGCAGGCCCAATCACACAGTAAGTATTTAGCCTTGAGTTAGGTGCAGGAGGGAAGACAGAGGTAAGGTGTTGCTTTCTGGCATATTAATTGAGAAGACAAAACTAATGCATGGAAAATGACACTGTTTCATACAAAATAGTCTATAATAAAGTGCTGATTTGTAGCTTGAAAACTTCAAATGATGTCGGAAGCGTGAAGAAAGTTAAATTCTAAGAAAGAAAAGAGATCCCTAAGGAGGAATCTCCAGTGAGTATTTCATGGAAAAGCTGATGCAGAGCCAGGACATAAAGACTGAATATGCCAGGTGCCTTGGCTCATGCCTGTAAGTCCAGCGCTTTGGGAGGCCCAAAGCAGGAGGATCTCTTGAGGTCAGGATTTCAACACCAGCCTGGGTAACATGGTGAGACCCTGTCTCTACGAAATACAAAAAAATAGGCCAGCGTGATGGCACATACCTGTAGTCCTAGCTACTTGGGAGGCTGATGCAGGAGGATTGCATGAGCCCAGGATTTCAAGGCTGCAGTGAGCTATAATGGTGTCACTGCACTCCAGCCTGGGCAACAGAGCAAGACCCTGTCTCAAAAAAAAAAAAAAAGAAAAAGAAAAAGAAAAAGAAAAAGGGCTGCGTATAGTCTAGATAAATGAAAAGGAAAGGGGGTCGCACCATGGGAACAAAGGCTGGAAGTGTCGTTGTGTTCTTGGGAAAGTGCCCCACCACTGTTGGAGTGTGCCAGGTCGCACTGCTCTAAGTTGTATATGTGTAGATCTAAGCTGTGCTGAGAATGGACAGGAGAATAAAATCTCTACCACCTGTATCCATGCTAATATTTTTTTTTAAATCACAAGAAAATGTGAGGATGAATAATTAAGCCACTAGATTATGATTATCTTGAGGAAAAAGCCTTATGTATTTTTATATCACTGAAACGGGCACTGCATTTGGCCCCTCAAAAATGTGCTCAAAACTGTTGGGTTAATTAATATGGTTTTAAAATTTTGCTTCAAATAATAGAAAGAAGAGTTCACATGGGTTCCACAAACTTGACTCAAACTTGTTATTAATTTTTAAATAAAATATTATATTATTAATATTCTTTTTCTTAAATCACTAGGAAAGGTTCAGGCTATAATAGGAAGACTAATGCCAGGGTGGTTTGAACCACACACAAAGTGCTCAAGTAACAAAGGAACACGCTTCTTAGTTACTTTTGTTATACTCTTACCTGGGGAGAAAGTTCGAAGTAAGTCTGAACCATTGCCAACCCAAGAGAGGATTCCCTCATTCAGCTCAATTCTTCTTGAATAATTCATTGGCAAAGTCCCTTTTACCTGCAACAAGCCTGGACTAGAGTTTCTTGTTGTGTCTTAATGAATTTTAATTGCACCCCTACCTATCTTGGCGTCAACACTGTCTCATTTACTACTATATTGTTGATCCCTTTTCATAAGTCTTCAGACTCTAAAGCTTGATACGGTTTGTACTTTGGCTTGTTTTCTTTTGCTTTTATTTCTTTTCAAACTGCTTAGCTCAGTTAATAAGTTACTGAGACTAATGTGCCCAAGATCATGAGTTTGGCTTGTGACACCTTCTCTCCTCTGTGGCCACAGACTGCCCCTCTGATCCCATAACTCCCATCACCAAAATGTACTTATGTAATCATGCGTCTGGAGAGCTGGGATATTTGAGGGGATGGAGCATAACCACCGAATACTCCACCCCAAGGACTTGCCTCTCTGACAAAGGGACATTAGCCTTTAATTTGGTATGACGACAAACAGCAAGGTTCTAAGGCTCAATTTCCTCAATTTCTCCTCTTTATACAAAGGGGATAATGATTCATATGAAAGATTACGAAGACTATGTATAACCTCATAAAAGGAACACGCAAAATTACTTATGTCCTGTGAGTAAAAGCCATGTAAAAATGCCTGCAGTTATAATAGTCAAAGAATGAAAGGGAAAACAGAACATAAAAACAAAAAACCAAAAAACGATTATATTAGGGAGGTGGGATTATGAATGAACTCATTCTTTCCTTTAAATTTTCTCTTGGCCAGGCATGGTGGCTCACGCATGTAATCCCAGCACTTTGGGAGGCAGAGGTGGGTGAATTACTTGAGGCCAGGAGTTCGAAACCAGCCTGGCCAACATGGAGAAACCCTGTGTTTACTAAAAATACAAAAAATTACCTGGACATGGTGGCGCACAGCTATAATCCCAACTACTTGGGTGGCTGAGGCACAAGCCTGGGAGGCAGAGGTTGCAGTGACCTGAGATTGCACCAGTGTACTCCAGCCTGGGCAACAGAGTGAGATTCTGTCTCAAAAACAATAAAATTAAATAAATAAATAAATAAATAAAATCTTCTCTTAGTGTTATTATAATTAACAGACTAGACGTTCAAAAATCCTCTAGACTTCTAGCTCTGCCTTTTTTTATGTCCAAATTAAATGGCTTAATTATGTATCTCAATATTTTCCCTATGATTTTTTTTTCTTTTGAAAGAGGGGTCTCACTGTGTCACCTAAGTTGGAGTACAGTGGTGCAATCATAACTCACTGCAACCTCCAACTCCTGGGGTCCTGCAATCCTCCTGTCTCAGCCTTCCAAGTAACTGGGATTACAGGCACTCACCACCATGCCCGGCTAAAATTTTTAATCTACTTTTTTTGTAGAGATAGGGTCTCATTACATTGCCCAGGCTGGTCTTGAACTCTTGGGCTCAGGTGATCCTCCCACTTTGGCCCCCCAAAGTGCTGAGATTACAGACATGAGCCACCATGCCTAGTGATTCCATCCCTATGTTTTTTTTTTTTTTTTTTTAATTTTAATTCTCAGTATGGATGCAGGAGGAGGGGACTTTATTCTCCTACCTTGTCCATTTGCCCACTTGCCTATGACTGAAATGTGTTCCCAGCACAGCTTCTCCCTAAGCACCAATCATTCTCCTCTCCTTCAATGCGAAATCACGAGGAACTCAAGGCCACTAAGTCACTCTTATGTTGCTGACTCTTTGAGGAAAAAGAGGGAGCTTCCTGAGCAGCAGATAACACAAAAGAACTTGAACCTGAATGTAAGACACCATTGCTTTTTCACCTCACAGTCATGCTTAGTCTAGGGAATTTCTCCTTGATAGGTTTTTCCTCATTCTCTCCCATTCTCCAAGGCTGTCCGCACTCAAACCTTCACTTAGTCTGGGGATTCAGAGGTACCTTTCCTAGAGGATATGGCACCAGAGCTAAATTTCAAAGGTTGAGTAAGAGTTAGCCAGGTGAAAAATTGTAAAAAAGCCCCACAAGGCAGAGGGAGGAGCAGAAACAAGATCATGTAGAAAAGAACAGCATTATGTGTTCAGGGAGTGACAGGTGAGTTACCATGGCTTGCTGATGTGTTTGATGCCAAGATTGGTAGAGAGGAGGGGAGGAGAAAGGGCCCAGGCCTTCCCATGATCATTCAGTCATAGAGCAATTTAACTGCAGTTTAGAGAATGAGCTAAGTGTGGCAAGTTTGGACCAGGGTGGCTTGAAATACTGTGACAATCATCCAGGTGGGAGATGGTGAGAGTGGGAACCAGGGAAGAACAGGAACGGCCATGAGAGGTCAAGCCCTTTAGTTGAAGGTGGGGAGATAGGCCAGGCATGGTGGCTCATGCCTGTAGTCCCAGTACTTTGGGATGCCGAGGTGGGTGGTTCACTTGAGGTCAGGAATTTGAGACCAGTCTGTCCAGCATGGTGAAACCCTGTCTCTACTAAAGTTAGAAAAATTAGCCGGGCATGGTGGCACACGCCTGTAGTCCCGGCTACTCAGGAGGCTGAGGCAGGAGAATTGCTTGAACCTGGGAGGCGGAGGTTGCAGTGAACCGAGATTGCACCACTGCACTCCAGCCTGGGCGACAGAGCAAGACTCTCCCTCAAAAAAAAAAAAAAAAAAAGAAAGAAAAAAGAAAGTGTGAGGATGTGAGGATAAACGTACACAATGACATGTTCTGCATCCTACATCCCCACTGAAGTGACGGGGATATGGTGGGGTAGAAGAGATATTTGAAAAACATACAGACACGCAGGACCTAAAAGAACGGGAAAGAGTCAATAGCAGTCAAACTGGGCATGGTGGTGCATGGCTGTCATCCCAACTACTCGGGAGGCTGACGCAGGAGGATTGTTCGAGCCCGGGATTTTAAGACCAACCTGGGCAACATTGTGAGACTTCGTCTCTAGAAAAAGAAATATTTTTCAAGGAACAAAATAGCAACCAAATATCAGAAGCTGAAAAGCAGAAGGATAAGCAGTAACTGACTTAGCAGGCATGAGAAAGCCAAATCCCAAACCAGCGGCAAAAACCCAAGAAACAAAATTTTTGCACCTCAGAGCCTTCACAAAGCTCAGGAATTGGCAAAACAAGGTACCTCTGGAAGTGGGAGTGAAGAGGGTTGAAAAATCGGACAATCTTGAAAGATCATTTCAGTTGATCTGAAGAAGCAGTTAGACCTCAAATCCCCTTCCCTGGTTCATACAGATGGGACATTTGCACTTCTATACTTTGTCAGAAATTAGAGATTTATTCTTGGTGAGGGTAAAAGTGATGTCTGAACCAGAGGGCTCCAGACACAGTTGAGGGTGGTACCTGTACTGAAAACAGTGAGATAAAGTGAAAGTCTTGGCAGGGCAGGGTGGCACATGCCTGTGATCCCAGCGTTTTGGGCGGCCAAGGCAGGAGGATTTCTTGAGGCCAGGAGTTGGAAGCTGCAGTGAGCTATGATCTAACCACTGCACTCCTGCCTGGGTGACAGAGCAAGATCCTGTCCTGGGTGACAGAGCAAGATCTTGTCTTCATTAAATAATAAATTAACTAATAATAATAAAATGATCCATCTTATTTTTTTTAAAAAAGGGAAAGTCTCCATGGTAAATGAAGGAAGCTCCAGTGCTGCCCCCAGCTGGACTCTGAGAACGCTGGCAGTTGGGGTCCTATCACACAAGTAAGAGATTGGAAGTCTCCTCGCTATCAAGGTTGAAAAGACCCAGAGAAAAGACCCAAAGACACCAACACTGAAGGTCTCCCAGTGAAATGGCCCAGTTAGGCCACAGCATCATGAGGCTCACAGTTGGCTTTCTTCACCTCCAGCAGAATACAAAATCATCTTTTTAGTTTCCAATTCTTAAATATAAACAGATTGCAAAGAATCACTGGATATTTGAGAAAAGCCTAAAACACGATGGACAGAAGAGGAACCAGCACCAAGGAAAACAGAAGAAAAAATAACTTGGAAGAAACAGAGACTATGCACAATATAAAAACTTGAAAAACGTCATCATTAATCATTAGTAATACTCTCAGACCGTTAAGAGAAGACGTATCACTGGCCTGTGCTTTGGGATCTGGAGATAATACTTAGCATCAGCTGGGTGTGGTGGCTCATGCCTGTAATCCCAGCACTTTGGGAAGCCGAGGCAGGCAGATCACCTGAGGTCAGGAGTTCAAGGCCAGCCTGACCAACATGGGGAAACCCTGTCTCTACTAAAAAACAGACAAACAAACAAACAAAAAAACACAAAAATTAACCGGGCGTGATGGCGCATGCCTGTAATCCCAGCTACTTGGGAGGCTGAGACAGGAGAATTGCTTGAACCCAGGAGGCAGAGGTTGCCGTGAGCCAAGATCATGCCATTGCACTCCAGCCTGGGCAACAAGAGCAAAACTCTGTCTCAAAAAAGAGAAGAAAAGAAAAGAAAAACTTAGCATCACCTGTTTTAGCCCCACCAGCACAGAAGGGCCAGTGGCACTTCTGTGATCATTCAGTTCATTGATTCAATTCGAGATCATTCAATTCATTGATTTAACCAATATTTACACACTAGGAACCCAGCAATGACAAGGCAGATGGAGCTCATCATTTAGACTAACAATCCCTTTCCATCTTCTCACATAGAAGATGTGAGAGCATCTCACAGCACAGAGCATTTATCAGATCTTCTAAAACACCATGGCTGTAATCTCCCTCTTAAAAATGCATATTGCATGTTCCATGTTAAAGGCTCTGAGAAATCCTGCTGTTGAAAATAATTATAAGTATATGTAATCTCCAGTGCTTCCTTTTTTAAAAGCGTAGAACTTTTTTTCCCCTACAGGATGCCTACTGAGATCCTTAGAATATGGTTTGAGAAGGACCAGCCTAGTGAAAAGAGAAGTTGGGGCCAACGGTGAGAGCACAGTAGGAAGGCTTAAAGGTTTATGAGCCAGCTCCTTCTGCCTAGGCCGTGCCCATCAGTTAAGTTCCCGTGACTCAACACCACCAGACTGTGCAGGCCTGAAGGTGGAGTGTCAGAAAAGTCCTCAGGGCAAGCTGAAATGAGAGTGCCCGCAGGGAGAGTAAATTAAATGCTCTGAAGCATGGCAGACAGAGGCTGAGCTGGTGCAAGGGTGGGCCCTCAGCATACCCACCATTGAGGGAAAACCTTACACAGCAGTACTAGAATCGGTGCTTCCAATAGGGACTCTTTTTTGGAAATAACTTTGAAAATCCTCTTTGCTCCTGCTACAACCCAGAGCTCAGGTCTGGCCCTGGCACGTCTCAGCTCTATGAGCTATACAAGTTGACTACCTGCCCTTAGAATGCAGTATATGCAAAAAACACTTTGTAAACTCCAAAGTGCTATGTAGGTGTGAGTTACTGTTATCATCGATGCAAATGTGCTGGCCTTAAGTCCCACCCATTCCCTGTGGGGGGTGATCCCCAGGGTCAAGTGTCTGGAGGTCCTGGTAAAATTAGAATTCAGTCTAAGTTTTTCTTCCTATATTTTCTGCTTAATAACTTGGTTCTACTCTAGGACTCAGCACCTCTCTGAGCCCCCTATTACTGGGGATCTTCCAAACATGAACAACTGTCCCCATGCTAACCACCACCATTCAGGCTCAGCCATTTGCTCTCCTCTCTTGCCTTTTCTTTCTTCCAATCATTCTTTTTAAAAATTATTTTTATGATTTTTTATTTTTGTGGAGATGGGGTCTTGCTTTGTTGCCCCACTGTTGAACTCCTGGGTTCAAGTGATCCTCCTGCCTCAGCCTCCCAAGGTGCTGGAATTACGGTCGCGGATCCACCACACCTGGCCTCTTCCAGTGATTCTTACTTCAACATGCTACACATCACTTCCAGACTGGCCCACCCTTTTTCCCATGAGTCTTTCTAATGTATAGCCTTTCATCCGGTACACAGGATGAAGCCCAATCCCCTTGAGCTAGTGTCTAAAGTCCTCCTAGGACAATCCCTTACTAACTCCTTGTGGAGAAGAGTTTAATGCACCAGTTCTGAGACTGCTACCCTTAGAAAGGCTTGCTTGCAAGGTTGGCCCTTGGCTGGCACCAGGAAACCTGGATTTGGGAAGGGCTCCTGCCGTTCCCTATCTGAGAAGTGGTGCTCAATATGCTTAAACTGTGCAATCAGTGTGGTTCCTGCTGAACACCTGCTTTCCCTCCTGGAGTCTGGAATTTCTGTACTGCTAGAAAGTGGGTCCCTAGGTGACAAGCTCTCAATAAAAATCTTGAACATTGAGTCACTAATGAGACTGGTACTGGTAGACAACACTTCATAGGTGTTGTCATAATTTGCTGCTGTAGGAATTAACTACATCCTGGTAACTTCCAAGAGGACTCTTGGAAGCTTGTGTCTGGTTTCCTCCTGACTTTGCCCCATGCATTTTGCTGATTTTGTTTTGCATGCTTTTGCTGGAATGGATCACAGCTGTGAGTATGACTGTTTTCTGAGTCTTGTGAATCCTTCTAGAAAGTCATCAATTCTAGAGATGGTCTTGGGGGCCCCTGACACATCTCTTGGTTTTTTCTTTTTGTGTTCCTCTCCACAGACTCTGCCCTCCTACTAATCTGGTTCATTCCAAAACTCCTTGCGCATGCCTGGCCCTGTAGCTCACACAACCTCCCTGCCTAAAGTGACCCAGCTCTCTCAGACCCAAAGGCTCCCTTCTTTCAAAGCTTTTATCGAGTCCTACCTCCTCCACTGCTATGGTTTGAAAGTTTGTCCCCTCCAAAAGTCATGTTAAAACGTAAATCCCATTATTGAGAGGTGGGGCCTTTTAGAGATGATTGGGTCATAAAGGCTCTGGTCATAAAAATGGATTAATAGATTAGAGGGTTCATGAATTAATAGGTTATCAGAGGAGAGGCACTAGTGGCTTTATAAGAAGAAGAAGGGGGAATTGAGCAAGCACGCTCAGCCTCCTCATCATTTGATGTCCTGCATCTCCCTGGGGCTCTGCAGGAAGTCCCCCTGCCACAAGCATGAAGGTCCTCACCAGATGCAGTCCCTCAACCTTGAACTTCCCAGTCTTCACAACTGTAAGAAATAAATTAATAAATTCCTTTTCTTTATAAATTACCCAGTTTCAAGTATTCCGTTATAAGCAACAGACAAGGGACTAAGACATCCACATCTTTCAGAATGGGCCAGCCTTGGGGGAGGCTTCCTCCTCTGAACATCTTTTTATACTCTGTTCCATTCAGTTGGCATTTTATGTGCACTGTTCATCTGCCTTCCTAGTTCAACTGTTAAGTCCTCCAGAGAGGAGAACAATATTTTTCTTCTTTAATTTCCCTGTGTAGTGTCCCCTGTTCATAGTAATTGCCCTGGGGACATATAAAGGCCCTAAATGGGTTTCAGCTCTGTCTGACCAGTTCTGTTTTCACTAATTCAAGTATCTCACTCTCTGACCATGCTTTCTCAACCTCTAGTTTGTGGTTCATCTTCTCCTGCCCACTCCAGGGTCCCTGCCTTTTGATCCGCCAGATCCTCCAGTAAGGAGCAGGATAACTCCTCTGCTCCCTCCCAGGCCCTCTACCATATCCTTTCTTCACTTCCTCCATCATCAGCTTACATCATTTCAATATTAGCTGCCAATTTGGTAGCTCACTTGACTCTCCTCATGGTGTATGCAGCTGGCTAAACTATAACTTGCTTTCTCTGTTTACACCTGGGCATCTTGGTACAGCAAGGGAAGTCAAACCACAAGACCTATTGATTTTACCATAAATTGTGATCTCCAACCTCAGATGGCCCTAGTACCAGGCAAGGTCCCATCAGGAAACAGATGACACACTTAGAAAGGGTAACTGAGGAAGGCTTAAGAAAGGGAAGGCTGGGCATTGTGACTCATGCCTGTAATCCCAGGACTTTGAGAGGCTGAAGTGGGAAGGATCATTTGAGGCCAGGAGTTTGAGAACAGCCTGGGCAACATAGTGAGACCCAGTCTCTATTAAAAAAAAAAAAGAAAAAAGAAAGAAGAAAAGGAAGATTTACAAAGGTGTGGGTGGGGATAAGGAGACCCAGCAAGCTTCCACCTTTCATCCTGCAGGGGGAAGGGGGGACATTACCAGAACTTAGCAGCCTAGCAGGTAGCTGGGGCTACGGTCTTCAGTTCAGTAAAGGAATGCAGCAACTGACAAACAGGAAACTATTACCCCAACCTGTCTCTCTGCTCAGCCCAACTATTCTGCAGGCACCTCCGGATGACCAAACTCAAGAACCCAACAGAGCTGGGAGGGAGCTTGAATGAAGAAGTGCATAAAAAAATCAGCTCTTGAACCACAGCAGGATGGAGAAGAATGAAAACTTGGGTTGGAGACCAGAGAATATCCAGCACAGGCACTCAAGACTAGCCTGATTTATTCCCTAGCTCACTCTTAGAATTCTACTTTTTTAATATTTTTTTTATTTTTAGACAGGCTCTTGCTCTGTCGCTTAGGCTAGAGTACAATGTCGTGATCTCGGCTTACTGTAGCCTTGACATCCTGGGCTCAAACAATCGATCCTCCTGCCTCAGCTTCCTGAGTAGCTAGGACTATAGCCCACTATCACACCTGGTTAATTTTTTTTTTTTGGTAGTACAGATGGGATCTCACTATGTTACCCAGGCTTGTCTCAAACTCCTGGGCTTAAGCAATCCTCCTGTCTTGACCTCCCAAAGTGCTAGGATTATAGGTGTGAGCCACCACGCCCAGCCACAGCAATTTCAGACTCTCTTATACTTGCCTCTTTGATCTCACTCTGCAACCTTTCGCTGTCGTCCTATGATCTCACATCCTACCTCACAAAGAAAATGAAACCATTAGAGAAAAACCCCTTCAACTTCATATCCATAAAACCACTCATTCACTGTAAGAGTTAGAATTAAGTTTGGCTGTGAATAATAGACGCTCAAATAATCACGGTCTAAACAGGATGGAAGTTCATTTCTTTTTTAGGCAGCAATTGGCAATCCAAGGCTGGTGAGGTGGCTGTGCTCTACCAAGACCTCAAGACCCAGGTTCCTTGCGTCTTGCCAGTCCTCTGTGTTTTGTGGTCACCTCATTGCCTAAATGATTGCTCCAGTTCCAGCCATCATGTCTGTGTTACAGCCAAAGGGAGGGCGGAAGAGATGAAAAGTAGCCAAGAGAACAGCCGTCTTTCAGGGGGCTCCCAGAAGTAGCTACAAACCACTTCTACTTCATTTGTAGAACTTAGTCTCCTGGCTACCCCTACCTGCAAGGGGGTAAATGTCGTTGTTTATTCTGGTTGGCCATGTGATAAGTTAAAAATCAAGATCCTAGCCCATGGTGGTCCTAGCTACTCGGGAGCCTGAGGCGGGGGGATTGCTTGAGCCCAGGAGTTTGAGGCTGCACTGAGCTGTGCACCACTGCACTCCAGCCTGGACAACAGAGCAAGATCCTCTTTCATAAAACAACATAAAACAACAACAACAACAACAAAAAATAATCAGGATCCTAATACCATAGAAAAGGAGAATGAATGGGAGGAGGAGGCAACTATCACTCTTTGACACACTCACCTTTATCCTTACCCCAGTATTCCCCTCTCAGTCTGCCCTTCCCTGTAAGTATGTTCAGATCATGGAACTGGTCAGACAAACACATTTTGAGTCAAAAGATATTTTTCACTTCTCTTCTGACTTGACTTTTTCAGAAGCACTTCGACCACTCTTCCTTTGAATACCTGGCACTGCCTTAGCTTCCTGACGCCACGGGTGCTGCTCCTGGGTCCCCTCCTACCTTTTTGAGTGCTTCCTCTCTGACCTGTTTGTTTATCCTCTCCTTCCTGACTATTAAACGTGGGTGCTCCTTGAGGCTTGAGCCCAGCTCTCGTCTCTTCATACACTGTAGCATCTCTCTAGATTAGCAGTTCTCAAATTGCAGTCTAAGTACTCTGGGGGGTCCCCAAGGCCCTATCCAGAGGACCATAAAGTCCTCCTTGAGGTCAAATTTTCTTCATGTGCTTCAATCAGGACAATGTATCACAACAGATTCAATGCAGAAGTAGCTATAGGAATCCAGCTCTCTTCCATTAAGCCAGTTATGAAATTGATTTGCAAAAATGTAAAACAATGCTATTCTTCTCATAATTTTTTTTTCTTTTTTCAGACAAGGTCTCACTCTGTTGGCCAGGCTGGAGTGCAGTGGAATGATTGTGGCTCACTGCAGCCTCAACCTCCCAGGCCCAAGCAATCCTCCCACTTCAGCCTCCCAAGTAGCTGGGACCACAGGCGTGTGCCACCATGCCCGGCTAATTTTTTTTTTTTTGTACAGATAAGGTCTCCCTATGTTGTTCAGGTTGGTCTCAAACTCCTGGCCTCAAGTGATCCTCCTGCCTCGGCCTCCCAAAGTGTTGCAATTATGCTGGGATTACAGGCATGAGCTGCCATGCCCAGCCACAAATATTTTGTTTTTTGGTTTGAAAAATTACAATGATTTTCCGTTAAAATCATTATGTTATGCTAAGGTAAAACAGGTTTATTATAAATTAATATTAATTTTTTCAGTTTAAATTTCTAATATACTAAATATGGATAGATATAACCCACATAAACAGAAGCTCTTTGAGGTCCTTGATGGTTTTTAAGAGTGTAAAGGGGTCTTGAAACTCAAAGTCTGAGAACGACTGTCCTGAATCACCTCTCCCACCTTGTCAGTGTAATGACATGACTCAGGCCTCTGTCTGAGTCTAGACTTGTAGATAGATCCGCCTACAAATGTCTCTTTCTAAGTGACTCAAAAGCACAACAAGCTTGACACGTGCAAATTCATGACTTTCTCTTTGAAATCTGGTTCTCTCCTGGGCTTCCCTATCATGAATGGTCCCGTGACTTACCAGCTATGCAAGTGGACATCTAGAGGTTATTTTGATCTCTGTCTCCCATACCCACCATTTCCAGCTCCAATCTGGTGTGCAAGTGGCCCAAGTTAGCAGTGAAAATCCTGCATGGTCCTGGGAAGTTAGGCCTCACCCTCTTCTCCACCCTCACCTGTATCACCTTCCTCTTCACTCTTAGCACCCCAATCACACAGCTGCCATTTTGTTTCTCTAATAAACTGTGCTCTCTCTCACCCCAGGGCCTTTGCACAAGCAATTGGCCCTATCTGGGACCATTCCCCACTCCATATTCACCCCACCCCATATACCTTGTTAACTTTACCCAGAAAAATCTTGCTCTCTCATCTCTGACCAGATAGAATACCCTCGATAAATATACTCTTGCCCTATCTCCTCTTCTTAACAGTTAGGTCAGTTTTAATTCTACATGCATTTGTGTGGTTACTTGATGTATTAGTCTGTTTGGGCTGCCGTAACAAAATACTACAGACGGGGTTGGAGGGCAGCTTAAACAACAACAGAAGTTAATTTTCTCACAGTTCTGGAAAGATCAAGATCAAGGTGCCATGAAGGTTGATATCTGGTGAGGCCTCTCTTCCTGGTTCGCAGACAGTGGCCTGTTTGCTCTGTCCTTACATGGCCTTTCCTCTGTGTACAGGTGGAGGGAGATAGAAGGAGAGAGAGAGAGAGAGAGAGAGAAGGAGACAGAGAGAGAGAGAGAATGATGGAGAGAGAGAGAGAAGTATTAATCTCTGGTATCTCTTACTCTTCCCCTCCTCTTTTTTTTTTTTTTTTTTTTTTTGAGACAGGTTCTTGCTTTGTCACCTAGGCTGGAGTGCAGTGGCACGATCACAGCTCACTGCTGCCTGGAACTCCCAGGCTCAAGCGATCCTCCCACCACAGCCTGCCGAGTAGCTGGAACTACACCCAGCTAGTGTTTTTTAATTTTTTTTTTGCAGAGACAAGGGTCTCACTGTGTTGCACAAGCTGGTCTTGAACTCCTGAAGTCAAGTGATCCTCCCACCTTGGCCTTCCAAAGTGCTGGAATTACCAGGCGTGAGCCACTGCATTCGGCTTCTTCCTCTTCTCATAAGGTCACCAGCCCCATTAGATTAGATTAGGTCACCCTTGTGACCTCCTTTAATCTTTTTTTTTTTTTTTTTTTTGAGACAGAGTTTTGCTCTATTGCCCAGGCTGGAGTGCAGTGGTGCGATCTCAGCTCACTGCAACCTCCACCTCCCTGGTTCAAGTGATTCTCTCGTCTCAGCCTCCAGAGTAGCTGGGACTACAGGTGCCCGCCACCACGCCCAGCTAATTTTTGTATTTTTAGTAAAGACAGAGTTTCACCATGTTGGCCAGGCTGGTCTCAAACTCCTGACCTCAGATGATCCTCTTGCCTCGGCCTCCCAAAGTACTGGGATTACTGACGTGAGCCACCGAGCCCGGCCAAACTCCTTTAATCGTAATGACCTCCCTAGAGGCCCTATCTCCAAATATAGCCACATTGGAGTTAGGACATCAACATATGAATTTGGGGGGACACAACAGTTCTTAACACTTTGATTGACAACTTTCTCATCCACAGCCCCATAGGGGAAAGGTCTATTTTTGGTTTTGTTCACCTTGTATTTCTAACATCTGCCTATAGTAAACATTCAATACGTTTTTGTTGAATGAATGAGTAATGACTATTAACAGTTATTGAGCACATGAGATTTCACAGGCATTGTGCTTATGTGCCATGTCGCAGGTATTGTTCTCAGTGCTTTATATATTAACACAATATACCATTTAATACTCAAAACAAACTTATTGAGAGCTATAGCATTATTATCCTGTTACGTTAATGAGAAAGCCTAGACATAGAGAGGTTATAGGATTGCCCAAGTTCACACAGCTTATAAGTGGAAGAAGGAGGATTTAATTAATCTGTCTGTGCCTAGAACTCATGCTCTTAATCTGTATGCATGGTATTTTAAACACATGAATTAGCAAATCAAAATGCATTAAAATAATATAATTAATAAAAATTCATTACATTATTAATTGCATAAAAACTTTATTATCTACCTACTATTTGCAAGGCACTTTTCTAGGCATTTGGAATAACATGCAGATGAACAATTTTCTTCACTGTTACAGCATATATTCGTGTGTGCACATAAACAATTAACAGATTAATATATAATATATCAAGTGGTGGTAAGTGCCATGGAGAAGAATGAAGCAAGAGAGGGAAATGAATAATGCAGCTAGTTGCAGCTGTTTCAGCAAATGTGGTTGGAGGCCACTCTAGAAAAGGATTTCCAACAGCTCAGAACAAAGTCACACAGAAGATATGTAGATGATGTAAGAAATGTTTTCTTATTAATTAGTAACTCAATTAAAAGGACATGAGCTGATAAAATGCAACAGCAAGCATTTACTAAAGGCTTGTCCAAGCTCAGGCCTAGAGAAAAACAGCAGGAAGTTCTGGGAGGTCATTCTACAAAACATGGCGATGGCTGTTGTAAACTCAGGGAATTGAGCTAAGTGAGCCCTGAAACAGCTGTCCTGCCCAACACTTCTGCCCTGTCCCCGCTCTGTTTCTGGCTGGTTTGCTGAGGTGACCCCCGTTACATGGCCCTGAGCAAGCTCCTCATCTCTCCAATGTGCAGTGTTACTTAGCAAAATGCTGAGAGCAGCACTAACCAGAAAAATCCGGTATCAGCTCCCCCAAAATCAAATATAAGGTCTGTGCAATCCACAGATCAACTCATGTGTGACCCACTAACTTTGCAAGGAAAATGTGCTTTTTATAGCATCTGGGTCAGACTCATTGAGTGGTGCATTGCGTTAAGGATTCATGCATTTCCCCCAGATTTTCTATTGCCCAGGTGGTAGGTTAGGCATTTAGATAATCTGGCTCAATGTTGTCTAAGAGGAAGGTTTTGGGAACACAATACCTAATCCTTGTTACTAAATCTTTATGAGAAAATGGGCTGAGAGAGAGCCACAGAACAAAGTTTTGGTTTGGTGTTTTGATTCCTGAAGCAAGGAGTTCTCTTTTAAGAAAAAAATAATAAATCAAGTGGGCATTGAGTGACATCTACCATCACTAGACTTTCTAAACAAGAATGAAATTCACCTATGGAGGCTGTAGATCTCTTTGCTATGTTCGTGTCTGTCCATGCCTTGCCTTTTTGTGTTTTCTCTTTCATTCTTTCTTTTTCCGTTGATAAATCACTCAATAACCATACACAAACTAGCAAAACCACATCCAGGACAGCTGGTTAACTGATATACCTTGAGGTTTTTGAAAACAAAACAGCTGAACACTTCCTCTGTGCCAAAAGAGAGGAAGTAGAGATTTTCCAGGACCCATTTAATCAGAATGATTTCCTGACTGGGGAGGTAAATTATCTATTCAGTCTTTCCCCTGTTCATCTGCTCAAAGACTATTAAAATATAGATGATATCTCAGAAAAATTAATGCAGATATAAAAGATTATTAAACTAACATTTAATTAACAAAGCAACAGTAGTTTCTATAAGCCACTACCTCTGGAAGGTCGTTTTTATCTCTCCGCTTCCCTGTCTTTGAGGCGATACTGTTCACAACTCTTTTAATGTTTGGATAAAGTCCAAGATGTTGCTGTTGGTATTGCTGAAGGTTAATTCTCAAACTCCATGGTTTGATTTGAGAAGGAAATTGTCAAGACTTCCTCTCTCTCAGGCTGGGTTTGGTTACTGGAACATTTAGGACACTTTGAGCAGCAGGTAACTGAACACCAAAATTAAACAATGCATAAATGCATTAGATTGTGAGCCTGCGAGTTTAGAGATAAGACACTATGTTCTCTGGAGGATTGGCTCAATTCAGTGGTTTTAACTCCACGTTCCTCCAACTCTCTGGACTCATCCTCAAGGCCTAGAGCAAGATGTCTGCAGCCATTCCAGGCCTCAGTTATACCAATGTCCAGAGGGAGAGAGGGTTTCCCCTCCAAAATTTCTCTCAAGAGTGTAGGGGAAGGGCCAGGCTCGGTGGCTCATGCCTGTAATCCCAGAACTTTGGGAGGCCGAGGCAGGCGGATCACCTGAGGTTGGGAGTTCAAGACCAGCCTGACCAACATGGAGAAACCCCCTCTCTGCTAAAAATACAAAAAAAAAAAAAAATAGCCGGGAGTGGTGGTGCATGCGTGTAATCCCAGCTACTTGGGAGGCTGAGGTAGGAGAATCGCTTGAACCCGGGAGGAGGAGGTTGCAGTGAGCCGAGATCGCGCCATTGTACTCCAGCCTGGGCAACAAGAGCGAAACTCCATCTAAAACAAAAGAATGTAGGGGAAAAAACCAATACCCTTTCCTCATCCATCACAAGGGTCATGGCAGATACTCCTATAACAAGAGACAGAGTAACAAGAGAAAAGCATCACAAATTTATTTAACCAAGGTTTACGTGACAGGGGAGCCTTCCAAAGTGAAGACCTGAAGACCCAGGGAAGACTGTGCTTTTGTGCTGAGTCTGATGGAAGAAGTGAACAGTTGCAGAGAAACAGGAAAGGGGTGTGATGTAATGGTAATAAACTTGTAGTGGTGGGAGCTTAGCAAGGCGTGCTTGTTCACATTCCTTTCTGTGTTTCTATTAATATAAGACATTCCCCTTTTCCATTATGTGCAGAACACAGGTCACATAAGGATCTTCAGGGTGCAGGGGGGACGGTGGGGAGGTAGGAGGTCAGTGAATGACCTTCCTAGGTTTTATGGCTTGCTTTGGGCAGATAAATTCTAGTTTCTATAACTCAGCTTGGGAGAGAAAGGGGAGAGGGAGAACAGAGGGTGGGAGAAGGTCAAAGAGACTTTGTTTTGGGGGCAAGTTCTCCCAATATCCTTCAGTTCAAAGTAGTCAGCATGCCAAGGTGTCATGATCTGGGGTACCATGTTCTGACCCCCAATAAGAGCATGAACAGACAACTCACAGAATTTGGGGAAATATTTACAAATCATATATTTAATCAAAGTCTGGTATCCAGGATATATAAAAAACATTTACAAAACTCAACAATTAAAATACAAATAGCACAATTTAAAGATGAAAAAAAACAGGTGTGGTGGCTCATGCCTGTAATCCCAGCACTTTGGGAGGCTGAGATGGGAGGATTGTTTGAAGCCAGGAGTTCAAGAACAGCCTGAGGGACATAGTGAAACCCTGTCTCTACAAAAAAGTTAGGCAGGCATGGTGGTACATATCTGTAGTCCCAGCTACTCAGGAGGCTAAGCCTGGGGAAGCCAAGGCTGCAGTGAGATGGGTTTGAGCCACCACACTCCAGCATAGGTGACAGAGCAAGACACTGTCTCAAAATAAGTAAATAAGTAAATAAAAATAAGACATTTAAAATTTTTTTAATTAAAAATTATTTTTAATGAAACAGAAATGGAATAGGTATTTCTCCAAAGAAGATATACAAATGGCCAACAGCACATAAAGAGACGTTCAGCCTCATTAGTCATTAGGGAAATGCAAATTAAAACCATAATGAGACACCACTTCACACATACTAGAACAGTGATACTCAAAAAAGACAAGCAATGACAAGTTTTGATGAGGATGCAGATAAATTAGAACCCTTGTATGTTGCTGATGGGAATATAAAATGGTGCAGTGCCTTGGAAAAAACAGTCTGGCAGTTTCTCAAAGAGTTAAGTGGTTTTTTCTTTTCTTTTTTCTTTTTTTTTCTTTTCTTTTTTTTCTTTTTTTGTTTGTTGTTTGTTTGTTTGAGACAGCATCTTGCTCTGTCACCCAGGCGACAGGTTGGAGTGCAGTGGCATGATCTCAGCTCACTGCAACCTTCGCCTCCTGGGTTCAGGTGATTGTCGTGCCTCAGCCACCCAAGTAGCTGGGACTACAAGCGTTTACTGGCATGCCTGGCTGATTTTTGTATTTTTAATAGAGACAGGATTTTGCCATGTTGGCCAGGCTGGTCTTGAACTCTTGGCCTCAAGTGATCCCCCGGCCTCGGCCTCCCAAAATGCTGGGATTACAGGCATGAGCCACAGTGCTCAGCCTTGAAAGAGTTAAATATATATTTATCAAATGTCCCAGCAATTTCACACCGAAGTATCTACCCAGGAGAACTGAAAACATATGTATACTTGGACACAAATGTTCATGGCAGCATAATCGCCAAAAAGTGAAAACGAACCCTGTATCCATCAACTAATGAATGGATAAACAAAATACATGCATATAATGGAATATTATTTTACTGTGAAAAAGAATGAAATATTAAAATATTCTACAAGATGAATGAGCCTTGAACAGATAATACTAAGCAAAAGGAGCCAGACAGAAAAAAATTATATGATTTCATTTACATAAAACATCCAGAATAGGCAAATTCATTGAGAGAAAAAGAAAACATTCATTTATGGTTGCCAGGGGCTACAGGGAGGGAGCAAGGGTATGAGGTTTCTTTTGAGAGAGGTGAAATGTTCTGAAATTAGTTAGTGGTGATAGTTGCACGATTTCGTGAATATGCTAAAACCACTGAATTTTATCCATCCTCAGGGTGCATATTATGATGTATCAATTATATTTCAATTTAAACAAAAAAAGGAGCATAAACATTTCTTCCTCGGAAGTTCTTTGAAAACCTCTCCACACTTGTCAATGGCCTGAGCAGAGACACATGAACCAAGACCAGCGACCTTGGGATGCCCTGTGTCCAGTGAGTTCGGCTTGTGGGTCCTAATGGGTATTAGCCTGTTCTTTCACTGCTATGAAGAAATACCTGAGAGGGGGTAATTTATAAAGAAAAGAGGTTTAATTGGCCCATGGTTGCACAGGCTACACAGGAAGCATGATGCTGGCATCTGCTTGGCTTCTGGGGAGGGCTCAGGAAGCTTATGATCATGGCAGAAGGTGAAGGGGGAGCAGGCATGTCACATTGCCAGAGTGGGAGCAAGAGAGAGCAAGGAGGGAGATGCTACACATTTGTAAACAACCAGATCTTGTGAGAACTCTATCACGAGAATAGCACCAAGTGGATGGTGCTAAACCATTCATGAAGGATCAACCCTCATGATGCAATCACCTCCCACCAGGTTCCACCTCCAACACTGGGGACTCTAATTGCACATGACATTTGGGTGGGGACACAGATCCAAACCTTATCACTGAGTGACTTAGATTCCTCAGGGCCCAGCCTTAGAGCTGAGATTAACTCTCTCACCCTATGACTGCTGCCCAAAGAGGAGAGGTGCTAGGGATGGTGGGCAAACAATCACAATTTCTATTCTCATCCTTCTCTTCTCCTTTTTCTTTTTTTTTTTGGAGATGGAGTCTCACTCTCACCCAGGCTGGAGTGCAGTGGTGCAATCTTGGCTCACTGCAGACTCTGCCTCCCAGTTTCAAGCAATTCTTCCACCTCAGCCTCCCAAGCTGGGAGTCCCAGCTGTAGCTGGGACTGCAGGTGCATGCCACCATACCCAGCTAATTTTTGTATTTTTAGTAGAGATGGGATTTCACCATATTGGCCAGGCTGGTCTCGAATTCCTGACCTCAAGTGATTCATCCACCTTGGCCTCACAAAGTGTAGGGATTACAGGCATGAGCCACCATGCCCAGCCACTCCTCTTCTCCTGCTATCTCATAGTTTGGGCATGTCTTTATGCCTACTCTTGAAGCCATCCTCACAGGTTAACAAGAATTCTGGACAGAAATATAACTATAATTAAGCATTAATCAGGCTGCACTTTGACCCACTTTCTTCCTGGTCACATAACACTAGATACTGACCATTTGCATCTCCATGTTCCCATAGATAGAATTTCTGATGTTAGATAGGATCTCTTATGTTAGAATCATAAGGCTTTTGTTTAAGAATTGTTTAAGCATAGCCAGGCATGGTGATGCATGCCTAGTAGTCTCAGCCACTCAGGAGGCTGAGGTGGGAGGATCACTTAATCCTGGGAGGTCAAGGCTGCAGTGAGCAGAGTGCACCACTGCACTTCAGCCTGGGAGACAGACAGAAAGAAAGAAAGAAAGAAAGAGAGAAAGGAGAGAGAGGGAAAGAGAAAGAAGAAGGAAGGAAGGAAGAGAGAGAGAGAGAAAGAAAGAAGAAAGAAAAAAGAAAGAAAGAAAGAAAGAAAGAAAGAAAGAAAGAAAGAAAGAAAGAAAGAAAAAGAAATTGCTTAAGCAGATCCTGAATTCTGACAGAATCACTTACACCAACCAGTTTAAAGACCCCCAACAGAGGAACCAAATAAGCATGAGAATACAGCTTCTTCATCTCCCTGTCCCGCAACTTTACCCTGTACTCTAGAACCAATCAACAATCTCCACACTTCAGCCCACTCCAAACCCCTTGAAAACCCTATCCCCAAACTCCTTGGGGAGATTGGTTTGAGGTTTCCTCTTGTCTCCTCATTTGGCAGCCCTACAATGAAACCTCTTTCTCTGATGCAACCTGGTGTCTCAGCACATTGCTTTGCACATTGGGCAACTGACCCATTATGTTACAGTTTTACCCTATTATAATGTGTTACAATTATATCTCCTTCTGCTGCTAAATCACACACTCTTTGAAAGCAAGGACTTCTGGGTATCCCTAACAGTTAGTACAGTGCTTAGCCATGCAGGGTAATTGTGATCACCCAACAGATTCTTCCTGCCTGCTGCACAGACAAAATCAATCCATTGAGCCCACAGCACTGCAGTAGAGAAAGAGTTTAATTGATGTGAGGCCAACCCATGCAGGAGAACTGGAGCTATCACCCAAATGAGTCTCCCCAAATGCTTGGGGGTTAGGGTTTTTATGGACAATTTGGTGGGAAGGGGCTGGGGAATGGGTGATACTGATTGGTTGGGCTGAGTCCACTTCTGGGTCAGGTCACAGGATCCATTGAGTCATGAGTCACAACCCCAGGTGGAGTCAGTGTGAAAGATAGCTCAAAAAAACCAATTCTAGCTTCTATGACAGTGACATTATCTACAGGAGCAATTGGGAAAGTCATCAATCTTGTGACCTCTAGCCACATGAACCCTGAGCAGTAAGGGATTGTAGAAACTATACCTATCCAGAGGCCAGTTTTGGTAGTTTGTGCCTGTAATCCCAGCACTTTGGGAGGCCAAGGCAGGCAGATCACCTGAGGTCAGGAGTTCGAGACCAGCCTGGCCAACATGGTGAAACCCTGTCTCTACTAAAAATACAAAAATTAGCTGGGCATGGTGGTATGTGCCTGTAGTTCCAGCTACTTGGGAGGCTGAGGCAGGATAATCACTTGAACCCTGGAGGCAGAGGGTGCAGTGAGCTGAGATCGCACCATTTACACTCCAGTCTGGGTGACAGAATGAGACTCCATCTCAAAATAAATAAATAAGTAAATAAATAAAAGAAACCATGCCTATCTTATTGGAATCCAGGCCCCTCTCTATAAGCCTAACATTGTAGCCTTTCATTAGTTTTACAAAGATGGCTTAGTTTTGGAAAGGGCTATCATCTTTGCTTTAACATTAAACCATAAACTAGATTCCTCCCAAAGTTAGTTTGGCCTACCCAGGAATGGCCAAGGACAGCTGGGAAGCCAGAAGCAAGATGGAATCAACTATG
This sequence comes from Homo sapiens, assembly GCF_000001405.40. Lineage (NCBI taxonomy): Eukaryota > Metazoa > Chordata > Mammalia > Primates > Hominidae > Homo > Homo sapiens. The sequence goes on from NC_000010.11 coordinate 23,375,340, forward strand.
TCAGATTTCTTACTGTCTGTGACATTATGATATATATTGGATTTCACCCATGGTTCCTGGCTCATACATAACTCCTGTAGCCTCTGTTACAGCCTTTTGTTAGAATGTTGGGTGTGCTAGGCCTCAGAGGCAGGTCTCTGACCTTCTCCTGCCCTCCTTTCACTCTAATGTGTCATGTCCACCCCCGCAACCATCACCAACCCCCTCACCTGCCTTTCCAATTGTTTAAGACCCTCCCAGGAGAACATCCCACGCTATGCCCTGAGGGAAGGAATGCTGATGTCATGAAGCTTCCATAAAAATCCAAGAGGACAGGGTTCATTGAACTTCCAGATAGCTGAACAGTAGAGGTTTCTGGAGACCAGCACCCAGGGAGGGCATGGAAGCTCTGCGCCTGTTCCCCCTTACCTTTCCCTACACACGTCTTCATCTGTGTCCTTTGCAATATCCTTTATAATAAACCAGTAAACGTAGGTAAGTGTTTCTCTGAGTTCTGTGAGCTGCTCCCTCCAATTAATTAAACCCAAAGAGGGGGTTGTGGGAACCCCAACTTGAAGCTGGTTTGTCAGAAGTTCCAGAGGCCTGGACTTGTGACTTGTGTGTGTGGAAGGGCAGTCTTGGGAACTGAGCCCACCTGTGGGATCTGATGCTATCTCCAGGTAGATAATGTCAGAACTGAACTAGAGGAAACCCAGCTGGTGTCCACTGCTTGGTGTGTGGGGAATGCCCCTCCGACATTTGGTCACAGAAGTCTTCCCCTGTGTTGGTGATTATTCTGGTGTGAAAGTAGAGGAAAAACAGTTTGGGGAGAGTGTTTCCCTACACATTGTCATAATTTTGCAAAAGCAGTTTTATAATCACTAAATGCTTATTGAGTAAATGACTGATGTGAAACTTGTAAATATGACTTATTCTAGCTGATGGTCAAAATCCGCAGTGTTAGCAGTTAGTATGACGTCATACCTTCTGATACATCTTCTTTAATGCCACAGCTCCAATAGGGATAATATTGAAACACTCACAGCTTTGTGGGACTTTGCTTTTTCAGTTCCTCTCAGACCCAAGGGATGGAGCTGGGTTTCCCAGAAGCAAAACAACTGAAGAGGAACTTGTCTATTTGACCTTTTAGTTTGAGGCCTGCTCATATGACAAGCTCATGGCATAAAATAGGAATTTCCAACTATATAAGAAATACCAATGCTTTATCCAACTTGTTACATGAACACATACCCTTCCCCCACAGACACATACCCACATACACCACACACGCACACACACAGTGTCACATGTGCAGCATACACAGAAATGACTCCTCAATTTCTGAAAGGGGCAAGAGGCATTTGGCCTTCAGAAGGGAAGATAAAGGGGAAATCAAGTCTTATTAATTTAAAAGTTTTTGAGACGGTAAATAAGTATAGACAGGGGTAGAGAGACTGTATCTATTGTTCAAATCCCCAGGGCCTCTGGTAAGAAGATTTTAATAAGATCTATAAAGATCCCCTCAGCTCTAATGACTTACTATTGTAGGATTTCACCACAGAATGGTTTGTTTTGGAAAGCATTTAAAGAGCAGCCATGGAAAATAATCTAAAGCTTCAATTCTTGAGCTAAACAACTTTGATAGTGTTATAATTGATTTGGAAGACTAGGTATACCAGGAGCTCTGAAGTTTGTGGATACGGTAAGCTCACTAAGTAGAGAATTAACTAATCGATGAAGGTGAAAAAATTCGAGGACACATTTGTGGGCAGAAAAGTGGCACAGGAGCTTTAATTAAGGACAAATGTTAAATAATGCAATTAAAGAAAAATGATACAACCTAAGTCTGTAAACTGACGAACTCTGAGCTATCAAATATAACCTAAGAGAAGGATTAAACATTACCTGGGGACCTATATATAGAGATGAAAAATATATTCTATAGAAATATACACCAAACTGACTGTTTGCATCATATGGCTTATAACACTGAAAAACTAGAAACCCAAATGTTCTCTTTTTTCTTTTTCTTTTTTTGAGGCAGAGTTTTGCTCTTGTTGCCCAGGCTAGAGTGCAATGGCATGATCTTGGCTTACTGCAGCAGCCTCCACTTTCTGGGTTCAAGCGATTATCCTGCCTCAGCCTACCAAGTAGCTGGGATTACAGACGTGTGCCACCATGCCCGGATTTTTTTTTTTTTTTTTTTTTTTTTTTTTTTTTTTTTTTTTTTTTTTTAGTAGAGATGAGGTTTCACCATGTTGATCAGGCTGCTCTCAAACTCCTGACCTCAAGTGATCTACCTGCCTCAGCCTCCCAAAGTGCTGGGATTATAGGCATGAGTCACTGCACCCAACCCCGAATGTTTTCAAAATCGAATTTCCTTAATAAATTGTTGTATACCTATGCCATGACATAATATACAGGCATTAAAATGATTTTGTAACAATGAAAATATATTTATAGCATATAGTGAAACTAAATGAGGCTACCATGTATCATGTATATTTATTCCCAGTTTCAGAAAAAGGAAAAAAAAAACACGTGTGCATAGGAAAGAAAAAAGATTGGGAAGAGATACATCAAACTTTAGCAACGGGCTGAGCATGGAGGCTCACGCTTGTAATCTCAACACTTTGGGAGGCCAAGGTGGGAGAAGCACTTGAGCCCAGGAGTTTGTGACCCGCCTGGGCAACATAGGGAGACCCCACCTGTACTTCAAAACAAAACAAAACAAAAAGCCATCAATGGTCAATTCCTGAATTATGAGTGATGTTTTTTCTTGCCAAGTTTTCAATTTAAAAGTTTATACTTGGTGTGTACTTTTTACTATAAAAAGAATAAAGACCTTTATATGTGGGGGAGGAATAAAAATGGCAAATACATGAATAGCACTTAGTATTATCAGACAAGATTCTAAATGCTCCATATAGTGACTCTTTTAATCTTCACAACCTTTTGTGGTAAGGACTTTTATTAGGTGTGGTTTTTGCAATTACTTTTGCACCAACCTAATAGTATTCCCACTTTACAGATGAGGAAACTGAAGCATGCAGGTGTGTAAGCAAATGGTGGAAATGAGATTCAAATCCAGACAGCCAGGCACCAGCGACTGAGCTCTTGGTTTTTGTAACTCTTGAAAGATGAAAAAGTGTGCAGCTGCCGTGCAAAAGTCAAGTAAATGGAATAGCACAGAGGATAGCTAGTTTGTCTCTGCACCTGGCCTAGGATAGTGCGCTCCCACATTCACAGCCCTTGGTTAGGGGGGAAAAAAGTGAGCCTGGAGAAGTTACAGGAAGGGATCATGACAAAGCATTCAAGTTATCAGAAGGGCTTTCCATTTAAAAACAGACTAACATGATTCAGACCTGTCGATTTGGAAAAACAAAAGTCACTGAGTGAATGTAATTAAATTCATTAAGACCCTTGAGTGAAAGGTACAAAACCAGCTCACCCTTGGACTTGTAACACTACAGGTGTGTCCCATGTTACTAATGAGAAGAAATGGGTGTGGGAACCATCACATCTCTTTTTCCATTTTGCACCCTGGGTGGCATCATGGAAGCATGACTTGTCAGGCGCACATGGCTCCAGGCTTACTAGGGCACCATGCTTGGTTTAATGCTCCATGGCCTTCATAATTATACCTTTCACCTTGTATTTTCTAAGTGAACTCTGCTGGGCCCATGGAACATGTGTGTGAAGCAGAGGAGATACACAAAATATGCATGTCTACCATGGGCTCCAGTTCACCCTAGCTCACATGTTGTGTTTGTGCTGCCCATGAGCACAGAATTTTGACAAATCCACCATGGACGGGAGTTGAGCAAGACTCAACGCATGTTATATCTGGGACTGAGTAAGCAGAGGTGCTGACAGCCTTGGTGGACCACACTTTCTTAGGACCAGAACTTGCTTCCAATGCAGTTCAGACAATGGCCATGGCATTGAAAGGGTTCAGAGCATGCTACCCCGAAATATGCCACTTTCACATACTGATTATTTTGAGTTACAGGCACTTGAAAAGCAGCAGATGCAAGAAAGGCATGCTGACCTTCTCTTTTTCTTCCTGAAAGCAGTAACTAAAACTCCTATGTAAAAGATGTCTTCCCTATACCAGGAGGAAGATATCACCAGAATCAGGGAGTTGAGGCCCAGAGAAATATGTTCAAATACACCTTGTTAAACTATGCCTTGTTTTCCTAGCCACTTTTCAACAATTAACTGCCCTAGCCCAGACCCCTTTGTCTTGCCACATTTCACAAATTACTCCTCTAGGTCCAACCCAGTATATAGCTTTTGTCCCTAACTTCTTCTTTGGGTCTTCATTTTTCTTGTGGGAGCTCCTGTGAAAATGTTACCACATTAAATCTGTATACTTTTCTCCTGTTAGTTGGTCTTATGTCAGTTTAATTCTTAGGACTAGCTGGGTAATAGGAAAAAGGAGAAATTGTAGCTCCCCTACAGCATTCTAAGAAATATGGATAACCAATGAATTCCATCATATCCTTTCTTGTATTATTTCCGTATATTAGCTGACACCCTCAACAATGAGGACATTAAAGGAAAGGGGAAGATGGGGCAACTCGTAGTTCCTTTTCCTTTTAGTCTTTCCTTACTAATCAGTAAACTGAAGAGAGTATTGACAGAATGTGCACATATTAAGAAGTGAAACAAAAACGTTTGAGTTAGTTTTATGCAGTTCTGGTAAGAACAAAATATATCTGCATGTAGCAGTTAAAAAAGATGAATTATATAATTTCAATGATTCTACATATAAGTTAATGTTCTCATATTTTCATTGAAAACAGGCATTACATTATGGTATGTGAATTTATGTCAATTTTAACAAAAAGAAAAATAGGTAGTACAGATGACCAAGAAACAAGGGTTGAGGGAAGGGCTTTTCTGTTACTCATTTATCAAAACAAAATTTATTGTTATTATTTTTTATTTTCATTTTTTATAAAAGGGTGGCTGCTCCATAGGCAGAGCAGAACTACCCCATAGGCAGAGTAGCCTTTTTTAATTTATTTATGTATTTATGTATTCATCTGAGACGGAGTTTCACTCTTGTTGTCCAGGCTGGAGTACAATGGCGTGATCTTGGCTCACCGCAACCTCTGCCTCCTGGGTTCAAGAGCTTCTCCTGCCTCAGCCTCCCGAGTAGCTGGGACTACAGGTGTGCGCGCCACCATGCCTGGCTAATTTTTTGTATTTTTAGTAGAGATGGGGTTTCACTGTGTTAGCCAGGACGGTCTGGATCTCCTGAGCTCGTGATCCACCTGCCTCGGCCTCCCAAAGTGCTGGGATTACAGGCGTGAGCCACCGCGCCTGGCTGCTATTTTTATTTTTTTAGATCTAATTATAAGAAATTAATGATTGCTCACTGTAGAACTTTTAGAAAACATAGGGCAGTATTAAATGAGAACTTATAAAAGTAGTAACTTACTTGGTAATTACGGACTTTAGGATTTGTTTTAGAGCTAAAAACAAAGAAGAAGAAACGATAACATGTTATAAAATGGACAAAAAGGTATCTTTAATGCCTTACGGCTCCATAAAATCAATTCAAGCGTCCCCCCTGGAAGAAAGAAGAAAGATTGACTTTGCACAAGACAAATGGTAAAATGTATACTAATAATTTTAATTAAAAAAATTTTTTTTAGGCCAGGCGCAGTGGCTCACGCCTGTAATCCCAGCACTTCCCGAGGCCGAGGCAGAAGGATCGCTTGAGAACAGGAGTTCGAGATCATCCTGGGTGATACAGCAAGACCCCGTTTCTTGCTGAAAATCGAATTTCAATTTTTCTTTACCTGGAATAGCATCAAATAGCAAATAAAACACACCAGAACAAACTGAAAGACCATGGAAGAAAGGAAAGAGCTTTATATTTTAGTTCCTTAAAAGTACTTTTGTCCTGCTTTTTGAACAAGGGGCTCTGCCTTTCATTTTGCATTGGATGTAACAAATTATGTAGTTGGTTCTTCTCTCATCTTGGCTTCTTTCACAATACCTTCATTTTTGTCTTCTGGGACCATGTTTTGCTCCTTCTCAAGTCCACTAGGCAGGCTGAGGCCCCTCACACTCGCCACATGTATCAGGCAGAGATTAACTTTCTCAAGCCTTTTTCCAGATTCCCAGAAGAAAGCATTGGATTGGCCCAGTTGCACCATGTGACCTGGCCAGGGGAGAAGTCATGTGATACAAACATGGCTTGAGCCAAGCCCTGTGGATAGAAAGGTGGGTGGGTATCAGAGAAAGGGAGCTGTGCAAGTACCCCAGACTTGTCTGGGTTGGCCCTTTCAAGTAGTCCAAAATTGGAGGTGGGGGTGTCTAGTCCTTTATACACTGAGTGGTTCAATGCCCCAGAGTGGTGGAAAGAAAATGTGGCCTTTGGGGTTGGGCTTTCTAGGGCTCTCACTCTCTCAGGTGGAAATTGTCAGTACCAGCATTCCCAGCAGCTGTGGAATGAGTCCCTTAGTCCTGAAATGATGCTAGGGACCTAGGCAGGGCACTACAGCTCACATTACACTTCCTACTTGGAAATGATGATTGTTTTTGCTTGTTTGTTTGGTTAAAGACACGCCTCCCTATGTCTCCCAACCTGGAGTCCAGTGGCATGATCATAGCACAGGACAGTCTAGAACTCCTGGCCTCAAGCAATCCTCCTGCCTCAGCCTCTCTAGTAGCTCAGACTACAGGTGCACACTACTGCGCCTGCCTTTCAGTGATTTTTTTTGAATGGAATCCTATTTATAGGGACTGAGTGGTCCTAGTAATAAGGTAAAGGAAACATTTTTCTAATAATTATCTGGAAGTGCTCTGGGAACTTGATGTATTGTTTTTATGCATGAAATTTTGGCCTGTGACTCCATGAAGTTGGCGTCAGTTGTTAATTTTAAATTTCTGTTGCTCTAGAAGGTGTTAGTGGATTGTCTGGGGTAAGGAGGAATAGGTGGAAAGAGAAGGAAGAATCTCCCTAATTATTTACATCTTCTTTCAGGAAACATTCCTTAACTCCACACAGAAACAAGGTGAGGGGCCAGGGCTGACACTAGCAAGACCCCTAAGGACCTGGGGCCCAGGGGGGAGCGGGGGGTTTGGGCAGGGGTGGGGAAGGGGTCTGACTTTCTGGCAATGCTTTTAGCAGGTTGCTGTTCTCGTAGAAATACGGCTCAAACTTTTCCGAAACAGTTTAGTAGCTACGATTAAGTAAAAAATAACTTAAAAAAAAAAAAAAGCATGGATAGGTCTGTCACAGTGGCTCATGCCTATTATCCCAGCACTTTAGGAGGCCGAGGTGGGAGGATTGACTGAGCTCAGGAGTTTGAGACCGGTCTGGGCAACTTAGGAAGACCCTATCTGTACAGAAAATAAAGAAGTAAAAATCAGCCAGGCGTGGTGGTGCTTGCCTGTAAGTCTTAGCTACTCAGGAGGCTGAGATTGGAGGATCACTTGAGTCCAGGAGGAAGAGGCTGCCATGAGCCCTGATTGTGCCACTGCACTCCAGCCTGCACAATAGAGCGAGACCCTGTCTCAAAAAAAAATGAGTAAAAAATATTTCTTCCAAAGGTCTCTCGGCTCACTTGGATTACGGGTTCAGTCATTTCTAAGCATTTCCTGCAGCCTCAGAAACTCAATAGTCAATTATTTCCACGAGTACAAAGCTTAAAGATGAAGAGAACAAGAGAGGGAAGGGTAAAAGGACACCAAAGGGCCATTTTCACTTGCTCCTAAATAATGTGAATGATATTAAATCTGCTCTAAATGGTACCAGAATGCATTTATCTTACCCCATCTTTGTGTCAATTGCCCAGTCAATGTATTTTGCCTGAAATGTAATCATTCTTGACTCCTTCATATCTTTCAACCCCCAATCAATTAATCCAATAAACATTTATTGAGGCATTTGTATGTACAGGTGCTCTTCCACTTATGATGTGGTTACCTTCTGATAAACCCATCATACATTGAAAATGCCGTAAGTTGAAAATGCATTTAATACACCTAACCTACCAAACATCATAGCTTAGCCTAGCCTACCCTAAACATGTGCAGAACATTTATATTAGCCTATGGTTGGAAAAATCATCTAACACAAAACCTATTTTGTGATAAAGTATTGAATATCTCATGTAATTTTTTGAATACTATACTGAAAATGAAAAACTGAATGGTTGTATGGGTCCCTGAAGTACAGTTTCTACTTACATGTATTGCTTTCACAGCACTGTAAAGCTGAAAAATTTAAATCGAACCATGATAAGTCAACGACTGTCTGTACAAGGTAACATACAAAAGCCTCTGATAAAGAAAATACTGGTAGAACATCGTCCCTGATTTTGTATGATCCTGAGGGGGAGGTTGACACATATACAACTTTGAATAAAACCCACACAATACCTAATAACAGAGGGCAAAGAACCATGAAAGTAGAGTCAAGGGGAGTGAAAATTCCACTCACTTTGTTTACTGTGATTAATTCTCAAGTTGTTCGTAATCCACTAAAGTCAACTGACCCATGGGGTGAAGTGGTATTCAGTTAATGAGTCAATTCCCTGCAACCTTTCAACAATATGGGGCACCAAAGCCCTGAATGTATAAGAGTGGGCCTTTCTGAATACATTCTGTGAAAATTTTATACCCCAATCTGATTTATATCATATCATGTTATGTAACAAATAATTAGCTACAAATATATCCATGGCACAAGGCTTGTTGCTTTTGCCCCTGAAAAGAAACCGTATCATAATTGCTAGGTATCCTTGGTGATTATTCAGAAAATCTTTGAACTTGCCTTTCACAAAATAGAGAGGGGCATTCTCTTGACATTGTGTGATGTTTTGCCTCTTATTGCAAGAATGCATTGCATGCTCCCTGAAATATTTTAGCAGTCCCAACTCTTCCAAATTGTTCAATCCCTATATGACAAAGCAAAATAATTTAAATATTGTTTCAATAATAAAAGTTTACCAAAATATCTTGCATTATTTGTATTAAAAGAAAAAATCCATAAAACATGTATTGAACCTTATTTGAAATAACATGCCACAAACAATTTCTCTGACAACTCAAGCCTGTTCTATTCAAGCAGGCTCTCAAGACCCAACAAGTCATCTGGTGACTCAGGTGGCTCCTGAGAAGAAATAAAATGCTCTGTGCAACTTGTGTTTCTGAAGCATTTACTGGGTGTGTAGCATTTTGTAATTTAGCTGGATTCCTTTTGCAAAACATGCAACAAAGAATTTAATCAGCAAAGCAAAACAGGTTTGTGGCATTCCAGAGCGATTCTCTAATCCAAATATAAATTATTCAAGTTCCAACCAATCTAGCAAATCACAAATGAACATGGTAAGGATTGTGATTGACCAATTACAAGTCACAAGTCTAATGGTAGGTTAGGCACAATGATTCACATCTGTAATCCCAGCACTTTGTGAGCCAAGGTGGGTGGATTGCTTGAGCTCAGGAGTTCAAGACCAGCCTGGGCAACGTGGTGAAACCCCGTCTCTATTAGTCAATTTGGATTGATTCAGTGGGCAGTTCGTTTAGATGAACTTTATGCAGTATTCAAGTTATTAAGAAAATTACAGGCTGGGCATGGTGGCCTAACAAAGAAGAGATGGGTTCTTACTATATTGTTCAGGCTGAAGTGTAGTGACCATTCACGTGTGCAATTAGGATGCACTACACCCTTGAACTCCTGGGCTCAAGTGATCCTTCTGCCCCAGCCTCCCAAGCAGCCGAGATTACAGGCAGGCACCACCGCACCCAGCCTCAGCTGGCTATTTATACACATGCACACATATGGAGAGGAAGAGAGGGAGAGAGATTGTCTAAGAATAAGGATATATTTTATATAACCAATCATAATATCAAACAAGAAAATTAGCATTAGTTGTATATTATCTAATATACAGTCTATGTTTGAATTTCTCCAGTTATTTAAAAAATGTCTTAGAGCTGGGTTTTATTTTTCTGAATCTGGGTTCCAAGCAAGATTTGTACATTGCATTTGATTATTTCTCTTTAATTCTTAATCTACAACAATTTTTCTGTCTAAAAATATTTCTATGATAATGACATTTTTCCCAATAGTCTTAAACAATGTCCCACATTCTTGATTTTTCTACTTTTTTCATTATTAGGTTTAGGTTAATAAAGTTTGGCAAAATACTTATATTACTGTCAAAGTAATGTTTAAAGTGAAATTTTGAATTTTCTTTGTTTGATATTATGTCTTCCCCCAAATTCTAGTGTATAGAAACTTTGGTTTAAAAAAGTATTTATATAATAAACAGTATGGTCGTACTAGCAAATACAATATATGTTTCTTTGGTATATTTTGTTCTTTTGAGGACAGGAGATGTGTCTACAGACTTTCATTTCAAACCTACCTTTGTAATACTGACTGTGGTCCCAGCTACTCAGGAGGCTGAGGCAGGAGGATCTCTTGAGCCAGGAGGTCAAGGCTGCAGTGAGCTATGATTGGGCCACTGCACTCCATCCTGGGTGATGACAGAGCAATAACCTGTCTCTAGGGGAAAACAACAACAACAACAACAAACCACCAGTCATAGTGGTTCACTAATCCCAGCACTTCGGGAGACTGAGACTGGAGGATCGCTTGAGTCCAGGAGTTCAAGACCAGCCTGGGCAACATAGTGAAACCCTGTCTCAAAAAATAAATCGAATTAGCTGGGCATGGTGGTGCATGCCTGTAGTCCCAGCTACTCAAGAAGCTGAGGTGGGAGGATCATTTGAGCCAGTCGGTTGAGGCTACAGTAAGCTATGATCACACTACTGCACTCCAGCCTGAGCGACAGAGTAAGACTGTCTCTAAGAAAAATAAAAACAAAACAAAACAAAACCCCAATATTTCTAATACCAAGCAAATCCAGAAAATGCTGAGTATACATAGTTCCTCACTCTTGCTCACACAGTGAACACTTGTGGGCATGTTTGTACAGCTTATCATCTGTATCATGGTGAGCCCTCACAGTCACCAAGAGTATACATGGTCAAAATTAATATCAAGTAAAGGACTCTGCAGATAAAGAAACATGTTAGTTTATGACGCTCTGATCTTAGGCAATTTTTCTTAGTTGCTAAAATTGCCATAACAGTGCTTTTGAGTTATTAGTCTTCATAATTACCTTAGTCCCTTTGGGCTGCTATAACAAAATACCATTAACTGGTTGGCTTATGAAGAACTGAAATTTATTTCTCACAGTTCTGAGGACTGGGAAGTCAAGAGACTTGCTGTCTGGTGAGGGCCAACTTCTTGCTCTACAGAGAGCACCTTCTCACTGTGTCCTCACATGGTGAAGAGGGCAAGGGAGCACTTTCAAATCATTTTTATAAAGCCACTATAAAGGAAAAAAAGGCCAGGCGCGGTGGCTCATGCCTGTAATCCCAACATTTTGGGAGGCGGAGGTGGGTGGATCACCTGAGGTCAGGAATTCGGTAACAGCCTGGCCAACATGGTGAAATCCCATCTCCACTAAAAATATAAAAATTAGCCTGGCTTGGTGGTGCATGCCTGTAATCCCAGCTACTGGGGAGGCCAAGGCAGGAGAATCGCTTGAACTTAGGAGGTGGAGATTGCAGTGAGTGTGCCATTGCACTCCAGCCTAGGTGACAGAGGGAGACTCCGTCTCAAAAAAAAAAAAAAAAGAAAAAAGAAAAAGAAAAGAAAAGAAAGGAAAAAAATTTCTCTCTACGTTCATACTCCATATGGCACACTTTCGTGACCAGATATATGTGAGTTTTTTCCTCATAGACCAAGCGATTCTCCAGTGGACACCAACTGGGTGTCCTGTAATTCAATTTGATTCTGACACTGTTTCAAATAGTGTGAGATCCCACAGGTTAATGGCACAGTCCCACAAGCCTGCCCCCATTTCAGAAGCCAATCTCAGATCCAGGCCTCCAGTATTGTTGATTGACAGGTTATAAGTCAGAGGGTCACATCACCCCCTCTTCAGGTTTCGTTAATTTGCTAAATGGCTCACAGAACTCAGAAAACACTTCACTTATGTTTACCAGCTTTTTTTATTATTTATTATTTATTATTTTTATTATACTTTAAGTTCTAGGGTACCTGTGAACAACATGCAGGTTTGTTACATATGTATACATGTGCCATGTTGGTGTGCTGCACTGGTTAACTGGTCATTTACATTAGGTATATCTCCTAATGCTATCCCTCCCCCCTCCCCCCACACCACGACAGGCCCCAGTGTGTGACGTTCCCCACCCTATGTCCAAGCGTTCTCATTGTTCAATTCCCACCTGTGAGTGAGAACATGCAGTGTTAGATTTTCTGTCCTTGCAATAGTTTGCTCAGAATGATGGTTTCCAGCTTCACCCATGTCCCTGCAAAGGACATGAACTCATCCTTTTTTATGGCTGCATAGTACTCCATGGTGTATATGTGCCACATTTTCTTAATCCAGTCTATCACTGATGGACATTTGGGTTGGTTCCAAGTCTTTGCTACTGTGAATAATGCCACAATAAACATACTCATGCATGTGTCTTTATAGCAGCATGATTATAATCCTTTGGGTATATGCCCAGTAATGGGATGGCTGGGTCAAATGGTATTTCTAGTTCTAGATCCGTTTACCAGCTTACTTTAAAGGATACCATGAACAGTCAGATGAAGAAGTGCAGAGGGCAAGGTATGGGGGAGTGGGTGCAGAACTTCCATGGCCTTTCTGAGCACCCTCGCTCCCAGCACCTCCAAGTGTTCAGCAACCTGGAACTCATAAAATATCATTGTTTGAGAGTTTTTTGGCCAGGTGCAGTGGCTCACACCTGTAATGCCAGTGCTTTGGGAAGCACAAGCAGGAGGATTTCTTGAGCCCAGGAGTTCAAGAGCAACCTGTTAGGGAGACCTCATCTCTACAGAAATTTTAAATATTAGCCAGTCATAGCGGTGCATGCCCGTAGTCCCAGGTACTCAGAAGGCTGAGACAGGACGATCACTTGAGCCCAAGAGGTTGAGGCTGCAGTGAGCTCTGATTGCACTGCTGCACTCCAGCCTGGGCAACAGAGTGAGACCCTGTCTCAAAAAAAGTTTTTAAAATAAAGTTTAATCTCCAGTGGCCCCCATTTCCTGCAGGTTGGTGGGTAGGTCTGAAGTTCTGACCCTCTACTCCTCTAATCATGTGTTCTTTCTGGTTAGCAGCCCCGTGATGAAACTATCTAGGAACCCCACCCTAAGTCATCTTGTCAGCATAAACTCAGGTGTTATCAAAGGGGCTCATTATCAATAACAAAAGACACTAGGGAAATTCTAAGTTTTAGAGCTCTGTAACAGGAACCAGAGACAAAGGCCAAATACATTTCATATTACACCACAGTCAGTAATTCCATCCGCAAGGGCTCTACTCTCATGACCTAATCATCTCCTAAGGGCCTTACATCCTAATACCATCACCTTGGGGGTTAGGATTTCAACATTTAAATTTGGTGGGGGGACACTGTATTAATCTGTTCTTACACTGCTATAAATGTACTACCTGGGTCTGGGTACCTCCTAATACCATCACCTTGGGAGTTAGGATTTAAACATTTAAATTTGGCGGGGGGATACTGTATTAATCCGTTCTCACACTGCTATATATATACTACCTGGGTCTGGGTCTGGGTAATTTATGAAGGAAAGAGGTTGAATAGACTCACAGTTCCACAAGGCTAGGGAGACCTCAGGAAACTTACAATCATGGTGGAAGGTGAAGGGGAAATGAGGACCTTCTTCACACGGCAACAGGAGAGAGAAGTGCAATGGGGAAATGCCAGGCGCTTACAAAGCCATCACATCTTGTGAGAACTCACTATCATGAGAACAGCGTGGGGGAGACTGTCCCCATGATCCAGTCGCCTCCCTCCCTTGACACGTGGGAATTACAGGTCCCTCCCTCAACACATGGGGATTACAATTTGAGATGAGATTTGGGTGTGGACACAAAGCCTCATCATATCAGACACACACATTCAGACCATAGCAACAATTAAACCTATAGTAAGCATGATTTCCTATGATTTCTCTCGAGTTTTATAGAGCTATCAATGAAGCCAAGCTGCAATTGGGGAGATTATATTTTCTTTTTCTTTTTCTTTACTGTTTTTTTTTTCTTTTGAGACAGAGTCTCACTCTTGTCACCCATGCTGGAGTGCAATGGCACGGTCTTCGCTCACTGCAACCTCTGCCTCTGGGTTCAAGGATTCTCTTGCCTCAGCCTCCAGAGTAGCTGAGATTACAGGCACCTGCCACCACACCCAGCTAATTTTCGTACTTTTTAGTAGAGACAAGATTTCACCATGTTGGCCAGGCTGGTCTCAAACTCCTGACCTCAGGTGATCTGCCTGCCTCAGCCTCCCAAAGTGCTGGGATTGCAGGCATGAGCCACCTCACCCAGCTGGGGAATTTATATTTTCTAATCATTAATGAATTGGCCTAAGCAACAATAGAACTGGACTCTTTGTCAATATTGTCGTTATCACTATCCAGTCATATTTACTGGATTAGCAACAGGTTTAATACTCCTCTATATCATCAGGGTTTGACTGAGATCTTGAATGCCACTTTGTGGTTGTGATCTCACCATTTGTAGCATAACATTTGCCATTCACTTATACAAATGAAAATCATCCTAGAATCATGAAACCAAAAGAAATTTCAAGAGGCCGTTGATTACATTTTACTTGGCATCAGATAGGCCAAAGCTCTCTCCTACCTACTGTTAGCAGCAGTGAATCTGGATGGGTCTGCAGCAACCTCATTTCTTGCCTCCTCAGAAGAAAGAATTTGACTAAGGGGCATAAGGCAGAAAGAGAGAGAGAGACGGAGGCAAGTTTTAGAGCAGGAGTAAAAGTTCATTAAACACTTTTAGAGCAGGAGGCTGGTCGCGGTGTCTCACGCCTGTAATCCCAGCACTTTGGGAGGCCAAGGCGGGTGGATCACGAAGTCAGGAGATCGAGACCATCCTGGCTAACACGGTGAAACCCCGTCTCTACTAAAAACACAAAAAATTAGCCAGGCGTAGTGGCAGGCGCCTGTAGTCCCAGCTACTCGGGAGGCTGAGGCAGGAGAATGGCGTGAACCCGGGAGGGAGAGCTTGCAGTGAGCCGAGATTGAGCCACTGCACTCCAGCCTGGGCGACACAGCGAGACTCTGTCCCCCGTCCCCTCCAAAAAAAAATTTTAGAGCAGGAATGAAAGGAAGTAAAGTACACTTGGAAGAGGGCCAAGAAGATGACTTGAGAGATTCAAGTGTGTGATTTGACCTTTGACTTGGGGTGTTCTACCTCAGCATTCTTCCGGGGTCTGTGTCTCTTCTCCCTTGATTCTTCCCTTGGAGTGGGCTGTCCACATGCACAGTGGCCTGCCAGCACTTGGGAGGGGCCGCATGCACAGTACGTTTACTGGAGTTGTACACATGCTCACTTGAGGCGTCCTTTCCTTACCAGTTGAGTGCTTCTAGAAGAAGGTCATATACCAGTTATACTCCGCCATTTTGCCTCTTAGTGGGCATGCTGGAGCCCACTCACCTAACTCCTGAGATCTTATCAGGAAGCCGCCCATCACCAGTTTCTAGTTTCTGGTGTTTCTGTCTACTGGGAGACTGCCTTTCGCTGGTACCAGCTGTGACCAATTATTACTTTAGCGAGACAGCTTAACAACTATCTGATCATCAACTGATGGTTGTCTAACATTCCCTGTGGGGGTGGGAGGGGCCCTCTCCTGCCCTGCTCACATCTACTATCTACTGTAACACCACCAGTTGAAAATCTACTCTTTTCTTTTTTCTTTTTTAATAGAGACAAAGTCTTGCTATGTTAGCCAGGGTGATCTTAAACTCCTGGCCTCAGGTGATCCTCCCGCCTTGGCCTCCCAAAGTGCTGAAATGACAGGTGTGAGCCACCATGCCCAGCCAAAAATCTACCCTATTTCTAATTGTTCTTTGCACAGTGCTTTTTGATGGTCTTTTGGGTAAATCATCCCATTGTGAGGATATTTAATATTTAACTTAAATTCTTTCTATATGGTAGCAAAGATATTAGCTGTCTTTCATTTGAAAGCTTTCCTCTACTTTGGGCTCACATTCTGTGCCACTGGCAGAATAAGAAAAGCCTCTTTAAGCCGAAGCTCACAGAGCTTGTTTTCCAAACCTTTAATCATTTTTATGGCTTTCCTTTAAACTCTCTCCAAGTGTTTCGTCTTCTTTTCGAAGCAAAGCCGAGAATTAAATATAATATGTGAAAGGATATGATTAGTACCAAATTTAGGAGACAATTACTGCACAGTTCTTACATTCTGAGCTCTAAGCTCTTTTGTTGATAGCTTTAAAAAATTATCAGATTTTCTAAACAACAATGAAGGTTCCAAAGAGTAATCTTAAATAGTATACAGTCATATTTTAAAACTTTTTGAGCCTGGACATTGTGGCTCACTCCTGTAATCCCAAAGCAGTTCGGGAGGTCCAGGCAGGAGGATCACTTGATCCCAGGCAGTCAAGGCTGCAATGAGCAATGATGGCACCATTGCACTCCAGCCTAAGTGACAGAATAAGACTCTGTCTCAAAAAAACAAAAAAGACAAAAACAAAAAACAAAACTTTTATGGCTATGATTCACTTTAGTGGGACAAAAGGACTCAAAGCCCACCTACCCGCTGAGTGTCACTTCTAGTGGAAAAGCTACTCAAACTGTAGAACAGATCTTAGAAAGAAGTGTAATGATGATTCATATTTGAACCACTACGCTTTCATGTCTTAAGGTCTAGTTATTGCAAAATTACAGGTTCAAAATAGCTGATATAAATTTACATTACTGCCTACTCTAGAATTAACCAAGCAACCCACAACAGCAATCCTATCCTGATGAAGCTACTCCAAAGTACTTGATACTTAACAATTGTTGGAAAATGTTGCCTTTCATTTCATTTTACAAGAGCCAGATGTCCCCTTGCCAGCAATGCTTCATAAGAAACCTGCAACAGACACATGCATTTTCCTTCAAAACACAGATTAAAAACTTAAAAGAAAAAACAAGCACTATAAACAAAGACAGATATACCATATCTTATTTTATGAATTAATATAAGTTTAAAATTTTATTGATAAAACGTAGATCCGTTCTTATTTTCTCAGTATCATTCTGTGAACCCAAAAGTATCTGAGACAGATCTCCATCAATTTAGAAATTTTATTTTACCAAGGTTAAGGACATGCCTATGACACGGCCTTAGGTGGTATCTGCCCAAGTTGGTCAAATACAGCTTGGTTTTAAACATTTTAGGGAGACGTGAGACATCAATCAATACATGTAAGATGTACATTGGTTCAGTCCAGAAAGGCAGGACAACTCAAAGTGGGGAGGGGGCTCCAGGTCATAGGTAGATTTTAAAGTTTTCTGGTTGTCAATTGGTTGAAAGAATTACTGTCAATAGAAAGGAATGTATGAGCTACGAAAAGGGGTTGTTGAGACCAAGGTTTTATCAAGCGGCTGAAGTCTCTAGGTAGCAGCCTTCAGAGAGAATAGATTGCAAATGTTTCTTATCAGATTTAAAGAGTCTGTTCTATCAGTAATTCCAAAAAGGAGGAGGGTATAATGAGGCATGTCTGGCTCCTGCTTCCCATCATGGCCTGAACTAGTTTTTTCAGGTTTACTATGGAACACCCTTGGCTGAGAGGAGAGTCCATTCAGATGGTTAGGAGGGCTTAGAATTTTACTTTTGATTTACAATTCAAAATGGAATTCAAGGAAGAAAAATACAACTCAGTAGGAAAACAAGCTCACTTATGAATATATCAACCTTTGAAAGCATGTACCTTAGGGTATATGCTATTTCTTGTTTAAAATGTTAACATTCTGCCAGAAGTGGTGGCTCAGGCCTGTAATCCCAACACTTTGGGAGGCTGAGGCAGGATGACTGCTTGAGCCCAAGAGTTTGAGGCCAGCCTGAAAAACATAGGGAGACCCTTATCTCTACAAAAAAAATTTAAAAAAATAGTTGGGCATGGTGATGCATGCCTGTGGTCTTACCTACTCGGGAGGCCGAGGTAGGAGGATTGCCTGAGCCTGGAAGCTGGAGCCTGCAGTGAGCTATGATCATGTCCCTGTACTCTAGCCTGGGCAACAGTGAGACCCTTTCTCTAAAAATAAAAAATAAAATAAAATGTTAACATTCATATAAGCTAAGTACAATACAATCAATCTGGCAGGTATTTCTTACATTTAGAAAAATATTCTAGATTCAAAGGAAAAACCATCATCGATAACTCATTTGAACTCAATGATGTGGACTGCAGTTTCTGTGAATACTCTCTTCCCAATGTTGCATAGCTCGTAATACGTATACTGGGTTGCCCAAACTGTATATCCTGATGTTTTGGGAGTATATCTGGTTTTCACAAATGATTTTTTATTGTTGTTATTTTATTTTTATTTTATAGACTGGACCTCACTCTATTGCCCAGACTGGAGTGCAGTGGTGTGATCATTGCTCACTGCAGCCTCCATCTCCTGGGCTCAAAGAATCCTCCTGTCTCAGCCTCCAAGTAGCTGGGTTTACAGGCTCAAGCCACCATGCCCAGCTCTATTGTTGTTGTTTTTAAAGTAAAACAAAGATAGAAAAACACACAGTAGTCAAGAAATCAAATTAAGCATTAAAAAAAAAATTTCCTGAAAGTCATCATATATATTTTTAGTGATTTCCCTGAATTTTAATGTCATAAATTAGTCTTTTAGTGTACACATTTCTAAAAGAAAAGGCAAAATATGGCCAGGTATGGTATCTCATGCCTGTAATCTCAGTATTTTGGGAAGCTGAGATGGGTGGATGGGTTAAGCACAGGAGTTCCAGACCAGCCTGGGCAATACAGCGAGACCATGTATCTACCAAAAAAAATCCCCCAAATTTGGCTGGGCATGGTGGCACACAACTGTAATTCCAGCTATTTGGTGGGCTGAGGTGGGAGGATTGCTTGAGCCCAGGAGGTTGAGGCTTCAGTGAGCCAGGCTCGTGTTACCATACTCCAGCCTGCGTGAAATCGAGACCCTGTCTCAAACAAACAAACAAACAAACAAATAAAAGGTAAAATATATTCAATTTATTTGGTGCCTACCTGACTCTCATTTTCACAGGTTTTTTTGTTTGTTTGTTTGTTTTAGGTTCCAGCCAAGGCACCTGGTCTTTCTCACCATATCAACTCTCTATGCACCCAGTCTCCCAACCCAGGGAATCTACTCATTGCCCACTCACCTTCTCTTAACACCCCTGCCCACCCTCATCCCTAAGTGCTCCTCTTTTCCTTGGTTAAAAATATCTGTGATGCAAAAATCTAAGAATACATGAAACCTAGGCTGGAAGAGGAACAAGGAATTTTTCTTAAGGAGAGCTAAAAGGGTTCACATAATTAAAAGCTGGAGAAAAAAAGGAAGTGAGAAAAAAAAAAAGAAAGAAAGAAAGGGAAGGAAGGAGGAAGGGAAGTAGGGAGGCCAGAGAAATTGACCTGGGTATTACAGAGAGAGACTCTCTTTCTTGATTAGGGGGTATGTGTGGTCAGAGGGCCTTTGGAGCCAGTGAGATGGTAGAAAATTGTGAAAAGAGGAGGACTGAAGAATTATTTCTGGGATATATTTACTGGATAACTTTTTTAAATTTTTATTTTATTTTATTTTATTTTTAGAGATAGGCTTTAATTCTGTTGCCCACGTTGAGTACAGTGGCGTGATCAAGCTCACTGCTGTCTTGAACTCCTGAGTTAAAGTAGCTCTTCTGCCTTAGCATCCTGAGTAGCTGGGACTACAAGTGCAAGCCACAACACTCAGTTAATTTTTAAAATTTTTGTGTAGGGATGGGGTCTCACTACGTTGCCCAGGCTGGTCTGGAGCTCCTGGCCTCAAGTGATCCTCCCACCTCAGCCTCTCAAAGTGCTGGGATTACAGGCATGAGTCACCACACCCAGCCAGAAATGGATAACTTTGAATGTTTTAGAACCTAGGCAAAGTTAAAAGACAGGAAATAGTTTTAAAAACTAATATTGGCGGCCGCCATGGGGGCTCACATGTGTAATCCCAGCACTTTGGGAAGCTGAGGCGTGAAGATCGCTTGAGGTCAAGCATTTGAGACCAGCCTGGGAAACATAGGGAGACTCCGTCTCTACAATAAAATAAAATAAAATTAGCTAGGTGTGGTGGTACACACCTGTGGTCTCAGTTACTCTGGAAGCTGAAATGGGAAGATTGCTTGAGCTCAGGAGGTCTAGGTTGCAGTGAGCTGTGATAGTGTCACTGCACTCCAGCCTGGGTAACAGCAAGACCCTGTCTCAAAAACAGACAAACAAAAACATAACAAAAAGCAAAAAACAAACTAATATTGGTTGTTTCAAGGATGCCGCTTTGTTTTTTTGTTTGGGGTTTTTTTCTGTTTTTTGTTTGTTTGTTTGTTTTTGAGACAGAGTCTCACTCTGCCACCCAGGCTGGAGTGCAGTGGTGCGATCTCGGCTCACTGCAACCTCCACCTCCTGCGTTCAAGCGATTCTTGTGCCTCAGCCTCCTGAGTAGCTGGGATTACAGTTGTCCACCACCACATCTGGCTAATTTTTGTTGTATTTTTATAGAGATGGGATTTCACCATGTTGACCAGGCTGGTCTCAAACCCCTGACCTTAGGTGATCCACCCACCTTGACTTCCCAAAGTGCTTGGGATTATAGGCATGAGCCACTGCACCCGGCCAAGGATGCTTCTTTGAATTTGGCTCTGCACCACAAGCAGTACTTTGGGCCTATAGGCCCAGCAGGAGCAGCCCTGAGCATAGCGGGGCCTTGCGCTGAATTTCCTCCACTGTAGCCTCTGGATGGGGAGATGCAGCCCAGGTGCCATGCCTACCCAACAGTCACACAGCCCCTGTCTAGATCAAGCTTCAAAGTACGCAGCACCCCTGACTTCCCTGCCAAATGGCCTCAGGTTGATTTACAGGCCTTGCTCCAGCTCCTTCCTGGGGGCCCTCTTCTTAAGAGTAGATGGTGCAGCCAGGCACGCATCCGAGACCCTGGAGGGTGATGTACAGCCCAGAGCTCCTGCAGGCTGGAGGGCTGGGGGCGCAGCACACGATCCATCATTGCAGAGGAAGAGGAGTGCCTCATGTCGTCACCCCCTGGCTTGTCATGCTAAGGAGTCGGAGAATTAGAAAATGAAACCTGGCCTTCCACACATCCTAAAGATATGTTTATCTAGGTAGAAAGATCGAACATAATCTATTTAGCAGCATGTTAGCTTGGTTTGTATTTATACATTTAGTCATTTGGTATGTGGGCCTCCACCCATACTTGTGCCTTGGGCCCACAAATAACAGGGGCAGTCATGTAATTGACCAAACAGAACCATGTGCCTCCAAGATGCCTAAGGATTATCCTTAAAACAAAGACAGAAGCTAGAGTGTTACTTTTCTGATATGTTTCATCTGTTTAGAAGTCCCCTTGAGGAAGCACTGTAGTCTCTAGTCTGACTGACAGACCTGCTGCCAAACCCCACCTCCATGCCTCTTACCTGCTTGATCTCGGGCAAGCTTCTTCACCTCTCTAAGACTCATCAGAAAACTGGTTGTAACAGGATTAAGTGAGAACATCCTTGGTTGGGCGTGGCAGCTCACACCTATAATCCCAATGCTTTGGGAATTGAGGTGGAAGGATCCCCTTGAGACCAGGAGTTCAAGACCAGCCCAGGCAACCTACAACATAGCAAGATGCTGTCTGCAAAAAAAAAAGAAAAAGAAAAAGAAAAAAAAGATGACATCCTTGAGGCACATTTGGTACCATGCCTGGTATACAGCAGGAATCCATGAAAGTGGCATTTAAAGCCACTTCTGGCTTTGACCTATTTCCATATTCACATTTTAGGCTAAAGATTGTAGAATCATTGAGCTGAAGGAATATGTGGTCATTTCATAGAACATACTATTTAGGAGAACAAACTTTGGAGTCAAAGAGACCAGGGTGCTCTCCTCCCTTCATCCCCGACCAGGTGGGTCATGAGGGGTAGTCACTTATCTCAGCATCCTCAGTTATAAGACGGCAGTAATAGCAGTAACTAAATCATTGTACCATTATAAGGATAAAATGAGAAAAATACACAAAAATATCACCCAGCAAGTTGATGATTTTCTCCAAGTGCTGTGCCTCAAACTTACATTGAACTTCATTCTATTTTCAACGATTTCTCTAATTTACTGAGGTTCCGAATGTTGCCAAATGAAAGTGAAATTTTATTAGCCTGGTGTGGTGGCACCTGCCTGTGGTCCCAGCTCCTCAGGGCAGGCTGAGGTGGGAAGATTGCATGAGCCTGAGAGTTCAGGTTGCAGTAAGCTGTTATCACACCACTGCACTCCAGCTTGGGAGATAGAATGAGACTCTGTCTCAAAAGAAAAAAAAAGTGATATTTGTAATTATTTGGTACATTTAGAATTAGTTTTAAAAATTTTTCTGCATTAAGGGAAGAACAAATATTTTTTTCCTTTCTACTCACATGCTCAATGAAAGATAGAACGCAGAACACACTTCTGTGACCAGGTGTGGGTTTTTCCCTACACACCAGCCAACTGGCTGTCCTGTAATTCAATTCAATTCTGACACTATCTACCTGAGGTCTCAGTCCACAAAGACTTTAGATCCCAATCTCAAGTCCAGGCCACCCATTCTGACTTACTAGCCACAAACCAGAGCTCCAACAGTCCCCACTTGGGTTCAACTAATTTGCTAGGACAGCTCCCAGAACTCAGAGAAATACCTAGGTTTACCAGTTTATTATAAAGGATATTAGCAAGCATACAGATGAAGAGATGCAGAGGGTGAGTTTTGGAGGAGGGAGAGCAGAGCTTCCATTGTCCCAGAGTTTTTACAGAGTTTAATCTCCAGTGCCTCTGACGACCCTTTCCCTGGAGGTGGATGGGAGGGGCTGAATGTTCTGATACTTTAAGGTTGGTGGGAGGGGCTGAATGTTCTGATACTTGAAGGTTGGTGGGTGCGGCTGAATGTTCTGATACTTTAGTCCTCTAATCACTTGTTCTTTCTAGCAACTGGTTGGCCCCATCTTGAAGTTATCTAGGGACCCCGCCATAAGTCACCTCATTATCATAAACTCAGGTGTGATAAAAAGTGCTTGTGGGGCCAGGCCAAGTGGCTCACGCCTGTAACCCCAGTATTATGGGAGGCCGAGGTGAGAGGATCACTTGAGCCCAGGAGTTCAAGACCAGCCTGGGCAACGTGGTGAGACCTTGTCTCTTAAAAAAAAAAAAAAAAATTAGCCATGTGTGGTGATGTGCACCTGTAGTGCCAGCTACCCAAGAGGTTGAGGTGGGAGGATCACTTAAGCCTGGGAGTTCGAGGCTGCAGTGAGCAGTTTGTGTCAAACTGCTGCCTGGGTGGCAGAGCAAGACCCTGTCTCAAAACAAACAAACAAACAAACAAAAAACAAAAAAACCCAGCAGTGGTGAATTTCCTATCACTCAGGAAATTCTGAGGTGTTCAACAACTTTGTATAATAACCAAATATTATAACAGAAGATGCTCCTATCACCATTATCACTTGGGCAATTACAAGGGATTTAGGAGCTCCATGTCAGGAACTGGGGACAAAGCCCAAATGTATTTCATATTATACCAGTTTGTCTCATTGTGCAACTGATTTTATTTTCACTGGAGAGAGTTGTGTTAACTTCTGCTTTGATTCCATTTATATGGCTGGTGCTCACCTTTCAGACTTGGGCCTTCAAATGTAAAATGTAATTATCACCCACACAAAATCATACAATTATTGTGTTGTTTCTGGCACTTTTTTTTTCTTTTCTTCATGTCAGACAGGTAATGTGCTGATGTCATAATGAGGTTCAAGGGTGGCAGGTTTCTTTTTTTCTTTTTTTTTTTTTGACAGAGTCTAGCTCTATTGTCCAGGCTGGAGTACAGTGGTGAGATCATGGCTCACTGCAGCCTCCACCTCCTGGGTCAAGGGATCCTCCCACTTCTGCCTCCTATATAGCTGGGACCACAGGTGCACACCATCATGTCTGGCTAATTTTTATATTCTTTGTAGAGACAAGTTCTCACTTTGTTGCGGAGGCTGGGCTCAAACTCCTGGGCTTAAGCCATCCTCCTGCCTCAGCTTTCCACAGTGCAGGGATTACAGGTGGGAGCCACCACACCTGCCAGGGTGGCACATCTCACACATATGCATGAATACCCAGTCATCACGCTTATGAACTACTAAAGGATCTCTGGCACTTTTTAAAAAGCCCAATAAGACAACAATTTCAGTTGAAGTCACAGTAAAATGTGACAAAAGATCTGAGAAATGTGCCTACTGGAGTCTCTGGACTGTTTCTTGACCGTCACACCCATCTCTCCCTTTCTTCCTGGAGGAGCACTTGACAAAGAGAGGTGAGTCCAGGTCACTCATAGACACAGCCACATGGAGCTCGACTCTGTCCTGGCAGCAGACATGCAGAGTCCAAGGCCAAGAGCAGCGGGAATAGGGACTGACGTGACATTTGGATTCGGACTGGTACAGTTTGGAGAGATTAAGGGCCAGATACTCAGATTCACTTTCTTACCCTCTTCCAAGGGCATTATTTAATAGTCTGTTTACACATCTAACACTTGCTTGCTCTAATAATAGCCATGGGTCTGAATCACCCTCGTCACTGAGTGTTACACAGAGTCCTCAGCTGTTTCTATGACTTGCATGGTTGGTGTTCAGCGTTATCTGGAAACCTCTAAGAATGTGCAGGGTAATCAGTGATTTTAATTTTAGCTATGCATGACGTGAGGGATCTTCTATGTATTTCTATTGACCTGTCTTTAAAACATGTTGTATAACGATGAGAGGAATTCCACAGAAAAACTTCAATAAGAATCCCTACACAATACATATGTAACTATATACAAATGTGACTTAAATATATTAATAGAAAATGTATATTACTATTATTACTGCTCTACATACAATCAATTTTCGGACATAATCGAGACAGACACCTGTATAAATGAGAACTTATTCAGTGGGCTTCTGGGGTACTAAGAATATTCAGTTTCTTGATCTGGGTGCTAGCTCCATAAATATATTCAGTTTGTGAAAATTTACTGGACCAAAGACTTATAATATATGCCCTTTTCTGTATTGTGTTATACTTCCACAAAGAGTTTTAAACATTTACTATGTAATTTAAGTTTTTTGAGGAAAAAATTGAGCAATTGCAACTATATATCATACACATATGACAATCCATATTTCAGCTACATCCAAGATCAAATTATTTTTGAAAATTTTGCAAAGTTCAATAGACCTAAATCTCTCATTTAAAGGGGACTCTGTTTTATCTTTCCCAACTTTCCCCCCAAAAACAAAAATAACATTTCTCTCCTCCTCACAATTACAGAGATGTAATAAATCAACTTTTAAAATAATCCTCTCTTTAGTCATATGTATTTTGTTGTAAAATTCCACATTTTTTGGAAAGTGTGGGAAAATAGGCTCTCTAATTCATTGTTGATGGAGTACAAATTAGTATAAACTCTGCAGATCAATTTGAAGCTATCTATAAAAATGTAAAATGTTCATGAATTTGATCAAGCAACTTTACTTAAGAATTATTTCATATCATTGGAAGTGAAGTCATTGAAAATAATGATAATAATAAGAAGAACGATCCCAGAAATACACTGAGAAGTCTGTAGCATTTTTGTTATTTAGTCATTCATACACTCAACATTCAGCTGACATATATTTAATGAGTACCTGCTGTGTAGTAGGTGGAGTGCTGGGTTCTGGGGACATACTGATGATCAAAACAGCTGCAGTCCCAGCTCTGGAGGACTCTTAGAATGTCTATATGCCAGTTGGAAATATAATTATCAAAATATGAATCACACGATTTTTTACTGTTACACATTTAATTTAAAATTACAAAGCCTCTAATCCCAGCACTTCAGGAAGCCAAAAAAGGAGGATCACTTGAGTTCAGGAATTCGAGGCCAGCCTGGACATCAGAGTGAGACCTCGTCTCTACAAAAACATAAAAGGCTGAAGTGGGAGGATCACTAGAGCCGAGGAGATTGAGGCTGCAGTGAGCTGTGATGGCACCACTCACTCCAACCTGAGTGACAGAAAAAGACCTAGATTCTAAAAAATAAAAAATAATAAAATAAAATAAAATTACAAAAGAAACCAATGACAAATTATTCAAATGATTTTAATTATTATTCCATTTCAATGAAGACAAATGTATAGAACATGTATAGAGAAAATTTAGAAGACATTAATAGGGTTATTATCTGTGGATGGGGTTATGAAGGACTATCACTTAGGATACTTATTTCTTACTTAAATCAGAGGCAGGGTCTTGCTATGTTGCCCAGGCTGGAGTGCCATGGTTATTCACAGGCTTCGTCCTTGAACTTCTGGGCTCAAGCATCCTCCTGCCTCAGCCCCCCAAGTAGCTGGAACTATAGGTATGTACCACTATGCCCAGTTTAAAATGTTTGAATTTTTAATGATTACTTATAATTTTGTGTCTGGATATACATGTACATGGCACATTTCTAATTGTCTTTTTTTTTCTTTTTTAATTGAGATAGAGTCTCACTCACAGGTTGCCCAGGCTGGAGTGCAGTGGTGAAATCATAGCTCACTGCAGCCAAGAGTTCCTGGCCTCAAGCGATCCTCCTGCCTCACCATCCCTAATAGCTGGAATTACCAAGCTAATTTTTTTAATTATTTTAATTTTTACTTGTCATTTTTTATTGTTTTGAGACGAGGGTCTCATTATGTTGCCCAGACTGGTCTCAAATTCTTGGCCTCAAGTGATCCTCCCAACTTGGTCTCCCAAAGTGCAGGATTACAGGTGTGAGCCACTGTGCCCTACTATCTTCTTCATCTTCTTCTTCTTTTTTTTTTTTTTTTTTTTTTTTGAGACAGAGTCTCCCTCTGTCACCCAGGCTGGAGTACAGTGGTGCAATCTTGGCTCACTGCAACCTCCGCCTCCTGGGTTCAAGTGATTCTCCTGCCTCAGCCTCTTGAGTAGCTGGGATTACAGGTGCACGCCACCAGGCCCAGCTAATTTTTGTATTTTTAGTAGAGATGGGGTTTCACCATGTTAGTCAGGCTGGTCTCGAACTCCTGACCTCGTGATCTGCCCACCTCGGCCTCCTAAAGTGCTGGGATTACAGGCTTGGGCCACTGCGGCCGGCCCAAATCATCTTCTTAAACTAAATTCAGAGGGATCAGAAGTAACTCTGATGTTAATATGGGTTTAGTAGCTACCGCTATGATAGCTGATTAATAGGCAGTAAACAGCTGAGGCCAAAACATGCAAATATAACTGCACCCGTGTGTGTAGGTCACTTAGGATAGGAAAGCAATACTAAGAGACAGCTCCTTTTAGATAAACTAAATAATAAGATTAAGATACAGAGTGAAAAGCTGGAGGAGCAGGCAGGTAAACTTTCACTGACCAGAGGCAATTCTCTTCAAAGGCTTAGACCTGGGCACAGTATTTTTTAGATAGTTACACAGAAAGCCCTCTTAACCTGAAATCCAGGCCTGAAAAATCCCAGTGTGGTGAGGGTTAGTGGCATGAACCAGTTAGTCCCAGGGAACAGATGTTAAATTGTGTCATGATTATTCAAGAAATGTGCAGCTGCATTACTATTTTACTTGGGACACTTTGTATCCCAAGATTTCTTGGTCAGGCCCAGTGGCTCATGCCGGTAATCCCAGCACTTTGGGAGGCTGATTCGAGAGGATGGCTTGAGGCCAGGAGTTGGAGATCAGCCTGGGTAACATAGTGAGATCCTGTGTCAAAAAAAAAAAAAAAAAAATTAAATTAAATTAAAGATTACTTTACCATAAGGAGATTTTTAAAAAATTGTTTGTCTGTTTTAATTCCATAAGGCTGGCTGGCTGTGTGTTACATCAGAGGTGCTCAAAAGGGAAAAATGTCCTTTAAGGTTGTTATTTATATTTGTTGACATTTATTGATTGCTTTTGATGAGCCAAGCACAGTACTAAACAAATTTTGTGCGTATTGTCTCACATAATCCACATAACATATGAGCTAGATACTAATATTAAACTCATGTCAGTCCTCCCAACAACCCTATGAGGTTGGTTACTATTATAAGAACCATTTCACAAATAAAGAACTTTCCCCAAGGACACATAGCAAATAAGTGGGAAGAGTCAGAGTCTAAACTAAAGTTTGTTATAATTCTAAGCTTGAACTCCTGCTCTATGTATAAGGAAATACAAGGGAAGGGCTCTCAAGTGTGCATGGCCTCAGAAAGAGAAAGCCTCATCTCACAAGCATAAAGCTGCATGGACCTTGGAGATCTCTAGACCAACTTTCTGATCATCCAGATAGGGAAACTAAGGCACAAAACTCTTGATCACACACTTAGTAGCAGAGCCAGGAAGCCTGAGCAGGACTTCCGGACTCACAGGCTTCCTGGCTAACAGGCCAGTTGTTTTTCCATTGCCGTCTGTACTTGTGTACATTGGAAGTGTACCTGCCAACAAGAGGATGATTGTGAACTGGGTGCAGTAGTGCACAACTGCACTCCCAGCTACTTGGGAGGCTGAGATGGGAGGATCACTTGAGCTCAGGAGTTTGAGACTAGCCTGGGCAACACAGCAAGACCCCATTCCTATAAAATATATACATATATATATTTTGAGACAGAGTTTCATTCTGTTACCCAGGCTAGAGTGCTGTGGTGCAATCTCCGCTCACTGCAGCCTTGACCTCCAAAGCTCAAGGGATCCTCCCACCTCACCCTCCTTAGTAGCTGGAACTTCAGGCTTGTACTATCACACTTGGCTAATTTATTTTTTATTTTTATCTTTTGTAGAGGCAGAAGTCTCACTATGTTGCTCAGACTGGTCTTGAACTCCTGGGCTCAAGTGATCTTCCCACCTCAATCTCTCAAAGTGTTAAGATTACAAGAAAAAAGATAATGGTTGAAAGCCTTCCATTATTGGAAACTAAGCTTTTCCTCCTCAGCATTGTCAGTTCCTGATCTCCCACCCTTCTTTCACTTAAGCTTAACTTTACGTGTCTCTGAGCAAGAATTCCATGTCTAAAGCTATTACAGAAATATACCCATTGTTTCTAAATATCATTTAAAAAATTCTAAATGTATAATCTAGACAAAATGTTTGACTAAGAGCACGCAGTTGCCATGGTATTCAAGACAGCATCTACAGCACACAAACACATGCCTAATATAGTTGTTTCGAATTACAATAGAAAGCTGCAGGCAGTGAATTCAGGTAGGGTGAGGCGATGAAAAAAATAGAACATACTTCATGATTTTTTCACTGTTTTCAAAACCATCATTTCCAACTGCTGCCAATATCATAACTGCCATCATCTATAGTCACAGGACTGGCATTTGCTTCTGTTTATTGGGAGCATCTGGGGCCTGTGTCACTGTTAGCTATAAATAGATGATCCTCAAAACTACTTATTGACTACTTATGTAGAGCAAATGCTCGGTCACTAAACATGCAAGTATTATCTTGTCGGGGTACAGAAGGGAATGTCACAGCTTGGCTGAGAGAGAAGGACTTTATTTCATTTATTTTATTTGTGGGTTTTTTTGTTGTTGTTGTTACTTTTCGTTTTATTTATTTATTTGTTTATTTATTTTTTGTGACAGGGTCTTGCTCTATTGCCCACACTGGAATGCAGTGGTGCAATCATAGCTCACTGCAGCCTCCATCTCCCAGGCTCAAGCAACCCCCCCACCTCAGCCTCCTGAGTAGCTGGGACCACAGGTACATGCCACCAGCCTGGGCTAATTATTATTATTTTTTGTCTTGAACTCCTGGGCATCATGCCTGGCCACAACTGATTCTGAATCACGGAAAAAATAACATAAAATAGGGCTTGGAGCAGTGGCTCATGTCTGTAATCCCAGCACTTTGGGAGGCCGAGGCAGGAGGCTCTCTTGAGCCCAGGAGTTCGAAACCAGCATGGACAACATAGTGAGATTCTGCCTCTATCAAAAACACAAAAATTAGCTGGGTGTGGTGGTGCACGCCTGCAGTCCCAGCTACTTGTGCGGCTGAGATGAGAGGATCCCTTCAGTTTTGGAGGTTGAGGCTGCTGTGAGCTGTAATAGCACCACTGCACTCCAGCCTGGGTGACAGGATGAGATCCTGTCTCAAAAAAAAAAAAAAAAAAAAATTAGCATCAGCTGTAAGAGAGGAACTTTACACAAAGAGGAGCCCCTGGCTTTCAGAAGGTGTCCTGGCAGCAACAGCTGGGCTCTGTTTCCCTGCTCTTAGACATAGATGATCTCACAGAAGCAAACTCTGACAAGGTTATCCTGAGACCATAACAGAATGAGAGATAACAAGCCTATTTCGTAAGTTTGTTTAAGCACTTACAAAAGCAAGGCCACTGTACGACCCACAAAATACCAGACTTTTTCTCCTCTCTTGTTAAATGACTGACTGCAGCCGGAAAGGTGCCTGTGGTCCCAGCTACTCAGGAGGCTGAGATGGGAGGATTGCTTGAGCCTAGGACTTTGAGGCCACAGTGAGTTATGATCACACCACTGCACAGCAGCCTGGGTGACAGAGCAAGACCCTGACTCTAAAAATAATAACAATAAAATAAAATAAATAAAAATGAGTGACTGCCGCTTCTATACCCAATCATAGAATTGTCCCCTCTTTCTGACAGTTACCTAATTTAGGGCAAGTCACCATGACCTTAGGCCTTCCTCCAAAATCATTCAGCTAGCTTCTTCCAACCAGATTCTTTCTAACACCCTCTTACTGACACAACCCACAATTCTATATGGTGTGTGTTCTTGATGCAATGAGCAATAATCCAACATCTTTAACTACAGGTGTGTTCCTGGTGGTCTTTGGCTGGAGGGAACTACCTCCTCATAGCATGTAATAGATGTTTCAATTATTTTATCTGTTTACTTTTCCTTGCAACCGCTCAACTGGCGGGTAACTTTTCAGAGAACAGAGACCATGTTTATCCTGTTCTCTACTTTATTCAAAGTTCATAGCTTTATCTGGGATATGGTAAATGTTCAAGATTTTCTGAATAAATGAATCAATATGAGGGGTGTATTAGTCTGTTCTTGCATTGCTGTAAAGAACTACCTAAGACTGGGTAATTTAAAAAAAAAAAAACAGAGGTTTAATCGACTCACAGTTCCACAAGCTGTACAGGAAGCATGACTTGGGAGTTGTCAGGAAACTTACAATCATGGCGGAAGATGAAGGGGAAGCTCGCACATCTTACACAGCTTGAGAAGGAGGAAGAGGGCAAAGTGGAAGGTGCCGCACACTTTTAAACAACCAGATCTCGTGAGACTCACTATCTCAAGAACAGCAATGGGGAGTCTGCTCCCATGATTCAATCACCTCCTACCAGGCCCCTCCTCCAACACTGGGGATTACAATTCCATGTGAGATTTGGATAGGGACACAAATCCAAACCATGTCAGGGGGAATTCATATTCCCTGGTTTCCTCACATCTCTCTTATATATCCAGGAAGCCAGCATTTAGATACTAATCTTGCTGTGGGGAGGAACTCGTCTCTTGTAACTATTAATGTACACTGGAAAATGTACATAAAAGCACTTTGTAAACCATACTTAATCCTACTGTAGCATTACTGTTAGTGGCCATGACAATTTGGCCTCCAAAGTTTGGATTTCACCTGTTCCCAAACGGCTGTGAAGATGTTTGCCTATTTCCCTGTTCTACAGTATATCACTTTAAAAATAAATTTTCTTGTTTTGCTCTCTGACCACAAAAGCAATATCTACATATTTTGGTATTTGCAATTTGGTATTTGGAAACTTTGAAAAATATAAACAAATATAAATATAGATAAATATAAATTAGGCTGGGGTGGTGGCTCATGCCTGTAATCCTAGCACTTTGGGAGGCAGAAGCAGGTGGATTGCTTGAGCCCAGGAGTTTGAGACTAGCCTGGGCAACATAGTGATACCTTATCTCTACAAAAAAAG
The DNA here is from genome assembly GCF_000001405.40 of Homo sapiens. Lineage (NCBI taxonomy): Eukaryota > Metazoa > Chordata > Mammalia > Primates > Hominidae > Homo > Homo sapiens. Next base: position 23,407,387 of record NC_000010.11, read on the forward strand.
AATTGTTTTTAACTTAAAAAAAGAAAGGAGAAGAAAATAAACTGGCATTCTATTCTCAAAGCAGATTCCTTTTCCCCCAAATTGAGTTTAAGCCACCTCCTGGTTTGAAAGTTAAGGCTCAGTATTTCAGTATTTAGAGACTTAAAGAGAAATGCAAAGTATATTAGATGCTTAAAAAAGAAATTTTGAAGGTATTTGGTGAGAGGACCCAGGAATGCCAGAATCCTGCCTTGCCAGTATCCCATCACCTTTTTCCGTCTCTTAGGACCCCTCCACCTACCTTGAGTAATGGCCACAGGAAACAAGATTTCTCTTTATTTGTTATGCTTGAGTTTCAGAGAACCCTGGTAAAGCTGCATTCAACTCTGCAGTTAGGCTGGAGAAATGAGACAGGTAGGGGTAGAGAGGAGGGGACTAAAGGGGAAAGGTATTTTCTGTGTTTGTGTGTGTGTGTGTGTGTGTGTGTATTTATATGCTATATATAAAGAGAGAGCATATGCTTATATATACGTGTGTGTGTGTGTGTGTGTGGACCTTGATGGAAAGTCCTTTCATTAGCTTTCCCAGTGAATTGAACTCCTTTGAAAGTGTTCTTCTGGCTAAAATGTATGTATTGGGAAGGCATTTCTTTCAATTGTGTATCTCTTTTTTCTCTTGCAAAATCAAGCCATCCATTTATCAGGTAAAAATAATTATCAAAAGCTTTTTAATTGCTTTTTTCCTTTTATTCTTTCTTTCTTTTTTATTTTAATAGGTTTTTGAGGAACAGGTGGTGTTTGGTTACATGATTAAGTTATTTAGTGGTGATTTCTGAGATTGTGGTGCATCCATCACCTAGGCAGAGTACCCTGCACTCAATGTGTAGTCTTTTATACCTTATCAAAAGTTTAACAATAGAAAAATTGCACATATCAGACTGGGCACGGTGGCTCACGCCCATAATCCTAGAACTTTAAGAGGCTGAAGCAGGTGAATTGCTTGGGCCCCGGAGTTTGAGACCAGCCTTGGGAACATGGTGAAACCCCATCTCTACCAAAAATACACACACACACACACAAATTAGCCAGTCTCATAAGTCGGTTTCAAAATAAATAAATAAATATTGTTAAAATTGCACATATCAGTGTCATTGTTCTAATGTCCTGCTAGTGAACAAAAATGTTAGTTGATACCAACAAGCAAGGATGTAAGTAATATACAGGCACTTTAGGACCATTCACAACCATTATTGCCCACTAAAATTTAACAGACTCTCTGTACTTATGTATGACGTTAATTGTGTGTTAAACTGATAAAACTTGGGTTGTTAAAACTCTAGCGTGTCATATCACTCTAACCATCTGGTTGATCTAATAAATCCCAGAAGTCTCTATGATGTCATCAGCAGCCAATGAGAGTGTCTGTTGGCATGCAGTCACTGCGCGAAATAACTGTTTACTCCCTACCATATGCTTGGTACACACTGAGCATTGTCCCAAGAAAGATGAACGAATGCCTTTCTGGAGAGCTCATAGTGAATTACCGGTGTGATAACCACACTGTTAACATACTCCAAGCAAAGGAATTGGTATTTAACTAGTTTGTGTAACCTTATGAAACTATGGTTTCATTCATCTTTTTAAAATATTAAAAATAGCTCTAAATCTCCATTTCTATCATCCTGGACTCCTGATGGGAACTGCTGTTAAAGCGCAAGCTTCAGCAGCACTGACACCAATGTGTCAGCAAGTCAATCTCCATTTTCACTTTTATTATGCCTGTGGATTTAGAAATTTATTAAGGCTGGGCACAGTGGCTCACACCTGTAATCTCAGCACTTTAGGAGGCCAAGGCAGAAGAATCACTTGAGCCCAGGAGTTCAAGACCAGCCTGGGCAACTCAGACCTCATCTCTACAAAAAAATAAAAAAATTAGCAGGGCGTGGTGGTGCACACCTGTATTCCTGGTTATTCAGGATGCTGAGATGGGAGGATTGCTTGAGTCCGGAAGGTAGAGACTGCAGTGAGTCATGATCACACCACTACGATCCAACCTGAGTGACAGAACAAGATCCCAAAAACAAACAAAACACACACACACACACACACACACACACACACACACACAGAGTATATATGCGAAACTCTTAGTTATCAGTTATAAAATGAGGAGAAACATAATAAACTATTTTAAAGTTACGAAACATCTCTGAACTCAGTGGTATTGCCTGTATACCGGGAGCAAAGTGATCCTAAGTGTCAAACTAGATCCCAGATGGTAAAGTCCTTACAGAGGTTTTTCTTAAGATGGTTTTGCATGCAAAACTTCATTATCAGTGGTATAATTTAAATGTAAGTAATATACAGACACTTCAGCACAGTTCACTGCTATTATTGTGCACTAAAATTTAAGTCACTCTATGCTTTTGTATGATGTTAATTATGTGTTATCTTGATAAAATGTGGGTTGTTGAAACTCTAGCATACTATCTAAGAACTTTATGTATTAAGAGCCCACTTTCTGTTTTTTAAAATTTCTTTTTCTTGAGACTGGGTCTCATGATGTTGCCCAGGCTGGTCTTGAACTCCTGGGCTCAAGTAATCCTCCTGCCTCAGCCTCCCAAAGTGCTAGGATTACAGGTATGAGCCACCATGCCTAGCCCAAGACCCCACTTTCTATTCTTCACAAATATGCTTACTACAGTTCACTTAGGCATTCAAACAATTAATGATTGACCTCTCTCAACTGGATAAATACAATATTTATAGGATAATACACTCTCCTTTTAATTGACAAGGTTTTTAGATGGGTCCTAGAAATGTCACTCAAGAAAAGCACTAAAAGACCTTCAGAATCAACATGAATTAAGACGCATCTTCATCACAATAGATACTGAGAATAGATCTCAAGATGTATTCATGAGACTAAATGGAATTTACTTTCTTCCCAGGAAAGTCTTTAGACTGAAAAAGGCAATATGTATGACACGCCAGTTAAAAGAATGCCAGGCCGGGCGCGGTGGCTCATGCCTGTAATCCCAGCACTTTGGGAGGTCGAGGCGGGCGGATCACGAGGTCAGGAGATCGAAACCATCCTGACTAACAGGATGAAACCCCGTCTCTACTAAAAATACAAAAAATTAGCCGGGCGTGGTGGCGGGCGCCTGTCGTGCCAGCTACTCGGGAGACTGAGGCAGGAGAATGGTGTGAACCTGGGAGGAGGAGCTTGCAGTGAGCAGAGATCACACCACTGCACTCCAGCCTGGGCCACAGAGCGAGACTCCATCTCAAAAAAATAAATAAATAAATAAAGAGAGTGTCCTTGGTGGGGCATGGTGGCTAATGCCTGTAACTCCAGCACTTTGGGAGGTTGAGGCAGGAGAATCACTTGAGCCCAGAAGTTTGAGACCAGCCTGAGAAACATAGCAAGACCTTGTCTCCACAAATGATTAAAAAAATAGCCAGGCATGGTGGCTTGCACCTGTGGTCCAGGCTACTCGGGAGGCTTAGGTGAGAGAATTGCTTGAGCCTGGGAGGTCAAGGCTGCAGTGTGTTCTACTGCACTCCAGCCTGGGCAACATAATGAGACCCCCCCTCTCAAAAAAAAAAAAAAAAAAAAAAAAGAGTGTGTCCTCTGGAATAGGACTGTCTTAGATTCAAGTCTCTACCCTGCCACTTACTATGTATTCTATGCTTCAGTTTCTTCACCTGTAAAGTGGTGGAAATAATAGTATCTATGCCATAAAGTGATTGTGAAGTTCAACTAAGTGAATACATGTAAAAATCTTAGAACAGTGGCTGGGACATACTAAGGGCTCAATAAATATTAGTCACTATCATGTGGTTTTTGTCCAAAAGTTGTATTAAAAATAATATTTCCAGCCTGGCATGGTGGCTCATGTCTGTAATCCCAGCGCTTTGGAAGGCTGAGGTGAGTGGATCACCTGAGATCAGGAGTTCGAGACCAGCCTGGCCAACATGGTGAAACCCTGTCTCTACTAAAAATACAAAAAAAATTAGCCAGGCCTAATGGTACACTCCTGTAATCCCAACTACACGGGAGGCTGAAACAGAAGCATAGCTTGAACTCGGAAGGTGGAGGTTGCAGTGAACCGAGATTGCACCATTGCACTCCAGCCTGGGCTACAGAGCAAGACTCCATCTCAAATAACAACAACAACAACAACAACAACAACAATAATAATAATAATAATAATATTTCTGGGCTGGGCACGGTGGCTCACACCTGTAATCCCAGCACTTTGGGAGGCAGAGGCGGGTGGATCACTTGAGGCCAGGAGTTCGAGACCTACCTGGCCAACGTGGTGAGACCCTGTCTCTACTAAAAATATAAAAATTAGCCAGGTGTGGTGGCAACATGCCTGTAATCTTAGCCACTCAGGAGGCTGAGGCAGGAAAATCGCTGGAACCCGGAAGGCAGAGGTTGCAGTGTGCCAAGATCATGCCACTGAACTCCAGCCTGGGCAACAGAGCGAGACGTTGTCTCAAAAAAATAAATAAATAAAATAAAATAAAAAATAAATAAATAAAAATTTCCAGAGCTAACATTAATCAGATAATTTCTCAAGCAGTGGATTGAGAAAAAGTTGACTCCCTTCTCTGCCTGCCATTTTTTTTAAGCTTGTTTGTTTTTAAATAAAGGTCATTTGATCTTGCTTTTATTATTGAGTAAATAGAGATCCACTAGAGTGCCTTTCTCCCTAGCGGGTTTTTCAGTAATATGAAAACTGCTGTGTGGCTAAAACCTTGCTTCTTGGGACGAGTATTTTTTTAAGTATCAAATAATGACCGATAGAATTTAGTGATATACTAAGAATATTCTGCCTTTGTCTTTGCTATCATACTCAGAAAGAATCCATTAGACTAATCAATATAATGTTATGGTTGCCAAGTTGCAAAGTACCATATCCCTAAGGTTGATGCGAAGCGACCACAGTTTTAGCAATGCTTCTTGACTCATCTTTTATCTCTGAGTCATTTGTCACCACCCAAACTCTTGCCAAAGTTAATCCCCTTCTGAGAAAATGCCCAAGTAAATGATACAGTGTGGTATTTTTGAGTCTCTGATCTCACTTCAAGAGCCAGAGATGGAGAAAAATCTCTGTCTGGAAAAAACAAAAAGGAAAAGGAAAATCACAGTCAAAAGGAAGCCCTGCAGAAAAAGAGAAGTTGCTATTTTCCATCAACTATTTTGAGATCATTTGTTTCCCTATCCCTGTGTTCTTTTGTTTTCTAAGCTTAGCTCTGGAGGAGCATGAGTGCCTAGAATGGGAAGGAGAGATCACATTCAGATTTAAAAGAAAAATAGAGGCCGGGCACGGTGGCTCACACCTGTAATCCCAGCACTTTGGGAGGACGAGGTGGGTGGATCAGCTGAGGTCGGGAGTTCGAGAACAGCCTGACCAACATGGAGAAACCCCGTCTCTATTAAAATTACAACATTAGCAGAGTGTGGTGGTGCTGAGGCAGCAGAATTGCTTGAACTCGGGAGGCGGAGGTTGTAGTGAACCGAGATCACCCCATTGCACTCCAGCCTGGGCAACAAGAGTGAAACTCCATCTCAAAAAAAAAAAAAAAAAAGAAACAAACAAAACAAAAAGAAAAGAAAAGAAAGAAATAAATGTTTGAGATGATGGATATGTTAATTACCCGGATCAGATCACTGTACATTGTTTGTATTGCAATATTACTATGTACCCTATAAATATGTACAATTATTACATGTCAATTTCAAAAGTTAGAGAAACAGGAAAAAAAGCAATAGAGCCAGTTAAAGGAAAGTGCCACATTTTGAGGAAGGAGGTAGGAGAATGAAAAAGTTTTGGAGACAAGAGTGTGTTGTGTCATGGAGAAAGAAATGACAGAGAAGAGACCAAGAGGAAAGAGGAAAAGGATGAGAGGGTGATGGAGCCTGAGAGAGTAGAGACTTGTTCTAGTCAGTACTTCAACTGAGCATAATATGCCTCTTCATTCTTTTTTAACAGCTTTATTAAGATATCACTCACAGGGCCGGGCGTGGTGGCTCACACCTGTAATCTCAGCACTTTGGGAGGCTGAGGGGGGCAGATCACCTGAGGTCAGGAGTTCAAGACCACCCTGGCCAACATGGATGAAACCCCGTCTCTACTAAAAATACAAAAAATTAGCTGGTCATGGTGGCAGGTGCCTGTAATCCCAGCTGCTCAGGAGGCTGAGGCAGGAGAATCGCTTGAACCTGGGAGGCAGAGGTTGCAGTGAGCTGAGATCGCGCCACTGCACTCCATCCTGGGTGACAAGAGCGAAACTCCATCTCAAAAAAAAAAAAAAGATATCACTCACATGCCATGAAGTCTACCAGTTAAAGGCGTCTATTCAATGTTGTAAAATATATTTACAGCATTGTGCAACCATCACCATAATCTAATTTTAGAACATTTCTATTGTCCTAAAAAGAAAACTTGTACCTATTAGCAATCACTTCTCACTTCCCCATTCTCCCTCCAGTCCTAGGCAACTGCTAAATCTATTTTCTGTCTCTTGTAGATTTGACTATTCTGAACATTTCATGGAAATCAGATCTTACATTTGTGGTTATTTTTGACTGACTTCTTTCACTTAGGTCAATGGTTTTGAGGTTCATCTATGTTGTAACCTACATCACTACTTATTCTATTGCTAATTTTCCATCGTGTTTTATGTCACACTTTATTTATCCATTCATCAGCTGATGGATATTTGAGTTGCTTTCAGTTTCTGAGTTTTATAAATAATGCTGCTATGAACATTTGTGTCTGATTTTTTGTGTGTACATGTTTTCACTTCTCTTGTGTGTATAGCTAGGAGTGAAATTCTTATGTCAGGCTGGGTGCGGTGGCTCACGCCTGTAATCCCAACACTTTGGGAGGCCGAGGTGGGCAGATCACCTGAGGTCAGGAGTTTGGGATCAGCCTTGCCAACATGACGAAACCCTCTCTCTACTAAAAATATAAAAATTAGCTGGGCATGGTGGGTGCCCGCTTGTAATCCCAGCTACTCAAGAGACTGAGGCAGGAGAATCGCTTGAACCCGGGAGGCAGAGGTTGCAGTGAACCGAGATCACACCACTGTACTCCAGCCTGGGAGACAGAGTGAAACTCTGCCTCAAAAAAAAGAAAAAGAAATTCTTATGTCATATGGTAACTCTCTATTTATCCTTTTGAGGAACTACCAAATTGTTTTCCAAAGTGGCTGTACCACTTCGCATTCCCACCTGTACTATATAAGAGTTCTAATTTCTTTACATACTGGCCAGCACTTCTTATTGTCTTGTTTCTTAGACTTTATTGAGACATAATTCACATACAATACAATTCACCCACTAAACATGTTTAGTATATTCGCAGAGTTATCAACCACCACCATAACCAATTTTAGAACATTTTCATCATCCCAAAAAGAAACCTGTACTCATTAGAAATCACTTTCCATTTCCCCCAACTTTTCCATTCCCCAGCCCCAGGCAACCAACTAACCTACTTTCCCTCTCTACAGACTTTTAATTATGGGCTTTTGATTATAGGCAGTTGAATGGGTAAGACACGGTAGCTTCTGGTTTTCATTCACATTTCCATAGAGATTAATGGTGCTAAGCATCTTTTCATGTGCATATTAGCCACTCATACATTTCCTTTGGAAAAATGTTTCTTAAGATCTCTTGCCTATTTTTAAAATTTGGGTTGTCTTTTTGGTTTTTGTTTGTTTGATTCTGTGTGTTTTTTGAGACAGGGTCTCACTCTGTTGCCCTGGCTGGAGTGCAGTGGTGCTATCACAACTCATTACAGTCTCAACCTCTCCAGGCTCAGCTGATCCTCCCACTTCAGCTTCCCAAATAGCTGGGACTACAAGCTTGTGCCACCATGTCTGGCCAAACTGCTTTATTTTTTGTAGAGATGGAGTCACACCATATTGCTCAGAGTGGTTTCTCACACCTGGGCTCAAGCAATCCTCCCACCTCAGCTCCCCAAGTAGCTGGGGCTACAGGCATGCACCACCACCCCCGGCTAATTTTTATATTTTTGTAGAGATGGGATCTCACTATGTTGCCTAGGCTGGTTTTAAACTCCTGGGCTCAAGAGATCCACCCACCTTGGCCTTCCAATGTGTAGGGACTATGAGTGTGAGCTACCTTGCCCAGCAATCTTCTTTTTGAGTTGTAAGAGTTCTTTATACATTTTGGATAAATTCCTTATCAAATTTAATTTGCAAACATTTTCTCCCATTCTGTGGACTTTCTTTTCACTTAGTAATGTATTCTTTTGACACTCCTTATTATTCCTGGCAACTCCACCTCTTCAGTCCAGCTTGAAGCCACATCTGCAGGTCTGACTCTCCTCTTATTCCTCAAACTTCAGCATCCTTACTTGCAACCCTTCCTATTTATTTTATTTTATTTTTTTCAGGTAGGCAGTCTAATAGTCAATTTCCACTTTCTTATACCTCTTTTTCTCCAAAAACAAGTAGTACTGACAAATTCACCTGCTCTAAACCCTTGGATGCCTTTAGAAATTAGGAGCTCAGAGTGCAGTGTGGAGGTCCACAGTCTAAAAACAGCAAGGCTCCTTTATTTGTAACACGGAATGTATTCAATTTTCTACTTGGGAAAAGATTGTAGATCTTTGGTCCAAAAACATCATCAGAAGGCTGAGGGCCCTTTTCTCCTTTTTATGCTTTAATTTTGAACTAAATCATTATTTGAGTACTTCTAACATTTAAAAAAAAAATCAACGACACTGAATAATTTTTACCACCAAAGAATAGAAATATAACCAGGCATATATGGTATATATATAAGTTAATTTAAAGATTTCTAAATTAGATATGATGCAGTTGGCTGGGCGCTGTGGCTCACGCCTGTAATCCCAGCACTTTGGGAGGACGAGGTGGGTGGATCACGAGGTCGCGAGATCGAGACCATCCTGGCTAAAACAGTGAAACCTCATCTCTACTAAAAATACAAAAAAATTAGCTGGGCCTGGTGGCGGGCACCTGTAGTGCCAGCTACTCGGAGAGGCTGAGGCAGGAGAATGGTGTGAACCCGGGAGGCAGAGCTTGCAGTGAGCTGAGATTGTGCCACTGCACTCCAGCCTGGGCGACAGAGCAAGACTCCGTCTCAAAAAAATAAATAAATAAATAAATAAAAATAAGAATAATAAAAAAAGATATGATGCAGTTAATCATACTAATTACTAATCTGATTCTCCTCTTATGCTTCAAACTTCAGCATCGTTACTTGCAACTCTTCCTATTCATTTTATTTTATTTTTTGCAGACTAATAGTCCATTCCCACTTCCTTATTTATCTGCCCTATGTAGTTCTAAACATACCTACAAATATATGTCTCTCCCCTGTGACAAGATACATTTAAATAAAGTTACTTTATTAATAAAAAAATTAATTAGGGATACTATGATTATAATATTTAGGAAAGAGGGAAACTAACTATGGATCATCTGGATCATCTTTTTAAAAAATTATATAATTCAGGCCAGGCATGGTGGGTCACACCTATAATCCCAGCACTTTGTGAGGCTGTGGTGGGCAGATTGCTGGAGCCCAGGAATTTGAGACCAGCCTTGGCAACACACCAAAACCCCATATCCACAAAAAAATACGAAACTTAACCAGCATGGTGGCATGCACCTGTAGTCCCAGCTACTTGGGAGGCTGAGGTGGGACGATCACTTGAGCCCAGGAGGTGGAGGCTGCACTGAGCCAAGATCATGCCAGTGTACTCCAACCTCGGTGGCAGAGAAAGACCCTGTCTCTAAAACAAATAATATAATGTAATATAATAATATATAATTCATAAGCTGGGCATTCAAAAATCTCGAATACATTTGTTGAAAATGTGCTTAGTGAAGAAAGAACATCAAGTTTACATAACTTGATGTCTATAAATGTACTACTAAAAAATTAATTATAATTGTAAACCAAAAATAAAATTCTGAGCCCCCTAACCAACTGATGGGCCCTGACTCTAGGTCAAGGGCATTCCAAAGAAACCTGAAAAACTAGTTCAGGTCACGATGGGAAGAGAGTCAGACATGTCTCATGACACCCTCCTCCCTTTAGAATTCAGGCATGACTGACCAGCATTAATGTTAAATCAGAGATCTTAAGACTGACAAAGCAGACTCTTTATAGCAATAAGACAGCAAATTCCAACCTGACTCCAGTTTAGCATCACAGGACAGATAGCAGGCCCTGAAAGAAACTGAAATATTTTACCCCAAAATATATTTCTTTGACATATTTTGAAACGGCCCTGCAAAGTTGTCTCTTGTGGGGGAAAAGTCTATGTCCTGTAGAGAATCCCCTTCCCTTTCTGGATTTTTTTCCCTGGTCCAAAAGAGAATTAACTAACAGCCTGGCCCCTTTTTAGGCCTGATAAGAGCTCTGAAGCCTGCTGCGTAGAGGCTTCCTCTGCATGATAAAATCTTGATCTCCACAACCCCTCATCTTAACCCAGATACTCCTTTCTATTGATCCCAGATCTTCAGATAATGACTCTTTCAACCGGTTGCCAACCAGAGAATCTTTGAATCTGGCCAGGGGCAGTGGCTCACGCCTGTAATCCCCACACTTTGGGAGGCCAAGGTGGGGAGATCACTTGAGACCTGGAGCTCGAGACCAGCCTGGCCAACATGGCAAAACCCCGCCTCTACTAAAAATTAAAACATTAGCCAGGTGTGGTGGTACACACCTGTAGTCCCAGCTATTTGGGAGGCTCAGGCACAAGAATCACTTGAACTTGGGAGGCAGAGGTTGCAGGGAGCTGAGATTGCACCACTGCACTGCAGCCTGGGCTACAGAGTAAGACTCTGTCTCAAAAAAAAAAAAAAAAAAAAAAGAAAGAAAGTTTATTTTGCCAAGACTAAGGACACATGCCTATGACACAGCCTCAGGAGGTTCTGACAATATGTGCCCAAGGTGGTCAGTGCACAGCTTGGTTTTACAGATTTTAGGGAGATGTCAGACATCAATCAACATATGTAAGATGAACCTTGGTTAGGTCCAGAAAGGTGGGACAACTCAAAACAAAGGCAGGACGGCATAGGGTAAATAAGACAAAAGTGTTTGCATTATCTTGAGGTTCTAATTAGCCTTTCCAAAGGAAGCAATTAGATATGCATTTATCTCAGTGAGCAGAGGGATGACTTTGAAAAGAAACGGAAGCAGGTTTGTCCTAAGCAGTTCCCAGCTTGATTTTCCCTTTAGCTCAGTGATTTTTGGTGTCCCAAGGTTTATTTGCCTTTCATACATTTATAATCATGTCTTTGTTCCAGCCCTCAAAATTCAATACGATTGAATAAATATCCTTTCCACCATTTTGTAGGCCCTGAAATGAAAAGAAAGATGTAAGAGGCATTCATATATTTACACATAGTAATTGCATATTTCTGTTTTGGTTTGAGTCTTATTGGATATATGTAAACTTCCTCAAACTGAAAGAATGTATTGTTCTTATGAGAAAATGTAAGTTCGTTGATTTACGTGATTTAAATGTTGATTTATTCAACAATCACTGTACTAATGGAAAGCCCAAATGAAGATTCAACAGGGAAAAGATAACCATCATTTCCTTACCTGAAGAGTCTGTAATCTAGGAAATGGGCAAGTAACTGCATGATGCATTTATAAGGCTTGGTACGTTCATGGGCTGTTAAGCACAGGCTGTTATAAATGTAGACGAGAGGCAGACTTGCAAGGAAGCAGCATCATTGAAATTGAGACCTTATAGATGAACAGGCATTACGCAGATGAAGAACGTCCAAGCAAAGGAAACAGTATGTACAAAAGCCTAGAGATTAAAGAGACAGGGCCTATTTAGGGGGAATAATGTTGTTTCCTATGAGTGGAAGATAAAGGAGAGACACACGGTTGAGTGCTGAGAGAAGAGGGCTGAACAGGAAGCTAGACCTGGTCACCAAGAACACTGCAAACTGTATTAAGAAAAGCAATGACGCCCGGCACGGTGGCTTCTCATGCTGCCCATGGTCCCAGCTACTTGGGAGGCTGAGGTGGGTCAACTCCTGAGCCAAGGAGTTCCAGGCTGCAGTGAGCTATGATCGCATCACTGCACTCCAGCCTGGGTGACAGAGTCACATAGGATCTTAAGCAGAAGGATAACAGTATGAGATTTGTGCTTAAGAGATATAATAATAATGATGATAATAACAATAATGATTGCTAACCATTCCCTGTGTAAAGAATATGTCAAATAGTTTGCTAAATGTTTTACATCATACACTTTGTAACATATGTTTCAAGTAAGATCACTGTGGCTGACAACAAAAGCTTTACAAATTAAAATAGAAAGCAGAAAAGAGAAACATTTTTGTTTGCTTAAATAGGGCTTTGCTCCATAATTACCAGCACAAGTGTGGCTTATATGAAGTGTGAACCTTGGCTAAAGAGATGATGATTTCACAATGTAAACAAACAGGGCACTTTTCATTCTGGGAACACAGAATTATTTGGAAAAAAATGGTTAAACTATAGTAAGTAGGTTTGATTTATGTTTAATCTATTTTCTCATAGTGCAGGGAAATAACTATGTTTGCTTAATAATTGTGTGTGTGTACTGAGGTTAGTGGAGATTCAGTGGAAAGTCCTTGGAAGAATATTACAAATGGGCCAGGCGCGGTGGCTCACAGCTGTAATCCCAGCACTTTGGGAGGCCAAGGCAGGCAGATCACCTGAGATCAGGAGTTCGAGACCAGCCTGGCCAGCATGGTGAAACCCCATCTCTACTAAAAACACAAAAATTAGCTGGGCGTGTTGGTGCACGCCTGTAGTTCTGGCTACTTGGGAGTCTGAGGCACCAGAATCGCTTGAGCCTGGAAGGCAGAAGTTGCAGTGAGCCAAGATCATGCCACTGCATTCCAGCCTGGGAAGCACAGTGAGACTCTGTCGCAAAAAAAAAAAAAAAAAAAAAAAAAAAAACTACTACAAATGTTTACCTTAAGTCATGAAGCTATACATAAAGGTTTTGAAAAGACATAAAGCTATCAGAAGGATAGCATCTTTTACTGATAGCTTTTTCAAAGGCATTATTGAAATGATTAGCTATAGAAATTCTCATAAAGTTACTTTGCAAGCCACAGGCTAGATATGCTCCCAGAAATGATATTAAATATTTTTAATATTTATTAATATCAGAAAGAATTCAGGTCATGGAGCTGGAGGCTCCTTGCTGGTTTCTGAGTGCTGTGTAGATTCAGAGATCTAAGAGAGGGACCATACAGGCACAAGGACATCTGGGGACCTTGGAAGCCATAGGATGTTGGCTGTTCACCAACGAATATGGAAGTATTTCAATATTTTATTTCCAATCTGTATGACTATACCAGTAGCTGTTAGCTGAATATCAGCTGTATGTGTTTTTTGTTTGTTTGTTTGTTTCTGTTCGTTTGTTTGTTTGTTTTTGAGACAGAGTCTTGCTCTGTCGCCCAGGCTGGAGTGCAATGGTGCAATCTCGGTTCACTGCAACCTCCGCCTCCCGGGTTCAAGCCATTCTCCTGCCTCAGCCTCCCGAGTAGCTGGGATTACAGGCGCCTGCCACCATGCCCAGCTAATTTTTTTTATTTTTAGTAGGGACAGGGTTTCACTATGTTGGCCAGGCTGGTCTCGAACTCCTGACCTCATGATCCACCTGCCTCGGCCTCCCAAAGTGCTGGGCTTACGGGCGTGAGCCACCGCACCCAGCCTTATCAGCTGTGTATGTTTCTGGTTTTAGTATGAATAGGAAGAGTTATATAAAGATGGCATGATGGTAATCACATGTATAAGGTTACAAGAAAAATATACTCAGAGAACACTGCATTTGAAAACAACCAATAAATTTTATATCCCACAGATAGATTGTGTGGCACAGAAAATGAATCATGGCTGAGCACGGTGGCTCATGACTGTAATCTCCCCGCTTTGGAAAGCCGAGGCAGGAGAATCACATGAGCCCAGGAGCTCAAGACCAGCCTAGGCAACATAGTGAGACCTCATCTCAACAAAAAATTTCAAAATTAGCTGGGTATGGTGGTGTGCACCTATAGTCTCAGCTACTCAGGAGGCTGAGCTGGGAGAGTCACTTGAGAACCCACGAGGTTGAGGCTGCAGTGAGCCATGATTGTGCCACTGCACCCCAGCCTAAGCAACAGAGTGAGACCCTGTTTCAAAAAGAGAGAGAGGGAGAGAGAGAGAGACAGAGAGAGAGAGAGAGAGATTGAGAGAAAGAAAAAATATGAGTCAGAACCTCAAAACAGTGCATAAGCAGAACTCAAATCTAAAAAGTTTAATATTTAGCATAATGGGGATTTATTGTATTAAAACATTGGAAGAAACATAGTTTTGGTTCTCCACTCTATAGGATACAAAATTGACAGAATGAACTCTCATTTTCAGATATTTATTAAACTGAATATATAAGAATATTGGGAGCCAAAATAACTCTCTCTTTTTTTTTTTTTTTGGCAAGTACATCTCCTTGTCAAGGTGTATGGTGGGAGGTGATAGAGTAGAACTTGGAAAGCAAGGATATGTCAGGACTGCTCCTTGTTACTGCGTGATCTTTGACAAGTTCATTTATTAGAGTACTAGTCTAGCTTCTGTAAGATCAAAGAAGAGTGGCTTAAATAAAATACCTTAATTTATGTCTCTCTCACTTAAAAGTTCATGTGAGAACTTTTAAGTAGGCCACTTCATGTGGTCATCTGCAGACTTGGGTTTTTCCATGCCATAAATTATGTTTCTTATCTACATTATCAAAGCTGATTCAACACCACAAACAACGTTCCTGTCTGCTGGGAATGGGGAAAATACAAGGAAGTGGAAGAAACTCCTTTAAAAGGTATGATCTATAAGTTACAATCATTTCTGGGCACTTTTTTCTTTCTTTTTTGAGACAGGGTCTCACTGTGTCACCCAGGCTGGAATGCACTGGTGCAATCCTAGCTCACTGCAGCCTTGACCTCGGGGCTCAGGTGATCCTCCTGCCTCAGCTTCCTAAGTAGCTAGGGCTGCAGGCATGGCCACCACACCTGGCTAATTTTTTTTTTTTTTTTTTTTTGAGACAGAGTCTCACTTTGTCGCCCAGGCTGCAGTGCAGTGGCGTGATCTTGGCTCGCTGCAAGCTCCACCTCTGGGGATCATGCCATTCTCCAGCCTCAGCCTCCCGAGTAGCTGGGACTACAGGCACCCGCCACCACCCCTGGCTATTTTTTTGTATTTTTAGTAGAGACGGGGTTTCACTGTGTTAGCCAGGATGGTCTCAATCTCCTGACCTCATTTTTCACCCGCCTTGGCCTCTCAAAGTGCTGGGATTACAGGCGTGAGCCACCACGCCCGGCATTCCTGGCTAATTTTTAAAATTTTTTTTGTAGAGATGGGGCCTCGCCGTGTTGCTCAGGCCGCACATTTTGAAATAGTGGAAACTGGTCAGAGTAGTTAAAGGTGGCAGGTTTTGATAGTTGTTCACCACTGCATTCCAGCCTGAGTGGCAGAGAGAGACCTGTCTCGGGAGAGGAAGGGAAAGGAAAGGGGAAAGGAAAGGGGAAAGGAAAGGGGAAAGGAAAAAGGAAAGGAAAAAGGAAAGGAAAGGAAAGGGAGAAGAGAAGAAATGTGGAGAATGGAGAATTGTATTAAATGATCAGTCTGTAGAAACCACCTAGCCCAGCACCTAGCGCATATTAAGCAGTCAGTAGTAGTTAGTTCTTCCCTTCCTATCTTTATGCAACAGTAGCTCTGATGTTGTTCATAGGATTCTTGTTTCTATAGGGCCTAGCTAGGTAAAAATGCAACCTGGTGTAAGGAACAGCCTTGTTGTGCCAGTTCAGTTGTTGTTCTTCATTCTGTGCCACATCCATGAAGATGTATTCACAAGTTTTACTAGTTCATATTTTACTATTCTGTAGAATCTGAATAGTACTGAAGGGCCCCTGAATCTCCTTCTATTTTGGCGAAATGAATTTGGAGACATAAAGGAAGACTATCTCGGAAATTTGAAGCATCCCATTGGGATCTAAGCTTTGAAGAAGAGGCTGGTCCATTGGCTGGGCGCGGTGCCTCACACCTGTAATCCCAGCATTTTGGGAGACGGAGGCAAGCAGATCATGAGGTCAGGAGTTCGAGACCATCCTGGCAAACACAGTGAAACCCTGTCTCTACTAAAAAAAAAAAAAAAAAAAAAAAAAATAGCCAGGTGTGGTGGCACGCACCTGTAGTCCCAGCTACTCAGAAGGCTGAAGCAGGAGAATTTCTTGAACCCAGGAGGCAGAGGTTGCAGTGAGCTGAGATCACACCACTGTGCTCCAACCTGAGTGACAGAGTGAGACTCTGTCTCAAAAAAAAAAAAAAAAAAAAAGAGCCTGGTCCAAATCCTACCTTGCCTTCCCTTCAGCTTTTTCTCTCCCACCCTCCACTTTCCCAAAATATATCCCAAGGAACTAGCCTCTATTGGGGGCCATCGCCCTTTGTTTTCTTTTCATTTGTTTTGAGACAGGGTCTCAATCTATCACCCAGGCTGGAGTCCAGTGGTGTGACATTAGCTCACTGCAACCTCTGCCTCCCAGGCTCACGCAATCCTCCCACCTCAGCCTCCTGAGTAGCTGAGACTACAGACGTAAACCACCATGCTCAGCTAATTTTAAATTTGTTTGTTTGTTTGTTTGTTAGAGATGGAGTCTTGATCTGTCACCAGGCTGGAGTGCAATGGCGTGGTCTCAGCTCACTGCAACCTCCACCTCCTGGGTTCAAGCGATTTTCCTGCCTCAGCCTCCTGAGTAGCTGGTACTACAGGCACATGCCACCATGCTCAGCTAATTTTTGTATTTTTAGTAGAGATGGAGTTTTGCCATGTTGGCCAGGATGGCTCGATCTCTTGACCTCAGCCTCGGCCTCCCAAAGTGCTGGGATCACAGATGTGAGCCACTGCACCCGGCCTAATTAAAAAATTTTTTTTTGTAGAGACAAAGTCTTACTATATTGCCCAGGCTGGTCTTGAACTCTCAGCCTCAAGCAGTCCTTCCACCTCAGCCTCCCGAAGTGCTGAGATTCCAGGCATGAGCTACCACTCTTGGCAACCTTTCTTTTCTATCCAGACCTAGGTCCTAGGTTCCTCAGACCTTTTGTGTAGTAGCTCCCAACTTTTCTGAACAACCCCAATATATCAGACTTAAGATATCCTCCATCCATTATTATGTAAAGGAAAAGTCCTGTTTCCCTTCTAATTGTATTCCCCTTATTTTTTATTTTAACTTTTAATTTTTTGGGTACATAGTAGGCATATATGTATTTATGGAGTACAGGAGATATTTTGGTACAGGAATGCAATGTGTAATAATCACGTCATGGAAAAGAGGATACTATCCCCTCGAGCATTTATCCTTTGTGTTACCAACAATCCAGTTATACTCTTTTAGTTATTTTTAAATGTACAATTAAGTTATTATGACTGGATTCACCCTGTTTATTTTCCTTATTTTTATAATAGCTAGTCTCCAAGATGGCGCCCAGTATTCTTTACCTCATGGCATACACTTTCATTTTACCCTCACCCCTCACTTTCTTGTATAGCCTCCTCTCGCACTGAGTCAAAGCTGACCCATGTGGTGGAAGTGATGTTGTGTGACTTCCAAGACTAGGTCATAAAGGGCATCAAATCTTTTGCATTCCTCCTTTTTGAATCCCTGGCTCTCAGGGAAGCAAGCCACCATGCCGTGAAAACACTCAGTCAGTCCTGGCAAAACCCATGTGTCAACAGCCAGCAACAACCCACACTTGTTGGGGTGAGCCACCTTGGAAGCAGAACCTCCTGCCCCAGTCAAGCCTCCCAATGGCCGCAGCCTCTGCTGACATCAGACTCTGTTCTCATGAGCCACTAAGCCAAGCTTTTCTGAATTTCTGATCTGTAAAAATTGAAGAGACAGTAAATATGTATTGTCATTTTAAGCCATTATGTTTTGGGGTGATTTGTTGCATAACAATAAAGAATTAATATGCTGTTGATTTTTACTCTATTTTGTTAGACTTGGTATAAGTCCACCCTCACACTGCTCTAAAGAACTATGTGAGACTGGGTAATTTATGAAGAAAAGAAGTTTAATTGACTCACAGTTCTGCAGGCTGTTCAGGAAGCATGGGTGAGAGGCCTCAGGAAACTTACAATCATGAAGGAAGGTGAAGAGGATGCAAACACGTAGAGAGAGCAAAGCAGGGAGATGCCACACACTTTTAAACAACCAGATCTCCTAAGAATTCATTCACTATCACAAGAACAGCAAGGGGGATATCTGCCCCCATGATCCAATCACCTCCTACCAGGCCCCATGTCCAACACTTGGTTTCACAATTTAACATAAGATTTGGGTGGGGACACAGAGCCAAACCATATCATTTATCATGTATTTCTTTTCTCAAATGTTCTCCCACTGTATTTATTGGGCGTTTTCCTGAGTGAATCGCTGCTATTTTTCAATTAAAATGCACTCAAGAAATTGAAGAAGAATGGAATGCAAAGTTTTCAAGGGAAAGATGATACACATTGGTGTGTTGCGATCAGCCAGTAATAGACTAAAGTTCTTTAGGAATTATTTCTTTCTAAAATATAATTCACAGTTTTCCATATAATCCTCCCCTTTAATTCATTCCAATTTACTTTCATGAATGGAAGGGAAAGGACTTCTTTTGCATGCTGTAAGACAGAAACACCAATGACCCGCAACCTGCCTTATCTGTGAGCAATTCCTGCAGGTACACCATTAATAGTTGTAGTGATAACAAGTTTACTTTTTACCTTTTCACAATTCCCCCCAAATCACAGTATATATGTGAAAGTATAACATTTGTGAAAGTTATACACACCATGATCAATAAGTAAATACTAATTGAGAACCCATTCTTAGAACAAATGAATGAAATTTCACATATGAAATATACTTTCTTCTATAATACATCCTATTTTTCCTATCCACAGTGACCATCATTGTGTATGGGCAGAATATACATATGATTACGAAGACTGTGGGATGCCTAACTTAGGCATCCTGGTAATGATTGGTAATGGTTATGACTGATATAAATATCAGTCATGTGATGAACCATTAATTATTAAAACAGGCAAGTAATTAGCTTGACCATAATGACTTCAAGCACAGATTCCTATTGCACAACGGAGTTCACTGTATTTAGCCTTAATCTTTTATTCCCATACCCTTAGAAAGAACACTGCAATTAAAGTTTCTGTTTGTTTGTTTGTTTTTGCAGAGACATGGTCTTGATATGTTGCCCAGACCTGTCTTGAACTCCTGGCCTCAACCAATCCTCCCACCTTGGCCCCTCAAATTTCTGGTATTACCGGCATGAGTTACCACACCTGGCCTTATTTAGCCTTATTCCAAAATTTTTTTTAATTTACTATCCTTTTTCTTCCCAATCTTCCCTTTATTCCCAAGATACTATGATTTCTTCTTTTGAGGTTCCTTCTAGATTTATCTTCCTGGGAATCTAATGAGATGATAATATTGAGACCACCTATTAAGGTAGGTTTTAACCTTAATCCTGGAAATGTTCATGTCTTTGATGCTACAAGCAGCTCTAAGCACCTCACACTTAAGAAAACCTGTACAAGGGCTAATTTTTGCTCTTCCAATGAAAACACACATCTAGGCTTGGGTTTCAAAGCCTTCTAGTGGCTGGCTCATTCTCACTACTCTGCTTCCACACTGTCCATTTTTCAACATGGCCAGACTCCTGACTCTCCTGCTTCTGCCATATTTCAAGTCCAGAATAGGGTCTTCATTGCTTCAAACGAGACTTCTATCCTTTAGGACAAAATTAACTTCGTATCTCATTTATGCAACTTTACTAGACAAAACATACTATAGATATGGGATCTGTCAAAGTTTTTAGTTGCAAGCAACAGCATTCTCTCTAAGTAGCTTTAAATATATAAAATGATCTTAGAAAGTTCAGAGAATTCTCCAGAGAGCTAAGTTGGAACAACCCCACACTGTAGAAGGGATTGCTCCAGGGAAGACATCTATCCCCCTGCCAATGTATATGGACAGCACGGTTTGTATGGATATTGCTGGGGACTCTGGCACAAGATGGACCACACTTCAGCTTCTTCCTGTTACTCATTGCAGGATTTAAGTCCTGGGTGAGTGAGTGTGTTTGACGGATGGAGCCTCAGTTGAATCCTGGACATTGCTTCATGGGTACCTGGGAGAATGAATCCAGGCTTTTATCTGGCAGAAGAAGGGCTCTTAATGTGAGGAAAGTGTGTTTAAAAAGACCCTGGGCAGTGACAAACATGACAAATGCCCTCCAAAGTCAGTAACTCTTAAAACTCTGTGTATTAGGCCTGGCACAGTGGCTCATGCCTATAATCCCAGCACTTTGGGAGGTTGAAGCCGGAGGATCACTGGAGCACAGGAGTTCAAGGTCAGTCTGGGCAACACAGAGAAACCTCGCCTCTACAAAAACAAATTAGCTAGGCATGGTGGCACACACTTGTAGTCTCAGCTGCTTGGGAGGCTAACACAGGAGGATCACTTGAGCCCAGGAGGTTGAGTTTACAGCCTGGGTGACAGAGTGAGACCTTGTCTCAAAACAAACACACAAACAAAACAAAAAAATCTGTGTGTGCTATGAGCTATGATCATGCCAGTGCTCTCCAGCCTGGATGACAGAGACCCTGTCTCAAAAAAAAAAAAAAAAAAAAAAACCCCTGAAACCCCAAAACAACAACTCTATGGGCTATGTGTCATTCAACATGAGTATGAGTATTAATCTATTCAGCAGCCATGATTTTATTTAGGGTCCACTTCTAACAAAATTGTGAAGTCAACCTCTCACTTAACTTCTTAGCATACTTTTCTCCAATCCTAGACTCTCTATTTCTCTCTCTCTTTCTTTTTCTCTCTCTCTTTCTTTTTCTCTCTCTCTCTTTCTCGGTGTTTTTCTGTGTTTCTTCTGGGAAACTTACTCTTACTTATCATCAGGGTACTCTTATCTTTTCATGGAATTGTGGCTGGGTAGGCAGAGGAAGGGAACACTTCTGAGGTCTCCAACGTTATTAGCCATCTGGCTGCTTGCTCTTTGAGCCCAGCCCGGGTATTATGCAGGCATTTGTATTGAAATGTTCTAAAAGTTCTAAGAAATTGTATTTTGGTGAAGGCCAGTATGTTTCATAATTTAGTTATCCCATTTACACTCTAAGCTTTTAAAAGTTGTTTCCATATCATTTCCTACAGCATAAGTGTCATATAATTTTAAGGTTGAAAGAAATCATGGAGATCATTAAACCTTCTTTTGTAGAAGGAATAATTAAGAGCCAGGGAGATGTAATGATCTGTTCAAAGTCAAACAATTAGTTTTGAGGCTGGGAGTAGAATCTGAAGGTCCCGATTCTAGCTTACATTAGCAAATTATAAGACATTCACCAAATATCAGAGATCCTAGGTGTTCATGGGTATGATAGAGGAATGAATGCTATAAGAGGAAATAGAGAAAAATGAAAATAACTATTTTCCATCTCAGTTATTAATAGGTTGATCATATATTCTATATTTTCTAGGCACTCCCAATTTACACCTGATATCTGAAATAATTATTAATAAGAACCCTTTTTACTCTAAAAATGTACTGGTTCAGAACATAAATTACAGGTTACTTAAAGAAACACATTAAAAAATTGCATTGTTTTTCAATGATTCCATTTGCTCAGAAAATGTATTGAAGTGAGAGTTGGCCTGTACTGTAAATACAATAACCTATCAGAGTAAAACTGAAGCTGTAATGCATTGGTTTTCAAATTCCAAGTCACAGTCATTAGTGGGCCATGAAATGAACTTAAGTTATAATTGACATTTAAAATAAGGAATAAAATGGAATATAAAATAGAATGCAGTATAGGTAGTAACAATGCATGTTATTTTATGAAACATCTCAGTTATACAAACATACACATGTCTTTATGTAGGGATGCTACAAAATTTCTAAAATACTCAAGAATAACTCATTTATTTAAATGCTATTAAAGATGTTGAAGTGTATTTTTAACATAAAAGATATTTTGACATATCAAGTAAAAAATAGATGACAGAATAGTATCCCTTTTTTTTTAAAGTCAGTATGTATGTGTGTGTGTGTGTGTGTGTGTGTGTGTGTGTGTGTGTGTGTGTGTGTGTGTGTATCAGGGTGTCTTAACCTTGGTACTATTGACATTTTGGGACAAATAATTATTTTTTGTAAAGGGCTGTCCTATACAGGATAGGATCTTTAGCAGATCATCGATCTCTACCCACAACATGCCAGGAGCAGCTCTCCTTCCAGATGTTACAACCAAAAAATGCCTCCAGACCTTGCCAAACTGCTGTGGTTGGGAACCGCTGATACAGATATAATTGAAGAAGAAGTTGTCACATTTATAGGTGGTGTTTTTTTGTTTTTGTTTTTAAGAGATACCGTCTGGCTCTATCTGCCAGGCTGGAGTGCGGTGGTGTGATCCTAGCTCAGTGCAGCCTCCACCTTCTGGGCTCCAGCTATTCTTCAGCTTCAGCCTCCTGAGTAGCTGGGACTACAGGTGTGCCACACCATGCCTGGCTAATTTTTTAATTTTTTTGTAGAGACATGGTCTCGCTCTGTTGACCAGGCTGATCTCAAACTCCTGGTCTCAAGTGATCCTCTGCCTTTGCCTCCTGAAGTGCTGGAATTACAGATGTAAGCCACTGCGCCCAGTCCTGGGTGAGTTTTTTTGTTTGTTTTTGAGACAGAGTCTTGTTCTGTTGCCCAGGCTGGAGTGCAGTGGCAGGAACATGGCTCACTGAAGTCTTGACTTCCTGGGCTCAGGGGATCCTCCCACCTCAGCCTCCTGAGTAGCTGGAACAAGAGGCTCATGCCACCACATCCGGCTAATTTTTAAGGTTTTTTTTGTAGAGACAGGGACTTGCCACATTGCCCAGGCTGGCCTCAAACTCCTGGACTGAAGCAATCCTCCCATCTCTGCCTCCCAAAGTGCTGTCATTATAGGCATAAACCACCACACCAAGACCCTGGGAGGACTATTTTTAAAAAATTGTTTCTCTCTCTCTTCTGCTTATTTATAGCTTTCGACTTTTTTGTGATGACCATGTATTATTTTCATAATAATAAATCCCATAAAAACTATTTACATTTAAAACAATGTGTTGGCTTCATAGTAGTTACATTTATAATTTCAACCATCAAGAAGATTCTTAAGGAAAAAAATACGTTCCTGTGAAAGGGAAACAATTATTTTTTCTCTGCAATTTCTACTCAACACAGAACACTTCTGTGACCAGGTGTAGGGGTTTTTCTCTACACACCAAGCAGTTCTGTGGTGGACACCAACTAGGTGTCCTATAATTCAGTTTAATTCTGACACTATCTACCTGGAGTTAGAGTCAGATCCCAGAGGTTGAGGGCTCTGTCCCACAAGACTGACCTCACTTCAGACATCAATTGCAAGTAGTAGGTTGTTACCTATACCTCTGACCGACTGGTTGCAATCTGGGGGTCCCATGATCCCCTACTTTGGTTTGATTAATTTGCTAGGATGGTTCACAGGACTCAGAGAAATAATTGCATTTATTAGTGTATTATTATTAATGAAGAGTATTACAAAGAATAGAGATGAAAAGATACAGAGGCTGAAGTATGGAGGAGAGAGAATAGAGCTTTCATTGTCCAAGAGTTTTTATGAAGTTTAATCTCCAGTGTCCCCCACAACCCCTTTCCTGGAAGTTGGTGGGTGGGGCTGAAACTTTCGACCCTCTAATCCTCTAATCACTTGCTCTTTCTGTTGATCAGCCCCATCCTGGGGCTAATCAGGGGTCCCACCCTAAGTCACCTCATTAGCAGAAACTCTGCCTGTAATCCCAGCATTTTGAGAGACTGAGGTATGAGGATCGGTCAAGCTCTGGAGTTCAAAACCAGCCTGGGCAACATAGAGAGACCTCCTCTCCACTAAAAATAAAAAAAATTAGCCAGGCATGGTGGCACACACCTGTAGTCTCAGCTACTCTGGAGGCTGAAGTGGGAGGATCAGTTGACCCTAGGAGGTTGAGGCTACAGTGATACATGATTGCACCACTGCACTACAGCCTGAGTGACAGAGCAAGACCCTGTCTCGAAATAAATAAATAATAAATTAAATACAAAAACAAAAAAAGAATAAGGTGGAGCTACATATTGTGACATGAAACGTGTCCAGTATATACTAATTAAGTAAAGAAAAAAGTATAGTGCAGAGAAAATATGTACCATATAATCCTGTAATGCCAAATTTTTGCTCACATGTGTATGATATATATAATCTATATATGCGTATTAAAAAGTCTGAAAATATATACAATAAATGTAAACAGTAGTTACCACTGGAGTGGGAGATGAGGGAGATGGGATGGGATGTAAAGGAATTTTACTTCTATTTTTACACATGTGCATTGCTTTAATTTTTTAACACACTTTTTTAAATTAAATAAAAAGCAATATTAAAGTAACTTAATATCTATCCTCTTTTCTCTTCTTTTTCTTTCCTTTTCTTTTTGGCCACCCAGGCTGGAGTGCAGTGGCATGATCATAGTTCACTGCAGCCTCAACCTCCTGGGCTCAAGCAATCCTCCAGCCTCAGCCTCCTGAGTAGCTGGGACTACAGGCACTTATCACCATGTCCGGCTAATTTTTATACTGTTTGTATAGATGGGATTTTGCCATGTTGCCCAGGCTGGTCTTGAATTCCTGGTCTCAAGCAATCCTCCCCTCTCATCCTCCCCAAATGCTGGAATTACAGGCATGAGCCACTGTGCCTGGTCCTCTTTTCTCATTTCCTTAAGTCTTGGTAAAATAGTTTTATAATATCTGGGCATTTTTACAATTGAGCTCTTAGTCATGAAGGGTGTGTTTCTCAGTCTGGCCTTCTACCCATATAGAAGGAGGGTGGGGTGTGGCTGTTGCCTGCTCCCCACAGAAACACCCTTATGGTCTCTAGGAGGGGTAAGTCATATTGTTATCACGTTCACTTATTTACAGACATTTAGCTACTAGGTAAACATTACAAAGATTGTGGATTTTTAAAATGTTGCCACACAAACAGCCAACTGAGTTATGTTAGAATCATCCTTGGTAACAGATTTCTGCATTTACTGCAGTTATTCAACGTTTGGGTGTGTGCGGGTGTCTTGTTTTTCCTACTTTATGTTAAGCTATTTACAAACAAGGGACATATGATTATACTTCTATTTAAACCTGTGCAGGCCTAGTTACTGTTAGCAGACCTGTCCATAGTATCGGTTAAGGCAACTAGAAGCAGGCAACAGAGCACAGAACAAGATGGTTCTAGTCTACTGTTCTCCTTTTCTAATAGAAATTAACTGAATTCCGGCAACACTTGAGGTTTTGGGGCTCCTCTCTTTCACCATATGCTGGAATGAGTCAAGGCTGTGTATGGGAAATGATCACTCTATTTAAATTATGTCATTTAAACCTCCCTGTTGAGTAACAGACTTGACTTCTCTCAACAGTCAATCGGATCCACAAGATGAAGAATGCCATTGTGTGAGTACAGATTTGAACCCTGTTGCTAATCACTGGATGACCCTTTGGGCTATTTATCAAAAGGATCTGCGCCTTTTCTAAGCCTAAACTCGAGAGTCAATGATTATCCTTTTGTCACAGTCTTTTCTCCATACTTTGTCCTATTTTTTTCTCCTACAAAAACCAAACACATTAGCCCAGCATAGTTGTGCATGCCTGTAGTCCCAGCTACTTGGGAGGCTGAGTTGGGAGGATCACTGAAGCCCAGAAGGTGGAGGTTATAGTGAGCTGAGATCGTGCCACTGTACTCCAGCCTGGGCGTCAGAGCGAGACCCCATCTCTATTTAAAAATAAGAAGAAGAAGAAAGAAAGAAAGAAAGAAAATAAGAAATTATAGGCCGGGCATGGTGGCTCACACCTGTAATCCCAACACTTTGGGAGGCCGAGGCAAGCTGACCACCTGAGGTCAGGAGTTCGAGACCAGCCTGGTCAACACGGTGAAACCCTGTCTCTACTAAAAATACAAAAATTAGCTGGGCGTGGTGGTGGCACACGCCTGTAATCCCAGCTACTTGGGAGGCTCAGGCAGGAGAATTGCTTGAATTCAGGAGGCAGAGGTTGAAGTGAGCTGAGATTGTGCCATTGTGCTCCAGCCTGGGCGACAAGAGCGAAACTCTGTCTTGGGGAAAAAAAAATATACATATATATATTTTTTTCATATGTGTGTATATATATATAAAAAACCCAAACATCTACTGATTGTTTGATCTAGTTATCATATATTGATTTAAAGTTTCTGGAGTTAAGAGGTCTTTACATAATAGAATTTTCAGTGATTCTCTTCTTTAGTATAATGTTCAAGTTATGCAAGTAATACATAAATTCAATTTCGGAAGAGCCATAGATTTAAATAATTAAGGGTAGCTTTCACTTCTGCCTGGTAATTTCACTTCCAGCTGGTGACACGTCAGCCTTGGTAGATGAGCTGGAGAAAGAATATTTAGGTGTTTCCATGACATGATGCTCTTTATTTATTTATTTTTTCACTTTAAATTGTCAGTCCAACAGAACACAAAGAATGAATATATATCAACTCCACACATCACTTCCCAAGATGCTTGCCTTTATTGCTGAGGTACTATTTTTATTTGACAACATTCAGAAAATATTCTGCGCACTTTTCAGAATCTCAGAGAACCACACATAGAACCAACGAAACTAAAAATATGACATATCTGTGTACAATTCCCATATGCTTCATGGAATGCTCAACAAATGTTTACTTTACAAAATGTAAAAGTATTTTTTATATCATGAAGATTACACAAAAAGTTTATAAAAAAATTATAAATTCAAATAGCATTTCTACTAGTCTAGTGCCCTAAATATCCGTTTTATCTGGGCATGAATGATTTGGCTTCAGTAAGCTTCAGCTCACTTATATCATTTAAACAATTACATTTAAGCTATCATATAGAGTACTGTGAATTTGTCAGAAAAAATCTTTAAGATATATAAAATGTTGTCCATGATATATGCAATAATGTCACAAAATAAGTATTGTTGCTGCTGAGACATTTATGGTTAAAATATAATTATCTTTTTATCTCAAGCAATGAGCATAGTACCTGGCTCATGGTAAGGTTTTTAAAAACAGCTTTTATTTAGATATGATTTACATACCATAGAATTCATTCATCCTTCACATGTATAATTCAGTAGTTTTTAGTATATTCACAGAGTTGTGCAACTAGCAACTTTTTGTTTGTTTGTTTGTTTGTTTGTTTTGGAGACAAGGGGTTGCTCTGTCACCTGGGCTGGAAGGCAGTGGCAGGATCATAGCTGACTGCGATCTCAAAGTCTCAAAGTCCTGGGCTCAAGTGGTCCTCCAGCCTCAGCCTCTTGAATAGTTGGGACTACAAGTGCACACTACCACACTCAGCTGATTATTATTATTATTATTATTATTACTGGTAGAGATGGAGTCTTGAATGTTGCCCAGGCTGGTCTCAAACTCCTGGGCTCAAGTGATTCTCCTGCCTCAGCCTCCCAAAGTGCTGGGATTACAAGCATAAACCACCTTGCCCTGCCATAACCCATTTTCTTTTTTCTTTCTTTCTCTCTTTTTTTGTTGAGATAGGGTCTCCTCTGTCACCCAGGCTGGAGTGCAGTGGCACAATCACAGCTCACTGCAGCCTCAAACTCCCAGCATCAGTGGATCCTCCCAACTCAGCCTCCCAAGCATCTGGGATTACAGGTGTGTGCCACAATGCCTGGCTAACTTTTGTATTTTTTGTAGGGATGGGGTTTTGCCATGTTCCCCAGGCTGGTCTCAAACTACTGCACTCAAGTGATCTACCCACCCTGGCCTTCCAAAGTGCTGGGATTATAAGCATGAGCCCCTCGAACAGCCATAAGCTATTTTCAAACCATTTTGATCACTCCAAAAGAAACCCACGCCCTTTGGCAGTCACTCCACATTCCCTCCTCACCTCAGCCTATTCTCTATTCTAGACATTTCATATAACTGGAATTATACAGTATGTGACCTTTTGCATCTGGCTTTCTTCACTTAGCCTGTTTTGAAGATTCATCCATATTGTAGCATGTGTCTTCATTTTGTTCATGGCTGAATAATATTCCATTGTCTGAATGTATCACACTTGGTTTATCCATTCATCATTTGATGGATATGTGGGTAGTTTTTACTCTTTGGATATTATGAATACTACTACTATGAATATTGATATACAAGTTTTTGTATGGAGATATGTTCTTATTTTTCTTGGTTATATACCTAGAAGTGGAATTACTGGATCATATGGTTAACTCTATGTGTAACATTTTGAGGAACTGCTAAGCTGTTTAAAAAGTATCTGCGTCATTTTACAATCTCACAGGCAACGTATGAAGATTTTAACTTCACATTTTCTCCAACACTTGCTACTGTCTGTCTGTCTTTTCTTTTTTTTCCCTTGATACAGGGCCTCATTCTGTCACCCAGGCTAAAGTGCAATTGTGTGGTCATGGCTCTCTGCAACCTCAAACTCTTGAGCTCAAGCAATTATTCCCCCTCAGCCTTCCAGGAAGCTGGGACTACAGGCATGTGCCACCATGCCAGGCTAATTCTTTTATTTTTTATTTTTTGTAGAGACAGGGTCTTGCTATGTTGCCTCGGCTGCTCTTAAACTCCAGGGGTCAAGTGATCCTCCTGCCTCAGCTTCCCAAAGTACTGGGATTATATGCATGAGCCATGGCTCCTAGCCTAGGAATTGTTTTTTCTAGCTTAATTGGATGTATTTAATGTTTATCTAAAGACACAGGATTCAGCTTCTTTGCACAGTTTTTTTTAAAAAATCACATTTATAGTCTTCCCATGTTTTAATATACAGTATATAGCAAAAACGTTACAAGTTATTCTATGCTAAGTTTTGGGATCCTTCTGAGGAGCTTACAGTTGAGGAAGGGAAAACAGTCACGGAAACCATCAGAATAAAAACAACTCACTTCCTGAAAACTTATACTCTTCAATCGTTCTGATCATGTAGCAATTTTCATGCATATTAATTTTAATTACATAATTACATTATAGATAATTATTTGAACTCACGAGAAATCAGATTTGCCTCCCTAATCTCTTTGCTGTCACCTGCAAGGCCTTGTCTTCTCTTAGCTTCCAAGGGCCAAAAACAACATCCAGTTCCAAAGCTGCTATCATTTCTGCTTTGAAGGTTTCCTGAAGTACCACCTCCTCCAGGAAGCCTTTCCACATTGAGATACAGAGTGGACAAGGATTCCTACTGCCAATACACAGTCTTGCATAGTCCACTGCCCCCAGACAAACTAAAAAGATTTTTAAAAATGCATTCATATGTTAATGTTTCAAATCTTCACCTCTTTGTTTTTGTCTGCTGCTAACTTGGTACATCAGAGGTAGTGTGTCTTCTGTGGACCTAGTGTTTTGTTGTTGTTGTTGCTGTTTTCTGCATTTACCCCAACCTGTTAATATCTACTCTTGCTTTAGGGTTTAAATTCTAATATTTTCCTTATCTCCCTTCAGGCTCCAGTTATGCTAGTCCTGCCAGGCACGTGGTGGGTATGGTAAATATTATTTGGTGACGGCCTTGTTAACAGTCTTGTCTTCTGTTTCAGAACACCAGCTAATGAAAGAGTTAAGCGTGAAGTGCTTCATGCACAGAGCAACAGATGCTCAACAAATCAGTGATGAAATCCAAGGATGGTAATTTCCTTTTTCTAATTAGCCATGAGAGCTTCAAGCTCCCAATGGGGTAGTTACCAGAATTTGAAAAGTTAGACAGTCATTTACCTTCTTCTGAGTTAATTTACATAAGCGGCTGGAGTGACCTGAGCTGGGACCCTGCCAGTCATACTGCCCAAAGATAATTAAAAGCCCTGGCTAGGGTCAAGGGACCTGGATAGTAATCTTGGCTTCACCACTGTCTGACAAACCTTGGAAACTCGCTTTCCATCTACTCATTCACTTAGTAAATATTAATTAGGTCCAATTATGTGCCAAGCACGGTGTTAGGGGATGGAAATATAAGAGCAAGACCCAAGTCTCTCAATTCCTGGAATTCACATTCCACCGGAAAGGTGGGGACCGGAGTACAGCCTACATCACCTACAGGTTCAGTCTCCCTATCTCTAAAATGTTAGGACAACCTCTGGGTTCAATTCGAATGTTTAGGCCCTGTTAATTTAGCATTTGATCACAGCTCAGAATATAGCAAAAGTCTCCCACTACCTCTGGCTTTCCCTTACAAAGGCGGGTATTACAAAAAGACTCGGTAGAAGTATTTTCTATAGTCTATCTTGC
This sequence comes from Homo sapiens, assembly GCF_000001405.40. NCBI lineage: Eukaryota > Metazoa > Chordata > Mammalia > Primates > Hominidae > Homo > Homo sapiens. Next base: position 23,437,793 of record NC_000010.11, read on the forward strand.
CCCGGAATGCAGGTCACGACTTTCTCCACCGCTTTTGACCTCTGGCTAGCATTCACACCTATTCTCAAAGGGCCCTAAGTGATACTGCATTTGGTATTCTGAGAAAGCTTGTTTATAAAAGCCTAAAAGGCTTCCTTGCTTTCCCCCAAGCCAGATATTTGCCAAATGGCATAGGTCAGAGGTGCAAAGTTGGTTTTGTCTTAGCAAGGCAAGAGAATCCACTAGCGGACTCACCCTTACCGGTGAGTCCAAGGAAATGCATAGAAAAGACACAGTGGTAAAACTAGCTGGGCACCTGTAATCCCTGCCCAAGGCAAGGCTGAGGAAGGGGGATCACTTGGGCCCTGGAGGTCGAGGTCGCAGTGGGACATGATGGCGCCACTGCACTCAGCCTGGAAGGCAGAGCAAGACCTTGCCTCAAAAAGAAAAAGAAAAAAAAAAAAAGGAAAAGACGCGGCGGTTCCACGAGTGGTGGCTAGGACCCATAATCCCAACACTTTAGGAGGTCGAGGCGGGAAACAGCTTGAGGCCAGTAGTTCGACACCAGACTGGGCAACTGTGGTGAGACCCTCGCCTTAAAAAAAAAGAAAGAAAGAAAGAAAGAAAATTAGCCGGGTGCGGTGGTGCACACCTGTGGTTTCCAGTTACTCTGGAGGTTGAGGCGGGAGGATCGCTTGAGCCCGGGAAGTCAAGGCTGCAGTGAGCTATGGACTGCGCCACTACACTCTAGCTTCGGAGACAGGTAAGACCCCCATCTCTAAAAAGATAAAAGAAAAGAGGCAGTAGTGAATGCAAGCAGGGATGGTAGCCCATGACCAGCAGAGGCCAAACAGACTTTAAGGCAGCATTCCGTTCTCCACACCCATGCCGGAAGCTTTCCTGCCACGCAAGCTTTCCGAGCATGCTAACTCGCCCCAAGCAGCTCCCATCCCGCAGCATCCACTGCAGCCGCTGAGGAGAGTGGCGCAGCGCAGAAACCAGTGCCCAGTGCCCAGGTGGGGGAAGCGGTCCGTGGGAGTCACGTGGGCGGGAGGCCCAGCCAGGATCCCAGGACTGCTCAGGCCTCCGCGCCCCCGGCCTCGCCCCGCCCGCGCGCGCTCGCGCGCCGAGGGCCACGCCCGTGACGTCGGCGGAGCGCGGTAGGGGGCGGGGCGCGGGCCGGAGTGGGCGGGGCGAGCAGGCGCGACTGAATCGGGCGCCGCAAAGAGCCGCGCATTCCAGTGAGTCCACGTGACGCGGCCGCGAGGCCTGAGGTAAACAACCGCGGCCCCGCCTCCCGGGCCTCCGCGCGCACCGCGCTCCTCCTCGCCGGCGGGACGCGCTCCAACGGGGCGGGCGGCTTCCTCCGTGAGTCCCCAGCGGCCGCCGCGGGCCGAAGCAGCTGCAGCGGGCGCGGCGCCCCGGGTCTGCGGGCCGAGCGCACCGGCAGGGGTCGAGCTCGCGTCCCGTCCCCGCCCCCCTGCGCTGTGGCGCAGCAGGAATTTGGCCGGGACCCGGGCGCTATTCGCGGCTGCTGACTCGCGGCGGCCGGCTGCCTTTCGCTCATCTCTATTCTGGGGCCGTTGGGTCACCGCGCTCCGCCGGCCCCCTCCCCCGGGCCCGGAGGGTGTGTCCCCCGCTCCGGGGCTCGCCGCGCCTATAAGGGGCCGAGCGGCGGGCAGGGACATGCAGCTCTACAGCAGCGTCTGCACCCACTACCCCGCCGGGGCCCCGGGTCCCACGGCCGCCGCCCCCGCGCCACCCGCCGCCGCTACCCCCTTCAAGGTCTCGCTGCAGCCCCCGGGAGCCGCCGGCGCCGCGCCCGAGCCCGAGACCGGTGAGTGCCAGCCCGCCGCGGCCGCCGAGCACCGGGAAGCCGCCGCTGTCCCCGCCGCCAAGATGCCCGCCTTCTCCTCCTGCTTCGAGGTGGTGTCCGGGGCCGCCGCGCCCGCCTCCGCCGCCGCCGGCCCGCCCGGCGCGTCCTGCAAGCCGCCGCTGCCGCCGCACTACACGTCCACCGCACAGATCACCGTGCGGGCCCTGGGCGCCGACAGGCTCCTGCTGCACGGGCCCGATCCCGTTCCCGGCGCCGCGGGCTCCGCCGCTGCCCCGCGCGGCCGCTGCCTCCTGCTCGCCCCGGCGCCCGCAGCCCCGGTCCCGCCGCGGCGGGGCTCCTCGGCCTGGCTCCTGGAGGAGCTGCTGCGGCCCGACTGCCCCGAGCCCGCGGGCTTGGACGCGACACGGGAGGGGCCCGATCGGAACTTCCGACTGAGCGAGCACCGCCAGGCCCTGGCCGCCGCCAAGCACCGAGGCCCCGCGGCGACCCCGGGGAGCCCCGATCCCGGCCCCGGTCCGTGGGGCGAAGAGCACTTGGCGGAGAGGGGCCCCAGGGGCTGGGAGAGGGGCGGCGATCGCTGCGACGCGCCCGGTGGGGACGCGGCGCGGAGGCCCGACCCAGAGGCCGAGGCACCCCCCGCCGGGAGCATCGAGGCCGCCCCGAGTAGTGCGGCGGAGCCGGTGATCGTCTCCAGGTCGGATCCCAGAGACGAGAAGCTGGCCCTATACCTGGCCGAGGTGGAGAAGCAGGACAAGTATCTGCGGCAGAGGAATAAGTACCGATTCCACATCATTCCAGACGGCAACTGCCTCTACCGAGCTGTCAGCAAGACGGTGTATGGGGACCAGAGCCTGCACCGGGAGTTGAGGGAGCAGACGGTGCACTACATCGCCGACCATCTCGACCACTTCAGCCCCCTGATTGAGGGCGACGTGGGGGAGTTTATCATCGCTGCTGCCCAAGACGGGGCATGGGCCGGGTACCCGGAGTTGCTGGCCATGGGGCAGATGCTGAATGTGAATATCCATTTAACTACTGGAGGGAGGCTGGAGAGTCCCACGGTGTCTACCATGATTCATTATTTGGGCCCAGAGGATTCCCTGAGGCCTAGTATTTGGCTCAGTTGGCTCAGTAACGGACACTATGATGCTGTATTTGATCACTCCTATCCTAACCCAGAGTACGACAACTGGTGCAAACAAACTCAAGTGCAAAGGAAACGCGACGAAGAACTTGCCAAATCTATGGCCATATCCTTGTCTAAAATGTATATTGAACAAAATGCATGCTCTTGAAATGTCTCAAAACCTTACACCCTGGGAATAATTGCATATATAACTTGTGTTTGGAGAATCACATGAACTTTAATCAGGGTAATAGCACTTTCAAACTTGCTAGTAGATTTTACTGTAGGTGTAATGCCTTAATCATCTTTTTGAATGTTTTCTCAGAGCTGGAGGTTGCTGGGCACCTAAATGATGTTTCATGATAGCTTTGGGTGATTTTACTGCTATTTATAATTTGCTGTATAAAGTGAGCATTACTTAATTTGCAAGCTGATTTCTCACAGTGTAAATTTGTTCATTCCTGGTAGTCTATTTTCTATAAAAATGTATTTTTGCACAACATTTTTAAAAACTGGTGTACCTTCATCTATGACGTGTTCCATTTTGACAAACAGCTTTCAGGCGTAAATCCAGAGAAGTGCTTTATATGAAATGTATTATTTTGAACAGAGTTTGTGATTTGGTAGTTATTTTATGTTGTTGAAATTTGAATTTCACAATTCTTAGATAATTATTTCAAATGGATATTGATGCATTCTTGTTACCAGATGTTTGGCCCATTCCATTTTGATGAAACAGAGCTGTTGTTTTGGAAGTCATTATTTTTCTAGAAATGGCGAATCTTTTAAAGAAAATTACTTAATGGAAGGTTGTGGGAAGGTGTTTTTTTGTGTTTTTTTTTTGGTTTTTGTTTTGTTTTTCCTCTTTTAAGGGATAGTAGCAGGTCTTACTTGAATGAAAGTCTGATATTTGCTGATGGCAGAATGATTATTCTGTACCCTGGTTGATGTGTAGAGTAGATTGTCTGGTGCTCTCAGTTGTTTTTATTTACATTTGTCACGTTGTTGTAAGAGAATGTTAACATGGTATAAAACTCTGTGACAAGATAAGCCTCCTGCTTTATATAACTTCTTGAATCCAGCTAAGAGATTTATAAACTAATGGCATAAATGTCTGGAGCCAACCTTGGCAGTTATAGCAGGAGAACACTGTCTTAATATTTCTTTACATTCTTTCAAAAGGCAAAATAGGATTGCCCTGTATTGATGTAGAAATGTCTGTAAACAGAGCTTGTATGGTTTGCTGGGTCAAACAATGTTTCCAACTTAAAATCAATCTCATTGCCACTTTAACTACTTTTAGTCATATTTATTAAGTAATGCAGTTTGTACTTTTTTTATTTTGTAACATTTTGTGATTTTTTTGTACAAAACTGTATTTGTACAATAGAGCAATTCCCAGCTGATGGAATGAATGAATAAAATGCAAAATTATACTTTTACAATGCCTTTTTGGATAGAGTGGTTTTTAAATTGTGATGTTTGTAGGAAACTTTCTTGCATGTATGCATGTACACAATTTTTTTTTTCCATAAAGATGCCACAGCAATAGAGAGGTTTCCTAAATTATCACATGAAGAGGATAGGCTAATCATGAGTAATTTCAAAGGATAAGTCTGAATAAAATATAATTTAAAAGTGGAGTAATCCAAGAAATTGCTCTCATTATTTCTAATTATAATTTCTGTCTACAGTTATAGCTGTACCTATTGGCTAATGAAAAAGGAAGTGCAAGTTTTGTGTCAGCCAGCAGAATGTCTAATTAAATGTCATACTTTTGTATTCCACTCACTCTCAGTATAGAGTTTAACGTTTTAGAGAGTAACCAAAGAGATGCCCTAATTTTTGTCTAGTCTGGCCTCTTGAGACCACGGGAATCTGTTTTAAGATGTTGAAAAGTGCATGCTATAGTTTGAATATATGTGTCCCACCACCCCAAATTCATGTGTTCGTCCCCATTATGGTGGTATTAAGAGGTTGGGCTTTTGGGGAAGTGATTTAAGGCATGAGCGCTCTGTCTTCATGAATGAATTAGTTGCCTTTTATAAAAAGGTCTGGAAGCAACTAGCTTAGGCCCATTTTGCTGTTCTGTTGTTCTGCCACAGGAGGACACCTAGATGGTGTCATCTGTGAGGAAGGGGCCTCCGCCTGATGTGGAACCTGCGAGCACCTTGATCTTGGGCTTCCCAGCCAACAGACTGTGAGAAATACAAATTTCTGTTCTTTATAAATTATAGGTATTTTGTTGCAGTAGCACAAATGGACTAAGTTGGTGCACCTGTGTGCATAATGTTGGGGTATGTGTAATGCATAAGAAAAGCAGCTATTTTGGATATTTTACTTTTCAGTTATTTAGACATCACAGTCATAGACACAACTGAACTTGATTGAGTTCATTGGTTAACCACATTCTTGGAAGGATGCCGTTGAATATCAAGGAAAGAATTTGTCAACGGTTTAAATGTTTACTAATCACAGATCTCTGGATTTTTGTGTAGGTAAGTTTTGCTTCATGGCTTCAGTAAGTAATTTGGGAAGAAAGAAATTCTATTATTTGAATTACCTGGCTACCCCTTTTCTCCACTTTATTTAGAGCTGTATAACATTTGGAGATGCTTAAAATTTTATACAAGTATGAGTAGAACACACAAGAATTCCTAAAAAGCCTTCTGTAAGCCTATTACTGTTTTAGGTAGCTTACTCTGTGTTCTGTTTCATTTTCAAATTAGGATTCCAAGTCCTGATTTCTTTTCTTTTTTCTTACGTTTTTATTGAGACAGGGTCTCCCTCTGTCACCTAGGCTAGAGTGCAATGGCACAGTCATGGCTCACTGCAGCCTCAACCTCAGAGCTCAAGTGATTCTCCCGAATACCTCAGCCTCCTAAGTAACTGGGGCTACAACGGTCGTCCAGCATCACACCCAGCTAATTTTTAAAAAAATTTTTTAGTAGAGATGTAGTCTCACTATGTTGCCTAGGCTGGTCTTAAATTCCTGAGCTTAAGTGATCCTCCTGCCTCAGCCTCCCAAGGTGGTGGGATTACAGGCATAAGTCACCCTGCCCAGTCCTGTTTTTAAATTTAATTTTAACATTTTGTTTATTATTTTTGAGACAGGGTGTTGTCGTGTCCCCCAGGCTGGAGTGCAGTGGCACAATCATGGCTTACTGCAGCCTCTACCTCCTGGGCTCAAGTTAGCCTCTCACCTTGGCTGCTGAGTAGCTGGGACTATAAGCATGTACCACCATGCTCAGCTAATTTTTTATTATTCATAGAGGTCGGTGGGGCGGGGGTTCGCCCTGTGTTGCCCAGGCTGGTCTTGAACTCCTGGCCTCAGGCAATCCTCCCACCTCAGCCTCCCAAAGTGCTGGGATTACAGGTGTGAATCACACACTCAGCCTTGAAAAAGAAAATCTGGAGATAATTTCATTACTTTGTTCAAGTTTATCTTATGTGCTTTTCCTAAAAAAAAAGTTATACAATTTTTTTCCAAGTTTTGCATTTTGAGAATCATTAGCACTTTACCATGACATTTAGTGCTCATGTGGAAGAAAGGCATTAGGGAAGAAAAATAGATTGTAATCCTTTGGACGTTTGATAATTTGATATGTAGGTAAATGTACTGGATAAATTCAAGTATGTAGCATGTTCACATTAAATAGTTATTTGTTACATCCTAAGTTCAGATGTCATTTTTTTGTACATCCCTAGAATGTCTATCTCAAAGAGGCACTGAGAAACTAGATGACATTTAATTCAGTTTGATTTCCCAAATTTACTAAGCTCAATAGGCACATTCCCTGTTGAATCCCTGGGTTCAAACCCAAGTACCTAGCAGAGCGAGTGCTCAGTAAATTGCTTTTTTCTTTTTTTTTTTTTAGACAGAGTCTTGCTTTGTCGCCCAACCTGGAGTGCAATTGTGTGGTCTTGGCTCAGTGCAACCTCCACCTCCCGGGTTCAAGCAGTTCTCCTGCCTCAGCCTCCCGAGTAGCTGGGATTACAGGTGCCTGCCACCATGCCCAAGTAATTTTTTGTATTTTTATTTATTATTTATTTATTTATTTATTTGAGATGGAGTCTCGCTCTCACCCAGGCTGGAGTGCAGTGGCATGATCTTGGCTCACTGCAACCTCCGCCTCCCGAGTTCAAGTGATTCTCCTGCCTCAGCCTCCTGAATAGCTGAGACTACACGTGCGTGCCACCACGCCCAGCTAATTTTTTTTTTGTATTTTTAGTACAGATGGGGTTTCACCATGTCAGTCAGGATGGTCTCGATACCCTGACCTCGTGATCCGCCTGCCTTGGCCTCCCAAAGTGCTGGGATTACAGACGTGAGCCACTGTGACTGGCCTTGTATTTTTAATATTAGAGACGAGGTTTTGCCATGTTGTTCAGGCTGGTCTCCAACTCCTGACCTTGAGTGATCCACCCACCTCGGCCTCCCAAAGTGCTGGGATTGCAGGCATGAGTCGCTACACCCCGCCAAATTTTTGAATGAAGGAATTAATTGAAGGGAAATGGAGCTTTGGAAAATATTTAGTTGGAGAATGTGAAATTAAATGAAAATAACTTGACTCTAAAGGTACTGGGAATTATTAATGACAAAGTAATTATGCGCGTTTTAAACTCAAATAATAGAAAAAGATATTGCAGTATTGAATTCTGTAACTGACAAAATGGTTTTTGAAACCAAAAATGAGAATTCATTGATTTTATCTTTCTGTCATCTTCCAAACATCTTGAGAAACCAGGTCAACTGTAATTATTTAAAAATAGAACTTCACTAATCTGCTGTGATCTTGAAGGTGTTGCCTTCTCCAAAATGACTTGCTCTGTTTTGCTTTGGGGGTCACTGCCATCCCACATCCAGTCTCTAGCAATTCCTAGTGTGACTGTTTTCTCTGTAGCCTGGTTGAGAAGGAAATGTTGAACAGATTTCAAGCATGAGTTACGACTGCTGTGTTCAATAATACTGGCTGCAAGCTTATGTCATTGGTCAGTGGGACCAAGGCAAGTAGTGTAAATCAGATCAGAACAGCTGTTGGAAAAAAATGTATTTCTTCCTGTTGTAAATTAGATCAATGACAATGATTCTATGAGTAAAGGTCAGGGAGAGTTCACTGTCATCAGTTAACTTACAGTAAAACCTTATCTAGCCTTGTTTCTCACAATTGAATTTTCTAAATAATTGAACAGTTCCTTTTTGTGTAAAATATGAAACAAAAGGCCGGGCGCGGTGGCTCACGCCTGTAATCCCAGCACTTTGGGAGGCCGAGGTGGCGGATCACAAGGTCAGGAGATCAAGACCAGCTGGCTAACATTGGTGAAACCCCATCTCTAATAAAAATAGAAAAATTATCTGGGCGTGGTGGCGGGTGCCTGTAGTCCCAGCTACTATAGGGGCTGAGGCAGGAGAATCGCTTGAACCCGGGAGGTTGAGGTTGCAGTGAGCTGAGATCACACCGTTGCACTCCAGCCTGGGCAACAAGAGTGAAACTCCGTCTCAAAAAAAAAAAAAAAAAGTAATTTATGGTGTACTAATTTTTCTTTATAAAATAACTGAATATGAGGCTGGGCACAGTGGCTCACGCCTGTAATCCCAGCACTTTGGGAGGCCAAGGTGGGCAGATCACAAGGTCAGGAGTTTGAGACCAGCCTGGCCAATATGGGGAAACCCTGCCTCTACTAAAAAATACAAAAATTAGCTGGGCGTGGTGGCTCACACCTGTAGTCCCAGCTACTCGGGAGGCTGAGGCAGGAGAATCGCTGGAACCCGGGGGGCGGAGGTTGCAGTGAGCTGAGATAGCGCAACTGCACTCCAGTCTGGGCAACGGGGCGAGACTCCGTCTCAAAAAAAAAACAAAAAAACTAAATATGGTTTAATCATTTAGTGCTTTAGTGCTTGCAGATGGCTGAAATGTGACAGTTCATTTGTACTTAAAGGGATCTCAGAGTGCTAGGACTTTTTTTTTTTTTAATTTGTTTCAAGATGGGATCTCACTCTGTTGCCCAGGCTGGAGTGCAGTGGCATGATCATGGCTCACTGCAGCCTTGAATTCCCGGGCTCAAGCGATCCTTCCATCTCAACATCCTGAGTAGCTGGAACCACAGGTGCATGCCACCATCCCACACCTCTCCCTCGCTAATTTTTTTATTATTATTTTTGGTAGAGATGGGGTCTCAAACTCCTGAGCTCAAGTGATCCTCACCCTTCAGCCTCCCAGAGTGCTTGGTTTACTGGCCTGAGCCACCACGCCCAGCTAGTGCTGGGAATTTTATCTTTGTGATTATACTTTTCCTGTCTACTTCCTCGCATTATAAAAGCTCTTACCATTGTCACTTTCCAACCTCAATTCCCACTATGATTTTCTATGTTCAGTTAGAGACACTAATCAATGTGCTTGTCAGAATTGACTCTAAAATCATAAGAAATGGTTTTCTCTTTTTTAAATAACACAACCTGTCATACTAGAAATGAGTTTCTAATTCAGAACTGTGATGCTCTGCTGTAAGTAATGTGTTTAAGCTTTAGTTTTTGGTCAACCAGAGTGCTTTTTTGCTGCTTGCCTTGTCTTCTTTTTTCATTGTTTAGTGGTATCCTGGATTTGTCTGATTAAGGGATCTCTGAGTGTGTGCAGTGACATATTCAGAAAACAAATGGGTTGGCTATATTAAATCTCAAAATTGGAGCTGATTTGTCATGGCCTAGTTAATATTTTGTTTCCTCCCTACCATATATAATCCTTCATAGTGTGTCCCTGCTGTTGTCTTTCTTCTATTTATACCTTTTTTTTTTTATTTATTGTATTTTTTTTTTTAGGGCTAGGATCTTGACCTGTCACCCAGGCTGGAGTGCGGTGGCGTGATCATAGCTCACTGCAGCCGTAAACTCCTGGGCTTAAGCAATCGTCCTGCTTCAGCCTCTTGAGTAGCTAGCATTATGTTGCCCATGCTGGTCTTGAATTCCTGGGCTCAAGCAATCTTCCTATCTGGGCCTCCTGAGTTGCTGGGATTAGGCATGAGCCACTGTTCCCAGCCTGTTTATAAATTTTTAATTATGTCCTTTTTGAGATAGGGTCTTGCTCTTTGTCACCCAGGATGGAGTGCAGTGGTGCAGTCACAGTTCATTGCAGCCTCGACCTCCTGGGATCAAGCAATTCTCCTACCTCAGCCTCTGGAGTAGCTGGGACCACAGGTGTGGGCCACCACATCTGGCTAATTTTTTTTTTCTTTTGTAGAGATGGGGTCTCACTATGTTGTCCTGGCTGGTTTTGAACTCCTGGCCTCAAGCAGTCCACCCACCTTGACTTCCCAAAGTGCTGGGATTACAGGCATGAGCCACCATGGCTGATATATATATGTTTAAATATAGAGACAGGGTCTCACTGTGTTGCCCAGGCTGGTCTTTAACTCTTGGCCTCAAGCAATCCTCCCACCTCAGCCTACCAAGTCACTGGAATGACAGGTGTGAGCTACCACACCTAGTTTGTTTATACATTTTTTATTAGTTTTCTGGTCCACAAAGCTGCGGTAATTACAAGGGAATTCAAATATTAGGTCCTCATGCAGACTCCAAATCAAAGTGTGCACAGATGCGTCCGGTACAGATATGACAGTTATCTTTGAATTTTCTCTCCCTAATTCTTCTTTAATGTGTGTATATTACATCTACATAGGTAAGAAAGTTAGTCTTCCTCCTGAACTTCCTTTTTCATTAGAGTAAAATATTTTTTCTCATATTGATTAGTGTTTAATAGAGTCAGTAAATACCCTTGCATTAATATGCTGACAAGTAGATTTTGACAATTTGAAAAAAGCAAAGGATGAATTAATTCCTGTGGGGTCTATGAATTTTATATTTTAAAGCAGTTAAAGTAGGGGAAAAAACCTACACACACAGGACATTTTATACTTGAAACTGGAATTATTTTAGCAAGTGAGGATGCCAAGTAGAATGTCAGTGTATAGAGATTTAGCCTTAATGATATATGCTTGAAGTAATGATTGAGTCTAAACAAATGTTCCACCTAGATTAGAGGTTGTCTGTTTGAATAATTTTAGGGATGGACAAAGTAGTTGTATTTCTTAGCTTATAGGTACAAAAAGCTGGTGTGCAAAATAGGTACTTGTGAAGGGAATTTATACCAATGTGTCATGTGACACTTCTGCAGTCAATTTGTAAGATAAATTCAAATAAGGCTTTCAGTTCTGATGACAAACAGGAAACATTCACGCTTTTTGTTTCTCACAGTGAAATACAAGCTACACTAGTGATGTAATAGGAACGAAAGAAGAAGGAAATGCCACAGTTAAGTGGACAACTGCAGTCAGGAAATTCTTAGCTGTTACTTTGCTACCTTTGCCATCTTGCTGAAAAGCACTGACTAGACCTAAAGGGAATAAACAGTTAATGCTTTTGCTGTTTACTAAATCTAAACAATGCTCATGTCTCCATAAACAGTAGGTACCGAAACCTCAGTAACTGCTTACACAGAATTCTAGGCCAAAGAAGAGACAGATTTAAGATGTATGTTAAACTTGTCAATATAAACTTGTCAATATAAAGTCATTCTCTGACTGATTTTTCATTACCAGTTCCTTCCTTCCTTCCTTCCTTCCTTCCTTCCTTCCTTCCTTCCTTCCTTCCTTCCTTTCTCTTTCTCTCTCTCTCTTTCTCTTTCTTTCTTTCTTGTTTTCTTTTTCTTTTTTGATGTAGTCTTGCTCTGTCGCCCAGGCTGGAGTGCAGTGATGCAATTTCGGCTCACTGAAACCTTTGCCTCCTGGGTTCAAGCGATTCTTCTGCCTCAACTTCCCAAGTAGTTGGGATTACAAGCGTCTGCCAACACACCTGGCTAATTTGCGTGTGTTTGTGTGTGTTTGTGTGTGCGTGTGTTTTTAGTAGAGATAAGCTTTCATCATGTTGGCCAGGCTGGTCTCGAACACCTGACCTCGGGTGATCTGCCTAACTCAGCCTTCCAAAGTTGGGATTCCAGGTGTGAGCCACCCCACCTGGTCCCTGTTCATTTTCTTGATCGTGACTGTAGGCAGAAGCTAGTACTGCTCAGAGTGTGATTTGCCGCGATGGCTCTACTGATTTGGAAGGCAACGTGACCTTGCAAGCATAGACAGTACAGTTGTGTTAGGCCAAGCTGCTATAACAAAAAGTTTCTTTCTTTCTCACTTAACTCTTCCAAGGGGAGCAGTGCAGTCAGAAGGGCAGCTCTGCCCCCCAGGGACTGTCACCTTCTGCACAATGACAGTCTGTAGTCATGTCTGGTCTGATGAGAGGGAGCAGAGTGCACATGCTGAGGTGGCGTCTGTCACTTCTGCTCTCTCCAGAACATGTCACGTGCAGCACATCCAACTGGAAAATACCATCCAGACAGTTCCCAAGAAGAGGGAAAAATGGAGTTTGGCATAAAAATCACAGTCTTCTTTAACTTCATTTATTAGAAATGGTTTAGATCTTGCTCCTGCAAAGTAAAAATGAAAAAAAAAATTACTAAAATAAAAAACAAAAAAGAAATGGTTTACATAATACACACACACATACACACACACACACAGATGTTTAAAATAAAACATCTGCATATATTTTTAGAAACAGGATCTCGATATGTCACCCAGGCTGGAGTGCAGTGGCACAATCATGGCTCAACCGCCTGAACTTCCTAGCTCAAATGTTCCTCCCACCTTAGCCTCCTGAGCAGCTGGGACTACAGGCACATACCACCACATCTGGCTAATTGTCTTTCTTTTTTTTTGAGATGGAGTCTCGCTCTGTCACCCAGGCTGGAGTGCAGTGGTGAGGTCTTGGCTCATTGCAACCTCTGCCTCCCAGGTTCAAGTGATTCTCTTGACTCAGTCTCCCAAGTAGCTGGGATTACAGGCGCCTGCCACTATGCCTGGCTACATCTGGCTACTTAAAATTTTTCTTTTTAATTTTTGTAGAGATGGGGTTTTACTATGTTTCCCAGGGTGGTCTCGAACTCCTGGCCTCAAGCAATCCTCCTGCCTTGGCCTCCCGAAGTGCTAGGATTGCAGGTATGAGCCACTGCACCTGGCTGTAAAATATCTTTAAGAAGAAAAATATATCATAATATTGAAGTATCTGGGAATAAAGTGAATAAAATACACATTAACTCGTTTCCCATGACAAAGATATAAAAAGATACAAAAGTAGAATTAACTGTTGCAATAATTTAGGATTCCGGTCCCCATCAGCTTCTCAACAGGTGTACACAGCTGCTGAACCTTCTATATTTTGATAAGGCTGCTATTTTTCTATTTCCTTTCCTTTTTTTTGAGACAGAGTCTTGCTCTGTCGCCCTGGCTGGAGTGCAGTGACGTGATCTCGGCTTGAACCTCTGCCTCTTGGGTTCAAGCGATTCTCCTGCCTCAGCTTCCCGTATAAGTAGAACTACAGGTGCATGCCACCACACCTGGCTGATTTTTTGTGTTTTAGTAGAGAGGAGGTTTCACCGTGTTAGCCAGGATGGTCTCGATCTCCTGACCTCAGGTGATCCACCCGCCTCGGCCTCCCAAAGTGCTGGGATTACAGGAGTGAGCCACCGCACCTGGCCATTCCTTTTCATTCTTCTTTTTTTTTTTTTTTTTTTTTTGAGGTGGAGTTTCACTCTTGTCACCCAGGCTGGAGTGCAATGGTGCTATCTTGGCTCACTGCAACCTCTGCCTCCTGGGTTCAGGTGATTCTCCTGCCTCAGCCTCCCAAGTAGCTAGGATTACAGGCACATGCCACCATGCCCAGCTAATTTTTGTATTTTTAGTAGAGGAGACAGGGTTTCACCATGTTGGCCAAGATGTTCTTGATTTCTGCCTCGTGATCCACCCGCCTGGGCGCCCAAAACTGCTGGGATTACAGGCGTGAGCCACCGCGCCTTGCCTCCTTTCCATTCTTACTTGTTCTTTAGTATATCAGAAACATCTCGAAAGTCTGGCCTTTAACACAAACCCTGGTTTTCTTCGGAAAGAACAATACGTAAAAACTTTTCCTTTTTAGGTTTCACAGATTTCGCTTCTTTAGGCTCTTGCTGGTCTTCTTCCTCTTTCTCTATTTTTAAATTTCCTTCTTTTCCGCTGCCCTTCTTGTTTTTCTTTTAGAATAATTGTATGTCATCTGCTCTGCTTAAAATTAGATGTTCCTCTCTAATATTTACTAATTCACCCATTTTACTTTACTAACTTACTAAGTCTTTAAAAGTAAATGACTAAGCCTCACCCCAATTCTTGAAAAAGGAAAGGAAAAAACAAACAAACAAACAAACAAAAAAGCCCAGCCCATTATAGTGGACTAGAAGCTCCATATAAGGCTTATAGTTGGGATTTAAGGATGAGGCCAATCCTCTGAAATTAAAGAATCATCATAAATGGGTCAGAGCAGGGAAGGGTAAAGATAGCCCACCCCAAGAAAGGGCCACTAACATCCTTGTTGAGGAGAAGGGGACTTCCTAGTGTAGTCAGAGGAGCTATACTGCAAGCACAACCTTCGTAGGAGTTAATCAGAGTAATTAATGTGAAGAAAGTTGTAACTCATCCAAACAGTATACTATTGCAGCAATGCACTGGCAGAAGAAACGGGCAGTGAGTGGTCTGCATGAAGCCTAGAACCAAGAGAGCCAAGGAAGAATATCTCGGTCACTGCGACTCTCATTTTATCTAGATGGGAAGGTACCCTGGGCTAGCCACACCAATGTGCTGAATAGTTAAGAACAATATAAGGAAATGCTTTTTGGAAGTAGGAAGTAAATATTCATTCAACAAATATTGACTGCCTGGAGGATAGTAGGCACTATGCTAAGCCCTATGTAACTCTCAAGCTATGTGGTATTAGATGCTTAGTAATTGGAGGCTATAATGATCATATCTTGCTCCCAAATTATTTTACTCATGAGAGAGGTCTTTGTAGTCAAGCTGGTTGGGATTCAAATTGTGGCTAAAGCACTTAGTACAAGGATACTTGTTTCATTTTGTTTTGTTTTTGTGATGGAGTCTTGCTCTGTTGCCCAGGCTGGAGTGCAGTGGTATGATCTTGGCTCACTGCAACCTCCCCCACCCAGGCTCAAGCAATTGACCTGCCTCAGCTTCCGGAGTAGCTGGGACTACAGGCATCCGCCACCACGCCCAGCTAATTTTTTTTTTGTATTTTTAATGGAGCCAGGTTTTCACCATGTTGCCCAGGCTGGTTTCAAACTCCTGACCTCATGTGATCTGCCTGCCTCGGCCTCCCCAAATGCTAGGATTACAGGCATGAGCCAACGTGCCCGGCCCATACTTGTATTAGGTATACACTGTACGAGTACATGTAAGTTAGGTAAGTATGGACTTATCTAACTTAGGTAAGTTAGTTAATATCTTTAACCCAGCTTCATCATTTGAATAATGGAAATAGTTATTGAAACTCCATTTCAGAGGGTGATTATAAAGATTGTATTAGAGATAACATTATAATGAATACATGTCAAGCGTAGAGTTAGCATTCAGTAAATGTCAGCTACTTCTATAATTATTATCTTTAGAATTACAAGACTAATTTATATGCTTTTAACCTGGTTTATAGCTTTGCCTTCAGGTTAATCCTGAGCTTCTGTTTTATGGTTATTCTAATTTCAGATTACTTTTAATATTGATTGTTAGACTGGTGTTAAATCAAACTAAATTTCGGCTTTAGAGGCCTCCATACCAGTTCTGTATAACAAACTGCAGTCTAACTCAGTATGTAAACAAATCGAAAGCCTAATTTATAAGTATGGTTTTGTAACAAATAGCTGAGTCTCAGCCAATCAGAGCAGCCGAGCTTCAGCCAATCGTAGGTGGTTAACTGTTTAAACCAGGTTCAAATAAGGCTGCACTGAGTTGCAACCAATGGAGCTGTTTCTGTACCTCATTTCCTTTTCTCTGTGCATTAATGTTGTTTGACTACTTGTTGGTTGTAATGACAGAGTCTTTCTGAACATGTTCTGATTTTGGGGCCTGCCCCCTTCATGAATCATTCTTTGCTCAGTTAAGCTCTGTTGATTTAATTTGTCTCAAGTTTTTATTTTAACGCTGGCATAGTACTTTATCATTATGTATTAATAGGTTTTGCTTTTCTTTATTCATGCAAATATTTTATCTCAATATTTTTGCAATGGTGTATTTAATATCAAGATTTTATTTCAAAATATGAAAATTATAGGTACTTTTGAAAACAGTATTGACAAGTTTCCATTTTGAACATTTATTTATATTTTCCTTTATTGATAGTTTCAACTGGCCTAAAAATATCAAAACCATGTTTAGTGCAAGAACAGAAAACCAAACACCGCATGTTTGCACTTATACGTGGAGGCTAAATGTTGGGTACTCATGGACATAAAGATGGTGACAGCAGACACTGGGGACCACTGGTGGGGAGGGAGAGGGAGAGGCAAGAGTTGACTAACTAAATACTGGGTGCTGTGCTCACTACTTGGATGAGGGATTGTTTATACCCAAACTGCAGCATCATGTAATGTACCCATGTAACAAACCTGCACATGTACTGCCTGAATCTAAAATAAAAGTTGAAATGATTTAAAAAAAAAACAAAAAACCATGTTTAGAATGGACACTTTTGTTTTTTTTTTTGTTTAAGAGGCAGGGTCTTACTCTGTCACTCAGGCTGAAGTGCAGTGGCGTGATCATAGCTCACTGCAGCCTTGAACTCCTGGGCTTGAATGATCCTTCTGTCTCAGCCACCCAAGTATCTGTGACTACAGGCATGCACCACCATGCCTGGGTAATTTTATTATTAAGATTGTGCTTATTATTTTTGTAGAAATAGGTTCTTGTTATGTTGCCTAAGCTGGTGTCAAACTTCTGGCCTCAAGTGATCCTCTCATCTCAGCCTCCCCAAAGTTCTGGGGTTACAGGCATGAGCCACAGCACCTGGCCTATTCCCCTTTTTTGCTTTTAAAATCTTGTTTCTAACAAAGGCCCAATGAGCTGATATCCAAGGTTACTTGGTTTTGAGTTTTCCAGGCAACTGTCCTCATTTTGACTCAAGAAAACTCGTTAAATTATGTCTCGTGCCACAGCCTCTTCCTTTTAGGTTGACAAAAACTCAGCTTTAATTTTGTCACTAGAAGAGAAGAAAAATCTTTCTTCCTTTCATCCTTCTGGATTCCTGGCTGAGTCTTTGTAACAAAAGAGATTAATAAGAGGAAAACCAAGTGAAATTTGTTAACATAGTTAGAGTAGGTAGTTAGGCAGACATGAGCAGGACAGGAGAGCCACCCACCCCCACGCCCTAGGAGTGTCAGGTGACCACAGGTGATGGTCAGGCCATTGTTAAACTGTCTCTCTAAAATAACACTTGGTCACAGCCAGTGCCAGGGAAGACAGTCTCCCAGTAGACAGAACACACCTGAAGCTGATGATGAGCTGCTTCCAGATAAGATCTCAGAAGTTGGATTAGTGGGCTCACACATGCACACTAAGAGGCAAAATGGCAAAGTTCAGCTGGTATATGACCTTCCTCTAGGAATGCTCAACTGTTAACTGCTAAGAGAAAAATACCTGGAATGAACATGTGCACAACTTTAGTAAACACACCGTGCATGTGGCCCTTCCCAAGTGCTGGCAGGCCACTGCATATGCAGACAGCCCACCCCAAGGGAAAAATCAGGGGAGGAGAAATGAAAATGCCAGTGTATAAAATCTCAAGTCAAGGGCTGGATGGGGCACTTGGATCAATCAAGTCACTGTCTTGGCCCTCTTCCAAGTTGAAATTTACTTCCTTGAATTCCTGCTCTAAAAGTTTACAATAAACTCTCACTCCTGTTCTAAAACTTGCCTCAGTTTCTCCCTCTGCCTTGAAACTACTTCTGCCCTGTGGCTGAATTCTTTCCTCCAAGGAGGCAAGGATTGAGTTCGCTGTAGACCTGTTGGATTTGCCACTGGTAACAACATGTGTATTTGCACATGTAACACAAGGAAATACCCAGAAATGAGTAACTCAAAGGAGTGTTTAGAATTTAGGCTTATAGGGCCAGGTGCGGTGGTTCATGCCTGTAATCCCAGCACTTTGGGAGGCTGAGGTGGGAGGATCATGAGGTCAGGAGATCGAAACCATCCTGGCTAACATGGTGAAAACCCATCTCTACTAAAAATACAAAAATTAGCTGGGCATGGTGGCATGCACCTACAGTCCCAGCTACTCAGGAGGCTGAGGCTGGAGAATCTCTTGAAACCAGGAGGTGGAGGTTGCAGTGAGCCGAGATCCTGCCACTCCACTCCAGCCTGGGTGACACGGTGAGACTCCATCTAAAAAAAAACAAAACAAAAACAAAAAAATAGAATTTAGGCTTATATATGGTTAAATTATGTTAAAGCTGCCTCCTTTTATTTTTTAACTTTGGACTAAAAGTTCTCCAAAAATAGGGAACTGTAACCTAACTGGATGTGTAAACAGACTGTAACCTACTCTTGAGCCAATCACAGAGTTTTGGCCAATCACTGATGGCCAATTGTTCAAACCATGCTCAAATAAGACAAATACGTTGTAACTAACGTGGCTGTTTTTGTACCTCATTTCCATTTTCTGTATGTCACTTTCCTTTTTCTGTCCATAAATATTATCCCACCATGTGACAGCAAACAGAGTTGCTCTGAACCTATTCTGGTTCTCGGAGCTGCCCAACTGGGGAATCATTCTTTACTCAATCAATCTCTTTTAAATTTAATTTGTCTGAAGTTTTTCTTTTAATAATACCGACAAAGGAAAAGTGATTTGGGGCCTCTGAGCAGGGGAGGCAAGTTTTGGGAAGGTGACCAGGAAAGGTATAGTAAACAAGGGTAAGATTTGTTATGCAGATTTAAGGCAGTGCATTCTCCATTGACAAGAGTTATCCTTCTCCTCCTGGTACAGAGAGAGAGGCACCCTTAAAATGGAGATTCCCGTTATAGATGTAAATTCCCCTTACAAAAAAAACCTTATGCTCTGTCCTCAGAGCTTCTCTGTGTTTGCTGTTTCTCAAAATAATCAGCTCAAAATTATCTTTATGTTAAAGAGGATTTGGGATGGCATGTTTAGCCTCCTACATTACTCTTAGGACAAATAAATACTCGTTTTTCACATTTCACTGCCAAAAGGAAGGATATGATGATATTCTTGGTATTAAGAAAACATTATAATTTTCAGGGCAATGAAAACCCTCATAGATAGAGACCATTAGTTTCACTAGGGTATGGATGTCTGTGTGTGTGTGTGTGTGTGTGTGTGTGTGTGTGTGTGCGCGCGCGCGCGCGCGCGCACAGAGAATGGCCCCATGAGATTTAGCACTGGAGTGGGAAATGGGCATTATATTTTTGAGCCTCCCCAGGTGGTTTTGATGATCAGCTAGGTTTAGGAAAGCTTGAACTAAGGAAGACCTTATGACTCTCAGTGGGTGAGCAAATTCTCTGTGAAATATAGAAAGATTAGGAGAGATAAGATGAATAAGAAGTATTAAGAGAGATAAGATGAATAAGAAGTATGATGAAAATTCATAAAATCATAAATATTATGAATAGTATGAACATAACCATAATAGGTTTTTTCATGCACGTGCATGTGAAGAGACCACCAAACAGGCTTTGTGTGAGCAACATGGCTGTTTATTTCACCTGGGTGCAGGTGGGCTGAGTCCGAAAAGAGAGTCAGCAAAGGGTGGTGGATTATCATTAGTTCTTGTAGGTTTTGGGATAGGCAGTGAAGTTAAGAGCAATGTTTTGCGGGTAGGGGTGGATCTTACAAAGTACATTCTCAAGAGTGGGGAGAATTACAAAGAACCTTCTTAAGAGTGGGGGAGATTACAAAGTACATTGATCAGTTAGGGTGGGGCAGGAACAAATCACAATGGTGGAATGTCATCAGTTAAGGCTATTTTTACTTCTTTTGTGGATCTTCAGTTACTTCAGGCCATCTGGATGTATACGTGCAAGTCACAGGGGATGTGATGGCTTGGCTTGGGCTCAGAGGCCTGACAGGTTTGTTGCCTGATACATACAGCAAGTCAATACATCAAGACACTGGGTTGCAGCAGAGAAACAGGTTTAATCATAGGGTCAGTGAACCAAGAGATGGGGAGAAACCTCAAGTCTGTCTCCCCAAGGAATTTGGGGTTAGAGTTTCTAAGGGTTTTGGAGTGGGCCAAAGTGTGGGGATCATTGATGGGTTGAAGAACACAGGGCGTCATGGAACAGGGAGATGAGGAAGTTGTATTCTCATGCTGATTCCATTCCTCTGTGTGAGTCTTCAAATTGGTTGCCGAAATTCATGGATCTGAAAAACATCTTAAGCAATCCTTAAACAAAAGCCTTATGATTCTAATGTCAGAGATCCTGTGTATAGGAACAATGGGGATACAAATCAATTCTTACAGTCTTATGACCCTAATGTCAGAGATCCTAGCTATAAAAACAACAGGGTTGCAGATGGTCAGGATCCAGTGGTACGTGACTTTTAGCAACAAGGAAGTGAGCCAGAGTGCAGTCTGATGAATGCTTAATTATAACTATATTTCCGTCCAGAACCCTGAGTGCAATTCTTGCCAACCCTGTGTGGTGGTTTCATGAACATGGATGTCTTCATCGGATGAGAAATACCAAGATGAAATAAATTTATTCAATTTGATTCTTGTGCATGTAAATAAGTCCATATTTACACATGTATATATATGCAGAGAAGATAGTGAATTCTGAGCATTGTAGAACCTTCCAGGGGAAGAGCCAATTGCCAGGTCCTAAGAGCTGCCCTTGGCCACCTCTCCAATGCTACTGAAGACAACATTATGGGGAAGGTCAGCTTCACTCTGCTTCTTAAAGATGAAGAGTGGGGAATTATTCAGAATTCTTTAGGGTGCAAATGCCAGAAACTTCATGGAAACTGGCTTTGTAAGAACAAACAAAATAAGGATTGGAAATCTATTGATCCAAGTTGCTGAGTGGGATCCTAGCATAGCTTACAGAGTGGAAGAGAAAACTACAGAAACCAAGACCTCAGGGCTTAGAATCAGGTTGATGTAGTTTGAGTATCTGTCCCCTCCAAATCTCCTGTTGAAATTTGATCCCAAAATGTTGCAGGTGAGGCCTAGTGGTGAAACCGCCTTTGCGAAACTATGACTGAGACAGTGAGCGATCTAACTTAACTGACTCCATCTTGCTTCTAACTTCCAAGCTGTCCTTGTTCATTCCTGGGCGTAGGCTGAACTAACTTTGGGAGAAAGTTAGTTTATAATTTAAACAAAGACGGTAATAGCGCTTTCCCAAAGCAGACTTCCTTCTTGCCTGGGGACTAGATTGCCTTCGTAAGATTAACATTAGACACAAAATTAGAAACTATTGTTTAGGAGTCATGCAGCTGGAGGCTACAAGATTCTGACCCTCCCTAAAGTGCTTCTAAGACCAGCCCTTGAGATATTTTGCAGACCCTGCACTTGATGGATCAGCTGGCCCCACCCAGATCAATAAACTGGCTCATCTGATCTTGTGGCCCCCACCCAGGAACTAACTGAGCACAAGAAAACAGCTCCGACTCCCTATGATTTCATCTCTGACCAGTCAGCACTCCTGGCTCACTGGCTTCCCCCCACCCACCAAGTTATCCTTAAAAACTCTGCTCCCCTAATGCTCTGGGAGACCGATTTGAGTGATAATAAACTCCGGTCTCCTGCACAGCTGGCTCTGCGTGAATTATTCTTTGTCGATTGCAATTCCCTTGTCTTGATGAATCAGCTCTGTCTAGGCAGCGGGCAAGGTGAACCCCTTGGGCGATTACAGTGGGAGGTGTCTGGGTCACAGGGGCAGATCCCTCATAAATGGCTTGGTGTCAATCTCATGCAAGTGAGTTCTCACTCTGTTAGTTCCCATGAGATCTGATTGTTTTTTCTTTTGTCTTTTTAAATTTTTTATTGTTTTGCACACTGAAATATGTACATCTAAGAGATCTGATTGTTGAAAAGAGCCTGGCACCTCCCTCCCCTCTATTGCTTCCTCTCTGCCATGTGACACCCCTGCCACCCCCTCACCTTCTGCCATGAGTGGAAGCTTCCTGGGTCCTTGACAGAAGCAGGTGCTGTTGGTGTGCTTTCTGTACAGCCTGCAGATCCATGAGACAAACCTCTTTTCTTTATACATTACCAGCTTCAGGTATTCCTTTATAGCAAAGCAAAACAGGCTAAGACACAGGTCTTCCATGTTCCAAGTCCATCTCTTCGCTGGGTTACCTCTCCACATGTCTCTGCTTTTATTTAAATGTTGTTCTTATTCTTCCTAGCATGCAAAACATATCCAGCGATTGAGGGTGGTCCCTAACCAGCAACCTGGAATGAAGGAGTTCATTTCCTTGTCTCTATATCAGCATTTCCCAGACTTTAGCAGGCATCAGAATCACCTGAACTGCTTGTTACAGGACAGATTGCAGGACCACACCTCTAGAGTTTCTGTTGTGGTAGGTCTGAGGTTGGCCCAAGAATCTGAATTTCTGTTTTTGTTTTGTTTTTTGTTTTTGTTTGTTTGGAAATGAAGTTTCACTCTGTCATCCAGGCTGGAGTATAGTGGTGCAATCTCGGCTCACTACAGCCTCCGCCACCCAGGTTCAAGTAATTCTCCTTCCTCAGCCTCCTGAGTAGCTGGGACTACAGGCAAGTGCCACAGCACCCAGCTAATTTTTGTATTTTTAGTAGAGGTAGGGTTTCACCACGTTGGCAAGGCGGGTCTCGAACTCCTGACCTCAAGTGATCTGTCTCGGCCCAAAGTAGCTCACAGGTGTGAGCTACTGTGGCTGGCCAAGAATCTGCATTTCTAACAAACTTCCAGGTGCTGATCATGCTGTGAGTCCCAGGACCACACTTTGAGAACTGTTGTTATTTATTAATCCCAGAGAATGTTATCTTTCCTGTGGCTTTGCCATGCTGTTTGCCATGTATTGTTTGGTCCTACAGGGGAGGAAAAATGCTTTCTTCTACCATTATAGGTTCTTTGGCTGGTCTATAAATCAAGTTGACATAAAACAGATTAATGGTAGAAAAACAATTTTAATTACATACATATGTATGGGAGTCCCACAAAAATTAGACTCAAGGGGGTGGCCAGATGATTGAGATGCATAAATCATCCTGAGCTACAGAAAGAAATAAAAGTTTGGGGCATGAGGGTGGTGGAGACAAATTGTGGGAAGGTGAAGGGAGAAAATGTTTGGTGAACAAAGCCTGTCTTATTATGCAGATAAGTCTCTCAGGTGATCAAAGTTGCCTCAGCATAGCTCTCCTCCTGGTATAGATATTTTATAATTGTAAATGTCCTTTATTAAACCGGAAATTTATGGTTTATTTTATGTAGTTGAGTGGGAGGTAAAGAGCTTTTCCTGCATTTCTTGATTTTCAGTTTCTTTTAGCTCAAAATAATCAATCTACCAAAGTGGCATATTTTGGGTCAGCATGTTGTGAACCTCTTCATTTTCCATTGTTTTCACAATTATAATAAACTTCAGTGCTTCACCAGCTTTTCCTCATTTAATTCTCAGGATAATCCCATAAGGTAGGTGCTACATTGTTGTGACATATAAATGAGGAAGAGGAGAGTTTAAGTGACTAGCACACCATAGACCTCCCATATGTTTTTTTGAAGTATAGAAAGAATATTAGGTTTTAAATAATGGTATATTCAACATATGTTTTCCACCTCAACTTCCCAAAATACTTTCCAAAAAATGGTGGAAAAAAATCATAATCCCACAAGGACAAAAAAATGAGGAAAGAGATGACAATAATAAAATAAAATGTGGAAACTGGAAGGAGTGGCACACGACTTATTAATAGCAGACCAAAGGGCTGAAAAAGCCACCAGACTCAGGGAACAGCCAGAAGCAGCCTCGTTCTGCAGAATCCCAGAGACAGCAAAGAACTGGAAGCTCTTGGTTGCCCATGGTGGTGACAGTACACTTGAGGTTAATGGAATTTGGAGACATAGTTAAGCCCTTGGATGCCTTTGCCTAGGCTACACAGCAGGATGACAATAGCCTCCCTATTCTAGCAGAACCAGACAGACTCTGACCTTTTGGACTGTGTGTGTAGGGCTAAGGATGTGCTGCTGCACTGAAACTGGGCATTGAGTGAAAAAACTACATGCTGAAAGGTAAGGCCACATGCCCCAACACTTCTCCTTACTTAAGTCTGAGAATGCTGACGCCAGGTGACTCCTCTGTCTTCAGCAGATTTCTTTCTGGGGAAACAGATCAGACCAAGAGAAAAGACCACAGAGACTCTCAATTGGGATCCTCAGCAAAACAGCCACACCAGATCAATTAGAGTGAAGCCACCAATGGAGAAGCCCCCTGCCCCCGCACACAGTTTCCAATCAGCTTTTCAGTGCCCCTCTCTGAAATATCAGTGCCATGAATCATGAGGCATTTATATCATCTCTAAAACAAAAGAGAGACAAAAACCAATAAAAAAGAAACAGCTAGTGGACAGGAAAGAGAAAGGAAACAGAAAGAATACAGGGAATGGAAGAAAATCTAAAAAAAGAAAAAAGTAAACAAACCTCTAATTGACATCTTCAGAGAAACAAGAGAAGATCTTGGATCCTGGCGAATACAATTCTATTTTTAAAAATGAATTCCGTAAATTAAAAATAGCATAGCTGAAGTTAAATATTCAGTAGAAGGTTGGAAGATAAAGTGGAGGAAATCTCTCAGAAAGTGGAATAAGAAACAAGGAATGGAAAATAGAGACAAAATAAGAAAATGAGGAGATTAATCTGGGAAGTCCAGTTTGTGACTAAAGTGTTTCAGAGATAGAACATAGATATACTGGTTGAGGCCGGTCACAGTGGCTCATGCCTGTAATCCCAGCACTTTGGGAGGCTGAGGCTAGCAGATCACTTGAGGCCAGGAGTTTGAGACCAGCATAGCCAACGTGACAAAACCCCATCTCTACTAAAAATACAAAAATTAGCTGGGCTTGGTGGTGCACACCTGTAATCCCAGCTACTCGGGAGGCTGAGGCAGGAGAATTGCTTGAACCCAGGAGGTAGAGGTTGCAGTGAGCAGAGATTGCATCACTGCACTCCAGCCTGGGTGAAACCGTGTCTCTAAAAAAAAAAAAAAAAAAAAAAAATTGGTTGAGAGGAAGGATTGGGCAAAAGATTTCTGAGAGCTCAATGACAGTCATCTTCAGATTGTAAGGTCCCACAGAATGTCCACAAGGCCATCTTGTGCAGTCATCCAAGTTGTATCTATGGACTAAGATGGGAATAGGGCTCCCTAAAGTGATGCAGTGCACAACCTACACAACTGGATGTGGCAGCCCAAGGAATGCAAAAAGACTCATGCTTTCAACTAGGAATTTTAGAGTACTAGGGATAGAAAAAATAGTCTCAAAGCTTTCAGAGAGGAAAAATAAGTCATATCCAGAACCTTAAGAAAAACAATGGCATCAGACTTCTCAACAGAAACATTATAGCCAGAAGACCATGGAACAATCCTTTGCAAAATGTTCAGGGAAAATGATTTATAATCCTTGATTCTATACCCAGCTATCTCCCTTGGTACTCTTAATTGTAAACAGCAGAATCCATGCAGTTAGTTTAAGCAGATAGGAAATTTATTGATCTCGGACTTCTTAGGTTGTTCATGGACTTTTCTTTTTTTTCTTTTCTAACGTATAGGAAAAATTTAACCAGGTTGGTGAGTACTAGTGAAAAAATAATGAATAGCAAAAATGAATAAAGCCCTCATTCACCCTGGGGGTTATTTTCTTCGAATTTGAAATAATCGTTAGTAAGAAAATTTCTTATAGTAATCTGTGATAAATACATTTTAAACTGTAAGCTTTGTAAAAAAATTATGTTAAAAATGTTGGCTTGAGGCTGGGTGCCATGGCTCACATCTGTAATCTCAGGATTTTGGGAGGCCGTGGTAGGAAGATTGCTTGAGGCCAGGAGTTTGAAACCAGCTGGGGCAACCAGCAAGACTCTACAAAAAATAAAAAGTAAAAAAATTAGCCAGGTGTGGTGGCATGTGCCTGTAATCCTAGCTACTTGAGAGGCTGAGGCAGGAGGGTTGCTTGAGCCCAGGAATTGGAGGCTATAGTGAACTATGATCACACCAATGCACTCCAGTCTAGGCAACAAAGCAAGACCCTGTCTCTAAAAATTAATTTAAAAAAAAAATTGACTTGAGTAAAAAGTTTGAGTCAGCACACAATTCCGTTAGGTACCAATAGTTTAAATTCACTAAATTGAATTTGGGAGGAAAGAAAAGCCTCTCTTAATCTACTCTATATACCTTATCAAGTTTTCTTTAAATTTCAGCATATCAACATTTAAACATAATAGAGAATGGATTTTGGAGAAAGAGAAATTACAACATTGTGAAAGTTAACTTACACAGTTTTACACGTAACTCTTTGCACCGAGGGCATTTTATCCCTATATGAGAGAGTACTATTTTTGAAGTCTTTGCCTCAGTTTTTATGAACTACTTAATTTATGCCCGTTTCTTGTGGCCTATAAAATATATTTCATCCTTTTATTTCTTTGCCTTTTTTTTTAAGAGTTAGCCATATTAGGCTTTAGTTTGTTTGTTTGTTTGTTTTTTGAAGACCTTCCCTTACACAGTAACTATTTTTTTAAAAATCTCCTTAAATAATGGTAAGATTTATTTTCTTTGTGTGTGTTTTTTTTTTTTTTTTTGTATGTGTGTGTGTGTGTGTGTGTGTGTTTTTTATTGAGACAGAGTCTCACTCTGTCACCCAGGCTGGAGTGCAGTGGTGCAATCTCAGCTCACTACAACCTCTGCCTCCTGGGTTCAAATGATTCTTGTGTCTCAGCCTCCTGAGTAGCTGCGATTTCAGGCGCGTTCCACCATACCTGGCTAATTTTTGTATTTTTAGTAGAGACGGGATTTCGCCATGTTGGCCAGGCTGGTTGCTTCGGCCTTCCAAAGTGCTGGGATTACAGGTGTGAGCCACTGCATCCAGCCAAGATTTATTTTCAAATCAGAGGATTTTCAACTTGAAAATAAGCCATTGCCAAAGGTATCTATGAGCTGAGCCTGATATCTAAACTTTTCTTTTTCTTTTCTTTTTTTTTTTTTTTTTTTGCTTTTTGCTATCTCAAAGTCATCAGAATGAAGGATTTTTCCTTTTAATGATGCATTTCCTGGGCTGATTAGAGTGTGGTGAAGCTCTGTGACTCTCCGTTGATACAATAGAACACATTAATGTAAATTTGCCTCATTGTTCTGTATGTGTTTGCTGATTCTGTGCACTTGAACCATTCAGATTATATTGATAAGAATATTATATTTTGAAGGTAGGGAATTAAATGATCGTTTCTAATTATGTTAAAATATGTAAGCATTTGGATTTACTTTCGGTGTACATTAAAAATCTCTGAGGTTGAACATGGTGGCCCACGCCTGTAATCTCAGCGCTTTGGGAGGCCAAGCTGGGGAGATTGTTTGAAGCCAGGCATTTGGGACAAGCCTGGGCAAGATAGTGAGACCTCGTTTCCACAAAAAATAAAAATAAATTGCCAGGTGTGATGGCACCCGCCTGTAGTCCCAGCTACTTGGGAGGCTGAAGTGGGAGGACTGCTTGAGCCCAGGAGTTCAAGGTTGCAATTAACTATGATTGCATCACTGCACTCCAGCCTGGGCAACAGAGTGAGACCCTGTCTCAAAAAAAGAAAAAAATCTCTGGGAAACAGGACTATTTTTTTTTTTCATTTGCCTTTGAGAGATAATCTAGCTGACTGATAATACATGTGAACTTGGAGTTTCAGACTGATTGAGACACGGTAAGATTTGGGCTAGCCTTATAAACAAAATGGGAACAAAGGAAATTATGGATGACACCTCTTACCGGATCATGAAAATATATCATGGTTTGATTGAGAGCTCAGTGTGAGCCTTTAGCATGATTTGGAGAGTCTGCTTCTAGAATCTGGAAAACTCTTTCACATGCCTGACCAGTGTAAATAAGTATTTGTTAAGTAAGTGACAGGTAAAATAAATAAATAAATAAATCTAGAAAAATAGTCTATGTTTTCAAAGTAATTATATATTTTCCCTTAAAATCTTTGACTTTTCTAAATGTAAGTTTAAGTAACACTCTTACGTTATTCTTGGATTTGCCCAAGTAGAATTAAAGGCTTTATCTGCAGTCTATTTTTGTATCATGATAATTTATCCATTGGAAGCAAGTTTGACATTGTGAAGATGAAGCAGTTATCTTCTAATGAGGGTTCCCAGAATAGAATCAGCATATTAATAAGCCTGCCTGTCATTTACCTGAAATCCATTAACTGCTTAATGTTTGTCAACTATTCATAGATCATGCCTGATTAATTACTGACTGTTGACTTCATTAGGCATTGTTAGTAGATCAAAGGGGTAGTAAGCCTAACAAAATAATAAGCAATGGTTGGTCACTTAAATCCCAAAAGCAGATTTTTATCTACTGATTGACTGATTGATTGAGACAAGGTCTTACTCTGTTGCCTAGGCTGGAGTTTAGTGGTGCAGTCATAGCTCACTGTAAGCTTGAACTCCTGGTCTCAAGCAATCCCCCCACCTCAGCCTCCTGAGTAGCTGAGACTACAGTTCACACCACCATGCCCAGCTAATTCTTTATTTTAATTTTTATTAGAGATGAGGTCTTGCTGTGTTGCCCAGGCTGGTCTTGATTCCTAGGCTCAAGGGATCTTCCTGCCTCCTCCCAAAGTTGCTGGGATTATAGACATGAGCCACTGCACTTGGCCTAAAAGCAGATTTTTTAAAATCTACCCATTTGCACACTGACCAAAAGCAGGTTCTTTTAAAAATACCTTTTGTATGAATTTAAGAGAATCTCTAATTCATATAATTATTAACTAACAATCAAATCTGTTATTACCGGAACAGCTACTACTGCTTGATTGAGTTTAATAGGAATCAGTCAACTGATGATCCTCTGTACAAATACCTCTCTTCTAGCTATTTTGAAATATATAACTAGTATATTTAGCATATACTAGTTGGCTAATTATTATAGATATAATTGTAGGGTTTTGTCTTATTAGTTGTCAGTCAACCAAGGAAGAAAAAGTAAGAGTCTTTTACAAAAAGCCTATGGGAGTGGGTAGGATGAAGCTGAACTTTCTTTTTTTGAACACAGCCGATATAGAGCTCCATAAGAAACATGTTTGCCTGTATCAGTTACCAATTAGTTGCCATCCAGATGAATACACAATGTGATACATTTGTTACATTTTAGCAATATGGTTTTTGTGAAGCCAGTATGTATCTTAAACATTAAGAAAGGCATTATTCATTTATTAATTGATACGGTTTGGCTGTGTCCCCACCCAAATCTCATCTTGAACTGTAGCTCCCATAATCCCTGAGTGTCATGGGAGGGATCTGGTGGGAGGTAATTGAATCATAGGGGCAGGTTTTTCCCCATGCTGTTCTCATGAGGAAGTCTCATGAGATCTGGTGGTTTTATAAAGGGCAGTTCCCCTGCACACACCCTCTTGCCTACTGCCATATAAGACGTATACTTGCTCTTCATTCACTTTCTACCATGATTGTGAGGCCTCCCCAGCCAATTGGAAATGTGAGTCTATGAAATCTCTTTCCTTTATAAATTACCCGATCTCGGGTATGTCTTTATTAGCAGCATGAGAACCAGACAAACACATCCATTCAACAAATATTTATGTGCTGAGGTATTAGGTGAAGTTGGAGATGTGGGCAGGGGCCAGGTTCTGTAGGGTCCTATAGGTCATGACAAGGAGTTTGGACATTATTGTTATCAAACTTGGTGAAGTGTCTTAAATAAACAAATAAAACATTTGTTTTGCTGTCTAAAAATATCACCGTGCTGGGCCAGGAATATGCTGCAGTAAGGCAAGAGTTAAGGGGTTATTGCAATAGTCAGGGCAAGAAAGAATGGTGGCTTGAATCAGGGTAAATGTGGTGGCAAGGGAGAAAAGTCAGCAGGTTCAGGTTGTGTAGGTTGAGAAACTAGCAGCTGAGTGAACAGAGAACCTGAACTCCATCTGATACCTACATGTGTTTTTCTTAGATGAAAGACAATGTTATAATGACTGCTAAGGTAGAGAACACACATTTATATACCCCTTTTAAAAACTGTTACTTTATAACGTTTGTACATATTTATGGGGTGCATGTGATATTTTGTTACATGCGTAGATTGTGTAATGACTAAGTCAGGGTATTTGTGGTGTTCATCGATGATAAATACTTTGAGTATTTATCAGTTCTATGTGTTGGGAACATTTCAAGTCCTCTCTTCTAGCTATTTTGAAATATGTAATACATTGTTGTTAACTACAGTCACGCTACTCTGCTACTGAACACTAGAACTTATTCCTTCCACCTAACTGCATTTACCTTTTTAAAAATGTTTACCTGAAATTTTGGAAATGGTCTACAAATCAGTGCCATTTCATCCATTCTATAGTGAAATTACTGAACAGAGGAATACTATTGGATATGCAAGACAGATAAGAGAATGTATAGACCTATTGAATATTAAGCAAAGGTACCCTGACATAACTTTATTAAGTTCCAAGTGAGTAATTTTCAATGTATAGCACAAGGAAAAGCTTTCCCTGTGTTGAATGATCTAATTGTTGGGAAGAATACAGCTCCTATGTCCCTGGAGTCAATTTTCTACTGCACGGAGATGCACCGAGCAAGGAGGTTGCACAGGGTATGAAATCTCCAGGAACAAATGAAGCTGAGATCGCCTAAGCAGCAGTCCTATATTCCAGAGATACCACTGAATGATTTATGATTCTGATATAAGAAATCTGAAAAGTCAATTTGGTTGAGGAGGTTTTTGATTTGGAAGCTTCAAGAGATGATTTAATGAGGTTGGTTTGGCAAGGGAGAGAATCCCTCAGGTATTTTTATGTCATTTCTACCAAGAGCTTCATATAGCCAGTACAAAGAAGCACTCCCTATCTCCTGTACACATGATTTTCTTTCCTTTTTTTTTTTTTTTTTTTTGATGGAGTCTTACTCTGTTGCCCAGGCTGGAGTGCAGTGGCACGACCTTGGCTCACTGCAACCTCTGCCACTTGGGTTCGAGCGATTCTCCTGCCTCAGCCTCCTGAGTACCTGGGACTACAGGTGCCTGCCACCGCACCTGGCTATTTTTTGTAATTTTAGTAGAGACAAGATTTCACCATCTTGGCCAGGCTGGTCTTGAATTCCTGACCTTGTGATCCAGCCGCCTCAACCTTACAAAGTGCTGGGATTACAGGCGTGAGCCACTGCACCTGGCCCACATGTTTTTATATCTATTGAGGCAATAACACATAAATACATAAAACAATGAACAAAAGAGCTTGAACATTGAGTATTAAAATATGATGGAAAGAGCATAGACTTTGAAGTCAGACATAGCTTCAAATCTTGCTTTTTTCCCCCCTCAACCAAATGAGTGACTTCAGGCAAATTACTAACCTCATTGAGTCTTGAGAAAAAACAAATGGAGATACTGGTACCTTTTCTTCCCCCAGTGTAGTAGGATCAAGTAGAAAAACCTGAACTATTATAGATGCTTAATGAGTGTTTTAAGTTTCAATAGAGTAATTTTGAATTACAGAACAAGGAAGAACTTCCCCATGTTGAAGGACTTAGGATGATGCCTGATAAGAAAATTGTTAGCCTACCCATTTGTTCTGAGTGTCCCTTGAGTGGCGATGAATGAAACAAAGCTTGGGAGTGTCAGGTTTGTGTTATTGAATAGTCAGAGATGAGAAAACTATAAAATGTGCAAATTGTAAAGTCCAGGGAAGCGTAAAAGGCATTAGAAAGGGAAAGATGAGTATGGGCTTTTAGTAAACTGGAAACTATTAGTCTCAGAAGGCTGATTAAAATGTGGATAAGCAAGTAGAAGGCGGGGTGTGATAGGAAACTGGAAATATCCATTACCTTTCTCTTGTGAACTGAAATCCTCTTCCCCAGCCAGGATCAGGGCTAGGAGAGCCAGCCAAACCAGATGATCTTTCTGTTTTCCTTTTCCTGGTTCAATTTCTGCTGGACTCTGACTCTCAGCCAAGGTAACTCAAAAGGTCTCTGCTTTCAGTAGCAGGTTCTGCTGCCAACTTCTGTCTCCACATCTTCAAAATCAAGGTAGAATTTTACACTGCCAAGTGCACCAGACAAAAAGCAGAACCACTCTTTGATTTCTCTTTCTTTTCTCTTTCTTTCTCCTTTCTCTCTCTCTCTGTTTCTTCTTTCTTTCTTTCCTCTCCTTCCTTTCTTTCTTTTCCTTCCTTCCTTCCTCTCTCTCTCTCTGTCTTTCTTTCTTTCTCTCTCTCTTTCTTTCTTTCCTTCTTTCTTTCTTTCTTTTTTCCTTTGAGACAGGATCTTATTTTGCTGCCCAGGCTTGAGTACAGTGGCATAATCATGGCTCCCTGCAGCCTCAACCTTCTGGGCTCAAGCAACCCTCCCATCTCAACCTCCTGAGTAGCTGGGACTACAGGCATATGCCACCATGCCTGGCTAAATTTTATTTATTTATTTGGAGACGAGGTCTCACTATATTGCCCAGGCTTGTCTCAAATTCCTGAGCTCAAGCAATCCTCCCTCCTCAGCCTCCCAATGTGCTGGGATGACAGACATGAGCCACCACGCCCAGCCCCCTTTGATTTCTTAGAAGAAACAATATGTATGGAGCTCCACATGTATGCAAAGAACTTCGTGGTGTACTTTGTAAAATGGAGAGAACTCCAAGTCAGTGCTTAATCTCAAGGCAAGAGAGGCTCAGAATCTATGATAATTTAAGGGACCATGGATATGTAAAAGGAGATGGCCCTGAGAGTCAAATGGCAAAATTCATCCTTTATGGATTTGTGAGGAAAGCAGTTACTTTGTGAAATGAAGCTGATGCAGTAATGCGTGGGGTTGTTGTTAAGAGCAAATGAACAAATACACAGAAAAGCACGTAGAACATTGCCCTGCACACAGTGTGTGTTCAGCAAATGTGAGCAATTATTGGCTTCAAGCAGTGCTTCCTAATCTGCCTAATGATAAAAATCACCTGGGAGGGCTTGTTAAATTTGAAGGTTTCCAGATCCCTCTCTGAAGATTCTATTTGGGTTGGCCTGAAAAAATGTGGGGGAGATGAAATGTTTATGTTCAGCAAGTGTCCTGGAATTCTTCAGATTTCTTTAGTTTAGAAAATACCACCTGAAAGCAATGTTTCTCAGATTATCAGTATTTCAGAGACATCTGGGTGTCCTGCCCACAGGGTCCTGGAAAATAGTGAATCATCTACATATTAACAAAAGTCTTAAGATAATTCCGAAACTGGTAGAGTTGCAAAGGGGCTTTATCTCACTTCTTTAAAATGCCCCTTAAAGAGATCCACTGGCTTCTTGTTTTGTTTTGTTTTCAAAACAGAGTTTTGTTCTGTTGCCCAGGCTGGAGCACAGTGGTGCGATCTCGGCTCACTGCAACCTCCGCCTCCCAGGTTCAAGCAATTCTCCTGTCTCAGCCTTCTGAGTAGCTGGTATAGGCATGCGCCACCACGCCTGGCTAATTTTTGTATTTTTAGTAGAGATGGGGTTTCACCATGTTGGCCAAGCTGGTCTCAAACTCCTGACCTCTTGATGCGCCCACCTCGGCCTCCCAAAGTGCTGGGATTACAGGCTTGAGCCATCACACCCAGCCTCCACTGGCTTCTTATACACTATTTCCAAACTTTGGTTCTTGGTCCAAATATCAAAATTTTGGAGGGAAAAGGAGGCAGTTAGGTATCTCTAAATTCTGATTCCTAGGCTTGTCCTGCTGTGATCTTTAATCAGTAGATTTGGGGTGGGGCCTGAGCATCTGCATAGTTTAAGTTTCTCAGGATATTCTGTTGTGCATCATGCTTTGGGAACCCTTAGACTCTACCCCAGAGCAAGACAGCTGGGTTGGTATTAAGATACCTTGGGAAAGAATGTGTCCATTCAGAACAGGACTGGTTCCTGGAGAAATACAGGGGATGATTGAGAGTGACAGGAGGCAGCCAGATGCCTAAGCAGTTAGGGGCAGGTCCCCAGTAAAACTTTACTTCCAAGCTGAAGACAATTTGAAACCTGAAAGCCAAGCTACAGGTTAAATCCTCAAACTGGGATTGACAACTTGTCTTCCCATTTGGTGTGCTTTCTTCTAATTGACCCCACCCTTCACCTATTTTACACATATCTACCCTTTCCTAATTGGTTTTCTACACCGTCGTGCCCACCTTTGGGTGGTGTCTTCGCTTCAACCTTTTTTGCATATGCACAAACCCATCAGCATGCACTCCCCATGCTGAGTCCTTAAAAGACCCCCAACCTAGGCACACAGCAGGAACTTTTCGCACCTTTGGGTAGGGGAACCACGTCCCTCCCACCCCCAATGTCCCCTCTCTGCTGAGAATTTTCCTTTCGCTTAATAAATTCTACTCCACTCACTCTCCAGTGTCCACATGTCTAATTCTTCTGACAAGAACTTGAACTTCGCTGAGCTAAGGAGCAGAAAGACCGCAACAAAATGAGAACCCTCAAGTGAGCGAAGAGCCCCAGGGCCCCTGCTCATTCATTCTGGCTTCTCGGATTCCAGACCTGGTGCCTCAGCTGCCGGCAGCAGCCAGCTCAGGGAAAGGAACCCGGCCACACAAAAAATCACTAGGCTCTTCTTCCAGGCGGGCCTAAGAAGCCACTTCTATAGGTGACCTCTTTATACCAGGGAGGCACCCAGCAGGCTTGTCATCCTGTTTGTGTTGGCCTCTGTCTGAATTGCAGCTCCTGCAATTGACTGTGATCTCTGTCACATCCTGTGAACCCCAAATGTCTGAGACAGGTCTCAGTCAATTTAGGAAGTTTATTTTGCCAAAGTTAAGAATGTGCACCCATGACACAGCCTCAGGAGGTCCTGATGACATGTGTGCAAGGTGTTCAGGGCACATTTTGGTTTTATACATTTTAGAGTAACATGAGACATAAATCAATATATGTAAGATGAACATTGGTTTGGTTCAGAAAAAGGGTTGCATTCATTTTTAGTTTGTTTGTTTTTGAGACAGAGTTTCACTCTTGTTGCCCAGGCTGGATTGCAATGGCGTGATCAGCTGACTGCAACCTCTGCCTTCTGGGTTCAAGCAATTCTCCTGCCTCAGCCTCCTGAGTAGCTGGGATTACAGGTGCCTGCCACCATGCCCAGCTAATTTTTTGTATTTTTAGTAGAGATGGGATTTCACCATGTTGGCCAGGCTGGTCTTGAACTCCTGTCCTCAAGTGATCCACCTGTCTCAGCCTCCCAGAGTGCTGGGATTACAAGTGTGAGCCACCGTGCCTGGCCAATGGTTGCATTCTTTTGAGTTTCTGATTGGCCTTTCCATAAGAGGCAATTAGATATGCATTTATCTCAGTAAGCAGAGGAAGGCTTTGAATAGAATGGGAAGCAGGTTTGCTCTAAGCAGTTCCCAGCTTAAATTTTCTCTTTAGCTTAGTGATTTTGGGAGTCCAAGATTTATTTTTCTTTCACACCTCCCTTCTTGCATCTCTCATTGCCCCACACAGGCAAGGAGAGCCTCTCTCCCATGGGCTTTAGCCTTTCCTGTGGCCTCCAGAGCTTCTGTTCTGTAATCAGTGTGTCCTCTTCAGCCTCAAACTATCCCGTATTGTTTCTCTCTCCTCCTCGACTCAACTTGGGACTCTCTCAAATGGGACTATTTATTTCCTTTTTCCCCAAATGCCTCAAAGTCAGGATAAGAGGGGCAGTGTCTTTTGTGGTCACCCCTAAAACATTTTCAAGGTCACGAGTCTACTGTGGAAACAATTAAATTCATCTTTCTTATGGTGCTTACTTAGCAGCCCAACTCCTGACTGTTTTTAGAAAACTGCAGGGTTCACCTATAACATATCCTTCTCTGGGGCCTCTTGTTTCCTTGATGGGGCGAATGATGTTGTGTGTGTCTGAGCATACTCAGTGTTCCTAGTATTGTTACTGAAAACGGGTTTGTACTAGTCCATTTTTACACTGCTGGTAAAATGAGACTGGGCAATTTACAAAAGAAAGAGGTTTAATGGACTCACAGTTCCATGTGGCTTGTGAGGCCTCGCAATCATGGTGGAAGGTGAAAGGCTCGTCTCACATGCAGGCAGACAAGAGAAGAGAATGAGAGCCAAGCACAATGGGTTTCCCCTTATAAAACCATCATATCTTGTGAGACTTATTAACCACCATAAGAACAGGATGGGGGAACCCCCCACCATGATTCAATTATCTCCCACTGGGTCCCTCCCACAACATGAAGGAATTATAGGAGCTACAATTTAAGATGAGATTTGGGTGGGGACCCAGCCAAACCATATCACGGTCCTGATCCAGATCCCAAGAGAGGGTTCCTGGATCTTTTGCAAGAAATAATTCAAGGTGAATCCATAGAGTATATAGTGAAAGCAAGTTTATTAAGAAAGTAAAGGAATAAGAGTGGCTACTCCTTAGGCAGAGCAGCCCCAAGGTCTGCTGGTTGGCTATGTTTATCTCCCTTCTTTTCCTTCCCTTCCCTTTCCTTCCCTTTCCTTCCCTTCCCTTCCCTTCCCTTCCCTTCCCTTCCCTTCCCTTCCCTTCCCTTCCCTTCCCTTCCCTTCCCTTCCTTTCCATTCCTTTCCCTTCCCTCCCCTCCCCTCCCCTCCCCTCTTGCATTTTTTTCTTTTTCTCTCTTTGTCGCCCAGGCTGGAGTGCAGTGGCATGATCTCAGCTCACCTCCATCTCCACCTCCCAAGTTCAAGCGATTCTCCTGCCTCAGCCTCCCGAGTAGCTGGGATCCAAGGCGTGTGCCACTATGCCCAGCTAATTTTTGTATGTTTAGTAGAGACAGGGTTTCACCATGGTGGCCAAGCTGGTCTCGAACTCCTGGTCTCAAGTGACCTGCCTGCCTCAGCCTCCCAAAATGATGGGATAATAGGCATGAGCCACTGTGTGCCGGGCCCTATTTCTTGATTATATGCTAAACAAGGGGTAGATTATTCTTGAGTTTTCTAAGAAAAGGCTGGGCAATTCCCAGAACTCAGGGCTTCTCCACTTTTTAGACCACAGAGGGTAACTTCGTGATGTCGCCATGTAACTTCCTGATGTTGCCATGGCATTTGTAAACTATTATGGTGCTGGTGGGAGTGTATTTTAGCATGCTAATGCATTATAATTAGTGTATAATGAGCAGTGAGGATGACCAGAATTCATTCATTGCCATCTTGGTTTTGGTGGGTTTTGGCTGGCTTCTTTACAACATGTTGTTTTGTCAATAAGGTCTTTGTGACCTGTACCTTGTGCTGACCTCCTGTCTCATACTGTGACTTAGGATGCCTTTACCTCCCAGAAATGCAGCCCAATAAGTCTCAGCCTTATTTTATCCGGCCCCTATGCAAGATGGAGTCACACTGATTTGAACACTTCTGATAATATGTCCAATGTGAGAATGAAGGTGGCCAGAGGCAGAGGTGATTATTAGGCCAGGTTGAATGAGCAGTGCTGAAAATGCACAGCAGGGTAAGGGGAAGCCTGACAGAAACATTTCTTTTTCTTTTCTTTTTTGAGACAGGGTCTCGCTTTGTTGCCCAGGCTGGAGTGCAGTGGCGCAGTCATGGCTCACTGAAGCCTCAAATTCCCAGGCTCAATCTATCGTCCCATCTCAGCCTCCCCAGTAGCTGAGACTTCAGACACACACCACTACACCCAGCTAATTTTTGTATTTTTTGTAGAGATGAGGTTTTGCCATGTTTCCCAGGCTAAAACTTAACTTTTCCTCCCCTCCCCGCCTCCCTCCCTCCCTCCTTTCTTTCCTTCCTTCCTTCCTTCCTTCCTTCCTCTCCTGCTTTCTTGTCTCTCTCTGCCACTAAGGCTGAAGTATACTGTTGTGATGTTAGCTCACTGTAGCCTTGAACTCCTGGGCTCAAGCGATCTTCCAGCCTCCTGAGAAGCTGGGACTATAAGCAGACACCATCATGCCCAACTAATTTTTTTTTTTTTTGAGATAGAGTTTCACTCTTATTGCCCAGGCTGGAGTGCAGTGGTGCAGTCTTGGCTCACAGAAACCTCTGCCTCCTGGGTTCAAGTGATTATCTTGCCTGAGCTTCCCAAGTAGCTGGGATTATAGGCACCCGCTACATGCCCGGCTAATTTTTGTATTTTTAGTAGAGATGGGGTTTCACCATGTTGCCCAGGCTGGTCTTGAACTCCTGACCTCAGGTGATCTGCCTGCCTCGGCCTCCCAAAGTGCTAAGATTATAGGTGTGAGCCACCATACCCGGCCCCAACTAATTTTTTAATTTTTAAAATTCTTTTAGAAATAGGGTGTCACAGTGTTGCCCAGGCTGGTCTCAAACTCCTGGGTTCAAGTGATCCTCCTGCCTCAGTTTCCCAAAGTGTTGGGATTACAGGTGTAAGCTACCATGCTTGGCCCCAAAACATTTATTAGGGGCCATTTTAATCAAGAAATAAGCTGGCTGGTGCTATGGCTCATGCCCATAATCCCAGCACTTCGGAAGGCTGAGTTGGGAGGATTGCTTGAGGCCAGGAGTTTGAGACCAGCCTGAGAAACATAGTGAAACCCCCATCTCTATAAAAAAATGAAAGTTTAGCCAGATGTGGTGGTGCATACCTGTAGTTCCAGTTACTCGGGAGGCTGAGGCAGGAGGATCCCTTGGGCCCAGGAGTTTGAGGCTGCAGTAAACTATAATCACATCACTGCACTAGTCTGGGCAACAGAGTAAGACTCTGTTTCCAAAAAAAAAAAAAAAAAGCAAGCATTAATACCTCATATGCAGCTTCTGACTTGCCATAAAATGTACACATCATGTCGTGAAAGAAGTTATGTTTTTAGATATAGAGCAATTCTCAAAGTGCCATCACAAGGGGGAGGAAGTAGTGGTGGGGATGGTTGGCCCTAGACATAAGCAGTAAGAAGATGCACTGATGTAACGAATTTAAAAGCAATAATCAAACTCACAACAAATCTGTGTGCTTCACTTAAAAATCTTAATATGCTAGCAATTCTAAACAATATTGATAAAATATGCCTTCCAAAAACTCCAATTCTTAACAATTGCTCTGATAACTGGGTTTACTATTGAGTAAGCTTCAAATGAGCACATTTTAATTACTTTTTTTTTTTCTTTTTTGAGATGAAGTTTTGCTCTTGTTGGAGCAAAGCTCCAGGCTGGAGTTCAATGACACAATCTCAGCTCACTGCCATCTCCACCTCCCTGGTTCAAGCAATTCTCCTGCCTCAGCCTCCCAAGTAGCTGGGATTACAGGCGCCCGCCACCATGCCCAGCTA
This sequence comes from Homo sapiens, assembly GCF_000001405.40. Lineage (NCBI taxonomy): Eukaryota > Metazoa > Chordata > Mammalia > Primates > Hominidae > Homo > Homo sapiens. The sequence continues at coordinate 23,477,082 of NC_000010.11, forward strand.
ATTTTTGTATATTTAGTAGAGACGGGGTTTCAACTAAATTGACCAGGTTGGTCTTGAACTTCTGACCTCAGGTGATCTACCCTCCTCAGCCTCCCAAAGTGCTGGGATTACAGGCGTGAGCCACCACGCCTAGCTTTAATTGCTTATTCTTGATTTTCATTTTTACTTATTTAGTTTTAGAGATAAGGTCTTGCTCTGTGGCCCAGGCTGGACTGCAGCCTTGAACTCCCAGGCTCAAGTGATCCTCCCATGTCAACCTCCCAAGTAGCTGGGACTACAGGCCTGAGTCACCGTATGTGCCTAATTAAATTTTTTTTTTTTTTTTTTTTTTTTTTTTGTGGAAATGGGTTTTGATATGTTGCCCAGGCTGGTCTGGAACTCCTTGCCTCAAGCGACATGTTGAGATTACAGGCATGAGGCACTGTGTTTAACCTAATTACTTATCCTTTAGTAAACATTGTATCCTAGCTGCACGTTAACCTGGAACACTTGCAGGTATACAGTCAGTCATACAGTGGACTCATCTATGTGTATTCATTCACAGAAGATGCTCATGAAGGCTCAGCATCTTCGGAGGCCTTTTCCAAGCACCATGGCACTGCATATTCTTGATTTTCACAGTAGTCTTGGAATAAATAATGATAGTATGGGATTGCAAAGAAAAGAAACAGCCTGAATTACTTTATTTATTTATTTATGAGACAGAGTTTTGCTCTTGTCACCCAGGGTGGAGTGCAGTGGTGCGATCTCAGCTCACTGCAACCTCCACTTCCTGGGTTCAAGCAATTCTCCTGCCTCAGCCACCCAAGTAACTGGGATTACAGGTGCCACCACTGCTGGCTAATTTTTTTGTATTTTTTGTAGAGACGGATTTGGCCAGGCTGGTCTTGAACTCCCAACCTCAGGTGATCTGCCCACCTTGGCCTGGGATTACAAAGTGCTGGGATTACAGGTGTGAGCCACCGCTCCTGGCCCCCCTGAATTACTTTAATCTGTCATTCCCTGTGGCTACTTGGAGTTTCTATTTGTGTTTAAAATTCAAAAGAGTGAAAAAAAAAAAAGAGACTTAATTGCATCATATAATATTTTTGTTTGGCAAGTGCAGATTTTATTTCATACATGAAATATTTTATTGGATTTGAATAGTATCTTTTAAACTGAAATTTATTCTTTAATTTTAATAAATTGTTTTTAAACTAAAGAACAAATAAAATAATAATTATTATGAATTATTTCATGATTATTGCTTTTTGGAGCATAGATGAATGAGGTGTTAAAAATGATGCACTCTGATTGTCTAATATGCTAGAAATACTAGGTGCATGGCTGATTCCTCAAAACATCACTGTTGGCTTCAATTAAAAGAGAGCATATTAATTAAGATAGAGAGAAAGTAGGTTTTATAACCAACTTTTCATCTCCCTCCACTCCCATAATAATTCAGGAAAAATTGAGTAACTTATTAAAATCTCTGAATATGCTTTATCACCTATGAGGGGGCTTCAATGACCAGAGGCGTTTGTTCCTTGAATGTTTCACATTTCAAAATTTATGTCTGTTCGATGGCAATTTGGGGAAAATTTGTCTTTTATTTTTTATTAAAAAAATTTCTTTTGAGACAAGGTCTCAATCTGTTGCCCAGGCTGGAGTGTAGTGGTGTAATCATGACTCACTGCAGCCTTAACCTCCTGGGCTCAAGGGATTCTCTTGCCTCAGCCTCCTGAATAACTGGGACTACAGGCATGTACCACCATGCCCAGCTAATTTTTTAAATTTACTTTTTTTTTTTGTACAGATGGGGGTCTCACTTTGTTGTCCACGCTGGTCTCAAACTCGTGGCCTCAAGCAACCCTCCTACCTGAGCCTCCCAAACTGCTGGGATTATACGCATGAGCTTGGCCTAGACAAATTGTCTTTTAAACATGGTAAACATGTTAATAGGTATTTTTAATTTATTGATTATCTATCATCTTGTGACGGAAAGTTTCCTAATAATTTTAAAATAAGGAAAAATGTTTGGCATTGAGTGTTGTAATTTAGGAAGTAGCCTAAGATATGGTCACCAAGTTTAATTTAAGTAGTAAAATATTTTGGGGGTATGTACACATGGCAGCACTTAGTGAAAATTGCAGATAGTGAAAGATACTTTTTGAAATTTGTTCAATAAGTTACTCGTGAATTATTCGATTTTCTGGAGACCAAGGGTGTTTTCTCAGGTTGGTCAAGTTCTCATTCCCTAGGTGTAGCTTGACCTCCTGGCCACATGCTCTTAAAACCATTGGCAGGGATCACCTGCAGGATTTAAATAGTTTCCTCTCCCTCTTCCCTCTCCCTTTCCTCTTTCCCTTCCTCACCTCTCTGCATTTTTGTCCCTCTCTTCCTGGTTTTACTTTCATGCCAAAGGCTTACAGTTAAATTCCCTTGAGTTACATTTGCAAAATTAATTTGTGTATCATCCAACTCCACAGTATTTGGCAAGTCATGGTATTTTGGCTTCTATCTTCATTTCACTTGCATTAAAACAGATTAAAACAATCCAAGGAATACAGAGTGTAGCATTAAGATAAATGCATGCTACACGGTTGGGAGTTCGTTACGTGCATATTTTTGCAAATAAATCTGACCTTAAAAGGTAATTGCTTTAGGACCTTGAAAAAATCAAGGATGAAGGATTTCTCTTAAGCAGCATACTTTTGATTCTCCAGGGTTAGCAAAGAGAAGAGCTTTCAGAACACCAAAGTCAATGATAAGTCAAAGAGTTTAGCTACATTCTCCTTTGTTTTCTACCCAAAACATATTAAGCAATATCTGGATATTACTCTCATTGGTTTTTGGGCATCTACAAATGAGATAGTACTTTATAAAATCTCTGAACAGCCCTGGACTTGTGTTTACTTGGGCAGAGGTATATACAAAGGAACTGGCCTGCAGCACACAACTGAATTTGGTGGCCCTGAGTGAGTATCTACTTTATAAGGTGGTGGTGTTCTGCCCTCTACTATCACCCCTGGAATAAAAAATATAGGTGAGAAGACACCAGTCATCACTTTCTCTTCCCTGGAGGCATGCTCATTGGGCCGATTTTCTCTAATAACTTTCCTAACTGGAGAGGGTGCATGCACACATTTTAAATTAAGAGAGGATTTCTACAGGCAAACAGAACACGTTCTCCCCTTGTTGCAATATTTGTCTTCTGGGAAAGGACTTGCAGAGCCTTGTGGTAAGTTGCTTAATAGTGGTCATGGTCGGTTAATCTCATTTTTCCCTCTAAGAGAGAGGGGACAAAATAACTGCCTGGTGAATATCAGGGTCCCTAGGCTTATATGGGGAAATTGGATGAAAGTTCTCCCAGGACAGCAATGTTTTATTCTGAAATCAAAAATTGGCTTTCCAGGGCAGGGATTTTGAGGGGAGTCCATAATCCTCAGGGAAGTCCTTGGTCTTTGGGTGGGCTCCTGGATGGTGGAGATTCTTCTAAAAGGAGGCAACACAGTTTTTTTTTTTTTTTTTTTTTTTAAGACAGAATCTCGCTCTGTCACCAGTCTGGAGTGCAGTGACACGATCTCGGCCCACTGCAACCTCTGTCTCCCGGATTCAAGCAATTCTCCTGCCTCAGCCTTCTGAGTAGCTGGGAGTACAGGCACGTGACACCATGTCTGGCTAATTTTTTTTGTATTTTTAGCAAAGACGGGGTTTCACCATGTTGGCCAGGTTGGTCTTGAACCCCTGACCTCAAATGATCCACTCTCCTTGGCCTCCCAAAGTGCTGAGATTACAGGTATGAGCCACTGTGCCCAGCCTAGCACTGTCTTTTTTGTGTGTACATTTTATCAGTTTTTAAAAAGCTTCTCTGACTTCTAAAATCATTCTTAGAAATTCTTCTGCAGCATTCCCGAAGCTAAGACTTGCTCTGCAAATTACATTAAAAGTAATTCTTAATTCTTATGTGAAACTTTTATGCCATTATCCCATTTCGTTTTTCACAATTTTAAATAAAACAGATAAAACACCAAGGACATAAAAGCAGTACAGATGGCCCCGACTTTCAATGTTCAGCTTACAATTTTCTGACTTTAGGATGGTGCAAAAGCAATATGCACATGGTAGAAACTGTCCTTTTAAAAATTTGGGGCCAAGTGTGGTTTCTCATGCTTATAATCCCCATACTTTGAGAGGCCAAGGCTGCAGGATTGCTTGAGCTCAGGAGTTTGAGACGAGCCTGGGAAACATGGTGAGACCCCATTTCCACAAAAAATAAAAAAATTAGTCAAGTGTGGTGATGCTTACCTGTGGTCGTAGCTACTCAGGAGGCTAAGGTGGGAGGATTGCTTGAAGCCCAAGAGGTTGCCGTTAGAGAACCATAGAGCATTCAAGAATGTGAGCAAGCATACATTTCCCATTTATTATTTCCATAAGAAGAAAGCCTGGATGACATCAACATTGTGCAAAGACTTGTTTCAAACCGGTTTTAGTCCACAGGCAAGAGAATACTATTGGCAAAACAACATCCCATGCAAGATTCTTCTGATGCTAGATAATGCTCTGGGGCAAGCACAGCATATTGGTGACATGCATCCTGATGTAAATGTTGTGTATTTGCCACCAAACAAAACTGCACTAATTCAACCAATGGACTAAAGCACAAGAGCTGGGTTCATAGCATACTATGTACACCAGATGTTTGCACAGGCTGCTGAAATGACTGAATCTGGCCAAATGCTCCTAGAGTTTTGGAAAGGTTCTAACATTCTAAGTGCTATCCAGAACATGACTGCAGCACAGGAAGAAGTCACACAGCAATGCATAAATTGCTTTTGGAAGAAAGCTTTGAAGACATATGTGAACACATTCAAAGGCTTTAACAAAGACCCTGCTGTTGATGGAATAGTAACAGTGTATTAGTGCTTGGGAAACAGGTGGAATTTGACATTGATGAGGAGGATGAGCTTGTTGGCTTTGAGGCTGAAGAATTTATCAATGAGGAGCTGATCAAACGGGAGTAAGAAAGAAGTAAAGAACTTGAGGCAGAGGAAGAAGTTTTACCCAAGGCACCAAGAAAGTGCACAGCAATGAAGCTGCAGAGGTGTTTGCTATGATTAGCAGTGGTGTATAGATGTTATAAGAAGTGGATGTATTAAAAAGACACATGTCCTCGTGTGTTCATTGCAGTGCTGTTCACAATAGCGAAGACATGGAGTCAACCTTGGTGCTCATCAATGGTGGTGTGGATGAAGAAAATGTGGTACATATATACCATAGAATACTATGCAGCCTTAAAAAGAACGGAATCATGTCCTTTGCAGCAACATGGATGGAGCTGGAGGCCATTATCCTGAGTGAACTAATGCAATAATAGAAAACCAAATACCAGATGTTCTCCCTCATAAGTGGGAGCTAAACATTGAATACACATGAATGTAAAGACAATAGACACTGGGGAGTACTAGACGGGGAGGGAGGGAGGGGAGCATGGGCTGAAAAACCACCTGTTAGGTACTATCCTCACTGCCTGGGTGACAGAATTGTTGGAATCTCAAGTCTCAGTATCATGCAATATACCCATGTAACAAACCTGCACATGTAGCCTTTAATCTTTTTTTTTTTTTCTTGAGACAAGGTCTCACTCTATTGCCCAGGCTGGAGTGCAGTGGCGTGATCATGGTTCACTGCAACCTCCACCTCCTGGGTACAAGCAATTCTCCTGCCTCAGCCTCCGAGTAGCTGGGATGACAGGTGTGCACCACCATGCCTGGCTAATTATTTGTTTTTATTTTTAGTAGAGATGGGATTAAACCACGTTGGCCAGGCTGGTCTTGCTCTCCTGGCCTCAAGTGATCCACCCACCTTGGCCTCCCAAAGTGCTGGGAGCCACCATGCCCAGCCAGTACCCTTCAATCTATAATAGAAGTTGAAATTATAAAACAAAAACAAAAGCAGAGAAACGGATGCCAATTACGAGAGATTTGCAAGAGTTGACAGGCAGATGCAGTATGTGCTTCCTTTCTCTAGGGAAATAGATAACGAAAAGAAGAAACGAACTCTACAGTCAAAACTTGATATATTCCTGAACATTATGCCTGCTAAACCATCAGGTGTTCATATCCCAGTGCCTTCTACAGGTTGAGCATTTCTAATCTGAAAATCCAAAATGCAAACTTTGTGTGCTGACATGATGCCACAAGTAGAAACTCCCACACTTGACCTCCTTTAATAATTTCACAAAATTATTAAAAATATTGTATACAATTACCTTCGGTTTATGTGTATTATGTGTGTATAAAACAAATAAATTTTATGTCTGGACTTGGGTCCCACCTCCAAGGTATCTCATTATGTATATGCAAATATTCCAAAAACCAAAAAGAAAAAAATCTGAAATACTTCTGGTCCCAAGCATTTAGGATAAGGGATACTCAACCTATAACAGCTATTGTCTCCAGAGCCTCATGATAAGAGTGAGAAATTAACAACTCTGTGGCTGTAGCATCTCCTTCATCCAGCAATTAATTTCAGTTCAATGCTTCAAACATTCTTCAGGTCCAGTGTACTTTCAGTTGTCTACATTAATGGTGAGGACCTATACAACTGTTCTGTTTTTCATAGTTTGGTATTCAATAAATTACATGAGATATTCAGTACTTTATTATAAAATAGGCATTGTGTTAGATGATTTTGTCCAACCATAGGTTAATATAAGCATGCTGGGCACATTTAATGTAGGCTAGGCTAAGTTGTGATGTTCAAGAGGTTATATGTATTTAATGCGTTTTTGACTTACAACATTTTTCATTTATGATGGGTTCATCGGGATGGAACCCCATCAGAAATTGAAGAGCATCTGTACTAGAATATGGCTGAGGCCTGCCCAGATTTTTCTTGTTTTTAATTTAGTGGAATTATATTGATTTCAAAAGCTTTGCACTTGAGTATGTTGAAATACCCTTACTTGAAAGAGAAAGCTGTCTACTTTGTTTGAGTAAATGTATAGTAAAGTGCTGGCTAAAGTCTTTGGCTTGTCAAATACAATAAAAATTACTTACAATGTCTGGTTATATGAAAGAAATACTTCAAACGAAGGAGTTTTTAAATTTGAAGAGGCTTTTTGTGTGGGCAGGGAAATTGAGCTCATTTTTACTTTTTTTTTTTTTTTTTTCTTTGAGACATAGTCTTGCTCTGTTGCCAAGGCAGAGTGCAGTGGTGCAATCATAGCTGACTGCAGCCTCGACCTCCTGGGCTCCAGTGATCCTCCTCCCTCAGCCTCCTGAATAGCTGAAACTACAAGTACACACCACCATACCTGGCTAATTTTTTAACATATTTTGTAGAGATGGGGCATCATTATGTTGCCCAGGCTGATCTCAAACTCCTGGGCTCCAGTGATCCTCCTGCCTTAGCCTCCAAAAGCACTGGGATTACAGGCCACCTTGCCTGGCCCATTTTTATTTTTCTTTAAATTGAGATTTTCTATAGTGCTTAGATTTTTTTTCTAAGAAGACCACATCGTTATTCAAGTAAGGGAAGCCCTGCTTTAGACACTGTTAATGAATTATGACATCATTAACAGCAACAGTTTGACCACAAGTAGTAATGAAGATGATTCTGAAATTCCAGGTAGTGATGGACCTTCGAATAGTAATTTTGTAAAACTTGAGAAAATTGAAACTAAACATACCAGTTTAATGAAAGTTTGCTAGCTAATCTTTTTTGTTAGTTTACATATACCTCTTAAATACTTTTATTTAAGTTAAAAAAGTTTTTTTTTAATGATTAGATAGGTTCTCACTTCGTTACCCAGGCTGGAGTGCACTGGTAGAATCATAGCTCACTGTAGCCTTTACTTCTGGCCTCAAGCGATCTTTTTGTCTTGGCCCCACGGAGTGCTGGGATTACTAGCATGAGACACCACACCAGGGCTTATTTAGGTTTTAACTTGGTGCCATTTCATTTGAGTTAGAAGCATTTAGTCACTCCAGCTTGGTGGAAATTATTCCTACAGTTAAGCACATTGGTTTATTTTTGTATGGTTCCATAATAATAATAATGGAACCACACAAAATCAAGCACTTGTTAGATTCCAGGCCTTGTGTTTCCTCCACGGTTTATGAGGATTTTCTTATTCAATCCTTCAACAGCTTCATGCAATAGGAATTAGGACTTTCATCTCTGTTTTGCAGGTGGAAAAACAGGAATGGAATCCAAATTCTGTAATTCAAGAACCTGCACTCTTATCCACTACACTAAATTTATTTTAAGTAAAATTAAAGAGTCAATAAATAAAATAGGGAATAAAGGTTTTTTGTTACAGAAAATTCAGTAGTTAAGGTGAACCCTCATGTACACATGTCCAATCTTGTTCTCTCTATATCCTCTATCTTCTGCCCCACCATTATCATAAAGCAAGCCCCAGACATCACATTATTTCATTAAAGGGATTTTGTTTTTGGAGTCGAGGTCTTACTCTGCTGCCCAGGCTGGAGGGCATTGGCATGATCACGGCTCACTTGCAGCCTCAACCTCTCGGTCTCAAGTGATCCTTTCACCTCAGCCTTCTGAGTCACTGCTGGGACTACAGGCACCTGCCACCACCCCCGGCTATTTTCTTTTTCTTTTTCTTTTTTTTTTTCTTTGAGATGGAGTCTCGCTTTGTCGCCCAGGCTGGAGTGCAATGTCGCGATGTCGGCTCACTGCAAGCTCCGCCTCCCGGGTTCACACCATTCTCCTGCCTCAGCCTCCTGAGTAGCTGGGACTACAGGTGCCCACCACCACACCCGGCTAATTTTTTTGTATTTTTAGTAGAGACGGGGCTTCACTGTGTTAGCCAGGATGGTCTCGATCTCCTGACCTCGTGATCCGCCTGCCTTGGCCTCCCAAAGTGCTGAGATTACAGGCGTGAGCCACCGCACCTGGTCTCTCTCTTTTTTTTAATAGAAGCTTTTTTTTTTTTTTTTTTTTTTGGAAAGAGAGTCCCACTCTGTCACCCAGGCTGGAGTGCAGTAGCGCGATCTCGGCTCACTGCAACCTCCACCTCCCAGGTTCAAGTGATTCTCTTGCCTCAGCCTCCCAAGTAGCTGGGACTACAGGCTCTCACCACCATGCCTGGATAATTTTTGTATTTTGAGTAGAGACTGGGTTTCACCATGTTGGCCAGGCTGGTTTTGAACTCCTGACCTCAAGTGATCCACCTGCCTCGGCCTCCCAAATTGTTGGGATTACAGGCAGAAGCCATTGTGCCCAGCCTGATTCACTTCTTAGTGTTGCAGATAAAATTGATCCTGTGACTTATTTCCTGAATGCTGTATTTATACATTTACTTTTGTGCTTACATTTGCTATGCTTTAAGTGGAAACCAAGATGAATCAAGCAAATTCTGTCCTCAAGAAACTTAAAATCTTGCTTTGGGAGGCCAAGGTGGGAGGATTGCTTGAGGCCAGGAGTTTGAGATTTGCTGGGGCAGCATGGTGAGAACCTGTCCCTACAAAAAAAATTTTAAAATAATAAATAAAATAAACTTAAAATCTAATGGTAGGGATAAAATAGGTACATAAATATCCCTAATATAAATAATGTGATACATGCCAAGGTCATGTATAGATAAGTTTAGAAGTTCAGAAGAGAAGTATCTAAAATTTGTGAATGACTTCCCTGTTAGACAAGGTTTTGAACTCATAAGTGTGTTATTTATTTTAGTGCTTCAATACCCACCTTAAAAGACAAATATTATTAACCCCAGTTATCGATGATGAAGTTGAGTCTCGGCAGGAGGTGACAACTGAATATGCCTGAGGGATAGAGAGGATTTGCATAACTGGCTAGTTGGGCACCCCAGGTGAGGGGAATAGCTGTGGAAAGGCAATGAAAGCACCAGCAATCAGAGAAACAGGGTCCAGGAAGCAGAGAAACAGGGTCATGGAATACCGAATGGAAAGGTCAAAGGCATATTTTAAGGCTTCTACTTTGGATAAGGAAAGACACTGAGAGGCTGGATATGCATTGTCATGTGTATGTTGAATGAGGAAAATACATTAGATACCAATACAAAGATGTGCGATTTCTACAAAGGATCTGCTTATCAGTGAAACATTAATAGATCCTGAGTGATGTGAATGTCTCGGAGAGGTCATGACCTTAGAAATCTAAATAAAAAATAAAATAAAAAGCATTAAATAAATAAATGCAAGCACAAATCACAAATCTCTGATTTCGAGACCTGACTGAGTCACAAAGCAAGACCTTGTCTCTACAAAATATTTTTTAAATTAGCCGAGCATGGTGGCATGTACCTGTAGTCCCAGCTACTCTGGAGGCTGAGGTGAGAGGATCGCTTGAGCCCAGGAGTTTGAGGCTGCGGTGGGCTATGATCACACCATGGCACTCCAGCCTGGGCAACAGAGGGAGATCCTGTCTCTAAAAAAAAAAAAAAAAAGAAAAGAAAAAAAGAAATAATACATCCTCCTGTGGTCTGAGTCAGCCAATGAGAATACAACAGTGGAAAGATCTTGGAGTTAGAAAAAAGTCATAGAATTCTGGAAGTGCAGCATTCATTGTCCTCTACTGTCCTGTGCTAATGCAGACCCAGCCATTCTTTGTATCCCTCGATTTCCAAAAAGCCTTTTAGTGTTATCTTCTGATAACACTAAATCCTGATTTTATAATGCATCCTGATTTTATAATGGAAGTTGGCTCTTAGGGCATTTTTCTTTTGTACTTTAAAGCTTAAGACCCAAAGAAAAACATGCATAATTAATCTGTCAAATCTGGGGATAGCTCTGTACGTACTGCCAAGTCTCTCCCTCTCTTTCAATTTTTTGTTAGAAATTTGTGGCAGTAATTATATATACCTGGCACCTACTGTGTCCTTTTGTTTTCATAGGCATGTTTGACTTAAATACTCTCTACCATCACTTATTCTTCCACCTCCAAACTCATTTGTTTTGAGATTGCTTTTGTATTTTCACTTTTTATTTATTTTTATTTTTATTTTTGAGACAGTGTCTTGCTCTGTCCTCCAGGGTGAAGTGCAGTGCAGTGATTATGGCTTACTGCAGCCTTGGACTCCTGGGCTTCAGTGATCCTTGTGCCTCAGCCTCCTGAGTAGCTGGGACTATAGGCACTCACCATCACATCTGGCTAATAAAAAAAATTTTGTTTTGTAGAGAAAGGGTCTTGCTGTGTTGCCCAGGTCTCAAACTCCTAGCTTCAAGTGATCTCTCTCCTTGGCCTCCCAAAGTGCTGGAGTAATAACAGGAGTGAGCCATTGTGCCTGGCTTCTATTTTCATTGAGAACTCTCTTTTAGGTCTAGTATTATCAGCTGCATCATGAAAAAAGTCAACAACAACAACAACAACAACAACATATTAAAACTTAGGTCAAGTTTCCTTTGTTTTTTGTTTGTTTTTAGAAGGTGTCTCACTCTGTCATCCAGGCTGGAGTGCAATGGTGTGATCTCAGCTCACTGCAAACTCCGCCTCCTGGGTTCAAGCAATTCTCCCACCTCAGCCTCCCATGTGGCTGGGATTACAGGCACCTGCCATCATGCCTGGCTAATTTTTGCATTTTTGTAGAGATGGGGTTTCATTATGTTGTTTGCCAGGCTGGTCTTGAACTCCTGACCTCAGGTGATCTGCCCGCCTCATCCTCCCAAATTGCTGGGATTACAGGCATGAGCCACATGCCCAGCCTCTTTGATATTTTTATATGATTGATTTCCTGCTGAGCTTCACTGGCCGCAGACACATTTACATTTGTTCATGGTTCTTGGGCTGATAATTTCACTTCTTTAAAGAACGACATAACTTGTTTAGATGGCATGTGATTATAGGAGGGACTAATTGAGCCAGGAAATGAGGATCCCCAGTCAATCATTTAGTCACTTACTTGTGGCCCAAAGTGAGATCAATTAAGTCCTTCCTGAATAATTTTTTTTAATTGTGACAGGGCCTCTCTCTGTTTGTTACCCAGGCTGGAGTGCAGTGGTATGATCATGGTTCACTGTACCCTTGACTTCCTAGGCTCAAGAGATCCTCCCATATTGATATGGTTTGGCTGTGTCCCCACCTAAATCTCAACTTGAATTGTATCTCCCATAATTCCCACGTTTTATGGGAGGGACCCAGGGGGAGGTAATTGAATCATGGGGGCTGGTCTTTCCCATGCTATTCTCGTGATAGTGAACAAGTCTCATGAAATCTGATGGGTTTATCAGGGATTTCTGCTTTTGCCTCTTCCTCATTTTCTCTTGCCACCACCATGTAAGAAGTGCCTTTCACCTCCCGCTATGATTCTGAGGCAACCCCAGCCATGTGGAGCTGTAAGTCCAATTAAACCTCTTTTTGTTCCCAATTTCGGGTATGTCTATTAGCAGCCTGAAAATGAACTAGTACACATATCAACCTCCTTAGTAGCTAAGACTACAGGCATATGCCATCATGCCTGGCTAAATTTTAAAACAAATTTTTGTAGAGATGGGAACTCACTATGTTGCCCAGGCTGGTCTGGAACACCTGGCCTCAAGCAATTCTCCTGCCTCAGCCTCCCAAAATGCTGGAATTACAGCCGTGAGCCATTGCACCCAGTCTTCCTTGTGTAATTCTTAGTGTAAATCTGGAATCACCCATGTCAATCTTACTGAAAAATAAGGAATAAAATTGGTATGTATTTGTTTGAAGGAGACAAAATAATTATATATCTTGGATCCAGCTGTTACAATGTTAGCAGAAATAACAAAATGTACTTTTAGAATGCTTTGTTTTCTTAAAAAATCCAAACACAAAGACTTGAAAATCCTTTTCTACATAATCTTTTTATCTTGAAATTTACTGTCTCTTGAGAGAAGACATGGTTTCAGAATTTTTTCTTGCATCACAATCTGCCAACCACAGAGAAATTAAGTGACTGCTTAAGAAACTAAGTATGATCTTCTATATTTATTTTCAGCATAGTATTTTACTAATTTTTTCCACCATCTATAAAATATCTATGATGACTATGTCTAAAAATCTTACCTTTTTAAATCTGCATAATTGTGTGATTTCTAGCTGGTGCTCTCTTAATCCATTTGCAAATGTTTATCACCATTTTGTTCAAATGGAATGTCCTGGAATTACTCGGCCCATCAAAAGGCTTCATATTCTTTTGGCTGTTTAAGTGATGAATACTGATCTCTAAAATGACTGTTTATAATTCAATTTTTCCATTAGTCTTACTTTTTAAGTAAGAAAGAAAAGCTGTATCATCAAAATACATGATTTGACCAAATATTAAGGAGATAAGAGGTGTTTCCTATGAGTGCTTACTGTATATATTATCAAGATGTAAAATGCGTAGCTGGCTCACGCAGTTATTTGTGGTGGTAATATTTAACAATCTGAAGGGCATGGGTGCCAACCAAACAGAACAAGGCATTGGTCTTAGTGCTAGAGAAGATTGCTGGATCATGAGGAGGGGGGTCCTGGAAGGGGGGCCAGGGTAGTTGGGAAGGGATGGAAGTAAAATATTCAGAAAGCTGTGCTATGTTCCACTATTTTAACAATAGCATGGCTGTACTAAAAGGACCCCACCACCTATCAGTTCTGTTGTTTGAAGAACTGTGTCAAGGAAGCCAAGGGTCTAGATTTCACCTGGATGTAGACCAGTTGACAGATACAGCAATTTACAATGCATTCTAATAAAGCAGGATGATGATGAGAGAAAAGAGCACAGACTTTGGAGTCAGCAAGGCTGAGTTTGGATCCTTTCTTTATTCCTTAATAGCTGTGTGATCCTGGGAAAATTTCTTGTGCTCTACAAATGTCAGTTTCCTTCTCTATAAGAGGAGACAGCAATGCCCTCCCTGTAGGGTTGCTGAATGGCTACAGGTGAGATGAGTAAAGCTCCTGGCATAGCACTGAGCTGTAGGAAGTAGGCACTGAGAGCAGCTGCCATCATTCCCTTTATTTCTGTGACTCCATTCTCTTGGGTTGTTTTTTCTTTCTTGGAAAAACTTTTCTTGAGCTTTTTGTTTTCTGCTCCTGCCTTAAATGTTGGTGATCCTTGGAATTCCTTTCTGCTAGTGTCTTGTTCTTTTTCTCTCTTCATTCTCTCCAGCAGCCTCATCCACAACCACGACTTCTGCTATAACTTTAGGGATGACTTCCTAATCTGAATCATTGTTCGGACATTTCTCCTGAGCTCCAAATCCAACTTCTTACTAGTGTTCTCTGCTTGACTATCCTTCAGGCGCCCCCCGCCAGACCCCACGTGTCTGGAATTGAACTCATAATTTTTCCCAGCAACACACTATTTTCCTGCCTCTCCTACCTTGGTTGAAGGTAGTGCCATTAGTTTATGTTCTTAAGCTGGGAACGTGGGGGTCATCTCTGAACACTAATCTCCCCTCCCCTCCCCTCCCCTCCCCTCCCCTCCCCTTCCCTCCCTTCCCTTTCCTCTTTCCTCTCCTCTCCCCTCCCTTCCCCTCCCCTCCCCTCCTTTTCTTTCTCCTTCCCTCCCTCCCTCTCTTCCCTCTCTCTCCTACCTTCCTTCCTTTCTCTTTCTTTCTTTCTTTCTTTCTTTTCTTTCTTTCTTTCTTTCTTTCTTTCTTTCTTTCTTTCTTTCTTTCTTTCTTTCTTTCTCTTTCTTCTTTCTTTCTCTCTGTCCCCCTCCCTCCCTCCCTCTCTCTTTCTTTCTTTCTTTCCCTCTTTCTCTCTCTTTCTTCCTTCCTTCCTTCCATCGATGTTTCTTTTCTTTCTTTCTTGAGGATCTTGCTCTGTTGCTCAGGCTGGAGTGCAGTGCTTTGATCTCAGCTCACTGCAGCCTTGACTTCCTGGGCCCAAGCAATCCTCCCACCTCAGTTTTCCGAGAAGCTGGGACTACAGGTATGTACCATCACATCCAGTTAATTTTTGTATTTTTAGTAGAGATGCTGTTGCCCAGGCTGGTCTGGAACTCCTGGGCTCAAGCAATCCACCTGCCTCGGCTTCCCAGAGTTCTGGGATTACAGGCATGAGTCACTGTGCCCTGCCAATTACTACTTTTATATCCAAATATGTCATCTATTCCCGTTAATTTAGCCTCTTAAGTATCTTTTCATCCATATGGTCTTACTTCAGGTCTCCAATCTTTCTCTACTATTAACTTCACTTCCTTGCTTATAGCATCAACCCCCTCCAGAGTATCCTATAAAAAGCTTAGAGAGGCTGGGCACAGAGACTCATGCCTGTAATCCCAGCACTTTGGGAAATGGAGGCAGGCAGATCACCTGAGGTTAGGAGTTTGAGACCAGTCTGGCCAGCATGGTAAAACCCTTTCTCTACTAAAAATACAAAATCAGCTGGTGTGGTGGTACACGCAGGTAGTCCCAGCTACTCGGGAAGCTGAGGCACGAGAATCACTTGAACCCAGGAGGCAGAGGTTGCAGTGAGCCAAGATTGCGCCACTGCACTCTAGCCTGGGTGACAGAGCAAGACTGTTAAAAAAAAAAAAAGCTAGATAATAATTCTCTTCTTTCTTTTTTTTTTGAGGCAGAGTCTCGCTCTGTTGCCCAGGCTGGAGTGCAGTGGTGGGATCTCAGGTCACTGCAAGCTCCGCCTCCCGGGTTCATGCCATTCTCCTGCCTCAGCCTCCCGAGTAGCTGGGACTACAGGCACCTGCCACCACGCCTGGCTAATTTTTTGTATTTTTTGTATTTTTGTATTTGTAGTAGAGACAGGGGTTCACCATGTTAGCCAGGATGGTCTCGATCTCCTGACTTCATGATCCGCCGGCCTCGGCCTCCCAAAGCACTGGGAGTACAGGCATGAACCACCACTCGCAGCCCATACTTTTCTTTTTGATATTATTTTATTTTGTTTTTTGGTGGCGGGGTCTCACTCTGCCACCAGACTGGAGTGCAGCAGCAAACATAGCTCACTGCAGCCTCACACTCCTGGGCTCAAGTAACTTTTAAAATTTTGGTTAGCTAAAAATGGCTATTCATTGTAAAAAGGTAAAAAAAATTATAGGTAAATAAAAATAAAAACTACCTAAAATCCACCAACCAGATAAAACAACTACTAAAAACTTGGTACACATTTTTCAGGTTATTTTAAATACATACATAAATATAATGCTGTATAAGGTTGAACTCTAGTAATTTTTGAATTCTTCTTGTGATGAGATTTAAAATAAATTAAACTAAGATTTGCAGTCTGAACTGCACTGGGCAATTGTTGGTACATACTCTGTAACGAATTCAAGTTAAACCATTGGTTGCTGACTGATTATCGGTTGATTGTGTTTTAGAGACCATCTGGCCAAATCACCTACTTTTGTTGGGGCTAAAAGGGTTTCTCCTAAAGGAAATAGATGTACCTGCTGTCAGTCATCATAGGGAGTGTTCAATCCTTGGAGCATGAAACTTGGAAAGCGAGCTTGGATGAGGTTGAAGGCTTTTCTCTAACGCTAGAAGTACTTTTTAGTAAACTCTGAGGAATGAGATTCAAGGGGCATTTCCAGTGAAGGAACAGATAAGGGCTGCATGAAGGAGGCTGGGAGCAAACAAGCTCTCCCCCAATCCTTTTTTCTTTCAGAGACTGGGTCTCCCTCTGTCTTCCATGCTGGAGTACAGTGATACAATCATAGCTTACAGGAGCCCCAAACTCCTGGGCTCAAGTCTTCCTCTCACCTCGGCCTCCCAAGTAGCTGGAACCTCAGGCATGCACCACCACACCTGGCTAATTTTTTCATTTTTTGTAGAGACAAGTTCTCACTATGTTGCCTAGGCTGGTCTTGAACTCCTGGGCTCAAGTGACTCTCCCACCACAGCCTCCCAAAGTACTGAGATTACAGGTGTGAGTCACTGAGGTCAGCCTTGCAAACCAGCCTTGTTAGGGACCAAGGATGTACCTGGGCATGCAGAGCTGTGGGTGTTTCTGTGGTTGGTGGTGCCCCACACAACATTCCCATGTTGCTTTCACTGATGATGTTGCTTTGGCTCTTGTTTTATGACCTATTATCTTGTGAAGGAATTTGCAGCTCTTTAATTTAAATCTATCTCGTTGGCCAGGCATGATGGCTCATGCCTGTAACCCCAGCACTTTGGGAGGCAGAGGCAGGTGGATCATTGGAAGGCAGGAGTTCGAGACCAGCCTGGCCAACATGGCAAAACCCTGGCTCTACTAAAAATAAAAAATTAGCCAGGCATGGTGGCGTGCACCTGTAATTTCAGCTACTTGGCAGGCTGAGGCCCAAGAATTGCTTGAACCCAGGAGGTGGAGGTTGCGGTGAGCCGAGATCACACCACTGCACTCCAGCCTGAGCGACAGAGCAAGACTCTGTCTTAAAAACAAAAACAAACAAACACACAAAATCTGTCTTGTTAATGTTTCCTTGTTCTACTAGTGACAAGTAGATCTGACATTTCCTGAGTCTCAAGAGACATTCTATATACTAATTATTTTAACTTAATATCTTTGAAGACAGTAATTAATGCAGTATATTTAAGTTGCTAAGTTTTTTCTCTGCATATCCTGGACTTTGAAATGACACTGATTATTTGTATCACAAGCTAGTTAGACCAAGAGAAGATGTTTCAAGTTAATGTAAAACAAGTACAGCCTTCCCATTCTTAAAGTTAGTTTTTTAAAAATTGTTACATAATAGGCTTAAGTAGGAATCTGTTATGTATGTTACCTTTGTTTCTTACAAATTGTTTTTTCACAGTGTTAAGACAGGTAACTTTTCAGTCTTTTTCTAAATATTTTGTGTTCATGGATATGAAATGGGAATATTTTTAGTTTTCATAGTATCAAGATTTGTATGAACTTATTATAATGAAATAATAATATACACTAAGATAATTTCTGTTTTATAAATTGTTTTGTACTGATTGAATGAGATTACTCATGTTCATGTACACTAATATATAAATATTTGTCTTCTCCTAAGATCCAAGATAACAGGTTGTTTATGCCAGTGGATCTCCAATTTTAGTATGCATCCAAAATGCCTGGAAGATGCTGGCTCCCACCCTGAGTTTCTGACTCTGTAGACCTTGGGAGGGGCTGAAAATATGCCTTCGTAACAAGTTCTTAGGTTATGCTGATTATTCTGGCCTGGGGACCCCACTTTAAGAACCATTATTTTATTTTATTTTTGTTTTTGTTTTTGTTTTTGAGATGGAGTCTCGCTCTATTGTCCAGGCTGGAGTGCAGTGGTGCAATCTCAGCTCACTGCAACCTCTGCCTCCTGGGTTCAAGCGATTCTTGTGCCTCAGCCTCCCAAATAGCTGGGATTACAGGTGCCTGCCACCATACCTGGCTAATTTTTGTATTTTTAGTAGAGACAGGGTTTCGCCATGTTGCCCAGGCTGGTCTCAGATTCCTGACATCAGGTGATCCACCCGCTTCAGCCTCCCTAAGTGCTAGGATTACAGGTGTGAGCCACCACGTCCGGTTGAGAACCATGAAACATTCAGAAAGATGCTCTGCATAGGCTTGCCTGAATGCTGGAAAGTTTCTGTGACTAATAGACACAGAGAGAGGATCCCTCACAGATGTTCCGGTCCTAAGTGCTTAGGTCATATATCCCCATTTAATTTCATAACACATGGAATGCTGGCTCAGGTGATGGGGAGGGGGTTAAGGCTATAAGCCCCACTTTAGCTACTGGAGAGTGCAGGCAGGAGTGGAAGAATGTGTTAGTTTAGCTTTGTCCAAATTGAATTGGAAGTTCAGGTGGAGCTATGCTGAAGGGAAATAAAAATTATGGACCAACACTCAGGAACAAGAACAGGGCTGCAGAGAGAAAGGAAGCTAACAACTTGTTGATTACCTTATGATAGATGCCTTCATTGACTCATTTCATTTAATCCATACCAGTCTCCTGAGGGCAGGGAATAGTATTCTCATTTTTATAGATGATGAAAGAAACTGAGATTCAGAAGGTTACGTGACTTACGCGAGGACACTCCCAAACTGCAATTGTCTGGGCCTTAAATTGAACGCCAGCTGGTTTGTTTCTAAACTTTCTATTTTATCTGCAGATGAGGGTTTGAGAAGGGAAGTTAGGCAGAGTGTCACATACTGCAAAGAGATCAGGTGGGATGAAAACTCAGAAAGGGCTACTTAGATTTGAGGTCTGAAACGAAAATCTTTAGCATTTTGGTTATCAATGCAAGTCCCCCAACTGCAGAGGGCAAAGAAGGAGAAGCAGTAAGTGAAGACTCGCTTTTGAAAAGGTTGAGTTTGGCCGGGCATGGCTCATGCCTGTAATCCCAGCATTTTGGAAGGCCCAGGTGGGAGGATCCCATTAGGCTTAGGAGTTTGAGACCACCCTGGGCAATATAGTGAGACCGTGGCTATACTAAAATTCCCCCAAAATTAGCCCGGTGGTATGGTGTGTGCCTGTGGTTCCAGCTACTTGGCAGGCTGATGCCTTCATTGACTCATTTCATTTAATGAATGAATGAAATGAAAAGAGGATCACCTGAGCCTGGGAGGTCGCAGCTGCAGTGAGCTATGATCACACCACTGCACTCCATCCTGAACAACAGAGTCTCGCCCTGTCTCAGAGACAGAGAGAGACTTTAAAAAGGAAAAAAGCAATAGAATGATACCTTGAGGATTAAGAGCTTCCCTTACATAGACACCCATGCAGATTGGTGGGTTGTTTATTCAGACGTGGGCCATTAAAATGTTGCTTCAAGGTTTTGGACTACATTGAACTGATGTCTCTTGATAGATTTTTTCCCATCCCTACATCTGTCGGAACACTTACAAACAAGCAGGGTATTCCAGTCTTGTCAGACTTCTCCTGCCAAATATGCTTAATTATGTAACTGGGTGAGGTGTGCATTGTCTCTTATATAAGAACCGGTTTTCCTCTCGTTTATCAAGCCGGATTGGGCCACTTACTTCTGTTCTGCTTGTGTGTGTGTGATCTGTGATGGGGAAGGTGCTGGTAAAAGCATTACTTAACTGACTTTCAGTTTTAGTTTAAGCTTTAGAGCCGATGAGCTCAAGTTCTTAAAATGCTTAACATGGAGAAAATCAACTCTATTATATTTAAGTGCTTGAAGTGTTTTGCTAATGATCCAAAATAAATGAAATAATGAAATATTAAGTTATTGATTCATATGGGTTCACATAAAAGGTTGTGTAAAATATTATTCCATTCCTGCTATAAACTCATTATTGTATCTTTTTATTTTGGAGTTACTGTGGAGATAACTTATAAATGACTATAGATTTTTGTTTTCTCCAGTATGACTACAAAAGATTCTTAGTTGATTTATTACTGAACTCCCAAATATTTAACAGGTAGAGCTAAGAGAGTGAATAATATATTAAACCTGAACCTAATGTAGCTAAAATTCTTTTTAGAATCTGGCAGGTTATAAAGTAATTAACACATTACTGAGATACTAATCAGTATCTAAGGGAAATGAAATTGTTTCTATCACACGATTTCTCTGAATTGAAATAGATTTTCGAAGTGATTTATGGATTTTTTTTCTGAAGAATATTCTAGCTACATTTTCAAAACTGCTGGAAATTCTCCCTGAGGATTAGTATAAAAGTACATGTGAATCTATGCTCTTCTTTTATTTAATTGAATATATATGTTTATATATATATTTGTATTATATATATGTATTTTATATATATATATATATATATAGAGAGAGAGAGAGAGAGAGACAAGCTCTCGCTGTGTCAGCCAGGCTGGAGTGCAGTGGCGCAATCACAGCTCACTGCAGCTTTGACCACCTGGGCTCAAGCAGTCCTCTCACCTCAGCCTCCCAAGAAACTGGGACTGCTGGTGTGCACCACCATGCTCAGCTACTTTAAAAAAATGTTTTGTAGAGATATGGGTCTCACTGTGTTGCCCAGGCTGGCCTTGAATTCCTGGGCTCAAGCAATCCTCCTGCTATGGCCTCCTAAAGTGCTGAGATCACAGGCGTGTGTGACTGCACCTGGCTAAGCTGTGTTCTTTTTATTCTTTACCAACATGAGAACTCAAGAGTAGACAGACACTCAGACTTCCCCCAAAGTCAACCTTGCACATAGGTGAATTTTACAGCTACAAGATTACAGGACTATCAGCAGTTCTATTTTTTTTTTCCCCCATTTGGTCATTTATAAGCCAGTAGTGACACCATCCTTTTCCCTGTAAATCTCCTGAAAGAAATCCCAAATATTAGACTATTGCTTTGGGTTACACACTAAACAGGTAAATGATCTCCTGGACCACTAGAACCCACTACTAAAATATATATTTGGTACCATAATCTCTCTGGTCTGTTTCCTCATCTATAAAATGGGAATAATAGTAGTATCCACCTAATAGAATTTTTAAAAGTACTTATTTATAGTATGAAATAGAGACAGGGTCTCCTTGTGTTGCCCAGGCTGGTCTCGAACTCCTGGGCTCAAGCAATCTTTCTACCTTGGCCTCTCAAAGTGCTGGGATTTCAGGTGTAATCACCATGCCCAGCCTACAGCTGTCATGAAGAGTAAATATTAATACACGTAAAGCCCTTAGAACAGTGCCTACCATAGAGCAGTCCACCAATTAAAGTGACACATTTATTACCTAAGAGGGAAGAGAGAATAAGCCATCTTCCATGAAGCTGTCAGCGAAGAGTGGCAGAAAAGTGGAGGCGATTGAAACTGGGTGAATTTGGCAGTTCAGAGTCAGATTTCATGGCACTGGGGCAAAGGAAGCTGCCCAGGAGGGGTGCACCATGACCAAGATTTATCTGTCTGCTTAGGAGGGCATTTCCCGTGGACATGGTGTCTCCCAGTGTGTGGCCAGGGGAAGGCAGGGGCAGCCCACATCTGCCTTCAACCTGTTGTCATCTCTGAGCACAAGCCCCAGCCTGGGCAGCCTTTGAAGGATGCTGCTTTCTTCCACTCCAGACACAGGGTCCGTCTAACATTAAATAGGATGATACATTTGTTTTTTTTTTTATTTTGAGACTCTTGCGCTGTCGCCTAGGCTGGAGTGCAATTGCACGGTCTCAGCTCACTGCAGTCTCTGCCTTCTGGGTTCAAGCGATTCTCCTGCCTCAACCTCCTGAGTAGCTAGGATTACAGGCATGTGCCACCACACCTGGCTAATGTTTGTATTTTTAGTAGAGATGGGGTTTCATCATGTTGGCCAGGCTGGTCTTGAACTTCTGACCTCAAATGATCCACCTGCCTCAGCCTCTCAAAGTGCTGGGATTACAGGCGTGAGCCACCGCACCCGGCCAAGGGATGCTACTTCTTTTCCAGGCTCTCATTTCACATATCCAAATGGGGGAAAAAAAAAACAAAAAAAAAAAACATGTTGTTTACCTCTTTAAGCCTGTGTAGTCAGATACTTTTCTTAACCAACCTCTTTACTCAAAGAATTGCAATGCCTCCTCCAGGTGTATATTTAGAAATGTTGCCATGGTCACTGTTTCCAGTTTGGGCGTCTGTCATTTGGCTGTTACAGCCTGCAGGTGAGATGCTTCTCATGGCCACATCACATCATGTCTGGGTGAGCATGGGGGTGGGGAGTGAGGGGCCCAGAAAAGCCTGTTACTGCCGTCAGCACCCTTGCTGATTGCTTTATGATTTTACTTTAATTGGGCAGGTCACATGGCCTCCCTGGAGCGACATTCTGCCCTTTATGAAATGAGACTGCTGGCTGAGCCTCTAGAGCACCTTCAAGCTCTGATGTCGTATTTGATTGATGTGACCCCAATCACTAAGAAGTTGACTTACTCTAGGGCTGCTAACGTATTTCTTACATACCCGTTACAAAAGCAAAACCAGAGACCTTTTCTACTCAGTAACAATCTCGAATAGATTGGATCTAGTGACCCCGAAGCCACTGTGACAGTTGATTTCTCCCTGGGCTCCATTCCCTCTGGTCTGACCCCTACTGTCCCAATTGACTTGAAACAGGCTTTGCTGTTATTTACTTTCTGAAGACTCCCAAACTTTAAGCCAGTTCATCAGAAAACCTCCTGGGCTCCTGAGACTTCATGGAAGTAAAAGGTTTTAATTCTAGTCTATGCAGGATTGGTCTGAACACGGCGAGACTGTTCAAAATAAGTATTATCTGGGACTCTTCTGTTATTGACAATAGCTGATTTAATAAGTGCTCAGTAATACTTTGAATAGGGTCACTTTCCAGATATGATCCTGATAATATTCGCTAGGCATTTGGCAACATTGCTTCATGACATTTATAAGCAAATTGCTTAGCAACTGTGGAGAGAGGGCATGCAAAGTAAATTACTAATATGGGACTATGAGGTTGCTGTGAAATTGCACAATTGTGATTTTTTTTTTTTTTTTTTTGAGATGGAGTCTCGCTCTGTCACCCAGGCTGGAGTGCAGTGGTGCAATCTCGGCTCACTGCAAGCTCTGCCTCCCGGGTTCACGCCATTCTCCTATCTCAGCCTCCGGAGTAGCTGGGACCACAGGCGCCCACCACCACGCCCAGCTAATTTTTAGTATTTTTAGTAGAGACGGGGTTTCACCGTATTAGCCAGGATGGTCTTGATCTCCTGACCTCGTGATCCGCCCACCTCGGCCTCCCAAAGTGCTGGGATTATAGGCGTGAGCCACTGCACCCAGCCCCAATTGTGGTTTTTAAAATGTATTTTAGGAATGACAAAATGACCATCAAGAAAGATTAATGCTGACTCCATTAGTGACTGGAGAAACGCTAGGGCAAATATAAATGAGCTCATGGATATGATTCAGAGGCTGGTGTGATTTGCTGCCTGTATATTTCTAGCAGTCAGCTGTTTAAATATCTTGATATTCTGTATCTGGAAAACATGCACCTGTCATCTTTGGATGACAGGTTTTGTAAGTTATTTTGTAAGCTTTTTGTGTTCAAGAGTGTTCACTGAGTGTTCACCTTTGGATGAAAGGTTTTGTGAATTATTTTGTAAACTTCTTGTGGGATTTTCTAATATTCTTTGTCTTACCCCAAGAACCTGAATTCATTATATTTACTATATAGATTCAGCTATTTGAAATGCTTTTTACGATGAAAAGAGAAAATATCTACATACATAAATACATTGCATACTGGGCTTCGTAAATATTTTAGGTGGAAAAGTGTTTCCCTTCTCTGTGGGAGAAGCCTGCATAGGTTCTCAAGTAAATTTGTTTAAAATGTTCCATTTCTATTTTACCATTGCAGGGTGGGGACCTGGAAGATTTAAGTAATCTAAATGCATAACCCCCAAATTTCCTTAATATAAGTAATGTATTTTATTTGAGGTTCTGGGGTACATGTGCAGGTTTGTTATATGGGTGAACTCATGTCATGGAGATTTGTTGTACAGATTATTTTGTTGCCCAGGTATTAGGCCGAGTACCCAATAGTTATTTTTTCTGATCCTTTCCCTCCTCCCACTCTCCACCCTCACATAGGGCTCGGTGTCTTTTGTTACTCTCTTTGTGTCCATGAGTTCTCATAGTTAGCTCCTTATAAGTGAGAAGACGCGGTATTTGGTTTCTGTTCCTGCGTTAGTTTGCTAAGGATAATGGCCTCCAGCTCCATCCATGTTCCCGCAAAAGACATGATCTCATTATTTTTTATAACATATATTTTTTCAATATCAAATCATTTAAAGTTAGAAATGGTTCATTTACTAATAACCCAAGCAGTTGCAGAAGTATCTTCTTTGTTCCGGAGATTTTCACCAGGCCCAGGTATATATACCAGCCTATTGTTCAGCACAACTTAGAAAGTGTTTTAAAGTTTCATCTTAAAAGACATGGGTATTGGGATGTGCTTATGGTTCACCATAGCATGTATTTCATTAAAAGAAAAAAGAACATGGGTATTTAAAGATATTTGGATATTTTTGAGTTTTCAACATTATGACATATTATAGATACATTAAAAAGTATAGGTGATAGTATTATCAATACCTAATGTACTGATCATCTGATATAAGAAGATTATTGCAACCATAATTGAAGCCCCTTGTGAAACCTACCTCCCACCCTCCTTCCCTCTCCAGTTTTTTTTTTTTTTTTTTTTTTTTTGAGATGGAGTCTTGCCCTGTCACCCAGGCTGGAGTGCGATGGCGTGAACTTGGCTCACTGCAACCTCCACCTCCACCTCCCAGGTTCAAATAATTCTCCTGCCTTAGCCTCTTGAGTAGCTTGGATTACAGGCACCTGCCACCATGCCCGGCTAATTTCTGTATTTTTAGTAGAGACAGGGTTTCACCATATTGGCCAGGCTGGTCTTGAACTCCTGATCTTGTGATTCGCCCGTCTCAGCCTCCCAAAGTGCTGGGATTACAGGCTTGAGACACCGTGCCCAGCCCCTCATCTCCAATTTTTATAATATATATATATATATATACACACACACACACACACACACACATAGCCTTAAAAATTATGCTATCTTTGGCATGTTTTAATTTTTATGTAAATTGTATCATTAATATATATATCCCTACTTTCAAAGAGTTCAAACCCTTTTATTGCTATTTAGCAATGTATTTTTTAGATATCCATTTTGGCAGATCTAGCTCTATTTCATTCACTTTCACTGATGGTTGCTATTTATTGGGTGAATAAATCCAAAAATTTTTCAGCCATTCCTATTTTTTGTTTTGTTTTTGGGATGGAGTCTTCCTGTTTTGCCCAGGCTGGAGTGCAGTGGTACCATCTCGGCTCACTGCAACCTCTGCCTCCTGAGTTCAAGTGATTCTCCTGCCTCAGCCTTTTGAGTAGCTGGGATTACAAGCAGGCGCCACCATGCCCTGCTAATTTTTGTATTTTTAGTAGAGACAAGGTTTCACCATGTTGGCCAGGCTAGGGTCGAACTCCAGACCTCAAGTGATCCGGCTTCCTCGGCCTCCCAAAGTGCTGGAGTTACAGGCGTGTGCCACTGTACCCAACCCCTCTCCAGCTTTGATTTTTATATAAATTGTATCATAGTATACATACCCTTTCTTTCAAAACGTTCAAAAACACTTTTATTGTTGTTTAGCAATATGTCTTTTTTATTTATTTTCATTTATTTATTTATTTATTTATTTATTTATTTATTTTGACACAGAATCTCGCTGTGTCGCCCAGGCTGGAGTGCAGTGGCACGATCTCTGCTCACTGCAAGCTCCGCCTTCCGGGTTCACGCCATTCTCCTGCCTCAGCCTCCGGAGTAGCTGGGACTACAGGCACCTGCCAACCACGCCCGGCTAATTTTATTTTTATATTTTTAGTTGAGACAGTGTTTCACCATGTTAGCCAGGATGGTCTCGATCTCCTGACCTCACGATCCACCAACCTTGGCCTCCCAAAGTGCTGGGATTATAGGCGTGAGCCACCGCGCCCAGCCAGCAATATGTTTTTTAGATTTATCCATGTTGACAGATCTGGCTCTATTCACTTTCACCAATGGTTGTTATTCATTGGGTGAGTAAATCAAAACATCTTTCAGCCATTTTTATATTGAATGATTGATTTCAAAATTTTTTTCAGTTTCAAAAATATTGTATTAAATATTATTTTCCAATTATCCATATGTCCTTAGAAAATAATTTCTTTAGGAATATATATATGTAGCAATAGGATTGCTGGGTTATAGGGTACACCCATCTTCACTAGATGTGGCCAAATTGTTCTCTAAAGTGATTGTATTAATACCAATTTATAGGCTCCACTAGCAGTGTTCCCTTGCTGATTCTCTCACTAAAATGTATCATCAGAATTTTGTATTTTTTCCAATCTGCTGAGTGTGAATGGAATAACTTATTGTTTCAATAGGAATTTCCCTGGTTGTAACTGACGTTGAGCATCTTTTTATGTATTTACTGGCCATTCAGGTTCCTTATTCTGAGAATTATATCTTTTTTCCTTATTTCTTAGGTTGCTTATGTTGTTAATGGTTTATAGGAGTTCTTTATAATATTTGGTCATGAATCTTTTTTCTCCCAATCTGTGGCTTATGTTTTGATTTTTAAATGCCATCTTTTAGGCTGGCCACGGTGGCTCATGCCTGTAATCCCAGCACTCTGGGAGGCCGAGGTGGGCAGATTGCTTGATCCCAACAGTTCAAGACCAGCCTGGGCAACATAGTGACACCTCGTCTCTACAAAAAATACAAAAAAATTTAGCCAGGCATTGTGGCATGCACCTGTAGTCCCAGTTACTGGGGAGGCTGTGGTGAGAGGCTCCCTTGAGCCTGGGAATGCCGCTGCACTCCAGCCTATCTTAAAAAAAAACGCACAAAAAAATTAGCCGGGCGTGGTGGCGGGCGCCTGTAGTCCCAGCTACGCGGCAGGCTGAGGCAGGAGAATGGCGTGAACCCGGGAGGCGGAGCTTGCAGTGAGCCGAGATCGTGCCACTGCACTCCAGCCTGGGCGACAGAGCGAGACTCCGTCTCAAAAAAAAAAAAAAAAAAAAAAGTTATTTTTCAATTAACAAAACATTCGTTATTTGAACATTTTTCTGTTTTATAAAATTTTTCATACCGTGAGACCGCATAAAGCTATTTTCCAATATTTTTCTTAATGTTTTAAATGTTTTGTTTTCTTCATTTAGCTTTTAACCTGCCTGCAGTTGAATTTTGAAAACTGTGTGGGATAGGGACCTCATTTTATTTTATTTTTCCAAAAGAACAACCAATTATTGTAGCACAACTTATTGAATGCAAATTTCCTATGCTGGGAATGGGAAAATGTTTGTTAATCCTGTTTGGGCTTTTCTTCTTGAAACTAAGAGCGTTCAGTTATTGTCATTTCTGAGAAAACTTAAGATATTATTGTCTCTTTGAATTCTTTTTCCCGAATTTTTTTCTACTTTCTCTTTCTAAAACTCATATTAGAACTACATTAGACCTTCTAATTCTCGTTTCCACGTTTCTTAACTTCTTTTTCATGGTGTTTTTCACTGATTATCTTGCCTTCTGTGCAATTTCCTTAGATTTAAGTTAACGCTTATTATTTCTTCAGCTGTGTCTAATATTCTCTTTAACATTTCCATTGAGCATTAGTTTCAATAACTACATTTTTCATTTACATAAATTCTATTTTTCTTTTTCAAATCTTTTTCTTTTTAGTCCTTATTAGCCTTTAATAAAATCTTTTAATCCTTTTCTATGGGTCATTAGTTTTACAGATATCCGATTTTTCTTTTCTCTTAATTTAAACATACTTAAAAAAAATCTGTGATAATTCTATTACCTGAGTTCTTCCCATCATGTGTTGTGTAGATCGATTTGATTAGAGTTTCCTTCTTTGTTTGCAGATTTTGAAAGGGGAACTTAAGCGGGTTTTTTGGGTGGGAATCTTGTACAATCTCCTGAACAGATTTTAATTTCCTTCTACCAAGGATATTACCAGCTTGGCAGCAATTTTTTTGTTGTTAGGTTTTTGGCTTACATATCTCCAGACAATTGAATATAGTAGTTTATGCCTCTTTTATGTGTTTATTTATTTGGGGGACTGGATTAAGAGACTGGCTAATTTTTGTATTTTTGAGATGGGGTTTAGTCATGCTGCCCAGGCTGCTCTCAAACTCCTGGCCTCAAGTGATCCACCCACCTCGGCCTCCCAAAGTGCTGGGATTACAGGTATGAGCCACTGTACCCAGCCTCTTTCCCTCTTTTGGATGGCAGTGTTTAGTATACCCTTTGTAGAGGGGAAAAACTTTAGGGCGCCTTTCTTGATTCAGGAGCCTCAGCTGCATCTCCTTTTTCTCAGAAAGACTCCAGGCCTCAACTGTTACTCATGTGGTCATTAAGATCGTAGCCTTTTGTATGCAAAGACAAATAAAACCCTGTAGCACTGTCTAGCATTACCAGCTCATTCTTACCTTTCTGGCTGAAGTTTCTTCATCACTTTTGGCCACTGTAGACCTGTTACCTTACTACATTTTGTTTTATAGCAGGAACGTTTTCCGGTTTTCCCTGTAAAGGGTTAGGTAACTCCCTCATTGGCAGAAGGGGAAGTCCATTTACTTGATTCTGCAAGCTTGGCTATCAGATAAAAGTCTTGGCTTAGAAAGAAAATGACTTAAACAGTAATAGAACTAAACAATTACAGAGTAGAATATAAATGTTTACTTTATAAACATATAATATGTTCACTTTAAAATCAGTATTGTGCTTTTGACTGCATTAAACTGTAATTTCAGGAAAACAACTTACTCTTTACTGAAAATGTTTTTACCCTTTCAACAGGTACTTACTGAATGTCTACTGTTTGCACAACAGCATGTGATACGCTTCAGATTTCAGCATGTTAACTACTGACCTATTTCTCTCTCTCAGCCAAAGGATAAACAAACTGATGTTTGAATCACAAAAATGATAATCAATGCTGTGTGTGTCTTCCCTGTTAAAAATATGTTCTTAAAACAAAACAAGAAAGAGTGTAAATGGTGCTGGAATTTTGGTAATCTTGTCATGAGCATACTACCCATTGAAAGCAATTAGCCCTCTTGTTCTTTTTTTTTTATTATTATACTTTAAGTTTTAGGGTACATGTGCACAACGTGCAGGTTAGTTACATATGTATACATGTGCCATGCTGGTGTGCTGCACCCATTAACTCGTCATTTAGCATTAGGTATATCTCCTAATGCTATCCCTCCCCCCTCCCCCCACCCCACAACAGTCTCCAGAGTGTGATATTCCCCTTCCTGTGTCCATGTATTCTCATTGTTCAATTCCCACCTATGAGTGAGAATATGCGGTGTTTGGTTTTTTGTCCTTGCGATAGTTTACTGAGAATGATGATTTCCAATTTCATCCATGTCCCTACAAAGGACATGAACTCATCATTTTTTATGGCTGCATAGTATTCCATGGTGTATATATGCCACATTTTCTTAATCCAGTCTATCATTGTTGGACATTTGGGTTGGTTCCAAGTCTTTGTTATTGTGAATAGTGCCACAATAAACATACGTATGCATGTGTCTTTATAGCAGCATGATTTATAGTCCTTTGGGTATATACCCAGTAATGGGATGGCTGGGTCAAATGGTATTTCTAGTTCTAGATCCCTGAGGAATCACCACACTGACTTCCACAATGGTTGAACTAGTTTACAGTCCCACCAACAGTGTAAAAGTGTTCCTATTTCTCCACATCCTCTTCAGCACCTGTTGTTTCCTGACTTTTTAATGATCACCATTCTAACTGGTGTGAGATGGTATCTCATTGTGGTTTTAATTTGCATTTCTCTGATGGCCAGTGATGATGAGCATTTTTTCATGTGTTTTTTGGCTGCATAAATGTCTTCTTTTGAGAAGTGTCTGTTCATGTCCTTTGCCCACTTTTTGATGGGGTTGTTTGTTTTTTTCTTGTAAATTTGTTTGAGTTCTTTGTAGATTCTGGATATTAGCCCTTTGTCAGATGAGTAGGTTGTGAAAATTTTCTCCCATTCTGTAGGTTGCCTGTTCACTCTGATGGTAGTTTCTTTTGTTGTACAGAAGCTCTTTAGTTTAATGAGATCCCATTTGTCAATTTTGGCTTTTGTTGCCATTGCTTTTGGTGTTTTAGACATGAAGTCCTTGCCCATGCCTATGTCCTGAATGGTAATGCCTAGGTTTTCTTCTAGGGTTTTTATGGTTTTAGGTCTAACGTTTAAGTCTTTAATCCATCTTGAATTAATTTTTGTATAAGGTGTAAGGAAGGGATCCAGTTTCAGCTTTCTACATATGGCTAGCCAGTTTTCCCAGCACCATTTATTAAATAGGGAATCCTTTCCCCATTGCTTGTTTTTCTCAGGTTTGTCAAAGATCAGATGGTTGTAGATATGCGGCGTTATTTCTGAGGGCTCTGTTCTGTTTCATTGATCTATACCTCTGTTTTGGTACCAGTACCATGCTGTTTTGGTTACTGTAGCCTTGTAGTATAGTTTGAAGTCCGGTAGTGTGATGCCTCCAGCTTTGTTCTTTTGGCTTGGGATTGACTTGGCGATGCGGGCTCTTTTTTGGTTCCATATGAACTTTAAAGTAGTTTTTTCCAATTCTGTGAAGAAAGTCATTGGTAGCTTGATGGGGATGGCATTGAATCTATAAATTACCTTGGGCAGTATGGCCATTTTCAATACCTAATTTTTTGAGAGTTTTTAGCATGAAGCATTGTTGAATTTTGTCAAAGGCCTTTTCTGCATCTATTCAGATAATCATGTGGTTTTTGTCTTTGGTTCTGTTTATATGCTGGATTACATTTATTGATTTGCATATATTAAACCAGCCTTGCATCCCAGGGATGAAGCCCACTTGATCATGATGGATAAGCTTTTTGATGTGCTGCTGGATTGGGTTTGCCAGTATTTTATTGAGGATTTTTGCATCAATGTTCATCAAGGATATTGGTCTAAAATTCTCTTTTTTTGGTTGTGTCTCTGACCGGCTTTGGTATCAGGATGATGCTGGCCTCATAAAACGAGTTAGGGAGGATTCCCTCTTTTTCTATTGATTGGAATAGTTTCAGAAGGAATGGTACCAGCTCCTCCTTGTACCTGTGGTAGAATTCGGCTGTGAATCCATCTGGTCCCGGACTCTTTGGTTGGTAAGCTATTGATTTTTGCCACAATTTCAGAGCCTGTTATTGGTCTATTCAGAGATTCAACTTCTTCCTGGTTTAGTCTTGGGAGGGTGTATGTGTTGAGGAATTTATCCATTTCTTCCAGATTTTCTAGTTTATTTGCTTAGAGGTGTTTGTAGTATTCTCTGATGGTAGTTTGTATTTTTGTGGGATCGGTGGTGATATCCCCTTTATCATTTTTTATTGCATCTATTTGATTCTTCTCTCTTTTCTTCTTTGTTAGTCTTGCTAGCAGTCTATCAATTTTGTTGATCCTTTCAAAAAACCAGCTCCTGGATTCATTAATTTTTTGAAGGTTTTTTTGTATCTCTATTTCCTTCAGTTCTGCTCGGATTTTAGTTATTTCTTGCCTTCTGCTAGCTTTTGAATGTGTTTGCTCTTGCTTTTCTAGTTCTTTTAATTGTGATGTGAGGATGTCAATTTTGGATCTTCCCTGCTTTCTCTTGTGGGCATTTAGTGCTATAAATTTCCCTCTACACACTGCTTTGAATGTGTCCCAGAGATTCTGATATGTTGTGTCTTTGTTCTCGTTGGTTTCAAAGAACATCTTTATTTCTGCCTTCATTTCGTTATGTACCCAGTAGTCGTTCAGGAGCAGGTTGTTCAGTTTCCATGTAGTTGTGCGGTTTTGAGTGAGTTTCTTAATCCTGAGTTCTAGTTTGATTGCACTGTGGTCTGAGAGACAGTTTGTTATAATTTGTGTTCTTTTACATTTGCTGAGGAGAGCTTTACTTCCAACTATGTGGTCAATTTTGGAATAGGTGTGGTGTGGTGCTGAAAAAAAATGTATATTCTGTTGATGTGGGGTGGAGAGTTCTGCAGATGTCTATTAGGTCCACTTGGTGCAGAGCTGAGTTCAATTCCTGGGTATCCTTGTTAACTTTCTGTCTCATTGATCTGTCTGATATTGACAGTGGAGTGTTAAAGTCTCCCATTATTATCGTGTGGGAGTCTAAGTCTCTTTGTAGGTCACTCAGGACTTGCTTTATGAATCTGGGTGCTCCTGTATTGGGTGCATATATATTTAGGATAGTTAGCTCTTCTTGTTGAATTGATCCCTTTACCATTATGTAATGGCCTTCTTTGTCTCTTCTGATCTTTGTTGGTTTAAAGTCTGTTTTATCAGAGACTAGGATTGCAACCCCTGCGTTTTTTGTTTTCCATTTGCTTGGTAGATCTTCCTCCATCCTTTTATTTTGAGCCTATGTGTGTCTCTGCACGTGAGATAGGTTTCCTGAATACAGCACACTGATGGGTCTTGACTCTTTATCCAATTTGCCAGTCTGTGTCTTTTAATTGGAGCATTTAGTCCATTTACATTTAAAGTTAATATTGTTATGTGTGAATTTGATCCTGTCATTATGATGTTAGCTGGTTATTTTGCTCGTTAGTTGATGCAGTTTCTTCCTAGCCTTGATGGTCTTTACAATTTGGCATGATTTTCAGTGGCTGGTACCAGTTGTTCCTTTCCATGTTTAGTGCTTCCTTCAGGAGCTCTTTTAGGGCAGGCCTGGTGGTGACAAAATCTCTCAGCATTTGCTTTCTGTAAAGTATTTTATTTCTCCTTCACCTATGAAGCTTAGTTTGGCTGGATATGAAATTCTGGGTTGAAAATTCTTTTCTTTAAGAATGTTGAATATTGGCTCCCACTCTCTTCTGGCTTGTAGAGTTTCTGCCGAGAGATCAGCTGTTAGTCTGATGGGCTTCCCTTTGTGGGTAACCCGACCTTTCTCTCTGGCTGCCCTTATTTTTTCCTTCATTTCAACTTTGGTGAATCTGACAATTATGTGTCTTGGAGTTGCTCTTCTCGAGGAGTATCTTTGTGGTGTTCTCTGTATTTCCTGAATCTGAATGTTGGCCTGCCTTGCTAGATTGGGGAAGTTCTCCTGGATAATATCCTGCTGAGTGTTTTCCAGCTTGATTCCATTCTCACCATCACTTTCAGGTACACCAATCTGACGTTGATTTGGTCTTTTCACATAGTCCCATATTTCTTGGAGGCTTTGTTCATTTCTTTTTATTCTTTTTTCTCTAAACTTCCCTTCTCACTTCATGTCATTCAGTTCATCTTCCATCACTGATACCCTTTCTTCCAGTTGATTGCATCAGCTCCTGAGGCTTGTGCATTCTTCATGTAGTTCTCGAGCCTTGGCTTTCAGCTCCATCAGCTCCTTTAAGCACTTGTCTGTATTGATTATTCTAGTTATACATTTGTCTAAAATTTTTTCAAAGTTTTTAACTTCTTTGTCTTTGGTTTGAATTTCCTCCTGTAGCTCAGAGTAGTTTGATCGTCTGAAGCCTTCTTCTCCCAACTCATCAAAGTCATTCTCCGTCTAGCTTTGTTCCATTGCTGGTGAGGAGCTGCATTCCTTTGGAGGAGGAGAGGCACTCTGCTTTTTAGAGTTTCCAGTTTTTCTGCTCTGTTTTTTCCCCATCTTTGTGGTTTTATCTACTTTTGGTCTTTGATGATGGTGATGTACAGATGGGTTTTTGGTGTGGATGTCCTTTCTGTTTGTTAGTTTTTCTTCTAACAGACAGGACCCCTCAGCTGCAGGTCTGTTGGAGTTTGTTAGAGGTCCACTCCAGACCCTGTTTGCCTGGGTATCAGCAGCGGTGGCTGCAGAACAGTGGATTTTCGTGAACCATGAATGCTGCTGTCTGATCATTCCTCTGGAAGTTTTGTCTCAGAGGAGTACCCGGCCGTGTGAGGTGTCAGTTTGCCCCTACTGGGGCGTGCCTCCCAGTTAGACTGCTCGGGGGTTAGGGGTCAGGGACCCACTTGAGCAGGCAGTCTGCCTGTTCTCAGATCTCCAGCTGCGTGCTGGGAGTACCACTGCTCTCTTCAAAGCTGTCAGAGAGGGACATTTAAGTCTGCAGAGGTTACTGCTGTCTTTTTGTTTGTCTGTGCCCTGCCCCCATAGGTGGAGCCTACAGAGGCAGGCAGGCCTCCTTGAGCTGTGGTGGGCTCCACCCTCTTCGAGCTTCCCGGCTGCTTTGTTTACCTAAGCAAGCCTGGGCAATGGCGGGCGCCCCTCCCCTAGCCTTGCTGCCGCCTTGCAGTTTGAACCCAGACTGCTATGCTAGCAATCATCGAGACTCCATGGGCATCGGACCCTCTGAGCCAGGTGCGGGATATAATCTCCTGGTGCACCGTTTTTTAAGCCCATTGGAAAAGTGCAGTATTAGGGTGGGAGTGACCCGATTTTCCAGGTGCCGTCTGTCACCCCTTTCTTTGACTAGGTAAGGGAACTCCCTGACCCCTTGCCCTTCCTGAGTGAGGCAATGCCTTGCCCTCCTTCGGCTCGCACACAGTGCGCTGCACCCACTGTCCTGCGCCCACTGTCTGGCACTCCCTAGTGAGATGAACCTGGTACCTCAGATGGAAATGCAGAAATAACCCGTCTTTTGCGTCACTCACGCTGGGAGCTGTAGACTGGAGCTGTTCCTATTCGGCTGTCTTGAAATGTATCCCCCAATTAGCCCTCTTCTTCTTTTCTAAATGGATATGTAGCTTAGTGGAGTACCAAGGACTTGCAACTTGAATCTGATTTTATTTTATTTTTTAAACAAGTAATTATGACTCAAGAGAAGAATCAATGGATATATCTATACTTATACATATACAATGGATATATCTATACTTATACAAAATGAACTCATGTGTATGTTTGTTTTGCTCCCTTAGAAATAATATCCTGTTATTTGTACCAATGTTCCGGAAATCTGCAAGCCTGGTTAACTCAGTAAGAGAATGCACATGGACGCCAGTTCACATTTATTGATTTGGTAGAGAGAGAAAGCAAGAATACAGTAGTCCCAGCATATTTAGTTTTTGCTTTCTGTGGTTTCGTTTATCCTTGGTCAACCACAATCTGAAAATATTAAATGGAAAACTCCAGAACTAAACAATTCATCAGTTTTAAATGTCACGCTGTTCTGAGTAACATGATGAAATCTTGCGTCATCCTGCTCCATCCTGCTCAGGGTGTGACTCATCCCTCAGTCCAGCGGATCCCTTTGGTCACTTAGCTGTCTCGGTTGTCAGATCAACTGTCCTGTTGTCGCATTGCTTGTGTTTGTCACCCTTATTTCACTTAATAATGATCCCAAAGCACAAATAGTGTACTGGCTATTGTTGCTAATCCCTTACTGTGCCTAGTTTATAAATTGAACTTTATCATAGGGATGTGTGTATTAAGAAAACATAGCATATATAGGATTGGGTTCTACTAAGGGTTTCGGGCATCCACAAGGAGTCTTGGAACTTATCCCCTGTGGATAAGAGGGAACTACTGTGCTGTGAGTAATGCCTGTGTCCTGTCACCCTTCTGAAAGGTCACCACAAACGGGGTTTGAAGCAAAGCATTGTCTTGAGAAGAAATAATCAGAATTGACCAAATAATTCACATCATATTGTTACCGGGGGGTCCTTGCTCTCAGAACTCCCAAGATGGTTGTGGGCCACTTCCAAGATGGCAGCAAGCCTCTTGTTCTCTAACCTGGCATTCTTGGCCTCATGGATTCCAAGGAATAGAATCTTGGGCCAGGCGGTGAGTGTTATAGCTCTATTAGAAGCCATGGGTCACGGAAGAGAACCGTAGAACCCAGCAACTAGTATTCAGCTCGATTAGGACGAACCCAGGCACTTAACTGTGCAGCAACAATGGCAAGCCTTTATCCCATTGGGCGCCCCGCTGGATCAGAAGCACAGCAGACACCCTGCCGGATCCGGAGTGGTGAAAGTCAGTGACGGGTCTGCGACAGAGGCAAACAGCAGTAGTGGACGGCGAGTGAAAGCTCAGCTCCAGCCGTAACAAACATGGACCAGAAGAGTGTGCAGCTGCAAGATTTAATAGAGTGAAAATAGAGCTCCCATACAAAGCGAGGGGATCCAAAGCAGGTGGCCATTGCTGGCCGGAATGCCTGGGTTTATATCCTGATCATTGTCCCTCCCCCTGTGCTCTCAGGCAATAGATGATTGGCTATTTCTTTACCTGCTGTTTTTGCCTAATTAGCGTTTTAGTGAGCTCTCTTTACTACCTGATTGGTCGGGTATGAGCTAAGTTGCAAGCCCCGTGTTTAAAGGTGGATGCAGTCACCTTCCCAGCTAGGCTTAGGGATTCTTAGTCTGCCCAGGAAATCCAGCTAGTCCTGTCTATCAATATGACTATACCAGAACGTTTCTATGCCTTTAAATGTCTAAAGAGCTCTCTAGGTATAAGGATTATACAACTATTCTTTGAGTCAACAGAATTTATAAGAAGTTTGAGTTGGGCATGGTGACTCATACTTGTAATCCCAGCACTTCGGGAGGCCAAGGCGGGCGGATCACAAGGTCAGGAGTTCAAGACCAGCCTGGCAAAGATGGTGAAACCCCATCTCTACTAAAAAAAAAAATACAAAAAAATTAGCCAGGCACGGTGGCAGGTGCCTATAATCTTAGCTACTCAGGAGGCTGAGACAGAGAATTACTTGAGCCGAGGAGGCAGAGGTTGCAGTGAGCCAAGATGGCGCCACTGCACTCCAGCCTGGGCGACAAAGTGAGACTCTGTCTCAAAAAAAAAAGTTTGTTTCAAGGTCACTGTGATCTTGAAGCAAGCTGGCACACAAGCAATCTCCAAATGGCTCTTCCTGTGGTCCCAAACTATTGTGAGGTGGCTCAGGAACTCCAAGGGACACCCCAGGAGTATGAAGACAGGAGGACAATCAATGTCCGTGGCTGCATTGTGTGGCCTCTCTGACTTTCTTTCCCTAATGCCTGAGATGTCCATGGGACCCCCACACAGCCCACGACAATGGAAAAGCCTGTTGGGCTGTTTTGCTTTTTCCCATGGTTTAGTTGACTAGCAGGTCTGAGATGGTGCCATCTTTCTTAGAATTGAATTTGTGGTTTATCTGACTCACAAACCATCAATGAATGACGAATTCATTTACAAACACTTGATAAGAATCTACTAGGTGCTTGGGTTGAAGTGACAGAGGCTATTAAGAAATGGTTCCTGCCCTGAAGAAATTTACAGGATGGTGCAGGAGTCAGAGGAGTCAATAAATCTGTTTAATACAATATGATGAGGTCAATGTGGACAGAGAGGGAGCGTGTAGCCAACCTTGGGAATGTTGGGGAGAGGGTCAGAAAGGTGGTCCTGGAAGAAGTGACCTCAGACTTAAGGAATAAGAGATTTGCTGGTTTGCCAAGTAAAGTTTCCTCAACCACAAGAGAAAAGCAA
Organism: Homo sapiens; assembly: GCF_000001405.40. Classification (NCBI taxonomy): domain Eukaryota; kingdom Metazoa; phylum Chordata; class Mammalia; order Primates; family Hominidae; genus Homo; species Homo sapiens. The sequence goes on from NC_000010.11 coordinate 23,514,840, forward strand.
AGCTTAGGTATTCTTTAGTTAGGAACAGAGCAAGAGTAGCTCCTTCCTCTTATTACCCCCATACTACACAATGTAAGGTGTAGTTCTTTTCTTTTCTTTTCTTTCTTCCTTCCTTCCTTCTTTCCTTCCTTCCTTCCTTTCTCCTTCCTTCCTTCCTTCTTTCCCTCACCTCCTTCTTCCATCCTCTCTCTCTCTCTCTTTCTTTCCTTCTTTCTTTCTCTTTCCCTCTTTCTTTTCTTTCTTTCCTTCTTTTTGCTCTCTCTCTCTCTTTCTTTCTTTCTTTCCTCTTTTTTTTTTTTTTTTTTTTTTTTTGAGACAGGGTCTCACTCTGTCACCCAGGCTGGAGTGCAGTGGCATCATCACGTCTCACTGCAGCCTCAACTTCCCCGGCTCAAGTGATCCTTCCTCCTCAGCCTCCCGAGTAACTGTGACTACAGGCACATTATCACTCCGCTTGGCTAGTTTTTTTATTCTTTGTAGTGATGGGGTCTCCCCATGTTGCCCAGAATGGTCTTCAACTCCTGGGCTCAAGTGATCCTCGCACCTTGGCCTCCCAAAGTGCTGGGATTGCAGTCATGAGCCACCATGCCTGGCCTGGTGTAGCTGTTTCTTGAAGCAAACTTTTCCACTTGATTCTCCTGGTTTTTGTTTTCTTTTTATTACTGTGACAACTTAGCCCCTACTAATATGTACAGTCTTATTTTCAGAAGCAAAAGGATTTCATCTTCTGAATGGCTTAGATATTGTATATCATAATTGACATCTAGAAAGTGCATGCTCCATCTTCCACTGCTGGACCAAGGCTGATTTGCCCAGAGAAGATGTCACAGGAGGGTGACAATGGATATTGCATGTTCAGTCAGTCTCCTCTCAGGCAACATATCAACTGGAAAAGACTTATAGTGGCTGCAGTCTGAATCTCAGGCTGGGATCCGGGTCAAACAATGCATCTTATAACTGCAGTGATTAGAGCAAAGCCTTGACCATTTGCTTTGAACTCCATTGATGAGTATAGGAATTCAAACAATGAATGGAAATGAAGGATAGCTTTAGATTGGAGGCATGGAAAATAGATGGCAAGCTCTGAGAGTTTGCAGGGACAAAGTGTTCTTGATCTTCACTCCAGTGAATTGACATCTTCCCACATTTTGAAAATTTTTATTTTTACCATTGAAAAGAAACAATTCAATTTAACGTGACTTCACTGAGTGTTCACTCTTAGGAAGCTACTTTAATGAGTACTGGGTTTAGAAGGATGAAAAAGACTTATTTTTGCTTCAAATTGCTTTCAATGTAGATGGACTCTTGAATGTATAACCATAATGCAATGACAGAGTGAATTTCGCTAATAGGTGAAAAAATTATATTTCTGTGATCTTATTACCCCTGATTCCAAGACAAAGTGTGATAAAATGCAGGAGTCACAGCCAGGCCCATATCTCCCCAGAGCTGTTTGTTCCATAATTTTGCCTGTATGCTACACTTCCAGATCCCAGTCATCATTAATATCTATGGATTTACTTTAGCACTTTTGTGGAATTCTGCAGCCACATGCAGACTCAGCTCCATAATTGACACAAATAGACGGTCTCCAAACTCCCTGTTCCCGGAATCCCCACCTCTGCTCAGTGTCTCCTCACTCCCAACACTAACCTTGGCCCCAGTTTATTCTGTCTTTGATTTGTCCTCTTCCTCTGCCATTCAAAATCATTTATTCAAGTCCTACCATTCTTGAACCTCCGTGGGTTTTAGCAAGGTGTAGCTAAAATAAAAAATGGAAAAAGCGCTCCTTGGAGCTGCAACCTGGGCAATTTAAACCATTAGTGCAAATTTCAACAGTAGAGACAGAATCCTGAAAGAACTGAGGGTGGCAGTAGAGGAACAAGCATGCTATCTGGCCTTGGTGCTGAAAACAGCCAGATACAGGAATTCCAGCTTCATTCAATTTTCTCTCACAGATGGATTATTTCTCTTCACGTTTCCATTTCTCTTCTTTTTACCCCTTTTTAATTCAGCTTTTTGTCTTTTCTCCCTGATTCTCTTCCTCCATGTCTTCTCAACTGCTTTTGAAGAGTGTGCAATTGGAGATATCATTTCTAGTTTTTTTTTCTTCTTTCCATCAAGAAATATTAAATCTGACATCCTATGCCTTTTCATCCACTAAAGACTTAAATAAATAGGCTCTACAAACTTATATAACGAAGTTCATTCTCTGTCATCTTTAATGCAAAACTTAGAGAACTAATACTGGGCAGGTAAAATTAGAGAAGATATGGATTTAGGGAATTGCCTGTAGAGTTTTTAGCAAGCAGCCAAACTACTTAAGTATCTGCATGAGGGGTTGGCTAACTACGGCTGGTGGTTCAAAACTAGTCTGTTGCTTGCTTTTGTAAATAAAGTTTTATTGGAACATAGCCATTCTCACTTCTCTACATATTATCTCCCAGTGCTTTTGCACTTCAGTGGCAGAGTTGAGTAGTTGTGACAGAGCTGTATGGCCTGCAAATCTTTAAATATTTACTTTCCGGCCCTTTCCAGAATTTGCTGACCCCTGCTCTAGGTGACTGTATTAGTATGCTGAGGCTAAAGTATACTGAAGCAGCAAGTAATTGCAAAACCTCAATGGCTTAGAACAAAGGGTTATTTCTCATTCACATGACATGATCCTTGAGAGTCAGTTTCAATATGTCACTCCAGAATGCAGGCTACAGGAGCAGCCCCTATCTGGAATATTACTGATTTAGTAAAGAGTTTAAAAGAGAGAAAGTGGAACCACAATAGCTCTTACAACTTTTCTTAAGTGGCACATGTCACTTTCACTCATGTTTCATTGGCCAAGAAAGTCACAAGGCCAAACCTGGGGAAGGAAGTGTATTTCTCCGCAGGGACTTCTGGTATAGCATGCTACGTTCCCCACCGGGTTACTTAAGGATTTATACTGGCTGCCTGAATCTTGAAGGCCAAGTGGTGTGCTAAGGTCACAGGGCCCAGCCGAGAAGCAGGTGTACCTGGGAACCCAAACTGAGAGTATCTGAGAACCTACCAAGAAAAACAGTCTCATCATCCAAACACAGTAGGCAAAGAGCCAGAAAATTATCTTAAAAGCATTTGAGAGATGGGAGGCGACACTCATCTCTAGAGCTGTGCTGCTATCATCTAGGAGTACCCTGTATGTAAGTCCTAATAAACTCATCTACTCACCAAGCTGGACTTGTTGAAGTCATTTTTTTTTTTTTTTTGTATCTCTGTTCCTTCCCATTTTAGGGAAGGGGGATGTTATAGTCCTAGGCTTTTCTTGTAACATCTGGGAGGGATGACCTGGCTAGGAAGATCTGGAAAATACTTTAACAATAGGATACAGTTGGTCCTTGAACAAATTGGGGTTTGGGATGCTGACCACCTGCACAGTGAAAAATTCATTTATATCATTTTTTTCTTTTTCAATTTTTTATTTTCAATACGGGAGTACAAGTGCAAATTTGTTACCTGGGTATACTGTGTGATGCCGAGGTTAAGAGTATGAATGATCCTCTCACCCAGGTACTGAGAATAGTTTTTTCTCAGTACCCAACAGTTTTTTCTTCTTCCTTCCTTCCTTCCTTCCTTCTTTACTCCCTCCCTCCCTCCCTTGCTTCCTTCCTTCTTTCCTATTTTCCTTCCTTCCTTCCTTCCTCCCTCCCTCCCTTCCTTCCCTCCTTCTTTCCTATTTTCCTTCCTTCCTTCCTTCCTTTTTTCCTTCCTTCCTTCCTTCCTAATTCCTCCCTCTCTCCCACCTTTTTTTTTTGAGATAGGGTCTCACTCTGTCACCCAAGCTGGAGTGCAGTGGCATGATCTTGGCTCACTGCAGCCTCAACCTCCCGTGTTCAAGTGATTGTCCTGCCTCAGTTCCTGAGTAGCTGGGACTACAGGTGCACACCACCACACCTGAGTAATTTTTGCATTTTTTTTTTTTTAGAGACAGGGTTTTGCTGTGTTACCTAGGCTGGGTTTGAACTCCTGAGCTCAAGCAATCTGCCTGCCTCCGTCTCCCAAATTGCTGGGATTACAGGCATGAGTCATCATGCCTGACCAACCCAACAAATTTTTAATCCTTGCCATCTTCTTTCCCTCCCCTGTCTAGTGGTCTCCATTGTCTATTGTTGCCATCTTTATATCCACGAGCACCCGATGTTTAGCTCTCACTTGTAAGTGAGAACATGTGGTATTTGGTTTTCGGTTCCTGTGTTAATTTGCTTAGGATAATGGCCTACAGTTGCATCTGTGTTGCTGCCAAGGACATACTTTTATTCTTTTTTATAGCTGCATAGAATTCCATGGTGTATATGCACTGTATTTTCTTTATCCAATCCACTGTTGATGGACACCAGATTTATTCAATTTCTTTCCTATTGTGAATAGTGCTGTGATGAATATGCAAGTGTGTGTCCTTTTGGTAGAATGATTTATTTTCTTTTGGATATATACCCAGTAATGGGATTGCTGGGTCAAATTATCATTCTAAGTTCTTTGATAAATCTCTCAAATGCCTTCCAACTGAGATTGTTGAGTGGGTGAACTAATGTTCATTCCCACCAACAGTGTATAAGCATTCCCTTTTCTCAACAGCCTCACCAACATCTGCTGTATTTTGACTTTTTAATAATGGCCATTCTGGTATTAGATGGTCTCTCACTGTGGTTTTAATTTGCATGGTTCTGATGATTACTGATGATATTCATTTTTTCGTGTTTGTTGGCCATTTGTACGTCTTTTTTTAAGAAGTGTCCATGTCCTTTGCCCATTTTTTAATGGGGTTATTTGGTTTTTGCTTGTTGAATTGTTTAAGTTCCTTATAGATTCCAGATATTAGACCTTTGTCAGCTGCATAGTTTGTGAATGTTTTCTCCCATTCTGTGAGTTGTCCGTTTACTCTGTTGATAGTTTCCTTTGCTGTGTTGCAATTGTTTTTGAGGGCTTTGTTATAAATTCTTTCCTAAGGCCCATGTCCAGAATGGTTTTTCCAGGGCTTTCTTCTAGGGTTCTTATAGTTTGAGGTCTTCATATGTAACTTTTGACTCCTCCAAAACTTAATTACTAATTGTCTGCTGTGTCTGGAAGCCTTACCAATAACATCAACAACCAATGAACACCTATTTTGTATGTTACATGTATTATATACTATAGTCTTACAAAAAGTAAGCTAGAGAAAAGATAATGTTATTCAGAAAATCATAAGAAAGAGAAAATATATTTACTATTTATTAAGTGGAAGTGGGTCATCATAAAAGTCTTCATCCTTGTTGTCTTCATGTTAAGTAGGCTGGGAGGGGGAGGAAAAGGAGGGGTTGTTCTTGCTGTCTCAGGGGTGGCAGAGGTGGAAGAAAAACCATATATAAATGCACCTACTCAGTTCAAACCCAAGTTGTTCAAGGGTCAACTGTAATCTATTACAGTGCCTATTCAGCTTTTGTTAAGGATTCACCAAAAAAATGAAAACTTCTACAAGATCTTGGGGCAGAAAGGCTAATTTTTGTCCTCTTTTTTCCTTGGAGCATATTAACAGTATCAGTTCTACAATGAGTACAACCTCAGAATTCTATGTGTTCTGGGGTGAAAAGGGAACTTCAGAGCATGTGGATTCTTAGAAAGACTCCTGACCTTGCCCTCCTCCATCCTGCCACTCACAGTCACCCCCTCTGCCTATTTATTTTGAGAGTCTCAAGATTGACCTCACCCTCCCTTTATCCCCACGTTGCAGATTGAGTTTTTTGGGAAGGAGATTTGAGTGCAGGTGGTTTACAGGGATGTACTCTCATTATCACCAATAGTGGAGGGAATGAAATGCAGTTGCAATAGGAGTCTCCACAGATCTTGCAATGCTGGAGAAGCTCTGAAGCTTGGATCATCCTTCAAAGTGGTTGCCAAGGGGCCAGGCATTGATACCTCCATATTGACCAGTCATTGGATTGGGCTAAGACACTGGGCAAGGTGGCTTTTTTTTAGCCACAGGCAATTCCTGCAGAGGGGCTCAGCTAAGAGCTGTCAGCACTGATACTCCCAGCTGCTCATAAATTCTCTGTTGGAATGAATCCGTGTAACAAGAGATGGATTAACAAGAGAAAAACAACAGAACTTTATTAACATGTTTATTTCATATATTCACAGGAGATACCCATGGAATGAGTAAATCTCAAAAAAGTGGCTTTGAATTTGAGCTTCAATAGAATCTTGAACAAAGAAAAGTACATTTTTAGAGATGTGACAAGAGACAAAGGAAAAGGACTTTAATGCTCTATGGGTGGCAATTTATAGGAAGGCAAATGACCTTCAGATAAACTCTGGTGAGTAAAGCTTATTAATGTAGATTTCCCTGGTGCCATCTCCAGGCCCAGAAGGGTCTAAAGTTATCTCCACTGGTCAGCCTTTGTTCTCCCTGATAGAAGGGGATGTAGAGGGCGGGTATCTTTAGTATTTGTAAATCTATATTTTGCTTTTAGGCAAATTGAAGGAGGACAGAGTGCTTTCCTGCAACTGCTTCTTAATTGCCTTCAGCTCAGCAACCCTTTGAGAGGCATATTTTGGGGTGGCATATTCTAGTATCCCAAAAAGCTAATAGACTGAGATCATCAAAGGAATGGCAGGTAGAGAAGAGGTCTAAGAACCAAACCCTGGACAATAAAAATGAGAAGCCAGTAGGGTCAAACGCTGTTGGTGTTAGGGTAGAAGAAGGTGTGAGCTGGTGGTAGGAGAGTAGGATGCTGGAAACTGGGGATTTGAATAGGATGCATTTGTTGGTAATGACAGGAACTAGGGTGTGACCATGGAGGTGGGTGGCTGTGGGGAGAAGGAGGACAAGATCCTTGTTGGCGAAGAGCCAAACATTGGCAAGCTAATGGGTTGAACATATTACCTATATTAGGTATCAAAATCCCCAAGAATTATGGCAGGAATAGTGTTGGAGAAAGACAGTGAGTTGGGTCTAAAATCTTCAGTGATTAAGAGGTAGTGACTGTGATTTTTGTCAGTGATTACAATAATTAAGGTAGTAAGTATCTTCTAGTACTATTTTTATGAGCTTGGTTATTTCAATTTCAATTCAATTAGTATATTCAATTAGTACAGGTTTCAGTTTCTTTGTCTAAAAACAGAGAAGTTGGTCCAAGGTACCTCTAAGTTCCCCTTTTGTTCTAAAATTCTCTAACTTGAAAAAATATATAGATTGCCGTCTTTAAAAGCTCTTCTTGTTAACTGGAGAAGAGTTGAACTCTAAGCATTTCACATCTATTTAGTTCAGACTGTAATGTATAATCTTGCTAATTTGCAAGGGCATTTTCTTATAGCTAACAAGACAAACTAGGGGCCTTGATAGGTTAAAGGGGAGGACGATGAGGGAGGGGGAGGCAAGATTTAATTCTACAAGTGTACTAAGTACCAACCAGGGAAATTTGGAGTTAGTGCTCTAGGAGGTTTTGCCATTGAAGAGAGAAAATTGTGTGGCTGTAAGTTTATGAAATGAGCCACTAGTGAGTCTTTGGCATGAGAACTCTAATTGAATGAACACCCACACATATCAGAGAGGATTCCCTCGCTCCTCTGTTCTCCCTTGATCTTGCAGTCATGCTTCCCCACTTTCCTCATTGCGTCATAGTAATTTGTTTTTCTTCTCTATTACCCTGCCAGGAACTGGAACTCCATGAGGAAAGGATGGTTTTTTATTCATTTATGCACCCATCTTCGAGCCCAGTGCTTCTAATATGAGTCACTTAATAAATATCTTTTTTAAGTGATAGGGTCTTGCTATGTCACCCAGGCTGGAATGCAGTGGTGCAAGCATAGCTCACTGCAGCCTTGCACTCCTGAGCTCAAGCAATCCTTCTGCTTCAGCTTCCTGAGTAGATAAGACTGCAGGTGCGCACCACCATGCCAAGTTAATTTTTAATTTTTTTTCTGTAGAGATGAAGTCTATGTTGCCCAGGCTCATCTTGAACTCCTGGCCTCAAGTGATCCTTCTGCCTCAGCCTCCGAAAGCACTGGGATTACAGGCATAAGCCACTGTGCCCGGCTGATAAATATCTAATTAATGCAGGGTTGAATAGGTGATTGAATACATGAATGGAATCAGTAGGCACTTATTTATTTGCTTTAGCATCTATTAAATAGTCACCATCTTGTGGGTTGTAGTTACTGTACAACTGAAGTGTTTGTAGGTGTTTGACATGCACATTTGAAGTAGCATGAAAAAGCCACCTGACTAGGCAGTGTGATAGGATTACTGATTTCTGCTGATAGCCAGGCCTACCTCACTCCGGGATTCTAGAATTATACTTTTGCATGGAATATCTCTCCTTGTGCTAACTCCTGATTTGACTTGCATCACATCACCAAAGTGTTTCCGGTCATCTAGGTCTTTTGGAAACTCTGGGGCCAAGAATCCTTGAAAGACCTAAAGGAAGCATTTTGAGGAACTGGGCCCCCTCGTGGCCTGTCCTTGGCAGGGGCTTTGGACTGGTATGGAAGTCTCCCATATCCATGCGTCTGGGCAAAATGCAAATGGCAGTAACACCACCAGCTCCTTATTTCTCACTGATGCTGGACAGAGACCCAGCAACCTTTACCCTGGAAGTAATCAAGTGGTTTTGACATGAACTCTGAGGTGGGGCTTGGTTTTTCAAGAAACCCTCTCTCCTGTCAAGCCAGGTCTATTCTGGATGCCAGGACCAGAGAAGTGGCCACCACCACGTGGAGCAGTTGAGACCATTGGTGAGGTGAGGATAAAATAATTCATTGTCTTGCTTTCATCTCTCATTGGCTGAGAGAACATAGGCACGTTACTTTCAGCTATGAACTTCTCAACTGTAAAATAAGAGGGTTGACTCAAGAGGATCTGAAAAGCCTTTTCCAGCTCTGTCATTCCTGCAGTACTGTGGATTTTTCTTTTAGGGATGAAAATGGGTTCCAGTGCAAGTTGTTGTCCTCACTCTAAGGAAGCCCTGGCCAGCCACTCCCTTCTCCTCTTGAGATAACATTTTAGTTATCATCTTTCTCAGTCACCACCTCTGTCTTACAGTTTTTATTTTTGACATCATTGTTTTCTTATTTACATCAAATGTGTGTTAGTTTACAAACATTCTGAAAAAAGTGAAATCGACTCAGCATAGATTTATGTGGGTAATAACCTGCAGCACACTGAAGCAAGTGCATGGTATTAGGCCGTTCTCGCATTGCTATAAGGAAATACCTGAGACTGGGTAATTTACAAAGAAAAGAAGTTTAATTGGCTCACAGTGTTTCAGGCTATACAGGAAGCATGATCCTGGCATCTGCTCGGCTCCTTGGGGGAACCTCAGGAAACTTACAATCATGGTGGATGGCAAAGGGGGAGCGAGACCTCTCACACGGTAGGAGCAGGAGCAGGAGCAGGGGCAAGAGCAGGGGTGGGGTGCGGGGGCAGCGAGGTTTTACACACTTTAAACAACCACATCTCATGAGAACTCTCTCACAAGAACAGCACCAACCAGACGGTGCTAAACTATTCATGAAGGATCCACCCCAGTGATCCAATCACCTCCCACCAAGCCCTACCTCCAACACTGGGGATTACGATTTGACATGAGATTTGGGTGCAGACATAGACCCATACCATATCAGACATGAACAGGAACAGACAGGGCTCTGTCCCCCAGGATCACACAACCTGGCAGAAAAGTCTGTTAGCTCCATTGCTACAATTCCATTCTAAAGACTGTAGGTGCTCAATAGCATTTCTTCTCCCTCCCAACCTGGGAATTTTATTTATGCTGTAGGAGAGGAAACTATCTTTTCCTCACCCATCCTAGGTTCCTGGCTGAGGCCCCTGTAACAAAAGACAGATTAACAAAATAAAACACATACAAATGTATTTAATGTAAGTTTTATGTGACACAGGAGCCTTCATAGGGAAATGAAGATTCAAAGACACAGTTAAACTCAAATGTTTTTAAAAAATATTTTAAAATTTTTATTTGAGATGGAGCCTTGCAGCATTGCCCAGGCTAGTCTTGGACTCCTGGCCTCAAGTGATCCTCCTTCCTTGGCCTCCCAAACAGCCGAGATTATAGGCATGAGCCACTACATGCAGCCAAACTTGAGTGGTTTTTTATAGCTGGTTTGATCAAGAGTGGACAGTTGTGGAGAAATATGAGTGGGAAAAAAGGGTATGATCTAATGGTAATAAACTTGGGGAAACTTAGCAAACCTATTTGTTCAAATTCTTCCATGTCCCTGTGTCTTCAGAGATTTTTTCTTTCTGGGTATAGGGTGGGTAGCTTTCACATGAGATTCTTATGCCCTGCTTCAGGAGAGGACAAATGAAGGCCAGAGAGACCTTCCTGTTTCTGCTGTTTTCACACATTCCTTCAGCTTGAAATATTCAGTATGTCAAGGTGCCATACTTTGGGGTAGGGTGTTTGGAAATCACCAGTGCATTTCAAAAGGAATATGAAGACGTTACCAGTGGCTATAAATACATAGAGTAATGGTCATTTTCTTTTCTTTTCTTTTCTTTTTTCTTTTTTTTAAGCAAAGACTCTGTGTACCTTCTATCTGGTGTTAGTTTGGTTAGGTTCTTTTAGTTTTGTAGAATTGTTATCTTGCTGTGATTATGTTCTTTTAACACTAAGGAAAACCATGTAAAAAGCAGGGTGTTCAAAATTCTGGGGACTAAGACTTGGAAAGAAATAGGCCCAGCAAGCCAGTTCCGCAGGGCTGTCATTAGAGAGTTGACTTGGGTGGCACAGAAGGCACCATAGTGCCCTCTAAGGGTGGTAGTTACTGAATTATTGTACTTCGCTGACATACTGTTTACTCATTAAAGGTCTTGGAAAAGCAGAATTTTAACTACCTTTGCTCCAAGAGAATAAACTCTATTTAGAACAAGGGAAAGCTTTCTATTTTTACCCAGGAAAGAGCTAACCCAGGTGTGGACTGGGAAAAGACAACTTCCTAGGTTTTCACGGTGAGGTTCATTTTGTGATCTGGTAACAGGTCATAGAATATCACATCCTTACACCCTACACCGTTAAGCACAAAAGACTTCCAAGGAAGATTGCAATGATTTTTGGATAGCGCTCACCTCTGCTTCTCTATTTTATTTCAAATATTTCAAATATTACAGAGTTGATAGCATCACACACACACACACACACACACACACAAACACACAAACACATTTTAGAGATTTTTTTTTAACAGTAGTTTGAGGTTCACAGCACCCATCACGTGCATGGCTACCCCACTATCAACACCTCCCATCGGAGTGGCATTTTTGTTGCTTGATGAACCTACAGTGACATGTCATTATCATCTAAAGTCCATAGTTTACATTAGGGTTCACTCTTGTTATACCTTCTATGGATTTAGACAAATGCATGGTGATGTGTATCCACCATTGTACTATCATACAGAGTAATTTCACTGCCCTAAAAATTTTCTGTGCTCCGCCTAATCATCCCCCACCCCCAACCTCTGGCATCACTGTTTTTTTTACTGTATCCACAGTTTTGCGTTTTCCAGAATGTTATATAGTGGAATCATACAGTATGTATATTAAACTAAACATGCTCTTATAAAACTAAACATTTTTAGCTTTTTAGGCTTTTCAGATTGGCTTCTTTCACTTAGTACTGTGCATTTAAGTTTTCTCCATGTATTTTCATGGCTTGACAGCTCATTTTTTTTTAGCACTGAATAATATTCCAGTGTCTAAATGTATCACAGTTCATTTATTCATTCACCTACTGAAGGATCTCTTGGTTGCTTCCAAGTTTTTTAGCAATTATGAATAAAGCTGCTATAAACATCCACGTGGGCCAGGTGCGGTGGCTTATGCCTGTAATCCCAGCACTTTGGGAAGCCAGCACGAGTGGATCACTTGAGTCCAGAAGTTTGATACTAGCCTAGGCCACTTGGCTAGTGGTGCGTGCCTGTAGTTCCAGCTACTCAGGAGGCTGAGGTGGGAGAATCACTTGAGCCAGGGAGGTTGAGACTGCAGTGAGCCATGGTGGCACCACTGCACTCCAGCCTGGGTGACAGAGTGACAGAGTGAAACCCTGTCTCAAAAACAAACAAAAATCCATGTGTAGGTTTTTGTGGGGACATAAATTTTCAGCTCCTTTGAGTAAATTTCAAAGAGTGAGATTGCATGGTAAGAGTATGTTTAGTTTTATAAGAAACTGCCAAACTGCCTCCCAAGTGGCTGTACCATTTTGCATTTCACCACCAATGACTGAAGGTTCCTATTGATCTACATCTGGAATTTGGCCATTCTAATAGATGTGTAGCAGGATAACATTATATTTTACACACTTTATAGTTGAAATTTGGTTGGTTACCATTATTTATTTTTTGGTAGTTTGATTGTTCTGATTATTAGTTTTTGATGTCAGCTGGGCACGGTGGCTTACGCCTGTAATCCCAGGACTTTGGAAGGCCTAGGCAGGTGGATCACGAAGTCAGGAGTTCGAGACCAGCCTGGCCAACGTGGTGAAACTCCGTCTCTACTAAAAATACAAAAATTAGCTGGATGTGGTGGCATGTGCCTGTAATCTCAGCTCTTTGGGAGGCTGAGGTAGGAGAATTGCTTGAACCCGGGATGTGGAGGTTGCAGTGAGCTGAGATCGCGCCACTGCACTCCAGCCTGGGTGACAGAGCAAGACTCCGTCTCAAAAAAAAAATTATCAATGTCATTTATCATTAATGAATATCCAGAAAATTGTGTCAACTTCATTTGGATGTGAAAAATACTACATGATGTGCTTGCTATTAAAGAATATTTAATTAGGAAAAATGTCATTTTAGGAAACATATCTTTTTATGTAACTTATCCCATCTGTCTATTACCATGATGTCTGGGCTCTAATTTCCTCTCCTGAATTGCTTGCTCTTTCAAAGTAGAACATCATTTTGTTCACTTTTGTGTTCTCTCCAATTCTTTTCACATGCCTCACACAAAGAAAGAGTGTAATAAATGCTTGACTAAATACCTTGTATTTTAGAAAAAAAAAACCTATGATATAAGCAATTAAGCAAATCATTGGCCCACTTGTTACTTGATGAGACAGGTCAAGTACCTTGCACCTGGTAATAGAGCTAATAAGTGGTAGAACTTGGGTTCAAAATCAGGCAGTTTGATTCTAGAGTTTCCCATCCATAGTCAGGCGATGTATGTATTAGTAGCCACCCCCACCCCCTAACTGATATCTCCTCCTTTTCCCTCCTATAGGAGCAGTGCTCCCTCGTACACAGGTATCCACACCTCCTTTATACAGCCCATTTGCTGCGGGGAGCTGATTCTGTTCCTGGCTTCTGAGATGGGGCATGTACCTAGGTGGAGCCTATACCAATGAGGGACAACTATTCCCTGATCAGAGTTATTGCATCAGGGGTGGGTAGCGAGCCTGAGACCATGTTTGCTGAGTAATTTCTGGTAAAGAAGTGTCCTCTGTTTTGGAAAACTGGGAAAGCAGCTTCTTTCTCTATCCTTAGATATAAATGGAGGCAGGGCCCAGGTAGTTGTGGACAGCCCAAATAGGACTGCTGGGATTGAAGATGACATTGCCAAAGGCAGACAGATGTTGAACTAAACTTGGTCTTGGATGACACTGTTGAGCAATTGAACTGAACCAATCCTGAAACTAACCTTACTTCTAGCATTCAGTCATGTGAGCTATTAATTCTCTTTTATCATTTGAGGTTTTTTTTTCTCACCCAGTGGAAACTATTCATGGCCACAGTAAGGGAAGATAATATTTCTTTCTCAAAAGCTAACTGGTTAGAACTTTGACAGAGTATAGTCATCACGCTTGGAAAGAACTAATTAGATCTCGGTATTAAAAAGCTATGTGATAACTGGTTCATGTTATATTTACAGCTCTATATTCAAATAAAACCCAAATGTCAGATGCTTGAATATGAATATAAAAATATCAGGACCTGCTGTTACTGCAGCTGAAACTGAATTATAGCTCCCTGAGGGAGAATCAATACTTTTCTTTTAAGCCAAACTCAAGATTCCTAAATGTACTTCCAAATAACAAATAATAAATGACCAAGGAAAAGATTTTTAAAATACCTCTACAGAGGATAAAAATTAGGGGGAGAATGCTACTCGTCTGTTACAAGAGTTGGAAAAATCCTCCCTTAAGCTTTTTCTATATATCTTTATTCTCCCCCAGGGTAGAGCCAATTAAATAACTTTTATGGTGAAAAATTCAGTTGTTTGGGATTAAAAAGACAAATAATCAAAGATAAAATCATTACCTTGAGGGCCAGCCATGGTGGCTTACATCTGTAATCCCAGAGCTTTGGGAGGCTGAGGCAGGAGGATGGCTTGAGCCTAGGAGTTCCAGGCCGCGGTGAGCTGTGATGGCGCCACTGCACTCCAGCCTGGGTGACAGAGTGGGATCTTGTCTCTTAAAAAAAAATTATCACTTCGAAAGAGATTTTCTTTAAGATTTTATTTCATTGGTTCTCACCTTTAAACTAGAAGGGCAGAGCTTCTGTTGGTACAGTACTAAGAAAGTATAGAGAACAACAACAAAAATACCTTCAGAATAAGGGGAATGTGTATTGATTATTCTTGATTAGAAAACATACAAGGCTCTCTTAGTCCAAGGACGCCATTATGTTTTCCTTTTTTTTTTTGACAGAATCTACAGGCTTAATACGTTCCTTTCCAGCTTGAAAGGATCTCTCCTCCTTTCTCCCCCTTGATGCTCTATCTTGAATAGTCAAACAGAATTATAAGATGCTTTTTAAATTGGGAAGAAAACAATCATTTTCTGCTTTTGTTTTCTTTGTATCAGGCAGAGGCAAGGGCCTCCAGCCAGCTAATGTGATGGACACGGTATCTGGAGAGTCCTGCATTTCAAAACTTACTCTAAGGAAGACTGCTTTGATTTTCAAAGTCTCTAGTCTACAGAGAGATTGAGCTCTGGCTGCAAGACACTGTCTATCATAGAGCCACATGGCGACATTGCCGTAGAGAAGAGACATAAATAACCACAACTGCCAGAAAATAAAGCTGGTAATCTCTAGAAATGCCTGGATACATTAAAATGAAATATAACCCAGTACTCTGGTTCTTTAGACCCCGTTGAATACTTTGTTCTCAGTCAGCTGATAAAATTTTAATTTATTATTGCGTGTTTATGATGAAATGTAACATAACTCATTCATTGTGTCTGTTAATCCTCTCATTCATAAAAATAGCATATGTGTTGATGATCTACATTAAAGTAATTGTTTACCATGGGTAGTATTATAGCGATAATCTATAAATAATGTGAAAGTTTGTAGAAAATTAAAGTATATAGAACTGTAGAAAGAGATAAATCTTTAAATATTTAAGGTTTTGATCTGCTTGTATAATGAACTGGTGTTTTAGCCATTTGAGCCACCTAGTGGTAATATACATGAGATATGATTTCTTATTCTGAAAAAAAATGTAAAAGTTTAACAGTTTCCAATTTAAAAGGAATAAACTAAGTAAAGCGAATCATAACCATTATATATTATACATTCAGCTTTTGAATTATTACTTATTGGTAGAAGATTGACTATTAGAAAATAAATTATAAAAACAGTTCTTTGCTTATTTTGTTTCTTCTAATAGAGGCCACATAGCCAAGAAAATTAAAATTATAAAAAATTATAATTGAAGGGGATATTTGCAATATGTATAAGAAAGAAAAAGCAATCAAATATTTAGTGGACTAAAATGAATAATACACTTTCCAACTTAATTGTATTCCAATGTAACCTTTGATAAGTGGTCTTCAGTGTAGTCATATTCTCTTAAGTCTGTCTTTTAGCCAATCATTAGTCTGTCTTCTTATATTCAAGGAACAAAACTGAATCACTAATCTGCTCAGTGATCCATTAGAAATACTCTGTAACTGATCACACTGTGTCTAATTTTAGATTTCTTTTACTGGGAACTGTAGATCAAAGCAAGTTTCCATTTTGGCTCTATTCTGGTATAATAACTTCCGGCAGAGCCAAATCATGAAATACTGCTAACTTCACGTGTTAGAATCCACATTCATCTTTGCCTTGTTAACTTTTAAGGAGCTTTTTATTTATTGTTCCAAGAATGCCAGGTTCTTTGGTTTCCTGCTTTCTTAAATTGCCATGTGTCTCTAAATAGGTTTTTTTCAAAATCGGAATTAGCACAAAGATAGATAGATTTGTCTTCTTTGAATTCACCAGCCTCCCTACTTGGTAGGATTGCAAAACTATCTTATGAACCCAGCAGAGAAAATATCCTCTCTTCTTGATGATCCTGCTTGTTGGAACTCTGACCTCTCCATTTCTTCTGTGGTTTCACTGGGTAATCTGAAGACAAGTCTTCACATGTGGTTCCTGGAAGCAATGACATCTAAAGTTGATCTAAAGTCGAGAGGATTGAAGCGTGCCAGCCTGAGAGCAGACAAAACCTTTAAGGAGTAATTGAGCAGGGTAAAAAGGGAATAGACTCTAAAAGAGGAAGAGCTTCCCTGATACATAAGGCACCCAGGAAGATCTGTGGGGGAACAAGATAATGGAGGGAGAATTCTGCTACAACAGAATGGTGTCTGTTATTTTGCTCCCCTCCCTCCACCTTTTTTTAGAAATACCATTTTTCTGGATAGAATGTGTGGTTGTGGGGTAGACGTGTTTCCTAGGCTGGGCCAATCAGAGAATTACCTGAGTCGTTTTGAACTCAGCTCTAGTGAGAAGTCTGAGATATTCTCTGGTGTCAAACTCAGGAGATGTGAATTGTGGTGCTGCTTCCTGCTTTGTGGAGAAAATCAGTCCAGAAGATGAGATGGCAGCTGACAGCAGAAACAGGCAGAGACATAGAGCAGGGAACATGCCTGAGCCACGCTTTTTGGAACCAGTACATTTCCCCTTTTGCCTCAGCTAGTTGGAGTTGGGTTTCTGTCACTTACATCCCAAAGAGTCCTGATTAGTACAGAGCAGATACTGCCTGCATAGTCAAGTAACTTGTTCAAGGGTTATCAGTGAACAGAACATTCTGGAAGGTAAGGGAAAACAGCAGGTTCCAGAGTCCCAAGAATCAGGAAGATGATGATCAGGAGGAAGACCTGATAATAATCAAAACAGGGTAAGTGACTGATTTAATATTCATAAGACACAGAGACGCAAGAGGATATGAACTTTTCATTTACCTTAAAATGCTCATTCCAAACCATGCAAGTTTCCTTCATTTCTTTTCTCCATATTAAAATTTTTACTAATATATCATGATGACTAACTTTTGCAAGTAGGAAGTACCAAGATGCCTAATAATAGCTTCTGGGTTGGGGCTGATGCTAGCTGTAGCAATATCGCATCTCTTATGCCCATGGCTCTATCTCAGTAAAACTGCCCCATTTAGTAAATGAGGATTTTCCAAAACCTTCGGTCCCCAGCCGTGTTTGGTATCAGGTGACCTGCTCATCCCCATCCTGTCCCCATCTCACTCATAGTTTATTAGGCCAATTTGAAATTTCAAAAGTAGAGTCTTCATGAAATGAAGACTAAACACAAAATTCCAAAACGAACTTCAAAAACCCACAAAGACTGCAGAACCGTAAGTAAACTTACTTAGGGAATATGAGGGAGCAGGGCTTTTCTTTCTTCTGGGTGCATTTTTAATGCAGAGTCACAGATATCAGCCAATGCTAGGGTCTAGCTCCTGTTCAGGTGGCCTTGGTTTCCCATCTTCATCTCATTAGCCACAGGCTCTTTGAATGAGCTTATTAACTATCATGGCTTTAGCTTCCACCAAGGTGCTAATGGCTCCCAAATTTCCATCTCTAGTACTAAACTCTTTCTTTCTTTCTTTTTTCTTTTTTGAGACAGAGTCTTTCTCTATCACCTAGGCTGGAGTTCAGTGATGAGCTCTCAGCTCACTTCACCCTTGACCTCTGAGACCCAAATGATCCTCCCACCTCAGTTCCCCAAGTCACTGGGACCGCAGGTGTGCACCACCATGCCCAGCTAATGTTGTTTCTTTTTTTGTAGATACAGGGTCCCCCTATGTTGTCCAGGCTGGTCTCAAACTCCTGGGCTCAAATGATCCTCCTCAATAATAACTTAATTGTATATTTAAAAATAAGGAATGTAAATGGATTGTTTGTAACTCAAAGGGCAAATACTTGAGGGGATGGATAGGGTTATTCTCCATGATATGCTTATTTCACATTGCATGCCTGCATCAAAACATCGCACATACTCCATGAAAATATACACCTACTATGCACCCATAAAAATTTAAAACCATAATTTAAAAAAAAGAGATCCTCTTGCCTCGGCCAAAGTACTGGGATTTACAGGCATGAGCCACTGTGCCAGGCCCTAAACTGCTTCTCAAACTCAAGACCTGTGTATATAATTGTGTACTGGACACTTTTTCTCATAAGTCCCAGGGAAACCTCGAAGTCAATGCGTCTCACAATGAAACTCTTCCTAAGTTCTTCATAGTCCCTGTGTCAGGGAGTAGTATCATTATCTACCTGATTGCTTAAGCCAGAAACCTGTGAATCATCAGTGATGCCCTCACTTATTGTCCCCTATGTCTTCTCAGTCATTATGATACTTCAACGCTATTTCTATTATTTCTGAAAAGCACCTCTTTCTATCCCCAGTACTACATTCTTAGTCAAGATTCTTCTTACTTTTTGTATGTCTTCTTATAACAGCCTCCTAATTTCTTTTCTCAGCCTTGAGTTATTCACCTCTCACTACCATTCTCCTTTCTGGAGTTAACTTTCTAAATTGAAGATCTCATAATGTCAGTTTAAAAATCATTCATGAGGCTGGGTGTCATGGCTCATTCCTGTAATATCTGAACTTTGGGAGGCAGAGGCAGGGGAATTGCTTGAGGCCAGGAGTTTGAGACCAGCCTGGGCAACATAGTGAGACCCCCGTCTCTATTTAAAAAAATGAAAATGAGGGCCAGGAGTGGTGGCTCATGCCTGTAATCCCAGAACTTTGGGAGGCTGAGGTGGGCGGATCATGAGGTCAGGAGATCGAAACCATCCTGGCTAACACATTGAAACCCCGTCTCTACTAAAAATATAAAAAAATAGCCGGGCATGGTGGCGGGCACCTGTAGTCCCAGCTACTCGGGAGGCTGAGGCAGGAGAATCACTTGAACCTGGGAGGCAGAGCTTGCAGTGAGCCAAGATTGCACCACTGCACTCCAGCCTGGGCAACAGAGGGAGATTCCATCTCAAAATAAATAAATAAATAAATAAATAAATAAATAAATAAATAAATAAAAAGAAAGCGAAAACATTAGCCAGGTGTGGTGGTGCAAGCCTGTAGTCCTAGCGATTTGGGAGGCTGAGGTGGGAGGATCACTTGAACCCAGGAAGTCATGGCTGCAGTGAGGTATGATTGCACCACTGCATTCCAGCCTGGGTGACAGAGTGACATGCTGTGTCAAAAAAAAAAAAAAAAAAAAAGAAAAGAAAAAGAATATCTTGCATGAGATCATTTGCTAAGGAGCCATGAGTTCTTTTGCATGACCTTTCCATCCTGTCCAACATGGTGGTTAGCCAGTCCTTCCCTTCAACTCCACATTCCAGCCAGGCTAGTTGATCCTTAAATGTGCTGTGCTCCTTCCTGCCTCGGTGTGCTAGCTGCTCCTTCTATGAACATCCTCCCCACTGCTTCTGCCTGCACGGCTTCACAATTCAGCTCAGGTGCTTCCTCCTTTAGACAGCCTTAAAGTTTTTTCTCTGTGAACACGTCTACTATAGACTTGCTGTGCCATCATCTGTTTACTTCTGAGTTTCCCCAAATATGTTGTAAACTTCTTGAAGCTAAAACCAGCACCTGGATGTTCAATGAATAATCAAATAGAGTATTTTATTCAACCGGTAAGTTCAAAGATGATTAAAACCACGAACTCTTTACTAATTACCCTGTTTGGTGTTTACACTCTGGGCAGAATCAATTCTGAAACAAATAAGAAAAATGAAGATAGCAGTGGTGCTATATTAGTATTGATAAAAGACACTGCAAAGGAGGAACCTCCTGCCATTATCCACCCACTTCTAGCAGAAGAGATTGGTGGGTGAAAGAAATGAAGTATGGTAACCTAACCTGACATATGCTAGGGTGGGCGGAAGGCAATCATTGCATTCTGATGGAGTAATACCTAGGTAGAGGTTCTGCTCCATTGTTAGCTGTTAAGCAGCTGTAACAAACATTGGCAGGTGTCTGAACTTTAAAAGCCTTTGATTGTCCAAAAAAGACTGGAAAATACCTTTCCAGAAGAAAGAGAGGAGTTGTGTAGCATCCTATGAGGACTCAAACAGAAGAGTGGATGTGACTTGGATTTTTATGCTCCCAACTCAGAGGAGTTGGCCGGGTAAGCTGTTTTCAGTTTGTTTTCTGTTTTATCTATTTACGCTATTACTCAGTAACATTTAGCAGATAGCTAACAAGATAGCATTTAGTCTTTTTTTTTTTTTTGTATTTTTTTAAAAAATAGAGACAAGGTCTCACTATGTTGCCCAGGCTGGTCTCAAAGTCCTGGGCTTAATGATCCTACCACCTTGGCCTCCTGCAGTGTTGGAATTACAGCGTGAGCCACCATGCCCCACCAGCATTTAACTCTCTCTAGGTCAACTATATTAATCCTTAAGATCTCTGCCCCTTTCTTTCTGGGACACTTACCCATCTGAATTATCCACAAGAGATACCCTAACATTTACCCTCCATAGAGGGGAGCTAGAGATACATCCAAGGGATATAAAATAGAGGACCTATCATACTGGTCAAATAAGAAATTTTCAGCAATATTTATTTAGCACCAACTCAGAAGTTGCTCTAGAATTCCTATAAAAAGGGGATTAAGGACATAATTTGTTTGAGTGGGGAGGGGCTGATGGAGATTATGTAGTAGTAGGTGAAGCTAAGTCTTTTCTGAGTCCTTGAATCCCCTTCTTGTGTTGCCATGGTATCTATTTTCTTACTGTATTATGCTGGGCACTGTGGGAGATTTTTTCAAAAACAGGTTGTTAAAGATGAACCCTGCTCTCAAGAAAATTAGAGTTGAGCTTGGGGAGACAGAAATAATAAATTTAAGAGGCTGTTAATTTACCAAGAACAATTTTCTGAAGACAACTGAGGTACAGGAAAATTCTAATGTAACTTGATAGATGAGAGTCTAACAATTTTAATAGAGTAAATTTGGGGTCCATATTATTGCAAGATAAATGAAATAATGAGGTGAGCCTTCGTGTCTGGTTGACCAGGAATTCTGGGTCTGACTACACTATTTAATGCTTTCAGATACAAGTTGGTACTCCTTGGTGGCCATTGTGTTTAATATCTGGTTAAATATCAATGAGAATCATTCTGGCTCTTGGGCTTGGATGAATTTTCAGGGCAGTGGCAGGGATTCTGGGAATCCCTTGGTAACTTGGTCCCCATTTTTTCAGCCTAAGGCAGGGCGATTGGGCTGAGAGATGACTGGGGATGTGGTCATACTTCCTTTATTTTCCAATTTCCTAAAACAGGGTTGCTTGCAGTCTTTCCACCCTGTCTTGCCCCCTTCTGTATCTCATGTGTCTCCTCTCCAGAAAATGAAAACTTGCTTGCTCTGCCCCATTTGAAAAATGGGGTTGAGCACAGAAAAAGACAGTGCCAATGTCCAATTGCATTATATCTGAATTTACATTATCAAGGGGCATGTTTACTAAGGGATTTTCCTATAATCATGTTCTCTTTGAGTTGAAAGAAATCAAAGTATTGCCTTGAGGAGAAAGAATTAAGATATAATTATTGTATAGGGTAGATATGTGTGAGTAATCAAAACTAAGGTTTTTGAGCGCATACTATAAGCCAGACCCTGTTCTAAGCAATTTATTTCTCGGTGGCCCAATGAGGTCTGTACTATTAATATCCCCATTTTAGAGATGTGGAAATTTAGGTATTAAAAAATGTAATCTTTCCCAAGAGCATGTAGCTAGTAAGTGACAAAGTTAAGATTTTAACCTCAACCAGTCTTACCCTAGAGACCACATTTTTTAACTACAATGTTATTGTGAAGTGAACAAGTATAGGTTGCCATGTTTGTGTTTTGTTTTGTTTTTAAATTAGCTCAAATTCACAGCTGGACCATAATAATTAAAAATCTTAAGAGCTAGCTTTGTTATAAATGAAAAGAACACATTGAGGGTAGGAAAACCCTGCAAATACTTGGAATTTTGATTTTTAATTTCTAAAGAAATTCTGATTTGATTTCTAATCCTAGCCTCTTAGGTTTTCCCAGAGGCATCTTGCTATCTTACTTGTCTTTTCTTTCTCTAGAATCTTCAGTTTTTCTCTTTTGATTCCTTTCTCTTGCCCATGTCTACTCCATCTTGGGAAAAACCATGAGTGACCTAGTCTTGACTGTACCTGCTTTCTCTAGTTTTTTAAAAATACCTGTTTCTCCCTTCCACTCCCTCCATTTCTTCAAGCTTCTTCTCTTGAAGGTCCAAGTAACCTCTCTGTGAAGTTCAAAGACATTTGTCATTTCTACTATTTCTTGCTCCTTTATTTCCTGTAATACTGGAAAGTCCAGCACCTTTGCTTCTTTTTTCCTTTTCACCTCTCGTCTTCCTCCCACCCTCTCACTGTGGGTTTCTCCAATGCTTATTTCTTAGAACTCTGCTGTTCTTTTGATACATTTTCCCCTTTGCAAAGGTCATCTGTTTTCAAAGTTTCATCTCTCCCTTTCATACAAGCTCTTTTAGATCTATCTATACCTTTGTCATTTCCTCTTACATGAATGCCAGTATTTATTTCCAAATTCTTCCTGGAAATTTCCATTTAAATATTTTACGGTCACCATTAAACTCAAAGTGCACAAGCCTGAGCTTATAATCAGTGTTTTCCACATGGAAATAAATTTTTGAAGAAAGATGAGGGGTCTATTGGGAAAGAACTCACTTAAAGTTGAGAAAATTGCAATTAGT
Organism: Homo sapiens; assembly: GCF_000001405.40. Taxonomy (NCBI): domain Eukaryota; kingdom Metazoa; phylum Chordata; class Mammalia; order Primates; family Hominidae; genus Homo; species Homo sapiens. The sequence continues at coordinate 23,537,816 of NC_000010.11, forward strand.
AAAATATCTAATTATTATTTTAATAACAATAATAATAGAAAAACACAAAGCATGTGCATTAAACCTGGCACCATTTTAAGTACCTTATATGGATTAACTTATTTAAACCTTAAAACAGTTATTATTCTTATTTTACAGTTGAAGGAATTCAGCCTAGAAATGCTAAAGCAACAGCCCCCCAACAAATGACATCACATGGCTGTTAAGTGGAGGATACAAATTCATCTCAGGCAATGTCGTTGAATTAATGGAGTCTACTCCTAACCAATACATTATATTTCCATGCCCTGTTTTCTAATTTCCCATGCTCAAAACTATACTCATTAACATTCTTTTTTTTTTCCAGTCCAATCCATAACTTCTCTACTTCTCTTTCAAAATGTTTTTGTTGTGTCTATCAGTCAGGGTCTGCAAAGGCACAGATGGTCCATTCCAAAAAGACACAGAGGGATGGTTCAGAAAACCAGGAAGAGATGAGGAGGCTCCCAGGTATTAAACTATTGGGATGCTGTTACCACTCCTAGTATTGAAAGGACAAAAGGGATGGGCAATGCTCTGGGTTGCCAGTTCAGAGAAAGCTGATCGATGGAGCTGGGTCTACCCACCAGTTCCCAGAGGAACACAGCCGCTATTGAACACTGCAGAGGCATGGCATAGGGTGAGGAGGTGAGTGTGGAAAGCAAATGCCCACCCCTTCTCTCCAAGAGCCTTCCAATTTCTTGCTTGTGCTTTGTAACCTCATGCCTGGATCCTTACTACCTCTTCAATAACCTTACTTCATTCCCTTCTGCTCTATCCCACCACACATTGCCAGATCAGTCTCTGAGATGCTGCGTTCCTTATGCCATTTTTCTTCTCACAACCTTGAATGGCTGGGAACTACTCCTCAGTTTGTTGTTGGTGATCCCCAAATCCTGAGTCCAATCTCTCATTCCAGTGTTATCTTCTGCAGGTCTCCTAGCCCCTTGCTCTAATTGGCCTCCTCACCATTCCCCTCTCTACACACAGCTCATTTTCCTGCCTGCTTCAAATGCCATTACATAGCCCTCTGTACACGTGGAACAATTTTTGTCTTCCATCTACATATTATATATCCTTCAAGGCCCATCTCCTCTGCAGACCTTCTCTGACTGCTCCTACATACATGGGTTCCTCTGTTTTCTTTGATTTTTGTTGAATTGCGGGTAGCATCTTACCAATCCTGTCTTAATTATGTTTGTGTTTGTTTCATGATTGTGCATCTTGTCTCCTCTAGCTGAAGGGTGAGGATTCTAAATCAGTGGTATGGTCCATGGTTCATTGGTGTGACTCATTTTTTAAGCTGTAACAAACAGTTTGAAGGGGCATAGTTCATGTGTCTCAGCAAAGAGTGATCTATGCTCTAAGCTTCTTACTATAAAACCAGGGGAATCCCAGCCTCAGGTACCTCTCTCTCGTCGCAGGGTCCCAGGTGTTCCCCTTTGCTGCTAGAAGCATGTCAGATCAGTGCCCCAAGATCATCTCTGCAGTGCTTGGTCTTTGCTGCTGTAGGTTGTAGGCCTTACTGCAATAGGTCTTTGACGTTGATCAGTGCTCAGTAAACACCTTTCAACTTTCTTTCTGGGAATTGTTCATTTCCATGGGCTCTGCATGCTTTTCAATGTTCATGGTGCAAACCATCCTGTTTGCCAAGAATTGCCTGTTGGGATGAGATTATTTGAAGTATAACAAAGCTTCATACCTCCAGAGAATTCTAGCCTGCTGACGCTTACTTAGTATCTGTGGCTGAAGTTGGTCCATGTCAACTCTTCCCCACTCTAGGGCAATGCTGGGGACATGGTCTTCATTTCTCTTCTTTGCTCAAGAATTTCAGTGCTGGAGTTGACTGTGAGCTCTGTTCAACTGGGAAACCTCTGAGAAACTCTCTGTGACATGCTTGGACATACTTATTTCCTCTAACTGGCAAAACAATGTGTTCTCACAAGGCCCTTGCCAGCTATCATCTGCTGCATTGTTTACATGTTGATTTTTTTTTCTCTCTGTCCTTTTCCCAATCACATACTTTAAGGTTCTAGAATGTCCTTTACTTCTACTGGGAAGGTTTAAAACTCAACCTTTTAGTAGTTAGGTAGAGGCAGGAGGAGTTAGAGGAAATAAGTGTATGCATTACATTACTCTTTTAGATGATTTCTCTGGCCTGATATCTAGAAGCTTTTCTCATCTTCTTGTATTTTTCTACCCTGTCTTTTTTACAGAATGCACCTTAAAATAACAAAAAATGACACGTTCTCCAACAGCTTAGTCTGAACTGGAGGAATTTTAATCCTAAGAAAGGCCAAAGTATTCCAGATAGAGGAAGAATTTGCATGGTGGACTCAATTAATAATGGATATCTTGAGGTCTCCTGAATTACATATATACACTTGAAAAATAATTGTGCTCATTAATTTTGGAGCAAACAAATTCAACTTTCATCTTTAAAAAATCTACTATGGTTTGTAATTAGGTAACAAAATGCACTGTTCTCCAAATTCAGCAGCAGTTTGCTCACTGTCTAGATGTTTCTTCCTATCAAGTGAAAGCTATATTGCCTTTTAAGAGTTGATCACAGAAGTGAAAAACATCACCAGACTAGTTAAATCCAGACACAGGGAATGGAGGTAAAAAAGAATCCTTTAAAAAAGCTATTATCCATACAAGAACCTTCTTCTCTGAAGATTTTGGCATCATGAAGGAACTTATCTGTCTGCCTCAACTGTCATAAAATTGCACGTTGTGAAACAGGAAGCCAGAGCTAGAGGGAAGCAGAGAAGGGGGCTGGGTGATTTCCTTTTGCAAACACAAAGACCTTCCTTCGTTGGAAGGAAAAGAAAAAAAACAAGCCAGAAGCTGAAGTTGGTGGGTTTGAGGGCTTGCAAATGCAGGCAGCTGAAACTTTGTAAACAGTTAGCATAAAACTCATTTTTAATCTCATAAACTTAATTTTTTCCCCTAGCATATGGGATGCATAAAAAGGAAATAAAACTTTAGTAAATTGAGCCTTACTTGTGCTTTATAAAAAAGAAATTGAATTGCTCTAATGGCAGCTGCAGCTGGCTTTCAGCTTCAAACAACCAGTGTAAATCTAGTTTTTAGTGCTTGATTTAGTAAACACTCAGCTGCAAACAGGCTTCCACAACAGCTCTGAATGCAAGGTTTTCTGTAAAGACTGTTATGTAACCTCTGTGTGTTATGTCTTTAAAATATGTGAAGGAGAGCAGAAACCTTGATTGAGATATCTTACAATTATTCTTTCCTCTATATTTAAAGCTGCATAGACTTTGCTACTCATTATACATAGAGCTAGCACGAATGGATCCTAACAGGCCATGAATTTAAATTTATGTGCACTAGTCATTAAAAATAAACAAAAGTAGAGTACTAATAATGGTCTGGGAAGCCATAGTTGAGTTGGACACATTGGTTGGTTATCTCAAAGTGATCATCACAGCTTGTTTGTGGCTCTGCCCTTCTCTGAGCCTTATGTCAGGCTCCCACACATTGAAGAGCCTTGAGGAATCATATTCTGCTTGGCAAAGGCTGCATGTGCCCGGCTTACAATTTTTGCTAAAAATAGGGGGAAAATCTTGTTCCTGATGAGCAAGATGAAATGTCCAACTGTTTTTAAATGGATGCATAAATAACTGTTGAGATTATAATGCTAGTCTATCTAAAATATTTCCTAGTGACCTGGACTTAGAGGGGGATTTGTAGCGTTCTGGTGGTTGTCACTTTTCCCATCACTAGATACCAACAGGTAGACAAAATGAGAGTTGGTATCTTATGGCATTCTTGCCAAAGGAACTTTTTAAAAGAATCCTGGGAAGGATGGCCAGGGTTAACCCTGGGAACAATTTTGAATTAGGATAAATCTGTGTCTGTTTCTTTCTCCCTTGATTGTCTTCCAATACCTCAGTCTTATTTTTAGCTGGCTGTCAACCAAAACTACCTAAGGCATTAATTGATAAGTATTAAGGTACTCCATTTCTCAGGGGTATTTCCAATTTTAAAAGAGACTCGTGAATGTGGAAAAGTCCTAAGACCCCCAATTTGGGATGTTTGCACGACAGGTTCTGGGGTTGATCTGGGTAGAGGGCAACTTGTTCTAAGGCTGGCTCTGGGCACAATGGCCGGAGTTTCGAAAAGTAAATTTACACACACCCTTTTTCTTTTTTCCCACCATCTGGTTGTTCAGCTGCCAGCAACTGGAGCTATTAAACAAATGGGGACTTTAGGAAATTTGAAAACCAGACTGCTGCACAGTATGGTAGGTGGAGAGAGAGTCAGCAGTGATGCCTCTACTTGTGGCTTGCTGTTACCAGCTGAGTGACCTTAAGGAAGTCACTTCAACTCTCTGAGCTTCCGCCTGGCCTTTGGTTTCATAAAATCATGAAAAAGCACAATGAAAATGCACAATGAAAACTGTAAAGTACTACACAATTGCGAGATCCTTTGATTATTCAAGGCAGTGAAGGGTACGTACATAATAAATAGTAGCTTCTTATTCCCAGGGAGAGGGTAATTATCACCTTACCATTGTGATTCAGAGAAATAATGTGAGCAAGTAACAGATCTTGTTATATCTGTAGATGAAAGTCTGGAACTTGCAGAAGATTAGATCACTGACTATTCATACAATTTAAAAGGATGGAAGCATTACAGAAATTAAAGAGAAAACATTAAGGTGAAGACACTGGGCTATTCCAGTGTAATCTGTATCCTGTAGCCTGAATCCCCTGCCAGGGGTTCAGATAATACCAGGTCTCTTTTTAATATTCAAGTTAATCACCCAAGAGCCTACCTGTTTATATTGGAGGTATATATTGTAGGTACAGCTTATTATTATTACTATTTGAAACAGGGTTTTACTCTGTCACCCAGGCTGGGCTGCAGTGTTGTGATCCCTGGGCTCAGGTGATCCTCTCACCCCAGCCTCCCAAGTTGTTGGGACTACAGGCATGCACCACCATGCCTGGCTAACTTTTTTGTATTTTTTTGTAGAGACAGGGTTGCACCATGTTGCCCAGGCTGGTCTCGAACTCCTGGGCTTAAGTGATCCACCTGCCTCCCCCTCCCAAAGTACTGGGATTACAGGCATGAGCTACCGCATCTGGCTATCTTATTTTTCTTTAATTTTTTTAAATTACATTTTAAATGAAAAACTGTACACATGTGGTTTAAAAAGTCAAGATGGTAGTAAAAGATCTATTACAAAATTCAGCAGTGTTCTGACTCACTCCTTCTCACTTTTCCCAGGTCCCCTCTCCAAAGACAACCACTTCCAGCTCTTTTAACTTCCTTTTGGCATTTAACATCTCCAAAGTTCCAAACACTACACATATATTTCTATATTTTGATTTGTCCATTCTAGACATCATCTATTGAATTCTTATTGTAGGAAACATAACTGGCTTTCTACACTGCCTCCATTTTGCTTCCTTTTTCTCATTCTCCCAATATAGTCCAATTACAATTTTGGTTAAATCAGTATTGTTGTCATTGTAATATTTTTTTATAACTGAGTGCTGTAGTATACTATGATTGTTTTTTCTTTCCTTCCTTTATATTTTTCTTAAAGTTAATAATGCCTTTTTTATTTGTTTAGTTTTCTTTGTATCTATTTTTAAGTATTTCCATCTTTTCTAATGGCTGTTTTTAGTAAAATATTACACAAAGCTATTCACAATAGCCTACCTATCAGTTTCCTTTTGTATTTTTTGAGAAACTGCCTCTAGAGACCTTTCTTCTTACTTCTAGGCTGGCTAGATAGTAGTCACACCTTTGGATTACTTTTGCTCCTGTTCCAGGCCTTGGTGGGCTTTCTGAACCTTTTTTTTTTTTTTTTAAAAAAAAAAAACAAAACAAAACAGAAATGTTTTTTCTAACTCTTTTTTGTTAAAATTAGAGAATATCCTCCAGGAGTTTCGTCTAGGTTGAATGATTTTATAGTAGCAGAGGGAATCAGGATGATAGCCCCAGCATGCCAATCATCTGAATCACACAATTTCATTCATTATCTCTACTTGATGGGCATTCTATTATCACTAGGCAACTCCCTTTACCATTGTCTTGAAAATTCTTTTTTTTTTTTCTCTCTCCTGGTGTGAGTCTTCTCTTTCGTGTAGCCTACATATTCTTAGTTTACTCCCTCACTCTGGTGAGGTCATGGTATGGTTTGACTGCCCCCTCCCAAATCTCAACTTGAATTGTATCTCCCAGAATTCCCACATGTTGCGGGAGGGTCACAGGGGGAGGTAATTGAATCACGGGGGCCAGGCTTTCCTGTGCTATTCTTGTCATAGTGAATAAATCTCACAAAATCTGATGGGTTTATCAGGGGTTTCTGCTTTTGCTTCTTCCTCATTTTTCTCTTGCCACTGTATGTAAGAGGTGACGTTTGAGGCCTCCCCAGCCATGTGGAATTATCAATCCAATTAAACCTCTTTTTCTTCCCAGTCTCACATACGTCTTTATCAGCAGCATGAAAACGAACTAATACAGTAAATCGGTACCAGTAGAGTGGGGTGTTGCTGAAAAGATACCCGAAAATGTGGAAGTGACTGTGTAACAGGCAGAGGTTGGAACAGTTTTGAGGGCTCAGAAGAAGACAGGAAAATTTGTGAAAGTTTGGAACTTTGCCCAATATCCTGATAGTGATATGGACAATAAGGTCCAGGCTGAGGTGGTCTCAAATGGAGATGAGGAACTTGTTGGGAACTAGAGTAAAGGTGACTCTTGTTATGTTTTAGCAAAGAGACTGGTGGCATTTTGCCCCTGCTCTAGAGATTTATGGAACTTTGAACTTGAGAGAGGTGATTCAGGGTATCTGGTGGAAAAAAAACTTCTAGGTAGCAAAGCATGTAAGGGATGACTTGAGTTCTGTTAAAGGCATTCAGTTTTATAAGGGAAGCAGAGCATAAAAGTTTGGAAAATTTGCAGCCTGACTATGTAATAGAAAAGAAAAACCCATTTTCTGGGGAGAAATTCAAGCTGGCTGCAGAAATTTGCATAAGTAGCAAAGACCCTAATGTTAATCTCCAAGACCATCGGGAAAATGTCTCCAGGTCATGTCAGAGAACTTCACGGCAGTCCCTCCCATCACAGGCTTGGAGACCCAGGAAGAAAAAGCCGTTTCATGGGCCGGGCCCAGGGTCCCTGTGATGTGTGCAGCCTAGGGACTTGGTGTCCTGCATCCCAGCCACTCTAGCTGTGGCTGATAGGGGCCAATGTACAGCTCAGGCTGTGGCTTCAGAGGGTGGAAGCCCCAGGCCTTGGCAGCTTCCATGTGGTGTTGAGCCTTCGTTGCACAGAAGTCAAGAATTGAGGTTTTCCCAAACCTCCACCTAGAATTCAGAATATATATGGAAATGGCTAGATGACCAGGCAAAAGTTTGCTGCAGGGGTGGGGCCCTCATGGAGAACCTCTGCTAGGGCATTGCGGAAAGGAAATGTGGGGTCAGAGCCCCCACACAGAGGCCCTACTGGGGTACTGCCTAGTGGAGCTGTGAGAAGAGGGCCACCACCCTCCAGACCCCAGAATAGTAGATCCACTGACAGCTTGCACCCTGCACCTGGAAAAGCCGCAGACACTCAATGCCAGCCTGTGTAAGTAGCCAGGAGGGAGGTCGTACCCTGCAAAGCCATAGATGCAGAGCTGCCCAAGACCATGGGAACCCACCTTTTGCATCAGCATGACCTGGATGTGAGACCTGGAGTCGAAGTACATCATTTTGGAGCTTTAAAATTTGACTGCCAGCCTGGATTTCAGACTTGCACGGGCCCTGTAACCCCTTTGTTTTGGCCAATTTCTCGCATTTGGAACGGTTGTATTTACCCAATACCTGCACCCCAATTGTATCTAGGAAGTAACTAGCTTGCTTTTGATTTTACAAGCTCATAGGCAGAAGGGACTTGCCTTGTCTCAGATGAAACTTTGGACTGTGGACTTTTTGAGTTAATGCTGAAATGAGTTAAGACTTTGGGGGACTGTTGGGAAGGTATGATCGGTTTTGAAATGTGAGAACATGAGTTTTAAATGAATCAGGGGCAGAATGATATGGTTTGGCTGTGTCCCCAACCAAATCTCAACTTGAATTGTATCTCCCAGAATTCCCACATGTTGTGGGAGGGAGCCGGGGGAAGTAATTGAATCAAAGGGGCCTGTTCTATTCCTGTGATAGTGAATAAATCTCATGAGATCTGATGGGTTTATCAGGGTTTCCGCTTTTTGTTCTTCCTCATTTTTCTCTTGTGGCTGCCATGTAAGAAGTGCCTTTCACCTCCTGCCATGATTCAGAGGCCTCCCCAGCCATGTGGAACTAGAAGTCCAATTAAATCTCTTTTTCTTCTCAGTCTCAGGTATGTCTTTTATCAGCAGCATGAAAACAGACTAATACAGGGCATCTTCAATAGCTTCCTGAGAAAGTGTGCACGAAAAGCACATCTTTTGAGACCTTACATTTCTAAAAGTGTTTTAGTTCTACCTCCCCTCCAATTTATGGCTGAGTATTGAACTCAAGGTTGGAAGTAATTTTTCTTCACAATTTGGAAGGCATTGCTCCATGGTCTTCTGGATTCCAGGGCTAGTGTTGAGAAGTACAAAGCCATTCTGAATCCTGCTGCTTTCCACGTGGCTTCTTCTCCCTCTCTCTTTCTTTCTAACTTGCAGAAGCTTTGTAAAACTTATTTTTGGCAGTATTCTGAACTGATGTGCCCTTGGGTGAGTCTATTTTGTTCCACTGTGCTGGGTACTCAATAGACCTTTCAAAGTAGAAGCTGATATCTTTTAGCTCTGAGAAATGTTGCTTATAATCTTATCTCCTGTTTTCTTGGTTCTTTCTAACCATCCCATAATTTTGATGTTGGACTTCCTGGACTTGTGTTCTAATTTTCTGACTTCTCTGGTTGTTCTTCTCTTTAGATTTTCTCCTGGTTTCGGGGTTTTCTTTCTTTCTTTTTTTTTTTTTTTTTTTGAGATGGAGTCTCACTCTGTCCCCTAGGCTGGAGTGCAGTGGTGAGATCTCGGTTCACTGCAAGCTTCACCTCTGGGGTTCACGCCATTCTCCTGCCTCAGCCTCCTGAGTAGCTGGGACTACAGGTGCCCACCACTACGCCCGACTAATTTTTTGTACTTTTAGTAGAGACAGGGTTTCACCGTGTTAGCCAGGATGGTCTCGATCTCCTGGTCTCGTGATCCACCTGCCTCAGCCTCCCAAAGTGCTGGTATTACAGGTGTGAGCCACCGCGCCCAGCTGGTTTTGGGGTTTTCCAATCCTTATGTTAAATTTAAAGAGAACACTTTTTATTCTCTGAATGCTCTTTTTTGGAGGATTCTGTTCTTGCTTTATTAATGCATTATCTTTTCTTGTGCCTCTGAGTATAGGAGTTACGGTTTTTGTTTTCAAAGTATTCTTTTCCTTGCATTGTTTCAGTTTCCTTGTAGTTGCTTTTTTTTTTTTTTTTTCTGTTTGTTCTCATCTTTATCTTTCATGTAGGTTTCCTCATACTTTTGGTAGCTCTTGCATGTCTGCTCATGATAAAGATTAGGGGCCTGAAAAACGGATTAGGGTCTCTGTGAATATGGTTGTACTTGTCGACTTTGAGCTTCATTGTGGGATCATGCTCACACGGGTCATTTGTTTGCAGAGGTCTTACTGTCAGTATCATGAAGGCTTTTTCTTTTCCTCTCTTACTATTTTGCTAGACTTCATGATTTTTTTTTCCTTTTTGCTAAAATTTCAGGATTTACATAGTAGCATGCACTGCAGTATCTTATTATAATGCTGCGCCTTTGAATAACTTTTTTTTGAGACAAGGTCTTGCTCTGTTGTCCAGGCAGGAGTGCAGTGGCACGGTCATGGGTCACTGCAGCTTTGACCTTCCAAGCTCAAGTGATCTTCCCACTTCAGCCTTCCCAGTAGTTGGGACCACAGTCATGCCCCACCACGCCTGGCTAATTTTTTTTTTTTTTTTAATTTTGTAGATACAACGTCTTTCTATGTTTCCCAGGCTGGTGTCAAACTACTGGGCTCAAGTGATCCTCTCACCTCAGCCTTCCAAAGTGCTGAAACTACAAATGGGAGCCACCAGGCCAGGTCTTGAATAACTTTTGTTGCTGAGTAAGACATTTGAGAATCTTGTTTCTTTTGTCTTTTACTGACCTTCTATGCTACTTAACTATACAATGTGGCTTATTACATAGAGTCTCTTGGTATTATATTCTTTCTGAAAAAGATATTTTTTTCCCATTGCAAATAAGACAAACAATGATGTCTTTAAAACAAAAGAAGTATTTCCTAGTCTCCTTACTTTGAAACACATGATTTTCATCAACTGCCTTTCTTTTCTTGGCAACAGCCTTTTGGAAAATTGACAGACTCCACTCACACCATCCCCATCCATTCTCCCACCATCTGCCTTCCTTCCAAGCTTAAAGAGACGGATATCTACCTACAAGGCAAATCCAATCAACCATTATCCTCCAATTGCCAGACCCTGCTAGTGGCACATCCATCAGTACATGAACTGAATATGTCACAGAGTGTATCAAAGCTAAGGTAGGTGCCTGTCCCACCATCAGTTGAATGAGAAGGTTTCTGATATCAGAAATTGGGCTACCCTGCTTTGCCAAGACTCTCTTTTCCAATCTCTCAAAGGCAGATAATAACACTAATGGACAATGTGGCCATGAGCATTAAAACAAATCATTAGGCTGGAGGCTTCTCATCAGTGCTTGAGGGCAATTTCACCACCTGGGGCTTTCCGAGAAGGCTTTTGAAGGCTCTGAAACATGCTCAGTCTGCAGGAGTATGCAGGCACCCACCGTGCCCCAAGATATGGACTGTGGAGCGTTCATTGTCTCAACAATTACTCACTGCAAGGTATTTTCTTATGGAGTTGTTTTTGTTCCCCCTAAAATATTATTACAGAAAAGAAAACTGCATTTGATTCCTAGTGTTGTTTTAAGAGTTCAGTGCTAGCAAACTGCCATATTCATTCTATTCTCTCTTTTCAACCAAGGATTGTGTCAGATGGACTCCAATAAATGGCTTTACAGTGGTGCATACCATGCACACACTAATTACAGACCAAACATGTCTATTTAATGAGAAAAACAATCCTAATCTGGGAAGATGGTGCCATTGCATGAAAATATCATGGATTCTAGTGCCAGATTAGCCTGGGTTGGAGTTCTGTATCTGTCCTTTACATCAGGGGTTCCCAGCCCCTGGCTGTGGACCGGTACTGGTCCGTGGTCTGGTACTGGTCCATGGTCTGTTAGGAAGGGGCCACGCAGCAGGAGATGAATGGCAGGTGAGTGAATATTACTGCCTGAGCTCCTTCTCCTGTTAGATCAGGGGTGGCATTAGATTATCATAGGAGCACAAACCCTATTGTGAACTGTGTACATGTGAGGGATCTAGGTTGCACGTTCCTTATGAGAATCTAATGCCTGATGATCTGAGGTGGAACAGTTTCATCCAAAACCATCCCCCAGCCCTTGTCCACCCCCCAGCCCATGGAAAAATTGTCTTCCACGGGACCAGTCCCTGGTGCCAAAAACGTTGGGGACTGCTGCTGTACATGTTTGAACTTGTGGGGGTTACCTGGCCTATTTGGACTGCATTTTTTTGGTCTAAGATGGGGTTGATAACCACTTTGCAGTATTGATGTGACTATGCAATGAATTTATGATCATAAAGTACCTGGTACATAATTGGTGCTCAATAAATATTCATTTTCCTTTATTCTGTTATAAAACCATTTTCTGTTTTAATATATTTATTTTAATAATATGTTAAATATACTTAAATAAGTGTGTTTATTGCAAGATAATACCAAATAGTTGTCTTTGGTAATATTCTGAATTTCATTTTAAGCTTTCCACACATTGCCTTGAGTTAACTTTTCAAGCATGGTGTAAGTCACAGGGTTCCATATTGTAACCACCATTGTGCTGGTGGGATGGGTTGCTCACTGGCCAGGAGATGGGCACTATGCAGGGACAGACAGCCTCAGGCTCTCTTCCTTGTTTGCTGCTGCCATTTCTCAGTGACCCCAAAAGTTACCACTGTAAAGGCATCTCTCCCACAAACAGACTTTTCCTACCCTGGAGTGAGGTGGACACAAAGGAAAGAAATACCATTACTGTATTAGTTACAAATATATGCATGTTAAGTTCTCTTTCCCAGGTATTATTTGTGTACTTTGTTTATTAGTTAAAGTGAATCTAACAGTGCTTTCAGCAGCATTCCTTTTATTATTCTGTCTCTCTATGTATTTGTATGATCTGATATTTTCTCCCTCCAGGCATTTGTTCTTAATTCAGGTATCTTTCACCATTTTTGGTGGGGGAGCTGGAGGAAGGGATTTCAATCAGTTTTGAGTTTGTGAGAAGCCAATTTGTAATGAATGTCTCATAGATCTTTTATTTTATTTTATTTATATTTTTTTGAGACGGAGTTTCGCACTCATTGCCCAGGCTGGAGTGCAATGGCGTGACGTCGGCTCACTGCAGCCTCCACCTCCCAGGTTCAAGCAATTCTCCTGCCTCAGCTTCCCGAGTAGCTGGGATTACAGGTGCCTGCCACCACACCTGGCTATTTTTCTTTTTTTGTATTTTTAGCAGAGACGGGGTTTTGCCATGTTGGTCAGGCTGGTCTCAAACTCCTGACCTCAGGTAATCTGCCTGCCTCAGCCTCCCAAAGTGCTGGTATTACAGGCATGAGCCACAGTGCCTGGCCCATTGATCTTTTAAATGAGACATTTTATTAAAGCCTCATCATGCTCCATCCATAAGATCCATCCTAGTGACAGAAACTCCAGTCAACTTCCAGGCACTCATCCAATAGTACCAGGGTAGAAGGGCAATATGTTTATTAGGATTGTCTTAAATTACAGTTTGAATTGTAAGTAGACCCTCAAATATATCATTATATGTATTCAAATTATGTTAAATTACAACTAGAATTTTTAAGTAGACTCTCTTAATATCTGTTAAAGACCTCTGCCACACTTAAAAAATATTTTAAGCAATTATAGGGCATTTGGGAGAGAGTATTTAGTTCAGCTTTCTTCTTAAATAGATTCAAAGAGTCTTTCCCCCTCCCCATCTTTATTGAAGTTTAATTGACAAATAAGATGTACAGCTTGGGGCGATGTGGTAGGCGCCTGTAGTCCCAGCTACTCGGGAGGCTGAGGCAGGAGAATGGCGTGAACCAGGAGGGGCGGAGCCTTCAGTGAGCAGAGATCGCACCACTGCACTCCAGCCTGGGCGACAGAGCGAGACTCCGTCTCAAAAAAAAAAAAAAAAGATGTACAACTTCATGTTTTTCTATATGTATACATAGTTAATAATACTGTATGGTATACTTGAAGTTTGCTAAGAGGGTAGATCTTCAGTTTTCCCAGTTTTTGGTGACAATCATTGACCTACATCCCCTCTACACACACACACAAACACACAAAGACAAAAAATACAGAAAAAATAGTAATCATGTGAATTTTGTGGATTTTTTTTAAAGGGTAGAAAGAGGGAGGTAACAAAAAGGCCATAAAAATGCCTGTGTGTGTGTGTGTGCGTGTGCGCGTGAGTGTGTGTGTGTGTGTATTTGTGTGTTATGTATACAGCCGTGTCCAAATTGCTTTTCAAAACACACTGTTAGACTCTCCCTAGGCCTTGGTGGAAACAGGGTCAGCCAGGAATAAGGAAAGGCCAAGAGCTCTGTCTTCAGTTGGCTCCTTTCTAAAGACGTCTCACACTTTAGAAAGACGAAGGTCTCCATGATCTTTTCCTGTTATGGTTCGTTCTTGGTAACTCCCTTTTATTCAGCAACCATTAGGCTTAGAAGCCATGCAATAACAATGAATCAATAAGTTATTTATTTTAACTGTTTATAAGAAAATGATAAAGTAGAGAATTAGAATAGGTGGTAGTTAAAACCACAGGCTTCAGAATGAGACAGATTTTAATCCCTTACTAGCTGTGCAGTCTTTGTACATTTTTAATCTTTAATTTCTTATCTAAAAAATTGGAAAGAATAATGGTTCTCAAGTTACAGAATAATGAGGAGCAAATGAAATAATTATTATATATTATATAATATCTCAATACAAATTAATGTTTTAATGAGAATTTTAATAAATTATTTTTATCCCTTTAATGACCATATCAACATTTTATTAAACATCCCTTATGATACCTTTCTATGTATGTAAGTTCACAAGGATATGGAAATCATTTTTTAATGTAAATAGGATCAAAGTATACATGCTGTGATGGTTAATATTGAGTGTCAACTTGATTGGATTGAAAGATGCACAGTATTGTTCCTGGGTGTGTCTGTGAGGGTGTTGCCAAAGGAGATTAACATTTGAGTCAGTGGACTGGGAGAGGCAGACCCACCCTCCATCTGGGTGGGCACCATCTAATTAGCTTCCAGTGTGGCCAGAATAAAGCAGGCAGACATTGGAAGAACTTGACTTGCTGAGTCTTCCAGCCTTCATCTTTCTCCCATGCTGGGTGCTTCCTACCTTGGAATACTGGACTCCGAGTTCTTCAGCTTTTGGACTCTTGGACTTACACCAGTTGTTTGCCAGGGGCTCTCAGACCTTTGGCCACAGACTGAAGCCTGCACCGTTGGCTTCCCTACTTTCGAGGCTTTCTTGCTCCTCAGCTTGCAGATGGTCTACTGTGGGACTTCACCTTGCAATCATGTGAGTCAATACTCCTTAATAAACTCCCCTTCATATATACATCTGTCCTATTAGTCCTGTCCCTCTAGAGAACCTTGACTAATACACCGGCTATTCTCTTACCTGATTTATTCACTAGACTACATGTTGTAAGACATTTTCCAAGTCAAAAATATAAGTCTTCATCATCTTTTCAATGGTTATAGATAATTTTATTTAATGTATCTATAATAATTTATATACCCACCCCTCACATGTGAACCATTATTTTGTGTCCATTTTTAAAATTAAAACATTCTGGAATGGATATTCTTATGGCTACACTTTGTGTGTGTGTGTACACATGCATTTTTTTCCTGCAAGATAAATTCTAAAGAAGTGAGATCACGGGCTCCTTAAACACTGTTATTTTAACTAAATTGGTGCCCTTTAAAAAATAGTTGCTCATCTCTGCTTGACACCAATGCAAAGTGTTGTTTTGATAATTTTCTCATAATGCTCCTTACTAACATATTGCATATTCTTGTTTTCATTTATTTTTAATTATACAAGTTATAGAAAATTTTCTGGTAAAAAAACTACACCAATACAGAAAAATTCTTGATGCCATCAATCTCTTCAAAAACAAACAGATAACCACTGCTATTAGTTTCTATATCAGTAAATGTAGATCTACCCCATCCTTTGAAGCCCTTGTACATAGATATACTATGAAGTAACCACGTTCTAAATTAAGGGCATTAAAAATACTTTATAATGTTCACTTTCATAAGTAATGCTCCAGTGAAAATTCTTTATCTACTCCTTATATGCATGTATGAATATGTCTCAGGAACAAATAACTAGAGTGGAATTGCTGGGCCAAACGGTATGCACAAATGAAGCTTTAATGGATAACTGCACAATTGTCTTCCCACAAGTATTACAAATGATTCACATTTCAACAACAATGCAGGAGAATTCTCATTTTTTTAGACACTCTTGCCAATGCAAAAATATCAGTCTAAAATATCTTTTGCTAATTTGATGGGTAAAAGAAATGCTGTTTTATGTTGTATTTTAAATTATTACTATTATTAATTACTATTTTTATTATTTGAGACAGGATCTCACTTTGTCCCCCAGGCTGGAGTGCAGTGGTGCAAACACAACTCACCTCAACTCTGACCTCCTGCATTCAAGCAATCCTCCTGCCTCAGCCTCCCAAGTAGCTGGGACCATAGATATGCGCCACCATGCCTAGCTAATTTTTAATTTTTTTGTAGAGTTGGGGTCTTGCCATGTTGCCCAAGCTGGTCTCGAACTCCTGAACTCAAGCAATCCTCCTGCCTCAGCCTCCCAAAGTGCGGGGATTACAGACGTGAGCCATCGCTCCCAGCTGTATTTTAAATTAATAGTGAGATCAAATAATTTTTAAACCTTAATTGTCCCATTCATAGCAATTGCCAATTTTCTATTAGGTTGTCTGCCTCTTATTGACTTGTAGTTTATTTTATATGTATGTTTGTACATGTATGAATGTGTGTCCATATATCAATTATTTTTCTTTTGTATATGTTGCTAACATTTTTTTCTAGTTTGTTGTTTGATTTTTAACTTTTGAATAAGGTTCCTTCTTGTATAGTTTTCAAAGTTTTATGAAGTAAAATTTATTAACACCGTTTTTGGGTCTGTGAATGCATTTTCAAGTACAAGGTAATAAACACATTCTCTTATATTTTTGAATTGTTTAGCTTTAAAAATCCTTTAACAGCTTTATTGAGATGTAAACCGTATATCACACAATTCACTGATTTAAAGTATACCATTCAATGTTTTTTAGTGTATTCTTAGAATTGTGCACCCATCACCATGATCAATTTTAGAACATTTTCATCAATCCCAAGAGAACCCTCATACTCATTTGCAGAAACTTGACATTTTACCTCAACACTGTTGGCCTTCCACAACCTACCAGGCAACTATGAATCTAATTTTTGTTTCTTATTTTTGCTTATTCCGAGTATACCATACAAATGGGGCCATATTACATGTGGTCTTTTGTAACTGGCTTCTGTCACTTAGTATAATGTTTTCGTTTCATCTATGTTGTACAGCTTTGTATTTTACAATTAGACTTTTAATCCATCTGGAATTCATTGATTTCTATCAATTGGGTAAATAGTTATATATAAATTTATCTTTTAAAGAGGGATAGCCAGCTGTACCAACGCTATCTACTGAAGATTCAGTCTACCCTTTTCCCACTAACCTAAACTGTCTCCATCATCCATATGTATGGATCTATTTCTGGGTTTTACTTCTTTATTCTTGAGCCTGTATTTATTGAGCCTTTATTCTTGAGCCTGATTTAAGGATTTGATAGGGTCTCGCTCTGTTGCCCAGGCTGGCGCGCAGTGGCCTGATCATAGCTCACTGCAGCCCTGAACTCCTGGGCTCAAGCAATGCTCCTACCTTGGCCTCGCAAAGTGCTGAGATTACAGACATGAGTCACCATGCCCGGCCCTCTGCAGTAGAATTTCACTAACTAGTAGGGTAAGTCTTCCCTCGTTTTCTTTTTTCCTAAAGTTTTCTTGATTCATTCACATTTTCTCTTCCATTTTAATTTTAAAATGGGCTTGTCAAGTTTCATTAAGATATTGTTTAAATTTTGATTGGAACTTCATTGAAATTAGAGTTTATTTTATTTTATTTTATTTTATTTTTTTGAGATGGAGTCTTGCTCTGCCATCCAGGCTGGAATGCAGTGGCGTGATCTCGGCTTACTGCAACCTCTGCCTCCTGAGTTTAAGTAATTCTCCCACCTCAGCCTCCCTAGTAGCTGGGATTACAGGCGTGTGCCACTACGCCTGGCTAATTTTTGTATTTTTACTAGAGACGGGGTTTCACCGTATTGGCCAGGTTGGTCTCAAGCTCCTGACCTCAGATCATCTGCCTGCCTCAGCTTCGCAAAGTGCTGGGATTACAGGCATGAGCCACTGTGTCCGGCCTAGAGATTAATTTTTGAAGAAATGTTATGTTACCTTTATAATATTGGGTTTTCTGTATTTTTATTGAATTTATAGCTGTATTTTAATTCATTCAAAGGAGGATAGATATTCCATCTGGAATTAAATTTTTAATTGTTATTGATGTATAGGAATGCCATTTACTGGGGTAGAAACTGTAGAGGGAAGTGTAGAATTTGATCAAAAGATAATGAGATCTGCTTAGATCCATTCTGCCTAAGATGTTTGTGAGAAATGAAGATGGAGATATACACACCAAATATTGCACCATTAATATTGGTGACTTTTTTGGAATGGCAATAGGAAGGTAGATGGTCTGTAAAGTCTTTTGAAAAAGAATTTGACATTTGGGCCAAACATATGTGAAACTATTGGCTTTGAAACCAGCAGAGCTTCTAACTTACTGTTGCAAATTGCTATTTTAATAAAGTAGGGAAAACCACAATGAACAGTTTAATTGTATTGCCTCAAATTGAAGTCAATAGCTATTCTTGAACTCATAGCTTGTCACACAGCTTCCTCTTTCTCCATGGTTTTTATTTTTTATTTTTTGGGGGGCAGGGAGTGGTGGGGGATGGGGTCTCAGTCACCCAGGCTGGAGTACAGTGGCTCAATCATGGCTCACTGCAGCCTCAACCTCCTGGGCTCAAGCAATCCTCTTGCTTCAGCCTTCCAAGTAGTTGGGACTACAGGCACTTGCCACCAAAGCTGGCTACTTTTTAAATTTTTTGTAGAGACAGAGTCTCACTATGTTGCCCAGGCTGGTCTTGAACTCCTGGACTCAAGCAATTCTCCTGCCTCAGCCTCTCAAAGTACTGGGTTTACAAGTGTGAGCCACCGTGCCCAGCCTTTCTCCAAGGTTTGGTTGCAGTTGTATCCTTCCATTATCTCAGATGTCAGCACAGCAGGTTGTAACCTAGTTTTCGTAGGGCACCTAAATGGTTAAATCAAAAGGGTGATAACAGTAGCCAGTGATATTTCTCTTCTCTGCAACAACAAACTCTTGTAGGACCCCCGATTTCTCTCTTTGATGTTCTTCTCAAATATCTCAGGAAACCCTCAGGGGAATTTTGGTGGATTTTCAAGCACAGTCCTCTTTGGTTCCTTGCAGAGCCTGATATCGCCCACTCTCCTGCTAAGCCTCTCCTGTGGTGACCTGCTGCACTGTTCTTTGATGCCCACCACGGCACTAGGAAGGTGCCCAGCACAGTCAGGTTACCCTTTGGTCAAACCACATGGACTGTCTACCTGCTGTGTCACTGATGCTGCAGAAGATGTTGTATTCTCTACCAAAGTGCGGAGAGTCTGTCCCCTTGTACCCAAACATCATGTAATACTCTCACCTGGCCAGAGCAGTGCTGCCTTGGGCTCTAAACACACTCTTGTCTGCATGCAGTTGAGTAGCTGGATGGGCTCAGTGATATGCTCAATGTCCTCCTTACTCTCCAGTTGGCCAATAGTTCTTGGGGCCTTGACATTGAACCAAGCTTGTGTGCCTGACTTCCAGCCTCTTCCGTCTTGGTTCCATGCATAAATAGACTCTAGGGTCCCATTGGGGCCTTCCGGATACCACCAGAATGCCTGAATCTTAAGCTGACTACAGTTTAGGTTCAAGCTAGAATCCTTTCTGCTCATCTGAGGAAATGTCTAAGGAAATGACTCAGAATCATGTATTAAGTTTGAATCATCCTAGTAGGCCTGGGCCATCTGCTCATACGTGGTAAGGAAAGAATTGTGGTTTCAGGCATATGGCTTTTGCTATTAAGCTTTATTGTCGTCTCTTATTGGTGAGAATGATATATTGTTTAAAACTAAGGAGTTGTGATAGCATGTTACTGAACCTACAGCAAAATACCATCTCAGTTACATTTATGATTTGATGCCTAAACTAATGGAATGAGCATGAGAGCAGCAATGAGTGGTGCATGCAAAGAATTGGGACATGGACAAAAAACAGGCTATTTCTTATTTATTGGCAACTTTTTACAAAATTGAGAGCGGCTGGCAGTTGTCAGAAAGAAGGCCTGGATGGTCAATCTCCTTGTACCGATGGTGAGTATTGACAATAATTTTTTTTTGTATTTCTTTTCACTTCCAAAGGATAGGGAAATTTGGCGACCTCAACCTGTCCAAGTCTTCAGGATCTGCTGCTGCCACTGTTCACTGCAATTCCTTAGGTTTAGCTTAATTGGCGCCATTGGGAACATGTAGAAATTCATTTTAGAGAGTGCTACCTTGATGACTTAACGGTCTTACAATAGTAGGCAGAGACAGAAAGGTGAGTATCAGATATGTGCTTTAGAAGCATGTTGCTTTAATCCAATCTCCGCTTTTAGACAGACCTCATGATAAAAACTTCCTTACGGCTTTCTAACCTATTCTAATATGTATCCTAAAGACATCCTGTGGTTACGTATCCTGTGTCTCACAGGCATTATTATTTAGAGAAAGCTTTCCAACTTTTGAAACTTGAGTCATTTATTCCAGTTTTATCTTTAGTGAAAATGACAGATTCTTATTTAATTCTTCTGGCTTTAAATTGCATGTGGAATGGGATGTGAAGGAATGCATCTAAGTTCTGAAGTCAGACAGACCTGAATTTAAACCTTGGTTTCACCACTTGCTAGGTGTGTGACCTTTAGCAAGTCACTTAACCTCTCTGAATTTCTCTTTATTCAACTCTAAAGTGGGGATATAATGCACATATTGTCAGGTATCATAGAAATTAAATAAAATAATGGATGTGAACATGGCTGGCATACCTTACTGTTCAACAGTTGTCCTTGCCCTATGTGTTATTTTCAGATATGCCGTAAATCCAAGTCATTATTTCATATTGATCTGGCTGCTTATGTAACAGGTGACGTCAGCAAAGAAAGAGTTCGTTACAGTAAAGGAAATCTTTAGAAAGCTAGTTACAGCTTGAAGATTGGACTGGGATCCGGGAGATGGAATTATTTTGCAACCTAAGATTAGTTCAGGGAAAAAGATTAATGAGTCACATTATGCAAACAGATCAAGCTAATGAAAAATGAAAATGTTCTGGTTTGCAGCTTGAGTTGATTTAATAATATTTGTGCAATAACAACATTAAATTCAAGGTCTCTTCCAGCAAATTGGACTTTACCCGGAACTTTTCTCTCAGAGGAAAGGTCCTCCTCCCTGGAATCACAATCTAACTGATCGCTTTGGGTGCAGCCCTCTCTGTGGTGCAATTTTAGGGCCGTCTAGAGTTCTCCCTCCCTCTGTGAGTCTCAAACACTCGGCTCTTTCTCTTCCTTCCTCTGATGTAGCTATTGAGGTGATTGTCGCTTTCATCTACCTCTTTCTATGAATTAAGTTATCTGATCGAATTATAGAGTAAGCCAGAATCAGAGATTAATACGTAATTGGCACACATTTATCTGATTAACCCTAGCAGGGAATAGAGTTCCAAGTTAAATGTTGTTGAGGAAGAACAAGTCGGGTTCCAGAATGGGATCTTTGGGAAGAAGCCTGTAATCTACAGGGGCTGAGGTGCTACTGATGAGAGGCAGTTATTACCTGAGCTCCCTGGACATACTGCTTATGTTCCCATCGGTGATGGGGTCAATTACACCTTGTCGTGGCATTCGCTGTTTTTATTTTTTGTTTTTGATTTTGAGACCAGGTCTTTTTCTGTTGCCCAGGCTGGAGCACAGTGGCATGATCATAGCTCACTGCAGCCTTGACCTCTTGGACTCAAGTGATCCTCCCATCTCAGCCTCCAGAGTATCTGGGACTACAGGTGCTCACCACCATTCCTGGCTAATTTTTACATTTTTCTTTTTTTTTTTTTTGGTAGAGACAAGATCTCACATTGTTGCTCAAGCTAGTTTTGAACTCCTGGGCTAAAGCAAAGCACTTCTCCCACTTCGGTCTCCTAAAGTGCCATGATTACAGGCTTCACTGTTTTTATATTTCTGTCATTCCTACTAGGCTATAAAACCCTTATGGGAAAGGAGCTCCCTTTTCATATCGCTGAAATTCTCTGAGTGTCTTCCTTGCACCTAGTGGGTATATTCAATAAATGCCTTCCTTGCATCTAGCAGGTAGTCAACAAATGCCTGTTGAATGAGGAGTCATTGAAGAAAATCTTTACTTTTTTTTTTTTTTTGCCTAGGACTGAACTTCATAATTCTATTTCCATTTGTTGCTTCACATAACTACCCTTCTGTGAAGTCCTTTCTATTTTCTGCCCAGCTTTGGACCTGTCTTCTCTTCCTTTTGATCTTCATGGCCATTACCTCCAATACATCTGAACAGTCTCACTTCTCAGTTGAAGTATATGGCTGTTTTTGCTTTTTCCTTCTCACTATACTCTTGATATCCAACTAATGCTCATAGCGACCAGGAAGAAATCCACCATTTCACTTCAATATCACATGAGCAGGAAATAAGCAGAGTTCACTGTGCTTTTGAAATGCTCTATAAGTTCAAGTTACAGTACAAAAACTAATCAATTTACTAATAAAGGCAAATAATATTATTGAACACATCAATTATATGTCAAGTCTGGAAACAGACAGTAGGTAAGATAGATGCTTTAGGGTATTGCTGAAAGCACTTTGATGACTAAAATTCCATTGTTCTGAACAATTTTTAAATCTGGTCAGGAATACTGGAAAGATTTTTACATTATAGTAAAATTCATCTTAATGTTTCCTTCATTGAAGTGAACTGCATTGATTCTTTCTCTCTTTTTTTCCTATGAGGGAACAATATGTTCAGGTATTTTTTTATGATTAAAATTTTGATTTTGAAGTGACCACAGATTCATTAAGAAATAATACAGAGGGACCCCATGGACTCTTTGTCCAGTTTCACCCAATGATAACATCTTGTAAAACTGTAACACAATATCACAATAGGATATTGACACTGATACTCTCAAGATACAGAACATTCCATCATCATTTGGATCTCTCATGTTACCTACTTCTTTCCTGCCAACCCCCTTCTTAACAACTGACAACAACTAATCCATTTTTCGTTTCCTATACTTTTTTCATTTCAAGAATGTTCTATAATGGAATTATTCAGTATGTCACCTCTGAGATTGTCTTTTTTTCACTCAGCATAATTTTCTGGAGATTCATCCAGGTTATTCCATGTATTAATACTTCATTTCTAGGCAGGTGTGGTGGCACACCCTATAGTCCCAGCTCCTAGAGAGGCTGAGGCAGGAGGATTGCTTGAGGCCAGGAGTTTGAGGCTGTGGTGAGCTATGATTGCACCACTGCACTTCGGCCTGAGTGGCAGAGTGAGACCCCATCACAAATAAGTTCATTTTTCATGTTACTACAGCGTAGATGGTACAATAGCTTGTTTAACCATTCACCCATTTTTAGCTTTTGACTATTTCAAATAAAGCTATTATAAACATTTGCGTATAGGTTTTGGTGTGAATATAGTCTTCATTTCTCTGGGATAAATACCCAGCAATGTGATTTTTGGGTATATAGTAGTTACATGTTTAGTTTTTAGGAAACTGCCAAACTTTTCCAGAATGGCAGTACCATTTTACATTTCCACTAGCAAGGTATGAGTTATCCAGTTTCTCAACTTTATTGGTGGCATTTGGTGTTATCATTATTTCTTATTTATCCATTCTGATATGTGTGTAGAGGTATCTCATTATGGTTTTAATTTCATTTCTCTAATGGCTAATGATGTTGAATATTTTTTCAAATGCATATTTGTCACCTTCATGTCTTCTTTGGTAAAATGTATCTTCATGTCCTTTGCTTATGTTCTAATTGAATTGTTTGTTTTTTACTGTTGAGTTTTGAGAGTTATCTATATTGTCTAGATACTAGTGCTTTGCAAAATACGTGGCTTACAAATATGTGGTTGCAGATATTTCCCTGTCTTTAGCTAGTATTTTCATCTTCTTAGTAGGATTTTTCACAGAACAAAAGTTTTAAATTTTTATAAAGTCAAATGTACCCATTTTTACTTTGTGGATCGTGCTTTGGATGTCAAGTCTAAGAACTCTTTTTCTAGAATCTTAAGAATTTCTTCTATGTTTTATCTAAATGTTTTATAGTTTTACATTCTACATTTAAGGTTTGACACATTATTAGTTAATTTTTGCATATATTAATTTAGTTAAGTTTGTATAGTGTGAGACAGATTGAGGTTTATTATTTTTGCCTGTAGATATCCAATTGCCCCAGCACCATTTGTTGAAAAGGTTAACTTTTTCTCTATTGAATTGTGTTTGCACCTTTATCAAAAATCAGTTGGGCATATTTGTGTGGGCATATTTGGGTTCTGTATTCTTTTCCATTGATCTATGTGTCTTTTCCTTTACCAATACCACACAGTTTTGACTACTGTAGCTCTATAATATATTTTAAAATATTTTATTCTTTTAAAAAATTGTTTGAACTATTCTAGTTTGTTTGCTTTTACATATATATTTTGGCGTAATTTTGTCTGTGTTTGCAAAAAGTTTCACTGGGATAGGAATTGTGTTAAACAAGTATATCAATTTGGGGAAAATCTGACATCTTTACCATACTGAGTCTTCTAATCCATGAATAAAGAATATCTTTCTATTTATTAAGATCTTTGATTTCTTTAATCAGATAGTGTTATATAGTTTTTATCCTATGAGTCCCACACACATTTTGGTAGATTTTCACCTAAGTAATTAATTTTTTGAGTGATTATGAATGTTGTAGTTTTATTTTTATTTTGTCCTCCTTGTCAGTTTTTTTTGGGGGGTGGGGGGAGGTGACAGAGTCTTGCTCTGTCGCCAACGCTGGAGTGCAGTGGTGTGATCTCAGCTCACTGCAACCTCTGCCTCCCAGGCTCAAGTCATTCTTGTGCCTCAGATTCCCAAGCAGTTGAGACTACAGGAATGTGCTACCGCACTCACCTAATTTTTGTGTTTTTAGTAGAGATGGGGTTTCGCCATATTGACCAGGGCTGGTCTTGAACTCCTGGCCTTAAATGATCTGCCTGCCTGGGCCTCCCAAAGTTCTGGGGATTACCGGCATGAACCACCATGCCTGGCCCTAGTGTTGTATTTTTAATTTAGGTATCCATTTGAAATCATTTGAAATCACTTATTAGTTCTAGCAGTATTTTTTTTGTTGTAGATTCCTTTGACTTTTCTGTGTAGAAATAATGTAATGTGCAAATAGGGACAGTTTTATTTCTTCCATTCTGATCCAAGTGTCTCTTTATTTTTCCCTCTTGTCTTTCCCTGATTGCACTGACTAAAACTTCTAGCACTTTGTTGAGTAAGATTGGTGACAGTGAACATCTTTACCTTTTTCCAATCTCAGGAAAGTATTCAGTCTTTTACCATTAAGTATGTTAGCTCCAGGGTTTTTTAGATGCTCTTTATAAGTTCCCGTCTATTCCTAGTTTTCTGAGAGCTTTTATCATACATGGGTATGAAATTTAGTCAAATGCTTTTTCTTCATCAATTAATATAACCATGTATGGTAGAATATATAGGTTGATGGCCAGGCACACTGGCTCATGCCTGTAATCCCAGCACTTTGGGAGGTTGGGGCAGGGGATCACTTGAGGTCAGGAGTTCAAGACCAGCCTGGCCAACATGATGAAACCCCGTCTCTACTAAAAATACAAAAATTAGCCAGACATGGTGGCAGGCACCTGTAATCCCAGCTACTTGGGAGGCTGAGGCAAGAAAATTGATTGAACCTAGGAGGTAGAAGTTGCAGTGAGCCAAGATCACACCACTGCACTCTAGCCTGGGTGACAGAGGGAGATTCCATCTGAAAACAAACAAACAAAAACCCCCAAAAACCCAAAGAATATACAGATTGATTTTAAATGTTGAACCAGCCTTGCGTTTCTTAACTAAACCCGACTTGGTCCTGGTGTCTAATTCTTTTTATATTGCTGAATTCTCTTTGCTAATATTTTGTTATGGATTATTGTATCTATATTCATGAAGAATATTTTTCTGTAGTTTTCGTTGTTTGTACTGTCTTTGGTATGGTATTAGGCTAATACTAGCTTCATAAATAAATTGGGAAGCCTTATTGCCTCTTCTATTTTCCAGAAGACATTGTGTAGAATTGGTGTTACTTATTCTTTAAAAGTTTGGGAGATTTCTCCAGTGAAGACTTCTGGGCCTGGAGATTTCTTTTTTGGAGGCTTAAAATTATGAATGAAATCTCATCAATGTTATATATAGGGCTATTCAAATTTTTCTATATCTTATTGGTTGAATTGCAATAGTGTTTTTTTCAAGGAAGTAGATCATTTTTTTCTGAGTTAAATTTATGTGTGTAAAATTCATAGTATCCATTTTACTGTGTATAGGTCTGTAGTGATATTCCATGTTCCATTCGTATAAATATTGGTAATTTGTGTCTTCTCTCCTTTTTCTTTCTCAGTCTTGCTAGATTTTGTCAATTTTATTGATCTTCTCAAAAGACCAGTTCTTTGTTTCATTAATTTTCTCTTTTGTTTTTCTGTTTTCAATTCACTGATTTATGCTATCGTCATATTTTCTTCTGCTTGCTTTGGATTTATTTTGCTCTTCTTTGTCTGGGTTATTGAGGTGGGAGTTTGGATTATTGATATGACACCTTTCTTCTTTGTCTGATGTATGTATTTACTACTGCAAATTTCTTCTTTATCATTGCTTTAGCTATATCCTACAAATTTAATACATTAAACATTTTTATTAAGTGCAATGCATTTTTAAAATTTCCTTTGAGACTCCCTCTTTAGCCCATGGATTATTTAGAGGTGTGTTGTTTAGTTTCCAATTGTTAAAAATTTTCCTATTGTCTTTATGTTATTGATTTCTAGTTAGATTTAATTGTGGTCAGAGAAAACACTCTGTAAAAGTTCAATTCTTTTAGATGTTTTGAAATTTGTTTTATTGTCCAAGATTTTGTCTATCTTGATATATCTTTCCACAGGAACTTGAAAGAGCATTCTGCTGCTGTTTGATGGAATATTCTATAAATGTTCATTAGATCATGTTAGTTGATGGTATTGTGGAATTTTTTCACATCCTTACTGATTTTCTGTCTAGTTGTTCTATTAGTTGTTGACAGCAGGGTATTAAAATCTCCAAGTATAATGTGGATTTGTCTATCTATGTTTTTAGCTCTATTAATTTTTGCTTCGCACATTTTGCTGCACTGTTGTTTGGTGCATACACATTTAGGATTGCTGTGTCCTCTTGGTGAATTGACCCTTTTATCACTATATACCATTCCTCTCTGTCTCTGGTAACCTGCCTATATTGTTACACTTGAAGTGAGTTTCTTATAGATAGCAAACATTGGGTCATGTTAATTCACTCTGACAATCTCTGTTCTTTAATTGGTATATTTACACCATTTTCATTTAATGTAATTATTGCTGTGTTAGGGATTAAGACTGACATTTGCTGTTTTCTGTTTGTTCTTGCTGTTTTTCATTTTTCTGTTTTCTTTTTTCCTGTGGGTTACTCAAACAGTTTTTAAGAATTCTATTTGGATGTTTCTATATAGTGTTTTTGAGCGTATCTATTTGTAGGACTTGTTTAGTTGTTGCTCTGGGTATTACATTACATATACATAATTTATCATTGTCTACTGCTATTATTTACTGGTTCAAGTGAAGTATAGAGATCTTACCCTTCTTTACCTTCCTTCATCCTCCTTTTTTATATGCAATTCATTGTCATTATTGTAGTAGTTGTATTCTACAAAGTCTCTGAATTAGCAAATACTATACCATTGCTCCTAGGGGAAATACAAGGTTAGATTCCTGGGAGCCTCAGGTCATGATATTATCAACTGATCAATACATAACCTTGTTTCATAGATGTTTCTATTTAAAGATACCTTTAAATTCAATTAACATTGAATTCATGGCCAACAGCTCTGTAAGTCATGCCTAAATAAAGCTTATCTAACACACATGGTTTCTCCATCAGGCACATCACAGCTTTCTTGCACTTAGAAACAGTAGACAGCATTTCAGCACTACAGTGGGGATCATTTTAAACAGTGCATTAGCCAACAAAATGTAAAAAATTGCAAATAACTTAGCATTAGATAGACTACGAAAAAGGCACTTGTTTATAATATGAGCTGAAACAAAAGGTGACAGCCATGTTCAACCTCAGCTTGAAATATATTAGAAGACTCAAATTTTCTACCACTCTGCACGTGTTTGTGAATGACTATGAAAGTGCTGTGAGTATTAATTTCATGGTTACAAATAAAATTCAGTGAATGGGAAGATTCACAAATACAGAATCTATAAATAATGAGGATCAACTATACTTTTGTTCTTGCTTATTGGTATAAAATTTTCTTCTTTTATCATTTCTTTTCTATTTAGGGAATTTTCTTTATCTGTCCTTTCAGGATAGGTCTATTGATGACAAGTTCTCTTTATTTTTGTTAATGTAAGACTCTTGATTTCCTCTTTATTCCTAAGGCATATTTTCACTGGACATAAGATTCTGGGTTGCCAATTCTTTTCTTTCAGCACTTGAAAAATGTGTTGCTTCCTTCAGGCTTCCTTGGTGTCTGATGAGAAATCTACTGTCATTTGAATTCTTTTTTTTTTAGTATAGGTAAAGTTTAAGATTTTTCTGTCTTTAGTTTTCAGAACTTTAATTATGATATGTTTTGGCATGGATTTCTTTGAGTTTGTCCTATTTAAGGTGGACTCAACTTCTCAAATTTGTAGGTTTATTCTGCCAGATTTGGGAAGTTTTCAGCCATTTTATGGTCAAGAACTCTTTAGCCCTATCTTCTTTTCCTTTTTTTTTTCTTGGATTCTGATGACGTGAATATATATATATATATATATATATATATCTTCTTATAGTCCTACAGGGTCCTGAGTCTCTGTTCTTTCTTTTTTTGATTTGTTGTTTAGACTAAGAAATTTTTATCATTGTGTCTTCCAGTACACTAATTCTTCCCTCTGTCTTCTTCATTCTGCTGTTGAGTACATCTACCAGGTTTTTAAAATTTCAATTATTGTGTTTTTCAGTTCTAAATTTTCTATTTGTTTCTTCTTTAAATATTCTAGTTCTTTGCTGAGACTTTCTGTATTTCTTGCTAAAGCTTTCTGCTTTTTATTTGTTTCAAGTGTGTAAATAATTGTTCTTTGAAACATTTTTATCATGCCTGCTTTAAAATATTTTTAGACCATTCCAACAACTCTGTCACTTGATGTTGGTATCTATTGATTGTCTTTTTGCATTCAGTTTGAGATAGTTTTACTTTTTGGTGTGAGGAGTGGTTTTTGATTGAAATCTGGACATTTTCGTAGTGTACTAGGAGACTGGATGTTACTTAAATCTTCTGTTTTGCTGGCAGATTCTGACACCACTCTGGCAGGGAGAAGTGAGCATTGCCTTGTTACTGCCTGGTGGAGGTAGAAACTCATGATCCCTGTTTGGCTTCTGATGACACCCAAGTAGGTAGCTCAGCTTATAACTTGGAGGGGATAAGGGTTCTGGCTTTTCATGTGGTCTCCACTGATACTGCAGTGAGGCTGGCCTTTTAACCACTGGGACATCGTGAAATTTCTGACTCTCCACTAGCCCTATTCTGACATTACTCCAGTAAGTTATATTCATATTTTTTAAAATTTCCCTTATGTCTAAGAAATAGATACAATCAAGTTTTCTTAATGAACTTTGTCGCCTTCCATTTTTATCATCTCCCTGCTGACTGGTTTTTTATTTACAGTAAATCTCTGTCTGGGGGGTGGCAACTGCCCGGATGCTTTTTTTTTTTCACCCAAGATGAATTTTTGTATGTGCAGCTATTATTTTGTTTCATCTTTACTTCAGTTTTTTCCTGCTCCTCCTATGGTTTATCACCATTGACCTACTCTGTGCCTTGCTTCTCAGTGTTTACTGCTTTTTGACGTTTATTTGTATTTCATGTGCTCTCTTCAGAGCATTTCTTTTTAAAACAAACAACAAAAAAGGGGGTTAAGTTGAAGTGCTGAAAATGCAAATCAAGGCACCTTGAGCAAAGGTTTCTCCCTCTGGGTGGAGGGGATATCTCAAGTTGACTAGGGAACAGTCAATAAGAGAGAGTAGCTGAGGAGCTGATTTTGAAGACCAAAACCCATTTCCTCTGAGGAAAGGAAATAGTCCAACACTATTTTAGATCATATTCCCCTGTCTCAGCTGCTTGGTTGCTGTTGTGGTAATCAGAAGCTACAAATAGATAAAATTTGCTAAAAGCATCTTTAAGAACCATCAGGAAATGTCTGGCCTTGCTCAGGACGTTTTGGAAACTAGCATGTTAGCAACTGATAGCATTATCCCTAATTTCCCTTCTACAAATACTGTTCATGGTAATTGTCACCCCTTTGTCAATCTCTGGCATTCTCAGAGATATCCTTTTAATTAATGTCCATATCCCCTGTTCTGCACACTCTTAGACTTCTGGATGGCCAAATCAGATTTGAAGGATTGATAGCAAGTTCTGCTAATGATTTTGATTAGTTCTATTTGTTTTGCATGTAATTATCTTTTCTCAGTAATTAGAATTTAGTCACAGTATTCATACTTGATATCATTTTGTATAAAGATTACCCTAGTTAAACTCAGATATATTTATAATTTCCAAACAATTATAGAACAATTTATCAAACCTAAGGTTGTTCTGTCTTTGAAAGGAAAAACAATGTTTTGTTTTAATTTGTTTTAAAATATGAAGTATTTCTTTTTTCATGTGAAAGACAGCTGATAACAAAAATCGATTGTGCTTTTGAAAATAATGTTTCCTGACAAATTAATTGCTGGGCAAAATTGATATTAATCTATGACAAAGTAACCTTTTCTTTGGAGAAGGATTTGAATGGGTTGGCCTTTTGAATGTGTTTATTAGATTGATCTCATTTTAGAATTGTAATTCTGCCATAGCTGGTGTCTAGAAAAGGAGGTATGGATATGTTTTTCCACCTGTGTTCATTATGTTTAATCAAACCTTGTATTTGTGGACTATAGCACTCAGCGAGTGTCTGAGCAGGTCTCCCTTTATCCCCATAGGGAAAATGAACCGGTTCTCTGGATTTATTCTAGTCAAACACAGAGCCAGGCTGAACAGGGCTTTTGCTGCTCCATCTTTGAGTTCCTGGGCAACTATGTGGCTCCCTGAGCTTTTGTTAAGAAAAGCAGAAGCACCAGGGCACCCAGATCCTGACGGCATGTGGTAGGTGGAGATTGCTCTCCTGCCCTGCAAGTTGGGCAAATAGGATGAAAATTTCTGCACGTTTGAAGGTATGTATTCTGTCAGCAATCTATTTCTGCAAGTTCTCTTTTGGAGGCATTAATGATGAATATGAGCTGCTTTCTACAAATCCTTTAAGGTCATCCTAATTGGCATTCTTTTTCTTGTTGTTATAAAGCCTTTCAGAGACTTACTACATATTCTTTTATTCGCAGCAGCATATTAATGACCCTTCCTTTGGAATTTGATTAAAGCAGCTTCAACTTAAATTTTTGTATGATTTCCTAGTAGTTACAGAGTGATCTAAACTAAAGTTCCCAGCCTGACACAACAGAGTAACTCCCCTGCATGTGCTTTATGGGCAGCCTGGTTCTTGTAAATGAAGCTTATAAGCTGGCAAGGATGCTGCCACTGGGGGAACTCACTGTCAGCACTAATGCTGCTGTCTAAACAGTTTTAACTCCCTTTGGCTTGGTTTTCCCACAGTCACTGCCGACTGTGACTGCTGATAAGCTGAATAAGGCTGGAGGTCAACAATCCGGACACAGCTCTTAATTATTAAAGGATCAACACGTCTTAACATGCACATCCTCTGAACTGGGCATCAAACAACAGGATCTCAAGGAGAGAAATGTTCCCTTTCTCTTAAATTAGCAAAAAAAAAAGAAAAAAGAACAAAAACATAAAACAAAGCAGTTTTCGGGGGAGGTATAGCGTTTTCCCTAGATCCTTTTGTTCGTTCGTTTGTTTTTGACACAGTGTCTTGTCCTGTCACCCAGGCTGGAGTGCAGTGATGTGACTCCAGCACATTGCAGCCTTGAACTCCTGGGCTCAAGTGATCCTCTCACCTCAGCCTCCCAAGTAGCTGAGATTACAGGTGTGTGCCACCTCACTCGGCTAATTTAAATTTTTTTTTTTTTTTTTTTTTTTTTTTTTGTAGAGATGGAGTCTCACAACGCTGCCCAGAGTAGTTTCCAACTCCTGGTCTCAAGCAATCTTCCCGTCTCGACTTCTCAAAAATACTGAGATTACAGACATGAGCCACTGTGCTCGGCCTCCTATGTCCTGATTCTAACTTTGGAGCTTAGACTGCTGAATAAGGAGGAGGCTTTTAATTACTCTCCAGACTCGAGCCTTTGTTTAATTGTATCTCTTTGTCAATGTGATCTATACTTAATCAATTTAACCTTGAATCAGCTTGATACCATGGGGCATTGTGAACCCAACAGCACAGGGCTGTGTCAATGTTTCATGTGTCTGCCATGAATCTGTGTCTTCTCTTAACCTAAATTAAACTCCTTAACATATAATTATCCATTCTACACGTTGAGCCTATCTCCAAGGTAAATGTTTCTGCATGGCTAAAAGCTGGTTTATAGCACAAAAACAAGCCCTCCTTTTTCTGCCTTCTCCCTGTCCCCACCACCAGAAAAATTGTGCATCCTTACTCAGAACTCTGTTCTTAGAGCTTCAGTGCCATAATGTTTCTAACTTTAGTGATTACATAGAAGTTAGCCAAAGGAAGTGTTTATTGCTCCATTTTCCTCTTTTTCTTTCTTTCCTTCCACAGCTTGAGAGGAAAATGTCAAGATTTGTTAACAGTAAAAAAATTGGACTTAATAAAATATTAAGAGACTACCCGGGCCAGGCACTGTGGCTCACACCTCTAATCCCAGCACTTTGGGAGGCCGAGGCGGGCAGATCACGAGGTCAGGAGATCGAGACCAAGACCACCCTGGCTTATACAGTGAAACCCTGTCTCTACTAAAAATACAAAAAAAATTAGCAGGGCGTGGTGGCAGGCACCTGTAGTCCCAGCTACTCGGGAGGCTGAGGCAGGAGAATGGCGTGAACCTGGGAGGTGGAGCTTGCAGTGAGCCAAGATTGCACCGCTGCACTCCAGCCTGGGCAAAAGAGCGAGACTCTGTCTCAAAAAAAAAAAAAAAAAAAAAAAGACTACCTAATTGAAATAGTTTACAATGCTACAGAAGGG
Source organism: Homo sapiens (assembly GCF_000001405.40). Classification (NCBI taxonomy): domain Eukaryota; kingdom Metazoa; phylum Chordata; class Mammalia; order Primates; family Hominidae; genus Homo; species Homo sapiens. The sequence continues at coordinate 23,570,746 of NC_000010.11, forward strand.
AAAATAATGCTTCACAAAATTAGCAGCTGGGTGGGTTATCTCCAAATGTGTATTGCTTACGACATGATGAGACTATACTGAATGTTTGGCTGGAATGAGTAATCAGCAGTGTTGATTCCAAATCTTAGTGAGACCTGTGCCAAACCTTGGTTTCTGGGAGTCTTCACAAGCATCATGAATAGATGAAAGTTTTTATATTTAGTTGTTGTGCTGTTTCACTCCAATAGCAGAAAGAACAAAGAACAGAGACAGATGGGGAGTGGAGCAAGATGGTGGAATATGACTCTGTAGTGATCATCCACCCACAGAAACATCAACTTGAGTAACTATTCACATGCAAAAAACCTTCACAAGAGCTAAGGAAACTAGGTGAGAAATCACAGTACCTGGTTAAAGCATCATACTACAAAAAGACACATTGAAGAGGGTAGGAAGGATAGTTTTACAGTACCCATATCACCCCTCCCCCAACTCCAGGCAGCACAGTGTGGAGAGAGATACCATTTGCTTGATGGAAAGAGAAGGAAGTAAATATAGGAGTTTTCCTTGGACCCCAGTACTGGGCCTGCCAAAGTAAAACCCGGTGCCAGGCAGAATCTCTCAGCCCCTCACTCCAGGCTAGTACTTGAAGACTGAACCTCTAGAGCCATCCAGACACCACATGGGAATTCATATTCCCTGCAAAATGGACTTGAGGTTTAGCCTACATCACCATTGGTCAAATACAGTGGCTGTGGGTACCGAATAACCCACAGTGACAGATAGGCCTCTGTGGTTGGGGGCTTGAAATTCAGCTTAATGCTGCACCAGCCTCAGCAGTCAAGGGATTTCAGATTGGCTGCAGTGATCCTGGGTTTACAACGTCCCCTAGCACTGCAATAGCTGTGGCCATCACAGGCTTAGGGACTGCAATTAATGACCTGCCTAGAATTTCTAGACAGGCTTACTGCTGAAGAACATTCCCAGATAAAGCCAGACTACGAAAACTGGAATAAGTACCTACTTCTTCAATGCACAGACATTGCTGTATGACCGTAAGCATCAAGAACAGTCAGTGAAACATGATGTCATCAAATGGACAAAATAAAGTGCCAGTAACCCCAAAGAGATGAAGATGTATAAATTTCATGAAAAGGTATTCAAAATAGCTATTTTAAAGAAGCTCAATGAACTTCAAGAAAATATGAGAAAAATTCAGTGAAATGAGAAAACTATGAGTGACCAGAACAAGAAATTTAACAGAGAGATTGAAATAATAACAATTAAAAAAAAATCAAATCCTGGAGCTAAAAAATACAATAAGCCAACTGAAAAATGCAATAGAGAGCATCAATAGCAGAATTGATCAAGCAGAAGAAAGAATCTGTGAACTCAAAGACAGGCTTTTTGAAAATATATAGTCAGAAGAGAAAAAAGGAAAAAGGGTCAAAAATGAACAAGGCTTATGGGATTTATGGGATAGCATCAAATGAGCAAATCTGTGAGATATTGATGTTCAAGATGGAGTAGAGAAAGATAAAGGATAGAAAGTTTATTTAAAGAAATAACAGCAGCAAACTTTTCAAACCCAGAGAAAGGTATAAATATCCAGGTACAGGAAGGTCAAAAGTTGCAATCAGATTTAATACAAATAAGACTACTCCAAGATATATTGTAGTTAAAATGTCAAAGATCAAAGAGAAAGAGAAGATGCTGAAAGCATCAAGAGGAAAGAAGCAAGTCACATACAAGGGAGTTCTCAAACGCCTAGCAGACAGAGAAAGACAACTCAAAAAAACCATTATCACAAAATGGTCAATAAACATAGGAAAATGGCTTCAAACTAATCAATAAACTAGGAAATGCAAATTAAAACAATCTATCTATTTTTGCCTATCAAATTAGCAAATATGTAAGAAACAATAATATCCAGGATTGGTGAAAATACCAGGAGGTTACTAGAGTCAGACTGGTTTTGCTTCTTAGCTCCTCCTCTTACTAGCTGAGGGAACTTGGGCTTGCCATATAATTTCTCTAAGACTATTGTCCTCAGCTGTAAAATGCAGATAACATTAGTAATCACCTCACAGTCTTTTTGAGGGGATTAAGTGAAATAATGCTTATAAAGTGTTTAACGTCTCATCTGGCATATAGCAAATGCTCTGTTAATATTAGTATTGTGATTATTATTGTTATTGGAAGCTAGAATCCCAATACACTGATGGAGAAGTATAAATTGGTAAAACCTTCCAGAATAAAAATTTGATATATATATGAAGGCTTTAATATCGTGCATACATTTGACTTAATAATTCTACTCTATTAATTTGTTCTGAGGAAACAGGACACAATGATATGATTACAAAGATATCTTTTATGACTTTTTTATATTGACAAAAAATTGAAACAATTTAAATACCTAACAGTAAGGGAATGGCTAAAAATTATGGTTTGTCCTTCTACTAGAATTTCATTCAGGTGTTACAAAACATGATTTTTTTTTAAAGTTTCTAATAGCTTTATTTTTTATTATACTTTAAGTTTTAGGGTACATGTGCACAATGTGCAGGTTAGTTACATATGTATACATGTGCCAGGTTGGTGTGCTGCACCCATTAACTCGTCATTTAACATTAAAACATGTTTTTTAAAGAATATTTAATGGCTGAGAAAAATGATACTATGTGAAAATAGTGGCTATCATTGGTCAGTAAGACAAGATTACCTGTTATTTTTATTTTTTATTAATACTCATCTGTAGTTTAAATTTTTCCTGTAGTCAGTCAAATACTTTTTTGACATCTGTTGCATATTAGGTACTATGCAATGTGTCATAAATATGAAAGGGCACTGTACCCATGCAGCTTCCAATCCCTCCATTGGAATATTTGGAAGATGTGTTACTTTTATAATAAAGAGGATCATTTCTAAAACAAAAAGGGAAATTATATTAATTTGCAAGGGTGGCCATAACAAAGTGCTACAGAAATTTATTTCTCAGAGTGTGGGTGTGTTTTGTTTTTAAGAGACAGGATCTCCCTCCATTACCCAGGCTGGAGTGCATTGGTGCAATTAGAGCTCACTGCAGCCTCAAACTCCTGGTCTCAAGTGATCCTCCCAGCTTGGCCTCCTAAAGCATTGGGATTACAGATGTGAGCCACCGTACCCAGCCTATCTCCCTTTTAATGAAACTAAAATTGGGTCTATATAATAAAAGAAGCTTCTGTTTACAGAGTTACATGACCATTTTCACTATTGCTGTTCATCAATTTCTCATGTTCCCTGCCACACCCAAAGGCAGATTTTATTATCAAAGGATGCATCTGAATCTAGTCAGATACTAGAACACCAGCACCTACCTCAGAGGGTCCTCCCAGAGTGCCTAATTCTGGGCTGAGATAGGATTCCTGGACTACACAGGGACCCCCAAGTCTGCAACAGACTTGAAGTGCCAGGGAAACCCTGGACTTCCACTGTTTTCCAGAGGTGATTTAGAACTGCCTATATAAGGTCACCTTCACCTAAACTGAAATCACAGCTGCCAATGCTGTGGCTTTCGAGGACAGGTCCATGTTCTTAGTCTTCATAAAGGGGCTCTCAAAGGGACTAAAAATATGCAATTGAAGGGAAAAGGAAGAAATACATCATTTCTCAAAAGAGAAACTATCAAGGAAGAATATTATCACATGGTTTCTGTTATGGGCTGAATTATCTTCCCCAAGAATTCATATGCTGAAGTCCTAACCCACAGAACCTCAGAATGTGACTGTATTTAGAAATAGAGCCTTTAAGGAGATACTTTATTTAAAATAAGGTCTTATAGATGGGCCCTAATCCAATACGACTGGTGTCTTTATAAGAAGAGGAAATTTGGACTTAGTTACAAAAGGAAAACCACACGAAGTCCCAGGGAGAAGACAGCTATCTACAAGCTGAAGAGAGTGTCTCAGAAGAAATCAACTCTGCCAACACTTTCAAGACCAGCCCGGGCAACAGAGTGAGACTTTCCTTTTTATTTAAAAATAAAAGATATATTTTTAAATGGATATAAACTTAAGAAAATGGAAATAGGTGCTTCTCCTCAGGTGGAGGATAACCATCTTTTCAGATTAAAGTAGAAGCAGAAGTGAACCTAGAGAGTTCAACCCCTTGTTTCAAAGGTTGGGAAATCAGCTCACCAAGGCCTCTGCATTTGCCTCAAGTCACACATCTGATGAGTGGCAAATGTTGATCTCAAGTCCAGGGATCAAGATACTGGTCCAGGGTCATTTCCATGATACTCTGTGAGGGATAGAGGAAGCCTATGTGCTGGAGGAAGCATTGGACCTGGGAGTTAGGAACCCTGAGGTTCCACCCCAGCTGGGCCACTAAGCAGCTACATAACAATGGGCAACCTGGGTCTTCTCTCTGGGCTCCTGTTTTTTCTTTATTTTGAAAATGAAAGTTGGATAATATAGTCCCTCCCATCTCTAACATCCCCCAAGTCTTTCATGGGTGCCACTCATTCTATATTCAGGCAGGCAGAGTTGGCAAGGGGTCCAGATGTGTTCGGTAGAGAATGGTTACATGACAGTGTCTAGCATACTAAAGGAAAGACCAGTGGCCTCAAGGCTTGTCTAAGGAATTAATAAAGATTGAGAATTAGGAGGTGCTATGGCTTGACTGTTTGTGCCCCCTCCAAAATTCACATGTTGAAATTCAGTAACCAATGTGATAGTATTAAGAGGTGAGTCCATTAGGAGGTGATTAAGTAATGAGGGCAGTACCCTCAAGAATAGTACTAACAACATTTTAAAAGGGCTGGAGGGAACTAGCTACATCCATTTGCTCTTTTGTCCCTTCTGCCATGTGAGGACACAGTGTTTTTCTCTTCTAGAGGATGCAGCACTCAAGGCACCACCTTGGGAGCAGAGATCAGGCCCTCACCAGACACCAAACTTGTTGGTGCCTTGATCTTTGACTTCCCAGCCTCCAGAACTGTAAGAAACATATTTCTAATTTTGATTAATTACCCAATCTTAGGCATTTTGTTATAGCAACCCAAACAGGCTAAGACAGGAGGTTAAAAAAAGATTTTAAAAGATAATAAATTACAAAAGAAAATAAATGAGATTTGCAATCTTGTTCACCTTCACTTACGTTAAAAAAGTGAGCTTCCACCTCACTACTCACATATTAATTAAATGCTGACACATTTTGCTTGCTTTCTTACAGGTGAATTCCTGTAACACAATCTTCACTTATGTTTTTATTAACACGTAAAACATCTTTACCTCCACTGTCTTCTCTTCATAAAAAGGTATGCTACTAGGTTGTCGTGCTAAATGTCAAGAAATTGATGAAAGTCATTTTAACTCCTCCTTTTGGCTAGGTCTTCTTTTCTTCTTTCTTTTCTTTTCCTCCTCTTCTTTCTTCTTCAGTGCGTGATTAACTTTGTTTTCAAAAAGTATTATAGCCTTACCAAAATTTTCATTAGCATTCCCCATGCACATTTTAATTAAAGAAAACTCATGTTTTGCTTGAGTCACTGGGGAAATGAAAGGTATAATCTAATGCTAAACGTGCTTGTACTTTGCATTAATTTAAACTGGACTCCCTTCTCTGATATGGGAACAGAAACAAGGCCACAGACTAACACCCACTCTCAGAAAAAATTCATAAGTAGCACTGTTCCAAGACTATTTCCAATTATCTCATGTCCTTTTTGGTTGTAAAGGACAAAGATCTAAATGAGGCATTGTACTTTCCCGTATGAAACAGAGCATTAATTGCTACCATTTTTATATGCTGCTGGAGTGTACGTGAGGTATAACACATATATATCTACAAGGTGCCTACATCAATTGTACAATTTTTACTTGTGTTACTTGCATTAGTACTTTTACTAAATAGATGTTGTTAATTTCATTCATTTTACAAAAATTGAAATTATAAACCATCATCAGGCTTTTCTTTAAATATATGGAAACGTATTAAACTGTTTTTCTACTTGTCAAACTATCTTTCATCATACAGGGTGATTATGAAAACAAGAGGCCCTTGGAATTTCCCGCTGCTTTTTTATTCTACCAACAAAGGAAATTTATCCATTCTCTTTAGGTATAAACTTCCTTGCTGTAATCTTTAAAACTTTTATTTATTTCTTCTTCTTCTTATAGAGAGGAGGTCTTGCTGTGTTGCCCAGGCTGGTCTCAAACTCCTGGCCTCCAAGTGATCCTCCTGCCTTGGTCTCCTAAATCACTAGGATTACAGGTGTGAACCACTGCTCCAGGTTCTCCATTGCTGTGATATTTTAAGCACACTATTGCTGGCTTGAAATTACTGTGATTTTAAACATGTACTGAAAGCCTTACTCTGTAGCATCAGATCCAAGAGCCTATATTTCTAGTGACTTTGATTGACTTGGGCCACTTTTTTTTTTAATGCTTTTAGAAACCTTTCATTTCTGTTATTTTGGTCAGTATGTCTTAGAAATCACTCAAGATGGTGAGTAAATTCTGAGATAACTCTCTCGATCTACCAGACAATGATGTTATAAAAGCATCCTGCTTGTGAACTATGGTTCTTTGGCAAATAATCCTGAACTAGCTAGGAAGCTGCTGAGGGCAAAAAAGAATTAACAGTTATAGGGCATGGTCCCTGCCAAGGTCACATTCCTTCCACCGTTTGTTGTGGGCATCCAGGGCTTGCTTCCACAACCTGTGGCCACTGAACCTAAGAAGCAAAGTAAGAGTGGATGAAGTGTCCAAAGAACAAATAGTGGATGAGATCCACTTATCGTTGGTTCATAATGAGTGCACACCATAATCTGCAGGCAATTTGTTAATTCCCCATGAGAAATTACCATCACAGAGACCTGACATACTCCAAATTTGCATATCATTCTCCCTGTAGACAGACTTACATGGGAAACCAAATAATAATTACAAAATTGCTACATGGTTATGGAATTACAAAATAGGAAGTTAATGACATTTGGCTAAAAGAGCTGGATATGTCCATTTCATAAATGGGATTTTCTTACTAATGGGACCATAGTGTTTGAAGTCCATTAGTGAATATTCCTTCATTTCTGAGTATGTTTGGATAAGCACTGCAGCATTTACATCAATAACTCACCTTGTCCTATGTTTCCAAACTGTCCAGCTCCTTTAATGATTGATGCATTCTTTATTTAGACATGTCTATACATTTAATAATATTATGGTGAAATTATCCCGGCCTGGGAGCCATTCTGTCTCTTTAAAATGATGGTCATTCATTCATCAAATATTTATGGAGTGTCTCCTCTGTTCCAGACCATGCATTCTGTATTAGGCATACAGCAGTAAGTGAGACAAACAAGTTATAGAGTCTAGTGGGGGAAATAACAATTAAACAAGCTATTACAGTAATGCATGATAAGTGTAACAGAATAAAAAGAGCAAGGAGCAACGGATCACCTTGCCTCTGCTCTAGGGGACTCAAGAGGGCTTCTGGGAGAAAGTGATGCCAAATTCGAGACTTGAAAGATGGAATTGGGAAAGGTAGAAAAGGTTTTTTGATAAAGGGAATGTCCTGTGTGAAGGCCCAGAGGAGAGAGTGCAAGCTACCTTTAAGGCACTGAAAGAATGTTTTTAGGGCTGTAATTGAAGGTGAAGATGATAATGGCTGTGAGCTAAGCAGGACCAGATCATCAAGGATCTGATTAGACCTGTTAAGGAGACTGGATTCTATCCTAAAAGCAATGGAACAGACTGATTGGTTTTAAACCTCATAATGATTAGGTTTGCAGTTCAGAAAGATCTTTCTGGCTGTAGCACACAGAAAGGATCTGAGAGCAGAAAGATTAGAAAATATAAAGCCTATTAGGGGGCCATGGTGTGATTTCGGGCAAGAATGGATGGTGGGTTAATAGGATTATTCAAGGTAGTGGCAGTTAAGATGGAGAAAAATGGTGTTTTGAGATATATTTATGAGGGAGAACAGCTAGAACTTGATGTCTAAATGAATGTGAAAGGTGAAGGTGATGAGGAATCAAGAGTGACTCTAGGTTCTGCTGAGATAGGGAATACTGGGCAAGACTGGGTGTGGGGAGGAGATGAATATAGGCCAGGAGATGTTGTGCTTGAAGTGTTTGCCATGGAAGACAGTTGGATACATAAATCTGCAGCCCAGGAGAAATGTCTGGGCTGGAGATAAGACTTTGGAATCATTAGCAGAAGGAAAGTCTTTAAAGCCACAAAAATAGATGAGTTCACTTGTGAAAAATATGGAGAATCTGAAAAGAAACCAGCATTAAATCTCAATTGGAAAAAGAGCAGGCTGAAAGGTAAAAGGAGGTGGCTCAGATGAATGGGCAATGTGACCCTTAAATTCTGTCATGCAGGTCTGCTTTGTGGAACCATGTTCCTATTCCAATTATATATATTTTTTATTTCAATAGCTTTTGGAGTACAAGTGGTTTTGGGTTACATGGATGAGTTGTATAGTGGTGAAGTCTGAGATTTTAGTGCACCTGTCACCCGCTGTTCCAATTTTCTTAGCATAGTTGTCTATGCTAAGAAAACTTTTCCCTCAGAAAATATTCTAAGGGAGAACTAAAGAAAGGTTCATGCTTTATATGGTATGTTTAGACCTAGAGAAGCAAGGATGAGGAGAAAAGAAGAAAGGAAAGATGAAAATGAATGCAAGATGCGTAGCCATGCTTGCTACCTCTTCGTGGTGAGTGGGAAGCAGCTCAGGCTGTGCCCACTCGGCACTTCCCTGGCTGGGCTTCAGTGAGGCACTACGCCTCGGAGTAGTCTTTGAGCAAAAGGAAAGAGGAGGGATTCGTGTCTCCCTCTCTGCCATCTCTTGTTTCCTACTAGTAAAGGTTAGCCCAGGTTTTTCAGTTACGGTTTAACCAGAGAAGCAGAACCAAGAGAAAGATTCTACATGGGATTTGTCACAGGGAATTGGCTTATGCAGTTGTGGGAGCTGGTAAAATGGTTTTCAAAAAGCTGTCTCCATATGTAATGCTGGAGCTTCAAGTCCACTGGGCAGGCGATCTGAAAGGGAAGATCATGAGCAGGCTGTGAGCCCTTGAGGGTGGGCTGAAGCTGCAGCCATTTTTGTTGCCTCTCACTCTCATGAAGAGGGTGGTCTTGTGCAAACTGGAGCTCTTCCTCACAGAGCTAAACACGTACACCTGGCCCAGGAGTCAGAAAAGCTGAAGCCAAACTGGGAAGGTAGATCAATTTCAGGCCCACATGCTGCTTCAGGCTAATGTGGTGAATTACGCCATCAGCAACAGGGATCAGCTGCAAAATGGCCACTGCCTGCCTTCTGCCTTCTAAATCTCAAAATGGCCACTGCCTTCCTTCTCCACTCCAAATCAGGTAAGTGTCTCCTAGTGACCCAGCCTGGGGCATTGCTTTTAGAATCCCAATTCTCTCCTATTTTCCTCGAAGCCTCTTTCTTGGACCAATTCTTGAAAGCACAGGACCGCGTGGGAATTTAAACTCCCCATATTTCTGAGTTGCATCATCTGGAATCTACAATTCTGGTGCTTCAGCCAAGTCTCGAATGATGGGGGACGTCAAATTGTGGGTGACTGCCCATTGGGAGAGCTCTACACGTCCAGAGCAAGTGTTTGCTTGGTCCTTTGCTGTAGCAGAGTGTGCTGGGAGGCAAGGATATTGGAGGGAATCTGAGTAGGCTGATAGAATACAGCTATCTGTTGCAATATTTCAATGCATAATAGGACCTTTAAGTCTGAGAGGAACATGTTTTAAAACTAGTCCAGAAGACTTCAAAAGGCTTATTTTTGTTGAGTAAAGAAACTTCTTATTTCAGACACCTGCCACCTGAAACTTACAATTTTTTGATGTTAACCTCAGAACGATTATGATAGTGTTCATGCCAACTGAAGGCAGCTTTTATGCATATACTACGTTGCTTCTGTGAGAATGAATTAAGTGGTAAATAATTATGTAGACTTGAGTGTATTCATTCCACTTAATAAAGCAGCCCAGATTTAGTCATAGACCAACTTCAAATATGGTTAGTGGTAATAACAATGCTTGGCTCAAAATTAAAGAGAAGCATGGGAATCGTCAGATTATTGAAAAACAATTTTTTCCCAAAAATCTCTCTTCTTCCAGCTTGCATGTGCATGTCTCTGACACAATCTTTGCAGAAACACAGTAAGAACAAACAGGAGAGATAGTTTCTGTGATTAGGGCATTTATAGAAAGAGGATATTCTATCAAGGTCTATGCAGATTTATTTCCTTTACCTGAACAGTTCTGTGTGATTTCTATTCTGAGTTACTGCCTGTGACAGGTGATGTTTATATAAATAAAACACCCTGTGGGCTGAGGCATTAGTGAATTCTGCTGTGGCTTTTACCCAACCTCAACTCCCTGCCTTTGCTACCATGCACTTCTCTCTCACTTAAGAAATTTTATCAGAATGCATGTGAGCCAGAGAGAGTTATAATATAGATAATGTGAAATGATAACTTATATAAAAATTAAATCATTGGTAAATGTTAGTACTTTAACACTAAAGTTTTTATATACATGGATAGCATGATATTAATATATCACACATGTTTATAACAAGGGGGTGGTACCACTCAAAGGGTTAGAACTACAAATTCTAAAGCTGGATTTGAGTGGCAATAACCTTCCATTCAGCTTATCCAATGTTCCCATGAACAAAGCTTACTGATAGGATTACTTCTTTTGATTTGAATGAATGGTTGTGGGGCTGAATAGGGATTAAAACCCCAATCACCAGTATTTTTTCCTGGTTTAAAATATACTTTATATGGTTTTAAAAGTATCAAGTAATCAGTCAGTGTCATGACTTTCTTGTGGAGTATACATCCATTTTAATTCCTTGATTAACTTAGAGTGAAAACAAGCTGTGTGGTACTTTTAGAAAACTTCTAGAAAGCGAGAAAGGCCATGGGCAACATCGTGCTGTTGAAGGTTGTTTGTATCCACCCTTCAGCTCCACTTCTGCACCTACAAGAGTCCTGCAGGTATTAGACAAGGCTCTTTTGATTGCAAGTCACAGAAATCTCACCAGCTAAATTAACAACCCCCTCCACAAAAAGGAATCTATCAGCTCTTATAACTGAGAAGTCTAGGAGACTTTCTTTTCACATGGCTAAATTCAGAGACTCAAGAGATACAAGGTCTCTCTCTCTCTCTCTCACACACACACACACACACACACACACACACACTCTTTTCTCAAAATCACAGCACCAATGTATAAAGAAAAGTTTATTTGATAGCTCTGGTGGCAGAGCCTCTGGGAGCATCTCATGACTGAGCTTGTGATATACTCAACCTTGAAGCAATCATTGAATATTGTCAGAGAATGCGGTGTTCCAACTGACCAACTTAAGTCAGGTGGTGATTGGCAACCCCACTACATAATAGAATATTAACTTTACCCAGAGAGATTACTGACCTTTGTCCCAGCTCCTGGGAGGAAACCCCTAAACCTTTAGAACTTCCAGAGTGATGGGAGTGTCTTTGCTATTCATGGTGGACCCCTCAGACCTAAACCTGATAGTTTATGCTAATGAGGTGACTCAGGGTGGTGGGATCGCCATTCCAGAAAGACCAACTGTGTGATTACAGAATTGGGCCTTTGGGCCACAGGATATAAGTCTGACCTCCAGAGAGACAAGAAGAGGGTGCTGGAAGTTGAGTTCAGCTATGTGGTCAATGATTAAGTCATGCCTATGTAAGAAAACCGCAATAATCACTCTGGACACTAAAGTTCAGGTGAGTTTCCCAGGTTGGCAGTACTGGGAGTGTTTTGTTACATTTTGATAATGGGAGTGTAAGGCATCCTTGACGATGATGAAAACTTTATATCTGGAATCCTCCCAGAACTCATCCTATATGCCTCTGCTTCTAATTTATATTCTTTTGCTATAATACAGCTGTAATCATAAGTATAGTGTTTGTCTGAATTCTTTGAGTTGTCCTAGCAGATTATCAAGCCTAAGGGTGGTCATAGAAACCCCTGAATTTGTAGCCAGTTGGTCTGAAGCGAAGGTGGTGGTGGGGGACCCCAAAACTCACAATTGGTGTCTGTATTGAGGCCAGACCTGTGACGTCTGTTTCCTTAGACTTTGAAGCTTGATATTCTCATTGCAGTTGGTGTCAGAAGTTTTGGCTAGATGTAGCAGTCTGGAAGACTGTGCCCTTAACTGTGAGTTTACCTAAGTCTGGTACCCACTGATGGAGAAAGGCAGTTTCAGAAAGAAAAAAAATGTGGGCAGGCAAAACCAACAAACTGAATCAAACCAACCCAAATCAAATAACCAGCTGCCTCCCTTTGTAAGAGAACCCATCACTCCCAGATGTATGGCCTGTAATAATGTCTCATGACTACTAAGACTTTTCAGAAAATGCTTCCCAGAACCTATAACCTTGGGCATTTTGTGTTTTGTACCTTCCCTGACTGGTGGTTCTGAAATTAAAATTTGAGTTGCATTACTAATTACTAATAACAAATTAATGTGCTACCATTTTTTCTGATGTTTACTTTTGAACAATCTTTAATGCTTAACCCAAGTCAGGGAGTAATCTAGAATGTAAGCTTCTCAAAGGCAGGCACCTGTTTGAAAACTGCCAGGTGCCAAGGTAGTTAATTTGAACAATGGGCCAAACAATAAGGCCTTTATTTACTTATTGCAACAGTACAAGCAAGAGACCAATAAGAGAAGGTGCTGGCTTCCCCATTGTTCCATTTTTGTGTTTCTAGGAATGGTTCACACAGGAAAATCATCTCATTGCTAAAGGGACACTGAACAAAAGGCTCCTGCTGTTTTATGGAGTGGGATATTGGAGGAGGCAGAGAAGGGCTAGGAGTGGGAAAAGTACTGAGAACTGAGTCACAGTGGAAAAAGGTGTCTTTAGCTTTAAGCCCCTCCTCTTGCCCCACACCCATTAGGAAGTCTTAGCAGAGGCATCTGAACAGTGTCTCAGCTGAGCCCTCCCACCCGCTTCCCGAAGGTAAGCAGGCCTCCAACTGGAGTCACCTAGGCTAGGAAAATGGGTATGTGTAAGAGCATGTCCAGCCAGGGGCATGCACCTGAGTCCCTGAGTGCAGCTTCCTTCAGAGGATGCAACGCTTTGGCTGTGCACCAACTCTAGTAAGGGGAGGATCACTCCTCCCGCTCATGCCTTGTGATGCCTGCCAGGTGAAGTCTTTGTGATTGGCTAAGGTCTGTCTTGAAAGAGCACATGTAGGATTTTGGCTCAAAGTCAGACACCTCAGTATCCTTGTCTGTTCCTTAATGTATCATAAGTTTCTAAAGTAGTGCTCGGCACATAGTTGGTGCTCAGTAACTGTTATTTTTATAGGTGCTAACATGGGTAGAGCCACTGCAGATACTGTAGGGGTTATTCCGTGGATCCTAATGTTGCCAAATGTTAGAGCAGCTGGCTCCAAAATTGATGTGGTCCAGTAAGCATGGGGTGATGGGTCCTGCCAGGTTTCCAGCAGAATGAACACAGTGAAAGGTAGAATTGTGGTCTGCAACTGGAATATAGCTAAAAGACAAGCGCTGGCAAAAGAAAAAAAGAAGTCAAGAAATGAATCAATGGTTATAGCAGTGCGCTTTTGTGCCAACTGGATGGCCATGTAGCTTTATAATTCTAAACTCTCATTTGAGGAAGGCAGATTAGATTATGAAAGTTGTAACAACTCTGTGCACCTTTTGCCATTTGTCCTTTGGACTCATTCACAATGTCATGGTCATAGTACTCTTTGTTCCCTATATATCGGCAGAGGAAATATCTTCCTATCTCTGACTATGGCATATTCTCATTTAAGGAGAGGGCTCTGCTGATGATTGCATGCGGCTCCCCCATCTGTCCCTCCAGCTTGTGTGTTTGTCCAAATTCAGAGCTATAACTCACAGTTTTCCTCTGCAACATGGAGTACCTTTCATTGCTCAGTGTTAACTCACTGAATTGAAGGGATTAAAGAGACAACTTTTCTAAACAAGAAAAGCCTCTTATGTTGAATGCTTCTTGAAAATTTGCATATTTTCATTTCATTGCTTTATAAATTATTACCTGGAAGTCATATCTTTGTAGTCTATAAACAATGTGATGAAGTTCAATATTTTTCTCTAACGGATTTGTTTTTAAAGAAACAAAGCTTGTATTCAAAGATTTCACAGATGTTTCCTATGATCCTGTGTTATTTAAAACTCATTCATTAAACACACCTGATGAATAGATCTATTACATTTTCTTAGCTGATTAAAAGTTCATTTTAGAAGGATGGAATGAATTATCACACAATGATTTCATTGCAATACATCTTTGTAGGTGTCCAGCATTATAAGGAATTGAGTTACAAATTGCTCTACAAATTGACAGGCTAGCAATCATTATTTTTCCATGTATTAGCTTGAGTCAATCTTTGATCTCATCATAGTTTCAATGGTAGAGAAGATGGAGGTGGTGAAGCGTTATTATTTTTCCAGCACAGAAAATTATGCCACAAAATAAAACATGTACAGGGTTGTCATAATGGCCCCAATGGTGATGACAGGAAAAAAGAATAGTTGCAGCTATCCTTCAGTGCACAGTGAAATAGTGAACAATTTGTTAAATATTCCCTGGAGTCAATTAAACTGGCATATGATCAGTTTGGAGGCTGCCAAGCCTCAGTGGGAGCCAATTAGAATTCACCAAAAATGACAATGGATGAATCTGAAAAAACAGTGTTAGATTTATGAGGGAAAGCAAACACATCATTGAGCCAAGAATAATCTTGGTGAGCACTCTCTAAAAGAGATTGGTAAATAGGTTGTATAGTGGTATCATGTTCACAGTGTTTCAAATGTTTCTTCTGCAATATTTTAAGCCATTACTGCAAAAAAATTAAATTAGTCTGATTTAGCCTACACAACATGAGAGAATCATTCTGCACATTGCAGCCATTATTAATTTTGTTCCAAAAGCAGCCTTGCATGAAAGATTAATTTTTCTTTTCTTTTTGGATTTAAACTACAGATAAACACTACAGATTGCTACAGATGAATGCTACTGACATGCTAAAGACTATATGACAATTCCTTTTAAAGTCAGACACTCAATTGTGAAAGATGTGTGAACAATCCAATGATGGATGTCCGTTAGTTCAGTGCTGTCAAGCTGAGTTACTACTCCACATCTCTGATACTGATGCTGTTTTTGCAGTCATGATTGAGTCGTTGAAGAAAAAAGCACTCTACAGAGTTCTGCCCAACTGTGTCCAAACAAGCAGCAACTTGAAATATCATTGGCTTACTCAGCAGCATCAGAACCCACAAAGCAAAGAGGTTAGATCCATCCAAGAGACTTTTCTGCAGCAGTAAATGGATTTGCCCTCTTTAGAGCAGGGAGCACAGCTCCAACACAATTATTCTTATTGGAACAGACTAAGGAATTTACTTCAAATGAGGTTGTTGGTTGTCCTGTGAAAGCTGTGTCAGAATAAATATTCAACTGCTCTTTGGAGGCATAATTTGTTAGCCCGTGAATCATTTGTGACCCATGAGCTGCATATAGCTGACTTTGTTTAAATGGAGGGAAAACTTCTTTCATTCTAGCAAAACTTGTATAAAGCTCAGGTATAGAGAAAACACTTTAACGTTCAGTTCTTTCCAAAGGGGCCATTTTTATATGCCAGATGTCCTGAAGCAATAAACTTTGTTACTTGTTCACAATAAATTTTGTTAAGGGAAAATTTCCAAATGACAGATGTCAACAGTAAACATCCACAACAGTTTAATGAAGATGTGGCTTTGAAATGTATAATTGTAGGGTAACAGTTTAAATGCAAGGCCAGTACTGTTACAATTTGACAAGGTGTGATGCTTTTCAGATTTTTTGGGGAGAGACATTGTAAATTCCTTACAGGAATATGTAGTTCATCTTTCATCGTTTCTAAATCTCTCTGAACCTAAGATAGTGCTTGAGCCTAACACTCAGGAGATGCTTGGTAATCAAAGAGATAATGATTATGCCCCCAATGCTTTTTATAGGGTTGTTTGGCTGACTGAGGCAAAATTTAGGGTGATTGGTATATGCCACGGGAAGTAGGAATAAGGCTGGGGTGTGCCATTAAGAACAAACAAAATTCCTAATGAAAAATTAAAAATTTCTTCTTTTTTTTCTTTTTTTAAAATTATACTTTAAGTTCTAGGGTACACGTGTACAACGTGCAGATTTGTTACATAGGTATACATGTGCCTTGTTGGTTCGCTGCACCCATTAACTTGTCATTTACATTAGGTATTTCTCCTAATGCTATCCCTCCCCCAGCCCCCAACCCCATGACAGGCCCCTGTGTGTGATGTTGCCTTCCCTGTGTTCAAGTGTTCTCATTGTCCAATTCCCACCTATGTGTGAGAACATGCGGTGTTTGGTTTTCTGTCCTTGTGATAGTTTGCTCAGAATGATGGTTTCCAGCTTCATCCATGTCCCTGCAAAGGACATGAACTCATCATTTTTTTATGGCTGCATAGTATTCCATGGTGTATATGTGCCACATTTTCTTAATCCAGTCTATCATTGGTGGACATTTGGGTTGGTTTCAAGTCTTTGCTATTGTGAATAGTGCCGCAATAAACATACGTGTGCATGTGTCTTTATAGTAGCATGATTTATAATCCTTTGGGTATATACCCAGTAATGGGATGGCTGGGTTAAATGGTATTTCTAATTCTAGATCCCTGAGGAATTGCCACACCGACTTCCACAATGGTTGAACCAGTTTACAGTCCCACCAACAGTGTAAAAGTGTTCCTATTTCTTCACATCCTCTCCAGCACCTGTTGTTTCCTGACTTTTTAATGATTGCCATTGTAACTGGTGTGAGATGGTATCTCACTGTGGTTTTGATTTGCATTTCTCTGATGACCAGTGATGATGAGCTTTTTTTCGTGTGTCTGTTGGCTGCATAAATGTCTTCTTTTGAGAAGTGTCTGTTCATATCCTTTGGCCACTTTTTGAGGGGGTTGTTTGTTTTTTTCTTGTAAATTTATTTAAGTTCTTTGTAGATTCTGGATATTAGCACTTTGTCAGTTGGGTAGACTGAAAAAATTACCTCCCATTCTGTAGGTTGCCTGTTCACTCTGATGATAGTTTCTTTTGCTGTGCAGAAGCTCTTTCGTTTAATTAGATCCCACTTGTCTATTTTGGCTTTTGTTACCATTGCTTTTCGTGTTTTAGTCATGAAGTCCTTGCCCATGCCTATGTCCTGAATGGTATTGCCTAGGTTTTCTTCTAGGGTTTTTATGGTTTTAGGTCTAACATGTAAGTCTTTAATCCATCTTGAATTAATTTTTGTATCAGGTGTAAGGAAGGGATCCAGTTTCAGCTTTCTACATATGGCTAGCCACTTTTCCCAGCACCATTTATTAAATAGGGAATCCTTTCCCCATTGCTTGTTTTTCTCAGGTTTGTCAAAGATCAGATGGTTGTAGATATGCAGCATTATTTCTGAGGGCTCTGTTCTCTTCCATTCGTCTATATCTCTGTTTTGGTACCAGTACCATGCTGTTTTGGTTACTGTAGTCTTGTAGTATAGTTTGAAGTGTGATGCCTCCAGCTTTGTTCTTTTGGGTTAGGATTGTCTTGGCAATGTGGGCTCTTTTTTGGTTCCACAGGAACTTTAAAGTAGTTTTTTCCAATTCTGTGAAAAAAAGTCATTGGTAGCTTGAAGGGCATGGCATTGAATCTATAAATTACCTTGGGCAGTATGGTCATTTTCATGATATGGATTCTTCCTATCCATGAGCAAGGAATGTTCTTCCATTTGTTTCTGTCCTCTTTTATTTCATTCAGCAGTGGTTTGTAGTTCTCCTTGAAGAGGTCCCTCACATCCCTTGTAAGTTTGATTCCTAGGTATTTTATTCTCTTTGTAGCAGTTGTGAATGGGAGTTCACTCATGATTTGGCTGTCTGTCTGTTATTGGTGTATAGGAATGTGTGTGATTTTTGCATGTTGATTTTGTATCCTGAGACTTTGCTGAAGTTGCTTACCAGCTTAAGGAGATTTTGGGCTGAGATGATGGAGTTTTCTAAATATACAATCATGTCATGTGCAAATAGGGACAATTTGACTTCCTCATTTCCTAATTGAATATACTTTCTTTCTTTCTCTTGCCTGATTGCCCTGGCCAGAACTTCCAACACTATGTTGAATAGGAGAGAGGGAATCCCTGTCTTGTGCCAGTTTTCAAAGGGAACGCTTCCAGTTTTTGCCCATTCAGTATGATATTGGCTGTGGGTTTGTCATAAATAGATCTTAATATTTTAAGATACATTCCACGCATTGAGAGTTTTTAGCATGAAGGCTGTTGGATTTTGTCAAAGGCCTTTTCTGCATCTATTGAGATAATCATGTGGTTTTTGTCATTGGTTCTGTTTATGTGATGGATTACATTTATTGATTTGCATATGTTGAACCAGACTTCCATCCCCAGGATAAAGCCAACTTGATCATGCTGGATAAGCTTTTTGATGTGCTGCTGTATTCAGTTTGCCAGTATTTTAGTGAGGATTTTCACGTCGAAGTTCATCAGGGATATTGGTCTAAAATTCTCTTTTTTTGTTGTGTCTCTGCCAGGCTTTGGTATCAGGATGATGCTGGCCTTATAAAATGAGTTAGCGAGGATTCTCTCTTTTTCTATTGATTGGAATAGTTTCAGAAGGAATGGTTCCAGCTCCTGTTTGTACCTCTGGTAGAATTCGGCCATGAATCCGTCTGGTCCTGGACTTTTTTTGGTTGGTAGGCTATTATTGCCTCAATTTCAGGACTGTTCTTGGTCTATTCAGAGATTCAACTTCTTCTAGGTTTAGTCTTGGGAGGGTGTATGTGTCCAGGAATTTATCCATTTCCTCTAGATTGTCTAGTTTATTTATGTAGAGATGTTTATAGTATTCTCTGATGGTAGTTTGTATTTCTGTGGGATTGGTGGTGATATCCCCTTTATCATTTTTTTTTAAACTGAATATAGGTGTCTTTATTTATTTATTTATTTTATTTTATGGTATTTTATTTTTTATTATTATTATACTTTAAGTTTTAGGGTACATGTGCACAACGTGCAGGTTTGTTACATATGTATATATGTGCCATGTTGGTGTGCTGCACCCATTAACTCGTCATTTAGCATTAGGTATATCTCCTAATGCTATACCTCCCCCCCACCCCACCCCACAACAGGCCCCGGTGTGTGATGATCCCCTTCCTGTGTCCATGTGTTCTCTTTGTTCAATTCCCACCTATGAGTGAGAACATGCAGTGTTTGGTTTTTTGTCCTTGCGATAGTTTGCTGAGAATGATGGTTTCCAGCTTCATCCATGTCCCTACAAAGGACATGAACTCATCCTTTTTTATGGCTGCATAGTATTCCATGGTGTATATGTGCCACATTTTCTTAATCCAGTCTATCATTGTTGGACATTTGGGTTCCTTGCAAGTCTTTGCTATTGTGAATAGTGCCACAATAAACATACGTGTGCATGTGTCTTTATAGCAGCATGATTTATAATCCTTTGGGTATATACCCACTAATGGGATGGCTGGGTCAAATGGTATTTCTAGTTCTAGATCCCTGAGGAATTGCCACACCGACTTCCACAATGGTTGAACCAGTTTACAGTCCCACCAACAGTGTAAAAGTGTTCCTATTTCTTCACATCCTCTCCAGCACCTGTTGTTTCCTGACTTTTTAATGATTGCCATTGTAACTGGTGTGAGATGGTATCTCACTGTGGTTTTGATTTGCATTTCTCTGATGGCCAGTGATGATGAGCATTTTTTCATGTGTTTTTTGGCTGCATAAATGTCTTCTTTTGAGAAGTGTCTGTTCATATCCTTTGCCCACTTTTTGATGGGGTTGTTTGTTTTTTTCTTGTGTATTTCTTTGAGTTCATTGTAGATTCTGGATATTAGCCCTTTGTCAGATGAGTAGGTTGCCAAAATTTTCTCCCATTCTGTAGGTTGCCTGTTCACTCTGATGGTAGTTTCTTTTGCTGTGCAGAAGCTCTTTAGTTTAATTAGATCCCATTTGTCAATTTTGTCTTTTGTTGCCATTGCTTTTGGTGTTTTAGACATGAAGTCCTTGCCCATGCCTATGTCCTGAATAGTATTGCCTAGGTTTTCTTCTAGGGTTTTTATGGTTTTAGGTCTAACATGTAAGTCTTTAATCCATCTTGAATTAATTTTAGTATAAGGTGTAAGGAAGGGATCCAGTTTCAGCTTTCTACATATGGCTAGCCACTTTTCCCAGCACCATTTATTAAATAGGGAATCCTTTCCCCATTGCTTGTTTTTCTCAGGTTTGTCAAAGATCAGATGGTTGTAGATATGCAGCATTATTTCTGAGGGCTCTGTTCTCTTCCATTCGTCTATATCTCTGTTTTGGTACCAGTACCATGCTGTTTTGGTTACTGTAGTCTTGTAGTATAGCTTGAAGTCAGGTAGTGTGATGCCTCCAGCTTTGTTCTTTTGGCTTAGGATTGTCTTGGCGATGTGTGCTCTTTTTTGGTTCCACAGGAACTTTAAAGTAGTTTTTTTCCAATTCTGTGAAGAAAGTCATTGGTAGCTTGATGGGGATGGCATTGAATCTATAAATTACCTTGGTCAGTATGGCCATTTTCATGATATTGATTCTTCCTACCCATGAACATGGAATGTTCTTCCATTTGTTTGTATCCTCTTTTATTTCATTGAGCAGAGGTTTGTAGTTCTCCTTAAAGAGGTCCTTCACATCCCTTGTAAGTTTTATTCCTAGGTATTTTATTCTCTTTGAAGCAGTTATGAATGGGAGTTCACTCATGATTTGGCTCTCTGTTTGTCTGTTCTTGGTGTATAAGAATGCTTGTGATTTTTGCACATTGATTTTGTATCCTGAGACTTTGCTGAAGTTACTTATCAGCTTAAGGAGATTTTGGGCTGAGACAATGGGGTTTTTTAGATATACAATCATGTCATCTGCAAACAGGGTCAGTTTGACTTCCTCTTTTCCTAATTGAATACCCTTTATTGCTCTCTCCTGCCTGATTGCCCTGGCCAGAACTTCCAACACTATGTTGAATAGGAGTGGTGAGAGAGGGCATCCCTGTCTTGTGCCAGTTTTCAAAGAGAATGCTTCCAGTTTTTGTCCATTCAGTATGATATTGGCTGTGGGTTTGTCACAGATACCTCTTATTATTTTGAGATACATCCCATCAATACCTAATTTATTGAGAGTTTTTAGCATGAAGCATTGTTGAATTTTGTCAAAGGCCTTTTCTGCATCTATTGAGATAATCATGTGGTTTTTGCCTTTGGTTCTGTTTATATGCCGGATTACATTTATTGATTTTCGTATGTTGAACTAGCCTTGCATCCCAGGGATGAAGCCGACTTGATCATGATGGATAAGCTTCTTGATGTGCTGCTGGATTCGGTTTGCCAGTATTTTATTGAGGATTTTTGCATCAATGTTCATCAAGGATATTGCTCTAAAATTCTCTTTTTTTTTATTGTGTCTCTGCCAGGCTTTGGTATCAGGATGATGCTGGCCTCATAAAGTGCATTAGGGAGGATTCCCTCTTTTTCTGTTGATTGGAATAATTTCAGAAGGAATGGTACCAGCTTCTCCTTGTACCTCTGGTAGAATTTGGCTGTGAATCCATCTGGTCCTGGACTTTTTTTGGTTGGTAAGCTATTAATTATTGCCTCAATTTCAGAGCCTGTTATTGGTCTATTCAGAGATTCAACTTCTTCTAGGTTTAGTCTTGGGAGGGTGTATGTGTTGAGGAATTTATCCATTTCTTCTAGATTTTCTAGTTTATTTCTGTAGAGGTGTTTATAGTATTCTCTGATGGTAGTTTGTATTTCTGCGGGATCGGTGGTGATATCCCCTTTATCATTTTTTATTGCATTGATTTGATTCTTCTCTCTTTTCTTCTCTATTAGTCTTGCTAGTGGTCTATCAATTTTGTTGATCTTTTCAAAAAACCAGCTCCTGGATTCATTGATTTTTTGAAGGGTTTTTTGTCTCTCTATTTCTTTCAGTTCTGCTCTGATCTTAGTTATTTCTGGCCTTCTGCTAGCTTTTGAATATGTTTCCTCTTGCTTCTCTAGTTCTTTTAATTGTGATGTTAGGGTGTCACTTTTAGATCTTTCCTGCTTTCTCTTGTGGGCATTTAGTGCTATAAATTTCCCTCTACACGCTGCTTTGAATGTGTCCCAGAGATTCTGGTATGTTGTGTCTTTGTTCTCGTTGATTTCGAAGAACATCTTTATTTCTACCTTCATTTCTTTATGTACCCAGTAGTCATTCAGGTGCAGGTTGTTCAGTTTCCATGTAGTTGAGTGGTTTTGAGTGAGTTTCTTAATCCTGAGTTCTAGTTTGATTGCACTGTGGTCTGAGAGACAGTTTGATATAATTTCTGTTCTTTTACATTTGCTGAGGGGTGCTTTACTTCCAACTATGTGGTCAGTTTTGGAATAGGTGTGGTGTGGTGCTGAAAAGAATGTATATTCTGTTGATTTGGGGTGGAGAGTTCTGTAGATGTCTATTAGGTCCGCTTGGTGCAGAGCTGAGTTCAATTCCTGGATATCCTTGTTAACTTTCTGTCTCATTGATCTGTCTAATGTTGACAGTGGGATGTTAACGTCTCCCATTATTATTGTGTGGGAGTCTAAGTCTGTTTGTAGGTCTCTAAGGACTTGCTTTATGAATTTGGCTGCTCCTGTATTGGGCGCATGTATATTTAGGACAGTGAGCTCTTCTTGTTGAATTGATCCCTTTACCATTATGTAATGGCCTTCTTTGTCTCTTTTGATCTTTGTTGGTTTAAAGTTTGTTTTATCAGAGACTAGGATTACAACCCCTGCCTTTTTTTGTTTTCCATTTGCTTGGTAGATCTTCCTCCATCCCTTTATTTTGAGCCTCTGTGTGTCTCTGCATGTGAGATGGGTTTCCTGAATACAGCACACTGATGGGTGTTGACTCTTGATCCAATTTGCCAGTCTATACCTTTTAATTGGAGCACTTAGCCCATTTACATTTAAGGTTAGTATTGTTATGTGTGAATTTGATCCTGTCATTATGATGTTAGCTGGTTATTTTGCTTGTTAGTTGATGCAGTTTCTTCCTAGCCTCAATAGTCTTTACAATTTGGCATGTTTTTGCAGTGGCTGGTACCAGTTGTTCCTTTCCATGTTTAGTGCTTCCTTCAGGAGCTCTTTTAGGGCAGGCCTGGTGGTGACAAAATCTCTCAGCATTTGCTTGTCTGTAAAGGATTTTATTTGTCCTTCACTTATGAAGCTTAGTTTGGCTGGATATGAAATTCTGGGTTGAAAATTCTTTTCTTTAAGAATGTTGAATATTGGCCCCCACTCTCTTCTGGCTTGTAGAGTTTCTGCCGAGAGATCAGCTGTTAGTCTGATGGGCTTCCCTTTGTGGGTAACCCGGCCTTTCTGTCTGGCTGCCCTTAACATTTTTTCCTTCATTTCAACTTTGGTGAATCTGACAATTATGTGTCTTGGAGTTGCTCTTCTTGAGGAGTATCTCTGTGGCATTTTCTGTATTTCCTGAATGTGAATGTTGGCTTGCCTTGTTAGATTGGAGAAGTTCTCCTGGATAATATCGTGCAGAGTGTTTTCCAACTTGGTTCCGTTCTCCCCGTCACTTTCAGGTACACCAATTAGATGTAGATTTGGTCTTTTCACATAGTCCCATATTTCTTGGAGGCTTTGTTCATTTCTTTTTATTCTTTTCTTCTAAACTTCTCTTCTCGCTTCATTTCATTCATTTCGTCTTCCATCACTGATACACTTTTTTCCAGTTGATCACGTCGGCTACTGAGGCTTGTGCATTTGTCACGTAGTTCTCATGCCATGGTTTTCAGCTCCATCGGGTCCTTTAAGGACTTCTCTGCATTGGTTATTCTAGTTATCCATTCGCCTAATTTTTTTCAAAGTTTTTAACTTCTTTGCTTTGGTTCGAATTCCTCCTTTAGCTTGGAGTAGTTTGATCTTCTGAAGCCTTCCTCTCTTTGACTTCAACTCGTCAAAGTCATTCTGCATCCAGCTTTGTTCCGTTGCTGGTAAGAAGCTGTGTTCCTTTGCAGGAGGAGAGGTGCTCTGATTTTTAGAGTTTCCAGTTTTTCTGCTCTGTTTTTTCCCCATCTTTGTGGTTTTATCTACATTTGGTCTTTGACAGTGGTGACGTACAGATGTGTTTTTGGTGTGGATGTCCTTTCTGTTTGTTAGTTTTCCTTCTAACAGTCAGGACCCTCAGCTGCAGGTCTGTTGGAGTTTACTGGAGGTCCACTCCAGACCCGGTTTGCGTGGGTATCAGCAGCGGTGGCTGCAGAACAGCGGCTATTGGTGAGCCACAAATGCTGCTGCTTGATTGTTCCTCTGGAAGTTTTGTCTCAGAGGAGTACGCAGCCGTGTGAGGTGTCAGTCCACCCCTACTGGGGGGTGCCTCCAAGTTAGGCTCCTCAGGATTCAGGGACCCACTTGAGGAGGCAGTCTGCCTGTTCTCAGATCTCAAGCTGTATGCTGGGAGAACCACTACTCTCTTCAAAGCTGTCAGACAGGGACATTTAAGTCTGCAGAGGTTATTGCTGTCTTTTGTTTGTCTGTGCCCTGCCCCCAGAGGTGGAGCCTGCAGAGGCAGGCAGGCCTCCTTGAGCTGTGGTGGGCACCACCCAGTTCGAGCTTCCCAGCCGCCTCGTTTACCTACTTAAGCCTGAGCAATGGCGGGCGCCCCTCCCCCAGCCTCGCTGCCGCCTTGCAGTTTGATCTGACTGCTGTGCTAGCAATCAGCAAGGCTCCATGGGCATAGGACCGTCTGAGCCATGTGTGGGATATAATCTCCTGGTGTGCGGTTTGTTAAGCCCGTTGGAAAAGCACAGTATTAGGGTGGGAGTGACCCAGTTTCCAGGTGCCGTCTGTCACCCCTTTCTTTGACTAGGAAAGGGAATTCCCTGACCCCTTGCGCTTCCCAGGTGAGGCGATGCCTCACCTTGCTTTGCCTCATGCACGGTGCGCTGCACCCACTGTCCTGCACCCACTGTCCGGCACTCCCCAGTGAGATGAACCCAGTACCTCAGTTGGAATTGCAGAAATCACCCATCTTCTGCATCGCTCATGCTCGGAGCTGTAGGCTGGATCTGTTCCTATTCGGCCGTCTTGGCTCCACCCCTATCATTTTTTATTGCATCTATTTGATTCTTCTCTCTTTTCTTCTTTATTAATCTACCTAGTGTTCTATCACTTTTGTTGATATTTTCAAAAAACCAGCTCCTGGATTCATTGATTTTTTTGAACAGTTTTTTTGTGTCTATATCTCCTTCTGTTCTGCTCTGATCTTAGTTATTTCTTGCCTTCTGCTAGCTTTTGAATATGTTTGCCTTTGCTTCTCTAGTTCTTTTAATTGTGATGTTAGGGTATTGATTTTAGATCTTTCCTGCTTTCTCTAGTGGGCATTTAGTGCTATAAATTTCCCACCACATACTGCTTTAAATGTGTCCCAGAGATTCCAGTACATTGTGTCTTTGTTCTCATTGGTTTCAAAGAACATCTTTATTTCTGCCTTCATTTCATTATTTACCCAGTAGTCATTCAGGAGCAGGTTGTTCAGTTTCCGTGTAGTTGTGCAGTTTTGAGAGTTTCTTAATCCTAAGTTCTAATTTGATTGCACTGTGGTCTGAGAGACAGTTTGTTGTGATTTCTGTTCTTTTACGTTTGCTGAGGAGTGCTTTACTTCCAACTATGTGGTCAATTTTGGAATAAGTGTGATGTGGTGCTGAGAAGAATGTATATTCTGTTGATTTGGGGTGGAGAGGTCTGTAGATGTCTATCATGTCCACTTGGTGCAGAGCTGAGTTCAAGACCTGGATATCCTTCTTAATAATCTTCTGTCTCTTTGATATGTCTAATATTGACAGTGGGGTGTTAAAGTCTCCCATTATTATTGTGTGGGAGTCTAAGTCTCTTTCTAGGTCTCTAAGGACTTGCTTTATGAATCTGGGTGCTCCTGTTTTGGGTGCATATATATTTAGCATAGTTAGCTCTTCTTGTTGAATTGATCCCTTTACCATTATGTAATGACCTTTGTTTCTTTTGATCTTTGTTGGTTTAAAGTCTGTTTTATCCGAGACTAGGATTGCAACACCTGCTTTCTTTTGCTTTCCATTTGCCTGGTAGATCTTCCTCTATCCCTTTATTTTGAGCCTATGTGTGTCTCTGCATGTGATATGGGTCTTCTGAATACAGCACATTGATGGGTCTTGACTGTTTATCCAATTTGCCAGTCTGTGTCTTTTAATTGGGACATTTAGCCCATTTACATTTAAGGTTAATATTGTTATGTGTGAATTTCATCCTGCCATTATGATGTTAGCTGGTTATTTTGCCCCTTAATTGTTGCAGTTTCTTCCTAGCGTTGATGGTCTTTACAATTTGGTATGTGTTTGTAGTAGCTGGTACTGGCTGTTCCTTTCCATGTTTAGTGCTTCCTTCAGGAGCTCTTTTAGGGCAGGCCTGGTGGTGACAAAATCTCTCAACATTTGCTTGTCTGTACAGGATGTTATTTCTCTTTCACTTATGAAGCTTAGTTTGGCTGGATATGAAATTCTGAGTTGAAAATTCTTTTCTTTAAGAATGTTAAATATTGGTCCCCACTCTCTTCTGGCATGTAGAGTTTCTGCTGAGAGATCTGCTGTTAGTCTGATGGGCTTCCCTTTGTGGGTCATCTGACCTTTCTTTCTGGCTGCCCTTAACATTTTTTCCTTCATTTCAACCTTGGTGAATCTGACAATTATGTGTCTTGGGGTTGCTCTTCTCAAGGAGTATCTTTGTGGTGTTCTCTGTATTTCCTGAATTTGAATTTTGGCCTGCCTTGCTAGGTTGGGGAAGTTTTCCTGGATTATATCCTGAAGAGTGTTTTTCAAGTTGGTCCATTCTTCCTGTCACTTTCAGGTACACCAGTCAAGCGTAAATTTGGTCTTTTCACATAGTCCTGTATTTCTTGGAGGCTTTGTTCATTTCTTTTTACTCTTTTTCTCTAAACTTCTCCTCTCACTCTCACTTTATTTCATTAATTTGATCTTCAGCCACTGATACCCTTTCTTCCACTTGATTGAATCGGCTACTTAAGCTTGTGCATGCATCACATAGTTCTTGTGCCATGGTTTTCAGCTCCATCAGGTCATTTAAAGTCTTCTCTACATGGTTTATTCTAGTTAGCCATTCATCTAATCTTTTTTCAAGGTTTTTAGCTTCCTTTGATGGGATTGAACACCCTCCTTTAGCTTGGAGAAGTTTGTTGTTACTGACCTTCTGAAGCCTACTTCT
Organism: Homo sapiens; assembly: GCF_000001405.40. NCBI lineage: Eukaryota > Metazoa > Chordata > Mammalia > Primates > Hominidae > Homo > Homo sapiens. Next base: position 23,598,087 of record NC_000010.11, read on the forward strand.
GTCAGCTTGTCAAAATAATTCTCCATCCAGCTTTGTTCCATTGCTGGCGAGGAGCTGTCATCCTTTGGAGGAGAAGAGGCCCTTTGGTTTTTAGAATTTTCAGCTTTTCTGCTCTGGATTCTCCCTGTCTTTGTGGTTTTATCTACCTTTGGTCTTTGATGATGGTGACCTACACATGGGGTTTTGGTGTGGATGTCGTTTTTGTTGATGTTGATGCTATTCCTTTCTGTTTGTTAGTTTTCCTTCTAACAGTCAGGTCCCTCAGCTGCAGGTCTGTTGGAGTTTGCTGGAGGTTTACTCCAGACCCTGTTTGCATGGGTATCACCAGTGGAGGCTGTAGAACAGCAAATATTGCAGAACAGCAAATACTGTTGCCTGATCCTTCCTCTGGAAATGTCATCCCAGAGGGGCACCCGCCTTTATGAGGTGTCAGTTGGCCCCTACTGGGAGGTGTCTCCCAGTTAGGCTACATGGGGGTCAGGGACCCACTTGAGGAGGCAGTCTGTCCATTCTCAGAGCTCAAACGCTGTGCTGGGAGAACCACTGCTCTCTTCAGAGCTGTTAGACAGGGATGGTTAAGTCTGCAGAAATTTCTGCTGCCTTTTGTTCAGCTATGCCCTGCCCGCAGAGGTGGAGTCAACAGAGGCAGCAGGCCTTGCTGAGCTGCCCTGGGCTCTGCCCATTTCAAGCTTCCCTGGATGCTTTGTTTATCTATTCAAGCCTCAGCAATGGCGAATGCCCCTCCCCCTGCCAGGCTCCTGCCTCGCAGGTTGATCTGAGACTGCTGTGCTAGCGGTGAGCAAGGTTCCATATGCATGGGACCTGCTGAGCCAGGCACAGGATATAATCTTCTGGTGTGCCGTTTGCTAAGACCACTGGAAAAGCACAGTATTTAGGCGGGAATGTCCCATTTTTCCAGGTACAGTCTTTCATGGCTTCCCTTGGCTAGGAAAGTGAATTCCCCCAACCCCTTGTGCTTCCTGGGTGAGGTGATGCCCCGCCCTGCCTCAGCTCGCCCTCCATGGGCTGCACACACTGTCCAACCAGTCCCAATGAGATGAACCAGCTACCTCTGCTGGAAATGCAGAAGTCACCTGTCTTCTGCGTCGATCATGCTGGGAGCTGCAGACTGGAGCTGTTCCTGTTTGGCCATCTTCTTCTTTCTTCCTAAAAATAATTATTGTGCCCCCAGTAGGTACAAGATATTAGTCTAGACATTCTAACTGATATCAAGTGACTCTTTGATAACTTGGATTTTCTAATGTGGTTCAGATTGTGGATGGTGGTATCTGCTTTTTCTGTGCTGAAACTTAAGGTCTGTCAACTCTGGACTTCCAGTTATAGAAGGTCCTGATATTGGCTTATAATGATATGGGAATTGTTATAACTGTCTCTAAAACAGAACCCTTTGGTAGGGCATTATCTTAAGTGAAATAACTCAGAAACGGGAAGTCAAATATTGCATGTTCTCACCTGTAAGTGGGAGCTAAATAATGAGTACACATGGACATAGAGACTGGAAGAGTAGATGTTGGAGACTTAGAAGGGTGGGAAGATGGGCAGGATGAGGGATGAGAAATCACCTCATGGGTACAATGTACACTCTTTGGGTGATGGTTACACTAAAAGCCTAGACTTCACCACTGCACAGTACACCCATGTAACAATCTACCCTGTACTCCCTAAATCTATAAAAGCAAAATTTAACTTCAAAAAAAGGGGGCTTACATTGTTGAACTGAGTTAATCAATAGGAGCCCCAAGGATACTAAAAGTGATCTTGGAAGAATTTACGTAGGTCATCACCAACAGTGACACCACTATGTATATGAAGCAGCCTCTGAGATCACTTAAGGTGTACATTTTATTCGTGCGTTCATTGACTGTGTGAAATGTCAACACATCATTATATATTTGTCCGAAGTAGCCTCCATTTATGTAAAATGGGACATCCTTTTCTGCTGGCATCACACTGTGGCTGGTCTGCCCCATGAAGTAATGCTCCTTGTTGAAGACATGATCCCCCAATATCCTGGACTTGACCATTCCATGTCCTCACTATGAAGTGAAATGTGTCCAAATATTTTCCTTTGCATACGCTCTGCCTGGCTGCTGCAGGTATTACTATCTTTTGACAGAAATTACTTTTTCTTCTTAGCATTTTATATGCTTTTAAGCATTTAACATATTAAACCGAGTGCTAGAGCCAAGTCTGATCTTTCACTGGTGTTCAGGTATAATACTGGAACAAATAGTATTGGAAATATCCCCCTTTCAAAGATACATCTTTTCACATGGCAGCAACGATTCAATCAAATGCTAATTTATCATAGCATGTTGGTAATATACCAGTCTATTTTTTCCAGGGCCACTGCATTTTCCAGTAATGTCTCCAGAATGAAATGAGTACATTTATCATGAGGCAATTAATAAAGGTTTGAAAATGGAAATTTTCAAATAGTCAAAAATAGCATAGTACAATAACCTGTATTTACCTGATTTTGGCAATGATCAGCATTTAGCTAATCATGCTTCATTCTTTCTACCTTTTTTTTTTCTTGCTATGGTATTTTAAAGCAAATCTCATGCTGTGTTATTTTAAACCTAACACTTAAGTATGTATTTCTAACAAATAAGATCTATTCCCCTTTATTTCTTAAAGAAACGTAACTCATCATGCCATTATCACAGGTAATAAAATCAACAATAATTTCTTTAATTTCATTTAAAACCTTACTACATTAAAATTTCCCAGATTGTCTCAGAAACCTCTTTTTATAGTTTTTTTTTAATCAGTTTTTACACCAGATCCACATACTGCACTTAATTAATATGTTAGGTCTTTTTATTCTTTTTTTTTTTTTTTTTTTGATATGGAGTTTCGCTCTTGTTGCTCAGGCTGGAGTGCAATGGCATAACCTTGGCTCACCACAACCTCCTTCTCTGGGGTTCAAGTGATTCTCCTGCCTCAGCCTCCCGAGTAGCTGGGATTACAGGCATGCACCACCACGCCTGGCTAAATTTGTATTTTTCATAGAGACGGGGTTTCTCCATGTTGGTCAGGCTGGTCTCAAACTCCTGACCTCAGGTGATCCATCTGCCTCTGCCTCCCGAAGTGCTGGGATTACAGGCATGAGCCACCTCACCCGGCCGTTGATTCTTATAGCTACACACCATTTCCCCCTCTTATTTATGCCGTTAGTTTATAAGATAAACTGGGTTGTTTCTGTAGAAAATGTCACATTCTGAACTTGGCCAGTTGGTTCCTCATAGTGCCAGCTAACTTGTTATTCTCTCTTCCATATTTTCTGTAACTGAAATTTTGGTATAGAAAATTGATTAGGTTTAGGTTGAACTTTTTTTTTTTTTTTTTTTTTTTTTTGAGACGGAGTCTCGCTCTGTTGCCCAGGCTGGAGTGCAGTGGCGCGATCTCGGCTCACTGCAAGCTCCGCCTCCCGGGTTCACGCCGTTCTCCTGCCTCAGCCTCCCGAGTAGCTGGGACTACAGGCACCCGCCACGACGTCCGGCTAATTTTTTGTATTTTTATTAGAGACGGGGTTTCACCGTGTTAGCCAGGATGGTCTCGATCTCCTGACCTCATGATCCACCCGCCTCGGCCTCCCAAAGTCCTGGGATTACAGGCGTGAGCCACCGCGCCTGGCCTAGGTTGAACTTTTAAGACAAGATGACTTCACAGGTGGTGCATCCTATTCTAGGCATATAGTAACTTGTTGCACTAGTTATCTAGTAATACTAAGATTGGGCGGTGTGTTCAGGTGGTACCAGTTTAATACCTGCAATATAAAGTGTGCTATCAACCTTCCTCCAAATAAACATCTTTTAATTATATGCTTACTGACAACAGATGTATTGACAATGAGTAACAGACTTGACCCTTCTTGACTCATACTCGCTTCAAATACATCCCTGCTTTCTATATTATTCCTTAGCCCTAGTTTGACATCAATTTCATGCTTCAAAAACCCACTTTTAAAAACAGTGTTCTTTATATTCCATTTCTCCCAATGTGCTTATACAATCCTCTTTTTTTAAATTGATAGGCACTTTCCTTCACTCTGTTTTTTTACGAAATGTAGAGTCATCAGTGTTTTAGAAACAGACTTTTTAACGAGGTCTGGGATGCACTTTAATTTTCTCTCTGCTGCAAAACTGCATTTTTGCAATGTGGCATTATCCATTTGATAGGTTCTGGTGGGCTTTCATACGTAAGATCCCGCGGGTCCAAGTAGGCTACACGGAGGAACTGCAGCAATGTGTGAGTGGCCTCATGACACAGAACCACCTAGAACCTTGCAGTAATGAATGCTATTAAATTGACAATTATTAAAGTAGAATATGAATTAATATAAAGTATAATAGGAATTAGTATAAAGTATAATAGGAATTAATTATTCCTAATTCATTAGACTTCAATTTTCAAATTCCCATTATTTATGTGACAAATAAATAGCAAATAGTGTGTATGCTCATAAACCCCTTGAACCTCCTTTGCATGGGGAGATATTTAAGGTGGAGACAGGAAACCATTCAGAAAAAGTGTTTGGGGTAATAGAAATATTCTTTAGGCAGAAATTCAACAGGGCAATATTTATTTTTCAACTAAGCCCATGCATTTTTCACTAACCCCTTTCTACCTCTCCATGAAAGGACATTGGGAAGAAATAATGGTAGTAACTGCCATCCTGTGAGTGCTTATTGGGTGCCAATCACAGTAACAGACTTCACTGTCCCAAGGCTCTGAGAGATTATACAATTTGTACAAGATTACCCAGGTAGTAACTGTCAAAATTTGTCTGAAACAGACATCTCTTCAACATGACACCATTGCTTTCCTTATAGAGAGTCCTAAGAACACCAGCACTTTTCCAGTTTCTAATTGCAAAGGTTTGTGCAATAGCCATTAGTAATACTAGCAAGAACTCTGAAGCCAAAAGCTTGTACTTAAAGGGTTTAACTTTTGTTTTGTTTTGTTTTCTTTTTTTTTTTTTTTTGAGAGAGAGTCTTGCTCTGTTGCCCAGGCTGGAGTGCAGTGGCAGGATCTCTACTCACTGCAGCCTCCACCTCCCAGGTCCCAGCAACTCTCCTGCTTCAGCCTCCAGAGCAGCTGGGATTACAGGCATGCACCACCACATCCGGCTAAGTTTTGTATTTTTAGTAGAGATATATTTTTACCAGACATGTTGGCCAGGCTGGTCTTGAACTCCTACCTCAAGTGATCTGCCCACCTTGGCCTTCCAAAGTGCTGGGATTACAGGTGTGAGCCACCATGCACGGCCAAGACAGAACTCTTTACAATGCAGAATTACAGATTGTAAAGACAGAACTCCTTACAATAACATACTAATGGCAGTGACAGAGGGCTACCAGACTAGCACTTACCAATGAGGAGCACATGATTAAAGAATGCAAAATGAAAACATAAAAGCAGTAATAGAAAAACAAATAGGGCTAGGTGCAGTGTTTCAGCCTGTAGTCCCAGCACTTCGGGAGGCCAAAGTGGGTAGATCCTTTGATCCCAGGACTTCAGGACCAGCCTGGGAAACCAGGTGAAACTCTGTCTCTACAAAAAAATACAAAAATCAGCCAGGTGTGATGGTGTGTGCCTGTGGTCCCAGCTACTTGGGAGGTTGAGGTGGGAGGATAACTTGAGTCCAGGACGTGGAGGCTGTAGTGAGCCGTGATCGTGCCACTGCACTCCAGCCTTCTAGCCTGGGTGACACAGCAAGATACTGTCTCAAAAAAGAAAAAAAAAAAAAGGAAAAGAAAAACAAATAGGTACATTAAGGACATGACTCTGGCTACATTGTTCTTTCTTGGCCAAGATCTTCATCCAGAGAGAACAGATGGGTGGATAATCCCACACCCAGGCCAAACTTTTACTGTGTATTATTTGTAATTTGTTGCCTATATTTGTGCATAAAATAATTAAGTTTGGTTATTCTCAACCAAAAATTATTTGTTCTTATACATTTTCAAATGTGAAGACTCTCTTCAGTTACTATGAAGGGCAGCTACCTGTCCCAGGTGGACTTGACCAATATGTGTTGCCACCTTCTAGGTGCTTTAACAAGGTAGAAGAGGTGAGAATCATTTTCACAAAGTGGCTCTCAAGTAGGAATAACACTTGAAAAACCAACTGTTAAGCATGAATTAGAATAACACACAGAAGACTTAGTGAAACTGCTTATTCTTAGCATCAGCAAGCAATCTAGCCATTGCAAACATGCTATGCATATGAAATTTCTCTACTTGACTACAGCAAAGACAGTGCTAACTATGTAACTTCTACTATTTTAAAACCAACATTTAATAACATCTCTGCTACATGATATGTTCTCCCTCCAAAAAATGAAAGCATTACTGATAACGCAAAAATTTAACAGAGTTTCCCAGATAGTAGTGTAAAGCAAATGGTTCAAACGAGCTTTCATTTGCAGTCATTGAAGGGGAGGGAAATTTATTTTTTGTAGAAATGGGGCCTCACTATGTTGCCCAAGCTGGTCTTGAACTCCTGGGCTCAAGCAATCAATCCTCCCAACTTGGTTTCCCAAAGTGCTGGGATTATAGACATGAGCCACTGTGCCAGGCCAAAGGGAGGGAAATTTAGATTGAGAAGGTGTTGAGGATGAATCCTCTGGAATTTGTCTAATTTTCAGTTTGCTTCTGTGGAGGAGCTCAGCCATGCATTATGTTAGTTAACAGCTCATGTCTGACGCCCATTAAAAGGAATTTCAGGGATCACGTAGTTTATGGCCTGTCTGGAAGCAAGACCAGCAGGAATTGGATTTCCCAGGAGGTTGGCAATGGCATATACTTAAAAAAAGACCAAGGAGACAGTTTCTGCTTTTGTTTTTCTACAATTATTTCCCCTTCTGCAGGTTCTATAACTGGAATACTTTAGCTGTCCATTCTACTATTTAAAACCCAGTAAAATTTTCTGTGTCATGATTATTACAAACATTTTTAGCTTTGTTTTTGTTGTCTTTTTCTGTAGGGATCCCATTAATTATGTCTATGAGAAGAAAACAAGATTAAAAGCTGTTCAGAGAAATGAGAAAATTTTTTCACATGGACAAAAAGTTGAGGTTGCCTTCATTACTGCTCTTCAAAAATCACTAATAGCTTGACTTATTTTTCTTTCTTCTTTTTGAACAGTTCAGTCATTTAAAAAAACTTTTAATGACCTTTAGTTCAAAAAAAGGCCATGTAAAAGTTCAGTATGGCAGAGAAACCTGGCTAAGGTTTCAGGGTGGTTATTTTCTGGGGAGTTAGAGGAATAAGCTTAGCTGTGTGGCATAATTATGAGTGGGTTTTTAAAAACTGAGTTTGCCTAGTAATGGCAAGGGAGAATTTGAGAGGGTTGCAGGGAACAGAGAGAGGGCAGTGTCTTATTTTACATGGAAAATGGTTTATGCTGCATTTTGCCAGAATTATTGAGAGGTTCTCTGATAGGCATTTGCCCAGATTCCTCCTCCCTTCTTTCTTTCCTCCCTTCTATTTTTGGGGGTGGGGGGACTGATTTTGTTGAGCATCTGAACTCACCTGCTTCCCTTCCCAAAGAAGCAAATAGAAAAAAGCCGGGTACTTGTCCTCACCCCCATCTCCACCAGCAAAGGGTGAGAACATGACTTGGCTTAACCAGTCATGTGTTCCTGGACCTTAGATTTAGGAGTGAGTGTCGCTGAGCAGCAGGGCAGCTTCAGTTTCTGAGGTGCCTGGTGGTGCCCAAGGGTGGTAGTTCCAGTGGCCACACTTGTGTGCAGAGCTGGGGAGAAGGCTAGTGGTAGCAACAGAGGAGCTCAGGCATATTTCTGGGCCTGATTTTCTCTGGTCTTGATGGCCAATTTAGGGAGTTACTCAATGTGCTTTTAACATCTGCTTTTCTGCTTTGGTCCTTCAGAGTGGGTTTCTATTGCAGCAACTAAGACTCCATGTGATAGACCCAGGCTCTTTCTGAGATTCAGACCTGGAGATCTAGAAGCGACCCTGAGCTTCTGTCACACAGCACAGAGGTATTCATTGGTAGAGGTGGCCTTTCTGAATCTGCCCCCTGACCCCTGTCCCTGATGTCTCTCAGACACTTTCCTTGCCCAAATCAAATGCGAGGGAGAATGATGTCATCACCAACAGCTCACAGAGAACAGAGTCAAAGATGCAACATTTCTAAAAGGAGATTAATGTCAGTTTCCAACTCTTACCATGATAGTTGTATTCCTATTCATTAATGGAGAATGGTAGCTCTGGAAATGGCCCCAGGTGTCTTGAGGTACAGGGCTGGGGATTCACTTAGCTAAGCCTGGTGGAAGACAAGCTTGTCAGTACCTTACAGTTAACTTTTCCTGATCCTTCCCAGGGGCCCACCGAATTCATTTATGGGTGGTGGAAAGTAGCCACGCAGAGCTCAGGATGGCTATTACCTGCTAAAACATTCTGAGACACAGCCTCTGAAAATGAGAATGTAATTTATCAAGCAGTGTGTGTTCAGTGATTCGGAAAGATCCATATGTGCTTTTGTTTCAGCCACTCTAATGAGAATGTGTCAACTTCAGTTCTATTCTTCTATCATCAGGCTTATTCCTGATTAAACCAGAGTAGCTGCTTTCCAGAGAGGCATGGTCTTCCTGCAGGGGTGCGCGAGCTTTCAGAGAGCCGCTGCTTCATTGTACAGGATCTTTGGGTTAGGACTGAGACCCTTTCAATTGTCAAAAACGAATATATTATTCCTAGAAGGAATTTGACAACATTCCAGTATCATTATCCACCACCAATTTGAGAAGGAAAAGCAAAAGGTCTAAGGCAATATCTTCAAGAGTGAATGATTTAAAGGAGGATGGGATGGATTGGAGCCGAAGGCCAATGCAAAACAAGATGTCACATTGTTTAACAGACCACAAGAAAATGACATTTCTTCCAATTCCCTGCTGAAATGAAGGTCAAATCTTCCCATCTGGAGACAACTGGTGTCCCAAGGGGACAGACTATTTTACAGTCTCAGGAACGTATTGTCCAACAAGTAGATGGTGAAATACACACACAGCTAGGGATTAAATGTTCCACTTCAGGAAAGTGATCCTCACCCAAACCCAACAAAACCCTTATGCTTTTGTATAGAAAGAGAGACCCTGAGGACAAAAATTGGAATTTAGTGTGAGGCACATAATCTTTTTTCTTTTTTTCCAACTCAATACCCCATCTGCCTTAAGTGTAAAAAAAAAAAAATACAAGAAGCTGTATGGCAGCAGGAACTAAGCAGAGTTTTCTCCTCTCATAGCTGGATGTGCTCTAGGCAAGGATATGATTGTAATGCCTCATTTGTGAGGATGGAAGATTACAGAAACAAAGACAACATGACCCGTACGCACTGCTCAGAATTTATCTCTCTGCCATCTCTCTTTGGGTGTCCAGAACCAAGATCCTTTTTGTTTTTCTTTCTTTTTTTTTTTTTTTTTTTGAGACAGGGTCTTGCTGTAATGCCCAGGCTGGAGTGCACTGGTGATCGTAGCCCACTGCAACCTTGAACTCCTGGGATTCTCTGATCCTCCCATCTCAGCCTCTCAAGTAACTGGGACTACAGGTGCATGCCACCACACCTGGCTAATTTTAAAAAATCTTTTGTAGAGATAGGGTGGGGATTCTTTGTTTGTTACACAAGCTGGTCTTGAACTCTTGGCTTCAAGCAATCCTCCTGCCTTGGTCTCCCAAAGTGTTGGGATTACAGGCATGAGCCACTGCGTCCAACCTAAGATCCTTTACCGGATATCCTAGGCTGAGCTTTTCACGCTGATTCCTGCATGAGCAATTTTCATTATACAATTTGCAATTCAGGGACAAACTATCACAAATATGCCTTATTTTGCTATTTGCTGGTCATGCTAAATGCTGGTCATTTAGCATTTGCTATATGCTAAAGACCATATCTTTAGTCTCTTAGGAAACTTTAACAATTTTCCACCCTTATGAGGACAGCACAATTTGACAGCAAAAAACTTTGGTCCTCCTTGGACAAAAAATGTTCTCACTGATTCTTGAATTAAAATTCATTTGTGCAAGGTGTGGCGGCTCGCACCTATAACTCCAGCAATTTGGGAGGCTGAGGTAGGAAGACTGCTTGAGCCCAGGAGTTCGAGACCAGCCTTGGCAATATAGGGAGGCTCTGTGTCTACTATCAAAAAATAAAAAATTAGGTGGATGTGGTGGGACACGCCTGTAACCCCAGCTACTTGGGAGGCTAAGGTGGAAGGATTGCTTGAGCCCAGGAGTTCGAGGCTGCAATGAGCCAAGATCTCACCACTGCATTCCAGCCTGGGCAACAGAGCAATACTCTGTCTCAAAAAAAAAAAAAAAAAATTCCATCTGTAAGATACTTCCCTTGTTTTTCTGCTTTGAATAATGTCTGTGTTTTCATTGGCTAGTTCCTACTGTTTTCTATTTATTAACATCCTGAGGAAGTCTCGAGATCGTTGGCAGTTTTAGCAAATTACAAGAATTTTGACAGCATGTCTGCCACATACCTTTTAATGTTCTGATAATAATATGATAACTATTTATTTAGAGCCTACTATGTGCCAGGCACCATGCTAGGTGTTTTACATACATTATCCTTAATTTTCCTAACGAGGCTGCTCAATGTTGGTGTTATCACCCTCATTTTTAGGATTATGAAGCTCTGGCACAGAGATTAGCTAAGTCATTTCTGGACTCCGGCTGTTTTCTTGTTTAAAATTATACCTCTGTTTTATCTCGTGGATTCAGGGAGAGTCTTATCAGCTCCGTGGGGTGATTAATGCATGTTCCTGGTATTTCACTTCTTCGGGCATGCCTTCCTGCCATGTCAGTAATACCTCGTTCAATTTTGTAATTGTTTCTGATCCCTTTCAAGTGAAAGCAGCTCAGCTCTTCCTTCAGCAGGGCATCAAAGTTGGCTGTTGGGGTTGATGGGCATTATCAGAGGCTGCAGATCACAAGAGGCTTCATCAAATAGACCGTGCTCTGGCTTCGGGAGGGCAAGCGATGTGGGCATTCCTTCCCGTCACTGTGATGGAACGTTTGTAATAATTATCTAATTTGCTATCTAAAGCAGTGTTTGAGTCAAAGCCTTAACACTGGGTGAATACTGCCTATTAGCTATTTGAAACCTTGTATTGAAATTTCTAGAAACCCCAAAAGTAGTGTGTGCCTTTAAGCACACAAAATTATACTTTTCGAAATGCTGAGTTAGTCAAGAGTCAGCATGCACATTAAATGAATTGAGTTCTTTAACATTTCTCACAATGCTATCAAAATAATACATATATGAAATGTATAAGCCATGAATTTTAAAATATGGGTACAAAATGAGCAATTTAGAAAGCAATTACTTTTTTTTTTTTTTTTAAGAGACGGGGTTTTGTCGTGTTACCCAGGCTGGTCTCAAACTCCTGGATGCAAATGATCCACCCACCTCGGCCTCCGAAAGTGCTGGGATTACAAGTGTGAGCCACAGCACCTGGTCAAGATTTTTAAAATAATATTTCCCCAAATGAGAAGACTCCCCCAAAATATATTCCTTGGGATGTTAACTCCATAAGTTGTTACCCTCAAAACAGAAGTTAAAGGGTGAAATGGCTCTGGGAGACAGTGTATATTGTCACTGGAAAAGTGACAGTGCATGTTCGTGTGTTACAGGATCTGAGGCCCTCTGCCACAAGAGATCTGTGGTTTCCTTAAACCCATCATTTTTCAAGTGTATTTGACCATGGAAAATTGTATTGGGTAATACCTTTTAGCAGACTACCCTTTGGGAAATGCTGGACAGTTAAAATGGAAAGAAAGAGACCAGCGGAAACTTTTCCAATGTGGAGTCTTCTACCAAAGCGGTCTTGAGAATTCTATTCCCTTTAGTCAGAGTTATTGCAGCTTCAAGCCTACGAAATGAAATTTTGGAGTCTCTCAGCATAGGCAAGTTTGTACGGATATGCATGTGGTTAGCCCTAGGCCACATCCCAACAGCCTGGCACATGTAATGTGCACCAGCTTCCCCCATCGCCGCTTCTTGATGGCATTCTCGGCAGCCAGAGAAAAAATCCTGTGGCCTCCATCCTTTCTCTCACCAAATGCAAGAGCCTGGTAAAAACTGAATAATCGTCCTGTTATTTGTTTTTTACACAAAATTTGGTGTGTCAAATCATCTACAGTAAATCATCTACAGATGTAAATCTGTACTTTACTACAGAGTAAATAATCTACAGTATACACTTTTGTTTTGTTTTGTTTTTTGAGACGAACTTTTGCTCTATAGCCCAGGCTGGAGTGCAGTGTCCCAATCTCGGCTCACTGCAACCTCCACCTCCTGGGCTCAAGCAATTCTCCTGCCTTGGCCTCCTGAGTAGCTGAGATTACAGGCACTCGCCACCACGCCTAGCTATTTTTATTTTTATTTTTAATGGAGATAGGGTTTCACCATGTTGGCCAGGCTGGTCTCAAACCCCTGACCTCACGTGATCTGCCCACCTCAGCCTCCCAAAGTGCTGGGATTACAGGCATGAGCCACCACACTCAGGCCAGTATATACTTTTTTTAAAAAATGGGAAAATGCTACATTACAGCATCCTAGAATCAGTCTTAAGGTCAGTTTGTGTGAGCTGATCTTTTTAGACCTATTGAACAAGAAAGACTTGTTTATGTTGCAACCTATTGCATTACATTTGTTTTGAATATGAACAGCATTTCATGTCCTTACAGCTTTTCCACACCCTGTTGTATCATTCTTAGGAGCTATTCCAATTAGACCAGGGTCCTTTCATGCTAGCCAAACCTCCTCCAAAAAAGGCACCCTGGTCAGTTTTCATAAGTGCTTTTGTTTATATTACAAGTTTCCAAATGGGAAAGGTGACAAGATAGAGTATAGGAAGGCTCTATTGTCTACACATCAATAATTCTGAATTTAAAAGGAGATTGCATGTCTTTCAGCTATCCTTAGAGGTGGGAAACAGATGAGGATTTCTTATGCTTAAATTCTGCCGTATGGCCTCTCGCCAGCTTCCTTAGAAGGCCCTGCCCAAGCTTCCAGTGTTAGCAGCAGGCTTGTGATGTGTAACCTCTGAAAGAGTCCCTCTGATCTGGACGAGTACACTGTCCCCCTTGTTGAGATGGAGTCTGGAAGAAGGTATTCATGGGCCTCTTGGAATCTCATTCAGCCTAATGTACTTGGAAATGAATTCGCTTGTCAGAGAACAATTGACAAAAGAAAGAGAAAATCTTGATTAAATTTCAGGTCTAAAAAAAAAGCTGCTTGTAATCACTTCTTAAAATGGTACGCTCTTTCATCATTGAACTCACAGGAATGTGCAGGCCTGAAATTTGGTCAGTCTTCTTTTAAAGATACGCTTGTAAAGTCTGTGTAGTACTTTGCCATCTAAAACAAAACCAAACAAATCTAGCAAAAAAGCAAACAAAAAAAGCCAAGTTTATTTCACAGAAAAAATGTATTTCTTTCTAAGCCTTTCCCTACAATAGTTCAGGAATAATACAGTTTTCTTTACAGTGAAAATATTTTATTAGGAATTTTTTTAGCTTTCAGGGAAATATCCAGCCCAGAGAGAGTCTTGACTATGGAGTCATGTTTGTGCCTTCGAGTGACAAGTCCTATGAGATTCTCATTAAATACCATTATCAGTGAGGGCTGCAAAGTGTGACCCGAGTCTGAGCCTGCTTCTGCTGTCATTTCTGCATGGCCAAGTTAATCAATTGCCTCCATGGCACTCAGCCTGTGTAGCAGGGAGAGACTAGAAATCTGCCAAAGTGAAAATTACTAGAACTTGGAATTACCAGGCAAATCAATACACACACACATACACACACATGCGCATAATGGGAATTGGTTGCAAATTGAGTTTCCCGGAGAGCTGACTCTGAGATGGAAATTAATTTGTAGGATACTTATTAATGAACTTGGGATTGACACCTCTGGAAGGCAAAGCAGCAAGTTGGGCAGTGGAGAAGCTGGGCTGAGATGCAGTCTCAACAAAGGCCTCAGTCAACCCTGTGCGAAGCTCTGATGCTGGGATAGTCCTTCAGCATTGTCCCAGTTAGCCAGGGGGCTGTGTCTTTAGACCTCTGTTGACCATTCATTGGGTTGGTCTGCCCTGGGGAAGGGGCATGACCATGGGTGAGGTGGCTCTTCAGCTGAGGCAGTTCCTGAAGGGGACTGACAGCCAAGTGCCTTCTGGCAGCCAAATATACAGCAACTAGGGGAGAGCCCTTCGTCCTGGAGGGGGATCAGGACGTGTAGCAGAGCGTGCACTGCAAAACTCTCCAGTTTTGTTGTCTGATACAGTGTAAGTCAATTAATGAACCTATGGAAACAGAGCTCTATTAGGGCAGAATGTTGTGTTCTTGAAGACATCTTCATGACTCAGGAGAGGCAGTAATGGTTGGCAGCTGTCAGCAATAGTGCTACTTTCTACAAGCTGGGGACAAGCATGGCTGTTACCACACTTACACTTGCCTGGAAGGTTGGGGAGCACAGTTTTGATGGTAAAGAGTCTGATAAATGATGTCTCAACTTGGCCTTGGCATTTTTTCTCTGCTGCCCTGACATAGGTCCACCCTTCCCTCACCACGATGTCCCCTCCTCTCACCCCCATACTTCATCTTGTCCCATGGCCCCATTTATCCCCTAAGGCACATGATTTTCTGGCACATTTAGTATTCTTTTAAATAATATTTTTGTTTATGAACATCCCTTTGATATCTTTTGTATTATATTTCATCTTTGGTAGTGAAATTCTGACAACAAATAATACTATTAAACTTGTTAAAGTAGACACAGAATCTCACTTTGTTGCCCAGGCTAGAGTGCAGTGGTACAATCATAGCTCACTGCAGCCTTGAACTCCTAGGCTCAAGTGATCATCCTGCATCAGCCTCCCTAGTAGCTGAGACTATAGGTGTAAGTCACCATGCCCAGATAGTTAAACAAAAATTTTTTTTAGAGACAGGATATTGCCATGTTGCCAGGCTAGCTCACTGCAGGCTTGAACCCCTGGCCTCAAACAGTCCTTCTGCTGTGGCCTCCCAAAGTGTTGGGATTCAGGCATGAGCCACTGCACTCAGCCTGAGCTTTTTCTTTTGTTACTATGAAAGCAGATGTAAGACTTACGTGCAAAATAGATACCCGGAGTTTGAACCCAGCCCACCACTTACCTGCTGTGTCCATTGGGCAAGTTGTTAACTCTTCGTGCCTCAGTTTCTTCATCTATAAGGAGAGATTAAAACAGCACTTTTAACGGGTTGTTATGAGAAATAAGTTACTATTTGTAAAATATTTAGGACAGTACCTGGCAAATAGTAAATATTATATAAATATTTTCTAACTAAAAGGTAAGTTAAAATATTCCAGGCATGGTGTCTATATTTATGTAGAAAGGGAGAGGATTTAGAAGAGGGAAAAAGGGATTCACATTGTTAACCACCTTCTATGTGTGAGAGACGGGGCTAAGAAACAGATTACTTAACCTTCATAATAGTCCTATGATGCAGATATAAACTCCTCCTTACAGATGAAGAAATTAAGGTCTGCACAGTTTAAATTCAACACCATTATGGAGCTGGTGAGTGGAGAGCTGGAATTCAAAACCAAGTAGGCCTGACGTTAGTGCCTTTGTTAGTTCTACTTGTCTCCTCCTATTCCCACTCTTTCTTTCTTTAATTATGTTTTCTTTTTAAAATTATACTTAAGTTCTGGGATACATGTGCAGAACGTGCAGGTTTGTTCCATAGGTATACGTGTGCCATGGTGGTTTGCTGCACCCATCAACCTGTCATCTACATTAGGTATTTCTCCTAATGCTATCTCTCCCCTTGCCCACCAGCCCCCGACAGGCCCCAGTGTGTGATGTTCCACTCCCCCACTCTTTCTTAGTGATATCCCCTCAAAGTAGTCTGGTGGTTTTCCATTTTCCAGTAAGCAAAAACTGATACACTCAGAAGTGATACAAACCAGAATTCTGAACTCCCATGAGAACTGCCCTCCGAAACTATTAGTTTCATTTTCTTTCTGTTATTACCTAAAACAAAGAGTAAGGACATGAAAAATATGACTTGACAACATCATTTATATTACTATTTTCCCCATATTATGAACTTCATGCCTAAAACAATACCTTTTATGGCACAAGTTAGCCTATTTTGTATTGCTAGTTGCAAAAAGTACTCTTTGATTTTTAGGGTGTATGAGTGATCAGATAACTCATGAGCAAATATTTCTACAAGGAAGAAAACCCCAGCTGATAAGATTAATTCATAAGAAGTCACATTTTGATGCTAAAATAGTTTGATCTGAGATTCCAATTGACTACAAATTGCCAACTGTGCATACTTGTTGAAGATGTCATGTGTAAGTGAACCCTCTATTTGACAACCACTGTCAATGAGATTTGCAGAATATATACTGGTATGTTAATTTTCAACTTAAAACTGCCAAGTGGTTGCTGGCATTGTGAAAGTAGCTGGCTTCCCTCATTTGAGCAAACTTTGCAAGGCCTATAAAAGGAAAAGAAATAATCACTTTTACCTACATGAACTTAACATACATTCCTGTAAGGGGAAGCTATTAGCTCCTCCCCTGAAAAAAGCCCCAGGAAGTGTTTGATTCAGACCTCATGAGATGTGAGAACTCTTACTTTAGCATTTTGGATTCAAGACTCTTTATTCACATCTACATGCAGACGTGACCTTTCCTTGTATATTCTGCAGGGAAATAGAGGATAAATAGAAGGGAGTCACTTTATCACCCATGTGTCTCCCAATCACCAGCAGTGGTCAATGGACTTCTAAGGAGAAGTCCTCAAAGGGCTCGTGTTCCTGCTTGAAGGCTAATGCGGAGAAGCAGGTAGCTTGACCTTGATTGTATTTGGTCAATGTCATCTTGACAACAAGTAGTGGGAAGGAGAAGAGAGGTTGGTAGACTAATGTTTTCAAAGCCATATCAGAAACAAAACATTGACAGAGGAAGTTTAAAACAGATCTAAGTCATAAGATCGAAAGACAGCCTTGACCCAGAAGCTTGACCCTGAAACTCTACATCTCTTCCTCCAAATTTCCACCCAAGACTCTGCCTCATTTTCCATGTCCCACCATTAGTTCTGCCCGCTGGACTCACTGCACTAGCCTACAGAAGCCGTGAGAAATGTCCACGGTTGGAGAAGGTCTCACCACCAGTGCTGAGAAGCTAGAGGTGAAAGAGGAAGAGGAGGTTCAAGACCACTGCAGCATGGAAAGAATGTGTATTCCTGACATCTCAGCTTGAAACTGAATTTATTCCTCATGACAGAACTGTAAGAGATGGTACATAGACTCTTAAGCATTTCTTTTAAAATTTTTATTTTAGGTTTGGGGGTACATGTGAAGATTTGTTACGTAGATAAACATCTGCCATAGGGGTCTGTTGTACATATTATTCCATCACCTGCATATTAAGCTCAGTACCCAATAGTTATTTTTTCTGTTCCTCTCCCTCCTTCCACCCTCCCCACTCAAGCAGACCCCATTGTCTGTTGTTTCCTTATTTGTGTTCGTAAGTTATTTTTTAGCGCCCACTTACAAGTGAGAACATGCGGTATTTGGTTTTCTGTTCCTGTGTTAGTTTGCTAAGGATGATAGCCTCCAGCTCCATCCATGTTCCCACAAAAGACATGATTTCATTCTTTTTTATGGCTGCATACTATTCCATGGTGTGTATGTACCACATTTTAAAAATTCAGACTGTCTGTGGTGGACATTTAGGTCGATTGCATGTCTTTGCTCTCCCATATATTTGCTGCAGTGAATATTCACGTGCATGTGTCTTTATGGTAGAATGTTTTATATTCCTCTGGGTATGTACCCATTAATGGGATTGCTGGGTCAAATAATACTTTGACTCTCAAGTATTATCAGAACTAAACTCCAGCAACAAGTTGTGATAAATAGATTTCTTTTCTTTTGGTGAACTGGTCTGAAGACCTAATTACCATGGATGACACAATTACTATAAGAAAGCACCTGCCCAACTTCCTAACAATTCATTTTTCAAAATATCATAGGACGGGGCTAGCTAGCTTAGAGCTTAAGAGATACAGAACCAACAATTGAAATAATCTAAGAAATTTTTAAAAGTAGGGATACAACAATTAACAAGTGAGATTAGAAAGGGCTCAAAAAGGAAATTCTAAAATTGAGCAAATGGGGAAAAACAAAACTTGCTTGCTTTACTTTGAAATAATTTACAAAGTACGTTAATGCTAATATTTACTACATTTTTATCATCCTTTATCTCAGATAATATGTATTTAACATGAGATGAAATACACATTAAATGTATTAATTTAATTTATCTGTTTTTATTTAAAACTTTATGCATTTGTATTAGACATATGCATATAAATATGTGCTACACTTTTTTCTGAAAGATAAATTTATACCGTGATAACTATTGTGCCAAAATTCTAGGATTAATAAGACAAATCAAACCTACTTTTTATAGCCTTACTTACATTCTCCCATTGTATTTTAACTTTTGTAGTTTTTAGCATTATGTGAAATCCTAAGTGAGGGTTTTTTGTGTATTTTTATTTCTGGATTTATGTATTTTATTGGAACTTTAAGTATAGTCATGATGAAAAGAAAATATTTCCTTACTTTTTAGGCTAGCTGAGGAAGTGCTTGCTGTTTCTTTAATATTTTTCTACATAATTGGATCTATTTTAGCAGTATGAACTATTGCAGCTACTGTGAACTGAACAATAGAGGAAGGCCAATTATTCCAAAGCTGCATTTAACGGCTGCTCACCTTGCACAGATATCTCTCTTCAAAATCAACTACAATGCAACATGCATTTTCTGAGGAATTCAAGAGATAGGGAGATTGGCACATTTAAACAGCAGCATTTTGAAGTCTGGTGTCAGACATGAAGAATCTTGGGTCAACTGTACTGTTATTCTGCTTCTTTGTGTTCTTGGTCAGTTGGATTCTTAACACACATACTCTCTATATAAAAACATATAAATATTATACATATATAAACATAAATATCATATATATATATATACAAAACCAGAATATATGTATATACAAAACCAGAATATATATATATACACAAAACCAGAATGAATATATATATATACAAACAAAAACCAGAATGATGACTAGGAAACAATAATTTTTGTTCATAAAATCTTCTATATGAGAGGCATGTTTTCATATGTCCTTGTACTCAATATCGGTGAGTTCTCCCAAAAATAGCCTGAGAACTGGCTTGAGCAAACCAAGAAAAGGATAAAACTCAACCTCTTCCTGCAAGTGGGTTATAAACCTAAATGTGAAAAGAAAAAATATTAAGTGAATGAATACATTGTACATATATTAGCACACTGAAATTCTAAAAATAAAAAGATGAACCAGAGGTTTTTTTGGGAAGAATCTTATAACCACAATATGGATCAAAAAAAGCAAGGCACAAAATAATGGGTACACTATATTTCTCACTGATATAAAATAAAAAACCAGGAGAAATCATACCTTAAAGGTGATAAAACTATAAAGAAAATGTAGAACTAGAATAGGACCACTGTAAGAATCAGGGTGGCAGTTTCCTGTAGAGTGAGAGGATTTCCACTAGAAAGACAATATTTTAAGCACATTTGTTATATATAATCATTCATGGCACTGCATATTTGAATGTTTTGCATTCTCCTGTATGTCTGTTATGTCCAAACAAAAATATTTTAAAAAATACACCCACCAGAAAGAGAATCCTGTTGGCATGATTTTAGATTCCAAAATAAAGCAGATAATTGACTTTTATTTTTTATTTTTTGAGATGCGGTCTTAGGCTGTCACCCAGACTGGAGTGCAGTGGTGCGATCTCGGCTCACTGCAACCTCTGCCTCCCGGGTTCAAGCGATTCTCCTGCCTCAGCCTCCTGAGTAGCTGGGATTACAGGCTAAACCACCACACCTGGGTAGTTTTTGTATTTTTAATAGAGATGGGGTTTCATCATGTTGGTCAGGCTGGTCTCAAACTCCTGACCTCAAGTGATCCGCCCGCCTTGGCCTCCCAAAGTGCTGGGATTACAGGTGTGAGACACCTCACCCAGCCCAAAGCAGAGATTTATTATCCAGCCCCTGTGCTTTGAATATAAAGCCAGTGTCATGCTAAGATCTTGAGCAGCCTCCCAGGTGTCATTGACAACCTGTATTTAATGTTAAATAATAGCAGAACTTATACAAATGAAGTACTTACTACGTCCCAGGTAATGTGCTAAGGGTCCAGCATACATTAGCTCATTTAATTCTCACATCAACCCTCACAGCTAAAGACAGTCAACCCTCCTTGGGTTCTGCATTAGTGGGTTCAACCAGCTGCTAATCAAAAATATTTGATAGAAGAAAAAAAGGATGGTTGCATCTGTATTGAACAAGTACAGACTTTTTCCCCCTCATCACTATTCCCTAAACAATACAATTTAACAACTATTTACATAGCATTTACATTGGATTAGGTATTATAAGCAATCTAGAGATGATTTAAATTATACAGGAGGATGAGCACAGGTTATATGCAAAAACAAAGCCATTTTATATCAGAGGCTTGAGCATCCACAGATTGTGGAGTCTTTGGGGTTACTGGAACCAATCCCCTGTGCATACCAAAGGGTGTGTCTACTATTATGGTTATTTTACAAAGAAGGGTAATGCATGTTGGTCAGGTAAGCACCTGCATACAGTGCTCAGATTGAGGAAGGAGCTGAGGTAGACTCTGACCCAGGTGGGTCTGCTGTCCAGTTGACTGCTGAGTTGCCATCCTATTTTACTCCTTTGTTAACCACTTAGACATCATCGCCAGTGGCAAAATCTTGAACAGACAACTATTATACAGAGGTTGGTTCGAAAAGCATGGCATTCATTCATTCTACAGTCATTCCTGTGCCAAGCTCTATGTTGGGTTTTGTGACTACAAAGAGGAAAATGACATCAGCCCTGCCCTCAGGGACCTGCTCCAGAACCAAGAGAGTCAGGTAAACAGACAAACAAAACCAGCAGCTTATGAGTGCACTACAGTGGCGTGGGGACAAACAAATCTGGAAGAAGAAAATAGATATCAGGCAAGAGAAGCTCAGTTTTAATCAGAGCCTTTTAACCAACCAGCCCATCTCTCTGTATTACTTACTCCTTCACTTGTCTCTGATTCCCTTAGAGTGATCTGTAGCCTATCACTTGCTTTTCCCTAACTGGACTCCACGTTTTTCCATTCCCAGTCTTGCCAGGTGTGATTCTTCTAAGTCCCCAACTACATCCCCACTCTTTTCTGTTCCCCTCTTCTTCCCACTTCCTCTCTCCACCCTTTTTGGCTACCTAAATCAAACCTATCCTTTACTACCTGTAACTCTCCGGATGCCCCTCACCAGAAGTGAGCACGACTTTTCCAACACTCTTCCGTGTTTCATTCATGCCGTGTTTGCAGCCTATAGTGCAATTGACCTTGTGTTACAATTATTTACATGAATGTTTTATCTTCCTTGCTAGAGTACAAGCTCCTTCAGCCCAGAAAACATGATTAATTTGCTTTGTGTTTGTCACAAAGGCCAAGAATTGTGCCTAGAGCAAACATCGCCTTGTTGAATGGTATTGGACACATAAACAGCTGAGAAGTATTTGGCAGCAACCTGACCAAACCTTTTGAGTTTGGATGGGAGTTTTGGAGCAAGGTATTCTGAATCCTATAATAATAATAGCAATATAATCTCAAGGCATTTTTATAGTTGAGACAAATGGAATTTACAGACAGATGTTATCCATAGGCCAAAGAATACTGCTAAAATTATTTACAACAGTATTTTTTCCTTTTGAAAGAAAAGAAAGTTATGAGGAAACATAGCTAAGTTTTTACATGGAATCCCACATGGAAAGGATGGCTAATCATCCATTGATCTATTCTCCCATGCCCATGAATTCTACCATCAGCAGTAATAATTATGGACTCTAGAAGATAATAGAAGTAAGATTTCATTCATTAGTTTATATTTGCAATTATTTTTGCCCAGTGATGTTGAATAAAATCATTAAAATCCTTTCAATATTTTGGCTTGGAAATTTCCTCTATTTTTGTTTCTTGGTGGATTTCTCATCACTTATTACAGCTTTACTCTGTTGGAAAAAAAAAATCCAGTTAATAGACCTACAGTAGCTAGGAAATTTAATGAAAATCTATGAAAGTTTGATTATTTTTAGAGACATCTCATTGAGATTTCTTTGTTTCCTAAATGTTTAATGATAAATAGTCCCCAGGGAGCTCAACTGTGTAACTCCCTAGAAGTTCAAATTTAAAATACTCAACCACTTCAGAGGCAAATACTCAAAAGAGAGTGAAACGCAGAAAAGATGGGGTTTTTAATGCAGGTCATTGGAATGCTAGCCTCAATTCCAAACTCCTTCTTTCTCTGATAGGATTCAAGGGTAGCTCACACAGTCTCCCTGTGGGCATTTGAGTTTTCCTTTGAGGTTTGCATCTCCTGTCTCCCCTCTCCTTAGTCTCTTGCATTACGTGGTTGTTGCCCTTGTGACAGGACAGATCAGAATTGGTCACCACGGCCAGGTATGGTGGCTCAAGCCTATAATCCTAGCATTTTGGGAGGCTGAGGCGAGCGGATCACCTGAGGTCAGGGGTTCAAGACCAGCCTGATCAAGATGGCAAAACCCCGTCTCTAATACAAATACAAAAATTAGCTGGGCGTGGTGGCGCATGCCTGTAATCCCAGCTACTGGGGAGGCTGAGGTAGGAGAATCGCTCGAACCCAGGAGGCGGAGGTTGCAGTGAGCTGAGATTGTGCCACTGCACTCCAGCCTGGATGACAGAGTAAGACGCCATCACACACACAAAAAAGAATTGGTCACCATCCAACTGCATTGGTTGGGCTATTTCCGGAGACATACTTGGGGCACCTTGTTAGTGGGGCTTTGACATAAGTGCATGTAGGGAGGGAAAAAGGCACAGCCACTACCTCAGCAGCTCCAGCCCTGGGCCTCGAGATGACCAGGAGCATTTTCAGGATGCAACACCATTGTAAGTGGCCATCCCTGCACAAACAAGGGCCTAATTGCTTTCTATGCATTTCTGCAGTCACCTCCAAATGGTTTCAATCCTGTAACCCAACAGCGAAAAAATTTGAACATGCTCCTTCCAATATATACATTTTTAAAATGTACACAAGTAATATAAGAGCAATGAGATAAAAGAGTCAATATAAACAGGAATTCTTATATTTTCTTCTAATCCCCCAAGGGATCATCTTGTAAACCCCACCTTACATAGCACCAAGCTATGGAGATCATAGCTTATTGCCTACTCTGATGCTGATTTCCTATGTATGCGCCACATACAAACTATCTAAGAAAGGGGGCCCCGTGGGGCTTATCAATTGCTGTTTCATGTGGAGCTTCCTTCCTGACAAAGCTTTCTGCCAGGCCCCCAGGAGAACTGCTGATCAGCCTTGAAAGCTTTGTGCTGTTGGGGCTCAGCCATCAATGGCCAGGGTA
This sequence comes from Homo sapiens, assembly GCF_000001405.40. Lineage (NCBI taxonomy): Eukaryota > Metazoa > Chordata > Mammalia > Primates > Hominidae > Homo > Homo sapiens. The sequence goes on from NC_000010.11 coordinate 23,621,660, forward strand.
GCAGTAATACATTTTAGAATGGGTGCCATCTGTATGGAGGTGGCCATGGGTAACAGTCAAGACAGGGACCTGTGTGGCCCAAAGTGTGGGTGGTGGTCCTCTCCTCACAGCCATTCTTCTTGGGGTTATTGCTAGGGTCCTTGGTTAGAGAGCGTGTATTCTTCCTTTCTTGTATGATCTTCCAATCCAACGCCCCCTCCCAACCCCTCAACTGCAGAGAAACAATTTATATATTAAGTTCACAATGAAGAGCCCCTGCTACTTCTTTCATATATATGTGAAATATATATCTGTTTCAACACAGGGTTTCTCTATGTCACCCAGGCTGGAGTGCAGTGGCATTATGGTAGCTGACTGCAGCCTGGACCTCCTGGACTCAAGCGATCCTCCTGCCTCAGCCTCCTGAGCAGTTGGGACTACAGATGTGCACCACCGTGCCCGGCTAATTCTTTTAAATTTTTTTGTAGAGGTAGGGTCTCCCTACGTTGCCCAGGTTGGTCCCAGATTCCTGGGGTCAAGCGATCCTCCTGCCTTGGGCTCCCAAGTTGCTGGGACTACAGGTGCGAGTACCGTGCCCAGCCCTTTTTGTAATATCCCCAGTGAAAAAGCATTCATTTAGCCTACTCTTTGTTGATAAAAGCCTGTCTTTCAAGGAAGGTAACATGAGCTTTTGGGACAAACTGGCACATCTCAGAGTGAGTCCTTTTTGCACATTAAACCTTTCACAGGGAATAGAAAGGAGACCCTCTGCCTACCTTCCCCACCTTGTCGGAGAGTTTTAGATTTCAACTGATAGCAATTATTTATCTCAGTTCCCTTTCTCCAAGAACCCATGGACATTTGTCCCAACTGTGTCTGGGGCATCTGGCAAAACATGCCTTCACAGTCTATGTGATCTGAAAGCCAAGAAGATGAGGCTGCCTCTGGGCCTCACTCCACCTGTCATGCAGAACAAAGGCTAAGAGAGAGGGCTCTGCAGCCACATGCCTGGGTCCCTAGTCCAAGCTCTGCCACATATTCACAGTGTGATGAGAGCAAATTACTTAATTTCTCATGCCTTGTCTTCTTCATCTATAAAACAATAGTAATAATAGTATATATAGGCCAGGCATGGTGGTTCATGCCTGTAATCTCAGCATTTTGAGAGGCTGAGGCAGAAAGATCACTTGAGGCCAGGAGTTTGAGACCAGCTTGAGCAAGATAGTGAGATTCCATTTCTTTAAAAAAAAAAAAGAGTACCTACGTCATAGAATTATTGTGAAGATTAATTTAATTAACATATAAATGATTACCATAGTCAGCATTGAGTACATCTTGCCTTTTATTGTCTAAAGGGAGTAATTTACCTTGTGATATTTTGGACTCTTGGGGCTTATTATGATTATTTCTGAAACAATTGAACAGGAAGAAGTATGCCTCTTGGTTTTATTACCTGTGAAACTCACAACCAGCAAGTCTGGGTCTGTCTTGTTCACTACTCTATCCTGAGTCCCTGTGCTGTAGGTACTATTATTACAGCCATTTTACAGATATGGAAAAGGCATGAAGAATTAAGTGATTTGCTCATGTCACACTGTGAATACTTGGCAGAGCTTGGATTAAGGACCCAGGCAGCCCTGGTATAATGGAGACATTGGATAAATATCAGTTATTGATTTAGAAAATATTAGGAAATGTAATTACATAAAAATAAGTGTTCTCCAAGGTATTTCAGTAAGTTTTTATTTGCTGAAAGAAAATTCTTTGACATTCATAGACTCTGGGAATGTGATCACTTCCGTTTATTGAACGTCACTCACTAGCAATAGATCTTACATGCATTAACTTAATCTTTTATAACATCCTTAGAATTAGATATGAGCAATCACAGTTTGCAGATGAGAAACTGAGCATCACAGAAACTGTGACCTGCATGGAGATCACAAAGCATTCGGTGGCAGAAAGGGGATTTGCACCAGGGCTCCGTGCTCCTAAATTTGTGCTTTTCTGCTGATCTATTTCCACGGTGGTGAGGACAGCTCTGAGAGAGGGCTACTATAGTTCCTCAAGCATCCAGAGCCTCAAGACTAAAGACTCACTCTGCAAACGAGGGTCCTTAGGCTTTCTAGACCTGTCACATAAGCCATCTAACTGTCATTCAGTTCTTAAATTGGCCATCAGTAACTGACATTTATCTGATTAAGAGGCAGACAAATTCCTGTACTAAATTCTAGTGCTTGATAAAGTTTCCACCATAAAGCTTGTCTTGTTTGATATTTCTTCCTTTTAAAAAATAAAGAATCCTTATACCCTGGGAAAAGGATAATTAAAAATTAAAATTAAAAAAATGCAGACTCTAATTGACAGAGTTTGGAAGAATGATCAAGAACTTGAAGGTATATACTGGGGAGCCAGAAGGAAAGTTGGAATGAGTGTGGAAATGGGAGCAGTTGATTTCTAGCTTTTGTCATCTGCAAGAGGAGTTAAGGCCTATTTACCTTTGAAACCAAAGGGGAGTTTGCAAGAAGCATTATTTAATGCTTTAAAAAATAGGTTTTTAAATAATTAAGATAAAGGCTAAAAATAGCTAGATAATAAAGCTTTTAAATATTTCACCATAGTATATTGCTAACATGACTTACATTTCAGACTGTGTCCTGATTTTGGATATTTTGCATTTCTGCAGGTTACTTTTTAGATCACTAATCAAAATTAAATAATGCCTACTCTTAGTTAAAATGATAATTTTTCATAGGCTGCAAAGAGAATGGCAATCTTAAAAATAAATGCTTTTGTTCTAAATGAATTCTTTCTGAAATAATTTGCTTATGTGAGTAATTTGTAGAGATAGTTATGATAGAAGGGTTATGACTAGAAGTAATGGGATGAAATGAAGTAGCAAAAAATTTGGGATGAAATTAGAAAAGTAAGAAAAAATTAACAAAAAAAAAAGAAAAATAAGGTTTTAAGCTTTTAGACTGTGTGAAAGTCTTCTTGGAGAATAGGAAAAAGTCCTGGCTATTCAAAATATTAGTTAAGCCTCAACATGATGATGAGGGTGTTCATTCAGCAGGAAACATCCCAGTGCTTTGTAAACACCAAGATTATTCTCAAGCATGCTTCTAATGTTATCCCATAAATCCAGAGCAGGTACAATATTGGTGTCTGTGAGTAAACACTGAATTTTAATTCCATCCCAAGTGATTATTCCCCAGAGTAATTTTCTTTAGAGGGATAAACTATCTGACCCTATCTACTTGGAGGCAAGGGAATGTTTGTCTTGAGGAGTTATGATCTGATCTATTCTGGAGCTGCAGAACTGAAGGTGGGAAACAAGCTCTCTGGGTGAATCTGGTTAAGGTTCTCTTGATGACAGTCCTTAAGTCACAAAAACATACCACCAGGCCAGGCACGGTGGCTCACGCCTGTAATCCCAGTGCTTTGGGAGGCTGAGGCGGGCAGATCACGAGGTCAGGAGATCAAGACCATCCTGGCTAACACGGTGAAACCCCGTCTGTACTAAAAATTCAAAAATTAGCTGGGTGTGGTGGCGGGCCCCTGTAGTCCCAGCTACTCGGGAGGCTGAGGCAGGAGAATGGCGTGAACCCGGGAGGCAGACCTTGCAGTGAGCCGAGATCGCGCCACTGCACTCCAGCCTGGATAGAGCGGGACTCCGTCACAAAAACAAAACAAAACAAACAAACAAAAAGCTACTACCAACCCAGATACCAGTGTGGGTCTCATTCGGTTTATCTAGGCATTTTTCTTAGCACAGTTTTTGTAAGTTCTCCAGGTGGTTCTAAAGCATAGCCAAGACTGAGGACCACCACCAGAACTGCTGAGACTTATTTACAAACCATCTCTTACCTGCAGTACAAACCTGCCTCTGCTCTCCTGATTCTTGTGAGCCTTTGATTACCGTCTGTGCAGTTTTCCCTGTATTCAAGAAAGATGGGCTATAATGCCAAAGTTCTTAAGCCTTTTAGTTCCTTGTGGCTTGGAGAATCTAACAAAAGCAATAGACCCTCTTCCAGGAAAATGCACCTTATCTTGGATATAATTTAAGCATCACTTAGAATCCCTGAATCCCATCTCTAAAAGCACAGATTAAAGTCTCTATCTTATCTAGATAATGTCAGAAACCAGATGCTCCTATTCTTCTTTAACTTGAGTTGTTGCTTCTAAAACCTGTGCCTGAGCACAGGTGATATGGTTTGGCTCTGTTTCCCCACTCAAATCTCATCTTGAATTGTAATCCTTGTAATCCCCATGTGTTGAGGGAGGGAAGTGATTGGATTATGGGACGGTTTCCCCCATGCTGTTCTCATAATAGTGAGTTAATTCTCACGAGATCTGATGGTTTTACAAGCGTCTGACATTTCCTCTGCATGTTCTTCTTCTTCTGCTGCCTTATGAAAAAGGACGTGTTTGCTTCCCCTTCCATGATGATTGTAAGTTTCCTGAGACCTCCATAGCCATGCAGAACTGTGAGTCAATTAAACCTCTTTTTTAATAAATTGCCCAGTCTCAGGCAGTTCTTTATAGTGGTGTTAAAACTAATACAACAGGAGACAAGTGCATTTGTCATGTCCTTTCATAAAGAAGTTGAAGAGATCACTGGTAAAGCCCCATGCTGTAGTCTATTGGTGGGGCTGTTAAAAAGTTGTTTGGGCCTGGCATGGTGGCTGACACCTGTCATCCTAGCACTTTGGGAGGCTGAGGCGGGTGGATTGACTGAGCTCAGGAGTTTGTGACCAGCCTGGGCAACATGGCAAAATGCCGTCTCCATTAAAAATGCAAAAAATTAGCTGGGCATGGTGGTGTATGCCTGTAATCCCAGCTACTCAGGAGGCTGAGGCACGAGAATCACTTGAGCCTGGAAGGTGGAGGTTACAGTGAGCTGAGATCGCACCACTGCACTCCAGCCTGGGCGATAGAGTGAGACCCTGTCTCACAAAAAAAAAAAAAAAAAAAGTTGTCTAGAGCTCTAGAGGTACAGGGACAAGAATATAGTAATTCAAAACCAGAGCATAATTCCAACAGTGCAACCCCATAAAGGTTACAGAAAGATGCATTGGGATGATTTATTTAGGTTTGGGTGACCAGAAACAATCTCAGTGGCAGAGTAGATGAGATTAGCTTGATTGGTTTAGTTGGTGTTCATCCACGCAACAGGGAGAGAGTGGATGGACATTACAGGGGCCACTGTGGAAACAACCACAGTCAACACAGGTTCTCTCTGGTTACGCTGTGGCAGCTCTAGAACATGTTATATTAACTGCATGTTTTTGGATCTCTTGACTTCACTGGCATGTCCACATCTCTAAAGCAGTGGTCATCATTTTATCAGGAAACTCCACACATGCATCTAAGTTCAAGCACCCTTTTTCTTATTGTTTTTCTATCATTGAATGATTTTCCATCTAAAATTTAAGAAACTGTATAATCAGTATAAATGGGCTTGTCTTATGGCAATTTATACACAATTTAGTATTAAGACACATTTGAAACTGGATGGTATTGTTTTGTGTTGCTTAATAGAGAAATTGGTTTGAATCATAGCTCCTCTAAGTATTCTTCTGAACTGAGATTTTTTTTCTATCGTGAAGGAGAAAGAAACAATGTCATCTTTAATCCCAAGACATATTCTTCAGTTTATTTGTTTGAAACATTTAGATTTGTTTGTTTTTTGGTCTTTTCTACTTGGAAGCACTCAAAGTTAGAAAATCCAGATGAAATGAATGATAGTCTTAAAACATGACTTAGAGTTACAGAATTTGTTTAAATCATTAACTACAGTAGATGGTGGAAAGTAATTAACTATGAACACCTTCTCCCAAAGAAAATAGGCCCAGTTTATGAATGAGTTCTGCAAAACTTTTAAGAGCAGATAATTATTATTATAAACTGTTGAAGAATATCAGAAAAGTAGAGGATCCTTTGTTTACTCTATATAGCTAGCATATCCCTGAGAACAAGAATGACACTCAAAGGGAAATTATAATTCAATTTGAGAATATAAATGCAAGTATACAGATTAAATATTAATAAATCAAATCTAGTGGTATATTAAAAATGCATGATGAAAAAATAGGTTTCATCTCATGAATAAAAAGGTGGTTCAACAATACAATTCATATTAATCAAATTCTCTACGTTAACAAATGAAAATGGGCCAAATTCAATCTTCAATGGGGAAAATCATTTAAAACATTCTTTGTAAACTAAAAGTAGAAGAGAACTCCCTTAAATCCCACAATAAACCTGAGTTTCATCCTCGGGAGCCATCTCCACTATAATTGGTAAAAAGGCAAAGATAACCACTATAACTGTCACCAGGTAATGTTTTATGAAGGTTCATATAAATCAATAAAAAACATCAGGTAAATAATCTGGAAAACTATTGTGACTTACAAGAAAATTAACAAATGTGGTTGCAAACAAGGACATACAAAATTGATGGCATCTACAATTACTTGTTAGAAAATAAAATGAATAAAATAATGCCATTTGCAATTAGCAACTCATCCCTAAAAGACCTAATAAGAAATGTTAGAACTAGGCTGGGCGCGATGGCTCAAACCTGTAATCCCAGCACTTTGGGAGGCCGAGGTGGGCGGATCACCTGAGGTCAGGAGTTTGAGACAAGCCTGGCCAACATTGCAAAACCCCGTCTCTACAAAATACAAAAATTAGCCAGGTGTGGTGGTGGATGCCTGTAATCTCAGATACTCAGGAGGCTGAGCAGGAGAATCTCTTGAACCTGGGAAGTCGAGGTTACAGTCAGCTAAGATCGCACCACTGCACTGCAGCGTGGGCGACAGAGCAGGACTCTGTCTTAAAAAAAAAAAAAGGAATATTAGGACTATATTAATAAAATTAAACATACAGAACATAAGTCAAAGCGTGTGTGTCCTGGATGGGAACATCTAACATTATTAGGACATAAACCTGTTTTAAAGTTACTGATAAATTAAATACAACCCTAATCAAAATTCCATCAGAATTTTTGTTAGAAACCTGAAGTTTATTCTAAAGATCACATGAAAGAGGCAAATGCACAACAGTAACAAAGACATTTATGAAAAAGAACACAAGGGGTGGGGCTTCCCTGCCAGGCAGGAAAACATACCATAAACCTGTAGTAAATAAAACAGTGAGGCAGCAGCTCAGAAATAGACATAGTGATCAGTGAGACCCAAAGAGGCCAGAGGCAGCCTCTTGCAAAAGCAGGGAGTTAGTTTTGTCACACGCAGCCTTTCAAATCTGAGATAAAGAGGGGACAACTTAGTAAATGATTACTGGATAATTTCCCACACATTTGAAAAAACAGTCACTATATCTGTTATAGAGCACTAGAGTCACTGTAAAGTTCTTATATGTTTGCAAGAGATGGATTTAAGAAAAGACTAAAATCCTTTTGGAGGGTAATTTGTTACTACAAAGATTAGAAAACAACATTACAAAGCAAAATTATAAAATGATTAGAAAAAATATAGAAAAGCATTTTTATAACTTCAAGTTGAAATAGGCCTTTTTAAACAAGAAAAACATTCTAGAAATATATAATTAAATATTTTTTAAAATTAATATAAAAGAATGAAAATATGAACAATAAGATTGAGAAAAACATTTACAATTTATTCAGAGACAGGTTCTCATTCTGTTGCTGAGGCTGGGGTACAGCGGCACAGTCATGCTCTCTGTAACCTTGAACTCCCTGCCTCAAGCAATTCTCCCATCTCAGCCTCCCAAAGTACTGGCATTACAGGCATGAGCCACTGTGCCTGGCTACAGTATATTTAACAAGCAAAGGCAAGTCAGCAAGATATAACTTAAAATAGCTGAAGGATACAAATAATCCATGGAAAAGAAGATAAAAATGGACAAATGAAAAGATTCTCAATCTCACGAGTAATCAAAGAAATACAAACTAAAGCCTTTAAATAGATTTTTACCATTCAACTGTCAAAATTAGAACATTTATCTCAATTTTTTGGTAAAGATGCAGGAAAACATATTTCTATAAACTCTAGGCGAAAGTATAGCTTGATGTAGCCTTTTTGGAAGGCAGTTTGCCACTCTATAAAACTGATAGAAAGTTCATGCCATGTGGGTCATGCATTTCATTTCCTGGATTCAAATCTTCAGAAATACAATAAATCTAGAAACAAATCTGCAAAGATATTCTAGCATTGTTTCTTAGCATAAACAACTGGAAATTATCTAAATCTTCAGCAAAACGTAGTATCTCTATTATTATTGAATACAACATAGCTTTTAAAACAACAATAATTGAAAATCATCAAGTCACAAAACATAGCTAGAATAACATGATATAAACAATTTTGCTTATACTGCTTAGCCCAATGATCATGAATTCCCACCTTGCAGCCTTTTCTACTGCAATCAATAGATACTCTTGACTACCTGGCAGGTGAACCCAGGTGTTTAATCCTTCTCTTCATGATAAAATAATTCAGCTGAGCACTGAAATACAAGATTAGATACTCACAGAGTGAAAAAGCAAGACACAAACTAGGAGAAGATAGTCACAAAGCATATATTTAACCAATGATTTGTATCTAGAATCAATCAAAATGTTAAATAGAAACTCCTATAAATCAATAAGGTAGAAAGCCAAATTAAAAATAAATGGCAGAAGCACATCTGGGATGGCAGAGGAAGGACCTCCAAAAAATCCATTTCTATGTAAAAGCAGTAAGAACATTAACAAAAGTGGAGAAAAATAAACTTTTTCAAAACTCTGAAAATTAACCAAAGGTTTACAACAATCCAAGGGCATACCTATTCAAAGAAAAAAAGTGTAATACCAGTAAAAACAGTGAGCTTTGGGACTTTATAACTTGCTCTATCCTCTTCCCACTTGCTCCACAGAAGCTATGAAAGCTAACAGTCTTGTAACCATGGTAACTGTAAAACTCAGCAGCCTAGCAGCTACTGGGGAGAAGGGGAGAACAAGTTTGGAGCTGCTCCAAAAGCTCCATCCCCAGAAAATTGTTACTATTTGACCTGTCTGGCTGTTCCTAAGAAAAGCTCCACTTTCAGAATTTGTCTCTACTTGACCTGACTCAGATCTTGCTTTTGCCTATCCTCAGGGTGTTTATCAAAAACAGTAAGTGTCAAGATTGTTTGACATCACAACAACCTGAGATGGGGATACAAGTTGGGATACACAGGAGGCTGATCAAAAGACTTAAAAGAAAAAAAAAAACATGGGAATAAGTTATCGACAGGGCACCTTGAAAAGCTCTTGCCTATTCCTGGGAATGTAGAAGACTACATGCCTGTGCAGGGCTGTGCACAAGCTCAGGAAAGACCCAGGAAAACTTTAGTCTCTCACATCTGGTTTACTTTGAAGCTCTGTGCAAATAGAAAGTGAAGTCTAAGGCAGATTCGTATACTGATGCAGCATAAAAGGCATGCTGTAGCTCATACCCAGAGCTCCTTGGCAAAGGCTGGGAGGCTTGCTGGTTCAAGGAATTTAAGGAATCTCTGTTCAATCATTATCATACTCAGCAGAGACTTCAGGGCTACACACAAAAAGAATAAAGGCTTTACAGAATTAGTCCAGGAAAGTTGCTAAACAAACACGAAGAGCAACAGCAATGACCTGCAACAATGACAAACCCATACAGAATGAGGGTGATCTGACTTCCAGGATTGCTACATGTTATCATTTGAAATGTCTAATTTTCAGCAAAAATTATAAAATAGAAACAGCAAAGTATGGTTTATACACAGGGAAATAAAAGCAATCAATAGAAACCGTCACTGAGGAAGCCTAGATGTTAGATATACTGTACAAAGACTTTAAATTAGTTATTGTAAATATGTTCAAAGAGTTAATAATGTTTAAAGAATTCAGGGAAAGAATGAGAATGATGTCTCACCAATTAGAGAATATCAATAAAAATAATTGCTTTCTCAGACTTTTGGCTAAGATAAAGTTAATAGAAGATACAAATTACAAGAAAATAAAAATTGTTGTGTTGAAAAGTAAGATTTTAGAGTATTTCAGCGAAAATTTGAGCCGATAAAAGAAAAAAATCAGTGAACTTAGTCACTTGAAATTTTCTAGTCTGAGGAGCAGAAAATAAAAAGAATAAAGTCAAAAAAAGTTTCAGAATTCAATTGGAATCAGTAGAATACTAACATATGCATAATTCATAATCAGTGTTTCAGGAGAGGAGAAAGGGCAGGAAAGTAGAAAGAATATTTTACAAAATAATGGCAGGAAACTTCCAAATTTAATGAAAAACATTCATCTGTACATATAAGAGGCTTAACAAATTCCAAGCAGGTCAAAACCTAGGCACTTCAGAGTTGTAAGTCAAAGACAGATAATCTTAAAAGCAGCAAGAGAAAACTGACTCAGCACATACAATGGATCCCCAATAACATTAATAGTTGACTTTTTATCATAAATCACGTAGGCCAGATGGCAGTAGAATGACATTCAAGTGCCAAAAGAAAAAATTGTTGGCTGGGCACGGTGGCTCACGCTTGTAATCCCAGCACTTTGGGAGGCCAAGGCAAGTGGATCACGAGGTCAGGAGTTCGAGACCAGCCTGGCTAATACAGTGGAACACTGTCTCTACTAAAAGTACAAAAATCAGCTGGGCATGGTGGCCTGCGCCTGTAATTGCAGCTACTTGGGAGGCTCAGGCTGGAGAATTGCTTGAACCTAGGAGGCAGAGATTGCAGTGAGCTGAGATTGCATCATTGCACTCCAGCCTGGGTGACAGAGCTAGACTCTGTCTCAAAAAAAAAAAAAAATTGTCAACCAATAAGTCTATATCAAGAAACACCATCCTTCAAAAAGTAGGCAGAAATTGAGATTTTTTTAGAAACAAATGAGAGAATTAATCACTACTGTACTTGCCCTCAAAAAATACAAACTCAGGCTGAAATGAAAAGAAAAAAAACACTAGACAAATTCAAATCCATATGAAGAAATAACACCAATAAAGGTAACTACATATATAAAGTATATAAGGCATATAAAGTATAAAAGGTATTATCAATGTGCTTTTTTTTTTTTTTTTTGAGACATAGTCTTGCTCTGTCACCCATGCTGGAGTGCAGTGGCATGGACTCAGCTCACTGCAACCTCCACCTCCTGGGGTCAAGCAATTCTCGTGGCTCAGCCTCCCAAGTAGCTAAGACGACAGGCAAGCACCACCATGCCCAGCAATTTTTTGTATTTTTAGTAGAAACAGGATTTCTCCATGTTGGCTAGGCTGGTCTGGAACTCCTGGCCTCAAGTGACCTGCTTGCCTCAGCCTCCCAAAGTGCTGGAACTACAGGCGTGAGCTACTGCACCTGACCAATATCAATGTACTTTTGTTTGTACCTCTTCTCTACACTTCACATGATTTAAAACGACAACTATATAAAACAATAATTATGAAGGTATTGAAGAACGTACGATGTATAAAAATGTACTCTGTTTGACAATAGTAGCACAAAAGAAGGGGAAGAAATAGAGGTGTATACAAGAAAAGTTTTTGTATACTTTGAAAATTAAGTAGGTATTAATCAGAACTAGATTTTTTAAACTTTTATTTTTGACTGACACATAGTAATTATACATACTTGTGGGGTACAATGTGATGTTATGATACATGCATACATTGTGTAATGATTGAATCAGAGCGATTAGCATGCCCATCACCTTAAACATTGATCATTTCTTTGTGATAAGAACATTCAAAATCTTTTTTTCTAGTGATTTTGAAATATATAATACATTATTATTAACTATAGTCATCCTACTATGCAATAGAACACCAGAACTTATTCCTCATATCTAACTAATTTTGTACCTGTTGGCCAACATCTCCACATCCTTTCCTGCCCCCTCCCATCTACATCCTCTGGCAATCACTACTCTCTCAACTTCTATGGGATCAACTTTTCTTAGATTCCACATATGAACAAGATCAGATGGTATTTGTCTTTCTGTGCCTAGCTTATTTCGCTTAACACAATGTCCTCTAGATTCATCCATGTTGTCACAAATGACAGGATTTCACTCCTTTTTATGGTTGAGTAGTATTCCATTTGTGTATATATACCACATTTTAAAAATTTATTCTTCTTTTGATGAACACTCAGGTTGGTTTCATATCTTGGCCATTGTGGATAAACATGGGGGTTTACTGCAATAAACATGGGAATGCTGATGTCTCTTCAACACACTGATTTTATTTCCTTTGGATATATACATATAGAGTAGAAACATTGCTGAATCACAGTAATGAGTTCTATTTTTAATTTTTTAAGGATTTCGATCTTGCTTTCCCTAATGACTGTACTAATTTATATTCCCACCAATAGTGTGTAAGAGTTCCCTTTTGTCCAAGAACTAGATTATTTTAAGATAATATGTTAATTATAATCCCCAGAGTAATCACTAAGAAAATAACTGAAAACATATAGTAAAATAAACAACAAGCAATTAAAATGTCATACTAGAAAATGTAAATGTAAAACAAAAGAAGACAGTAATGGAGGTACAAAAGAAGAAAAAATATATTAAAAATGTAGAGTAAAAAGGCAAAAGAGCAGACAAATTCTACATTATCAATAATTACACTGACAATAAATGAAACACTTCAATCAAAAGGCAGATATTGGCAGAATGGATTTAAAACATATAATCCAAGGATATGCTGTCTACAAGGAAAAATGACTTATATTAAAAGAAACAAATAGTTTAAAGGTAAAAGGAGGAAAAAAGCTATGCTATGCAAACAGTAACCCAAAGAGAGCTACAGTAGCTCTACTAACATAGACAAATTGTTGCTAGAGACAAAGATGGACAGTTTATAATGCATAAAGGAGTCAATTCATCAGGAAGATACAAGAATTGAAAACATACATGTATCTAACAACAGCGCACAAGATGCATTAAACAAAAACTGAGAGCATTGAAGGGAGAAACATAATATAAAAATAACAGTTGGGGACCCCACTTTTAATAATGAACAGAACAACACGGCAGTGGGTTAAGAAGGAAATAGAAGCTTGAACAACACTGTAAGCCAAGTAGATATGGCAGACATCTATAGAATACTCCACCCCAAATCATCAAAATATACATTCTTTTCAAATGCAGATGGAACATTCTCCAGGATAAACAATACGTCAGGACATAAGACATACCTCAGTAAACTTGAAAGGCATAAAATCGTACGAAGTATGTTCTCTGACTTTGAGGAAATGAAATCAGAAATCAATAACAGAAGAAATTGAAATCAGAGGAAAATTCAAAAAATTGACAAATAAGTGGAAATTTAATAAGTAGAAGTAATGGTAGGCTTGATACTGGGTACAGTGTACACTGCTCAAGTGATGGGTGAACCAAAATGTCAGAAATCACCACTAAATAATTTATCCATGTAACCAAAAACCACCTGTACCTCAAAAACTATGGAAATAAAATGAAAGAAGTAGTGGTAGGTTGGGGTTGTTCTATGACTTCCTCAACTAAATGACAGGGATCATTAGGGTATTATCATCCCCTCCTCTCCCCTCCCTTCTCCTCCCCTCTCCTCTCCTCTCTCCTCTCCAACACAGTCACTTTCTTTCACCCAGGCTGGAGTGCAGTGGCACCATCTCACCTCACTGCAACCCCTGCCTCTAGGGTTCAAGTGATTCTCCTGCCTCAGCCTCCTGAGTAGCTGGGACTACAGGTGCGCACCACCACACTTGGCTAATTTTTGTATTTTTAGTAGAGATGGGGTTTCACCATGTTGGCCAGGCTGGTCTCAAACTCCTGACCTCAAGTGATCTGCCCACCTTGACATCCCAAAGTGCTGGGATTACAGGCATGAGCCACCACACCCAGCCTATTATCATTCAGTTCTAAATATTTACACATTTTAGTATGCTTATTTGAGTTATGAGTTGTGTTGAATTGGGATTTTTCTAATTTCTAGTTTTGCTATCTTTTTGCTATTTATTCTAAATTACATTTTGGTCAGAGAATGTGGTCTGTGTGATATGTATTCTCTGAAATGTGTTGAAAATTTATGTCCCAGTATGTGATTGGTGCTTATTAATTAATGTTTTTTTCTTTGCTTGAAATTAACATGTATTATCCAATTAGTGCTGGCAACACTTTGTTCATTAAATCAAGCTTGTTAATTGTATTGCTTTAATATTTTATCATTTCTGGGTTTTTTCTTTGCCAGATCCATAAATGACAGACAGAGATTTAAAATGTGTCACTACAAGGGTGGATCTGTCAATTTATACTTAGAGTTCTGTCAATTTTCTCTTTATTTTGGGGTTCTGTTATGCTGAATTTAATCATTTCTTCCCCATATTTAGTAAGGGACTTTATAAAACTCTAGTAATGTTTTCTACATTAAACACTTTTTTCCTTTTTATATGAATGTAGTAATTATATCCACTTCCCCCCCAGCTCTATTTTAGAGTAGTATAATTTCAAGCTTACAAAAAAGTTTTATAAGGAATACAAATGCTCTAATGTCTCCTTCACCCAGATCCCCAAATTGTCAGGATTTTACCACATTTGATTTTCCCCCCTCCAACCTCAGTGGGGCAACTTCCTTAAAGACAAGGAAGAAATAGAAGAAGAGAGGAAGGAAAGGGAAGGAGAAAGAAAGAAATGAATACCAGTTTTTCTTTAGTTATTTGCCTGGTATACAATTTCCCTTTTAAAAAATTTTAGTGACTCCTTTTTATAATGTTCTTACACACATAATATCACTGGATTTTTGTTAATCTAGCCCAATAATCTCTGTGTCTAAGTGTAGAGTGCAGTCCACTTTTATTATAACTTTTGATATATTTGGGCGTATACCTGCCATCTTGTTTTGTGTTTTCTATTTGTAAAAGAACTCTTGGTTTTTCCTTTTTCTCTCTTGCCTTTCTTTGCATTACTACTGTGGAAATAAAATGTTCTACTTATTATGGTTACTCTAGAAATATACTATATTTAATAAAGTCTAAAATTAGTCATTATCAGCCAAGCACCGTGGCTCACGCCTGTAATCCCAGCACTTTGGGAGGCTGAGGCAGGCAGATTACCTGAGGTCAGGAGTTTGAGACCAGCCTGGCCAACATGGTGAAACCCCATCTCTACTAAAAATACAAACATTAGCCAGGTGTGGTGGTGTGTGCCTGTAATTCCAGCTACTTGGGAGGCTGAGTCAGGAGAATTGCTTGAGCCTCGGGAGACAGAGGTTGCAGTGAGCAGAGATCGCGTCACTGCACTCCAGCGATAGAGCGGGACCTTGTCTCAGTAAATAAATAAGATAAAATTAGTCATTATCTTTACCTTTCTCCTGCACAATACAATGATGTTAGGACACTACCCTGAGTCACAGGCGTCCTGATGCACTTACTATTGCTGTCCAGCAGTGTCAATGAGAGCCACCAACCTTTATTAGTGGGCTTGCAGTTAGGAATTATAAGAAGAAATTTTTTCTCCTTTTAGTCAGAAGCAAGGTTGATACAACCAGGTTTCTTTTCTGTTCCCTTCTGCAGGGCAAGTTTATTTCTACTTCACCTTTACCCTGACTGTGTATCTCTCTAGGGTCCTGGCTTCCTGTAAGGGCTCCTATCAGTCTCTCTTGTTACCTTAGGCAGGTTCCAGGTTTGGTCTCTTAGTCCTTGACCTTGCACGGCCTACAAAATGGAAGCAACAGTGGCCAGGGTTTGGCACTTTGGCATTTGGACAAGTTACCTGTGAGTAAAGAGTTATATCAGGCTTGGGCTGATGAAGGCCTGCAGAAAACAGCAGAGCTCAGATGAACAGGGAAGGTAGTGTCTACTTGTTTGTTGTATGACAGTCAACACTTGCATCATGGGAGGTATTAGCTGGCATACAGCACGTGAATCCTCATAACTAGAGAGGTTTAAAAGATTGGCGAAATATGGAGGCTGTGGCTTCTGTGTGTCAAGGTGACCTACACACCTTGCCTGTTGTCTCTGGCAGCCCCATGTGGGTAAGTGGGTGAGAATTGTGTAGTTGGCCTCATGCCGGGTCAGTCGATGAGACAAAGATGCTGCACCTGATGTATCTGCTGCCTGGGATCCTTCTATAATTCTAAGTCAACAGAATATTTGATAAAAGGCTATTTGGGTCTCCTAAGTCTAACTGCAAACTCAAACCCATAATTCAGCCATGATGTTGTATTGCTTGAATGCCCTATGCCTCTATTTCTTTACTTGTATGAATCCCATAGATTTTAAGAGCTGTGTACCTAGCCCAAAATAACTGCTACATAACTATTAGTTGCTATTACTACTATACTCATTATCTTACTGAACAATTGTGGTTGTTTTCAGTAGGAGGGTGGTTTAGTTTCCCTAGTCCATCACGCTGCAGAAAATAGAAGCCCGTACATTTGATCACAAGCAGGACTATGCAGCTAGCTGTGTTACCTGAGGCAAATTACTTGACCTCTTAGTTGGGAGGAGGCTGGAGAATTCTGCTTCCATCAGTCTCTCCCTCTCGGGTACTGCCACACAATGCATTAAGATGGTTTGTAAGAAGAGTCTGCAATCTGTACTCTCTCCTTGTCTCTCAATTGCATTCTGTCTCTATCTTTTCCTCCCCCTCCTTGATATTTTAAAAGCATTGTAATGGACTAAGCAAAAATGTATGAAGATACTTTACAGAGAGGGAAGTAAAATGAAGTGACTTTATAGTCCACTATACTAATGGTCTCCAACTCCAATGCCTGTAGGAGTGAGACAGGTAACATAAGTAGATGAGGTATGCTGGGCCAGACAGTAGCGAATGGTGGGGACTGTGGCGAATGGGAGAGCACAGGCCTCATTCCAAAGGGTGCCACTCCTACCCAGCTCTAGCCAACTGCTACCATGCGGGAATGTGGGTCCAGAATAGTCTTTTCTGAATTTTTCCCAAAAGACAGAAATAGTAGTTTGTTTTGGTGAAATCTCCTAACTTTTAAATATTGAAAGTATTTCATACTCTGTTTTAAAACCATTCTGTGGCTGGGCACTGTGGCTCACACCTATAATCCCAGCACTTTGGGAGGCCAAGGTGAGTTGATAACTTGAGGTCAGGAGTTCGAGGTCAGCCTGGCCAAGGTGGTGAAACCCCATCTCTACTAAAAACACAAAAATTAGCGAGGCGTGGTGGCAAGCACCTGTAGTCCCAGCTACTCGGGAGGCTGAGGCAGGAGAATCGCTTGAACCCAAAGGATGAAGGTTGCAGTGAGCCGAGGTCACACTGCTGCACTCCAGCCTGGGCAAAAGAGGGAGACTCTGTCTAAAATAAATAAATTAATAAATAAAAATAAAACCATTCTGCTTGCCTAACAAACACATTGGTAAGTTCTCTTCAGCTCATGGACTGTCATTTTGCAATGTGTGAGTGAAACTCTTCTTGTTCGTTTTTCTAGGGTTAGGTAATTATAATAAATCTCTGGATATAAATACTCATTTAAAATACCTTTGTTAGTAGCTACTTTACCATAATATATAATGAATAAAATTCAATAGTAAGAGTTTTACTTCACTAACGATGACATAAAATTAACGATAATCCAATTGTCTGGGAGTTAATCCATTGTGGGGTAAAGTAATATTCTTTCTCTTGTGGAAAATTGTAGTAAAATGTGATGTATTTTTAGAAGAATCACTGGCAAGTGGAATAGGGAATAAAAAGAAATATAAAATAGACCTGCATTTAAAATAATAGCACATAGAAAAAGAATTAGAGAAAAGATAGATCTAATGACATGATGTCAGACTTATAAAAAGCGTATGAATATATATTCTCCCGAACACAAATACCAATTCTTTCTTGGCTTTAGGAATTGCCTCTAAAAATATTACATCTTCCTTTAAAGCAGGTTATAATTCAAATGAGTATGTGCAAACACAGCAAACCTCAGAAGTTATAACATATCCCACAGGTAGCACTTTTCACCTGGTAAAGTGAGAAAACTACTTCAGGGTCCCATATCCAGGAGAGCAATTCAACCTGGAGAAAACAGGAGATGCCAGCATTAGGCTGGGACTGGCTTTTACTGAGTTTGAGATGGAGTCCTGATTACAGGTGCTGAGTGAGATGCTTTCTAAAGGACGAGGGAAGCAGTTGGAAAATAGTGGTGCTACAAGTCTGATGAGTCTTATTTCTAATAAAAAGGAGGGGAGCCAATACTTTTCATATCTGAGAATTGCAGAGAATGTACTTGGGAGTAGGCAATTGTTGAGTTTCATCACTGAAAACATTAATGGGTAAACATAAGCATTCTAAGTCATTGTTCTCTGTCTGACTACCTATAGAAATGAAATAACACTACCTGGGTGACAGTATTAGTTTCCCAGAGCTGCCGTAACAAAGTACCAAAAACCATGTGGCTTAAAACAACCAAAATGTTTAGTCTTATAGTTCTGGAGGCTAGAAGTCTGAAATTAAGGTGTCATCAGGACTATGTTCCCTCTGAAGGCTCCAGGGAAGAATCCTTCCTTGCCCCTCTTCTCAGCTTCTGATAGCTCCCAGCAATCCTTGACTCATGGCTTCATCACTCCAATGTCTGCCTCCATCTTCACGTAGCCTTCTCCATGTGCCTTCGTACGTTCAGATCCTTCTCTTCTTGGAAGGCAGTCATTAATGTACAGCCCACCCTGATTTAGTAAAAACTCCTCTTCACTTGATTACATCTGCAAAGACTCTATTTCCAAAAAAGGTCATATTCACAGTACAGATTGAATATCCCTAATCTGAAAAATCAAAATCCAAAGTGTTCCAAAATTTGAAACTTTTTGAGTGCTGACGTGACACCACAAGTGGAAAATTACATTGCACACTAGACCTCATGTGACGAGTTGCAGTTAAAATGCAGGCACATGACACACATTTTATTCAATGCTCCCAAGGGAAAAAAAGATGACCATAAATGACCTGAGGAAACAGAAAGATAAACGATTGCAGTTCTATGCTGAAAGTGATGAATGGACGTTAATGAAAAATAGGAAAACACTGCATAAAACTAAAAGCGAAGATTTTCATTGTGTATTGAAAGGGAGGATCCATCAGCATCGCAGTGAATACACACCACTTAATTGTTTGCTGATCATAAAACAAGCAAAGATCTATCATGATGAACTGAAAATTGAAGGGAATTATAAATATTCAACAGGCTGGCTGCAGAAATTTAAGAAAAGACACAGCATTAAATTTCTGAAGATTTGTGGTGATAGAGCATCTGCTGGTCACAAAGCAACAGAGAAATTCATTGATGAATTTGCCAGAGTCATCATTGATGAAAATCTGATGCCAGAACAAGTCTATAATGCTAATGAAACATCACTGTTTTTGTGTTATTACCCCAGAAAGATACTACAGGCAATTAAACAGCTCTTACAAAATTAAGGGTGCCAAGGACAGAATAACTGTGCTAGAATGTGCTAATGCAGCAAGCACACATAAGTGTAAATTTGCTGTAATAGAGGAACGCTTGCATCCTTGCTCCTTTCAAGCCATGAAGTAGTGACTTTCTTATCAGCCTATTATGCTAACAAAAGGCATGGGTCACCAGGAACATCTTTTCTGATTGGTTTCCCCAACATTTTGTGCCAGTGATACATGCTCATCGCAGGGAAGCTAGACCAGATGGTGACTGAAAGATTTTGTTATTTCTTGACAACTGTTCTGCTCATCCTTCAGCTGAAATTCTCATAAAAAATGTTTATGCCATGTACTTTACCCCAAATGTTACTTTATTAATTCAGTCATGTGACCAGGGTATTCTTAGATCAATGAGAAATAAATGTAAAAACACCTTCTTGAGAAGCATGCTAGCAGCAGTGAACAGAGGCGTGGATGATAGAAGGCTTTCAAAAGAAGCTTAGCATGAAGATGTCATGTATGTGGTTGCCCATACTTGGAACACAATGACTAAAGACACAGTTGTGCATACCTGGAACACGCTCTGTCCTGCAACTATGTTAAGTGATGATGATGAGCAAGATAATTATTTATGTTAAGTGAGGAAGAAAAATGATGGTATGACCTCCTTACAGATGCAAAAACTATACCTTCAGAGTCCGTTAGTAAGCTGGGAGAAGTGGATATTGAAGATTTTCAACATCCATAATGAGGCTCCAGGTGTTCATTTATTGAACAATGGTGAAATAGCCAAAATGGTTTTGAATCAGGGTGACAGTGATAATAGTGATGATGAAGATGATGATAACACTGAAGCAAAAGTGCCTATAGATGACATGGTGAAAATGTATAATGGGCTTGTTGAAGGACTAGAGCAGCATGTATTCATAACAGGACAAGAAATGACACCAGTTTATAAAATCAAAGAGCAATTTCCAGGACAAAAACCCTTGTCAAGGAGGCATATGACTATGGAGGGAACATTTTAAAAGGCCACAGTAGAATGCCTCCTCACCCCTAGAAGACACACTTCCTGGTCCCTCAACTTCTCCTGATGTTTTTGTTTTACTTAAAAAATACAGTGTACAGTAACATTTTAATCACAACACAGTATTATAGGTGGAGACTAATGGAGACTAAAAGCCTGTTGCTGTTTATTGTTGCCCGATGCAGATATTCTGATGATGCTACTCTGCTGCTTAGCTACCTTGAGCACATTTTTTTTTTTTTACTGCGTTGATGGTATATCATGTTTTTCACTGTTACGTTTGAAGAAGTGTAAGAAAATGATTGCTTTTCTGTGGCATATAAATTAACAATCAGGATGATGGTGATGTCTAACAACCACAGATTGTCCACATTGGGTGACTGAGATAGTGACAGCTTTGCTTTGTATACATATTTTTGTTTCATGCACAAAATTATTTAAAATATTGCATGAAATTACCTTCAGGCTATGTGTATAAGGTGTACATGAAACATAAATGAGTTTTTTTGTTTAGACTTGGGTTTCATCCTCAAAATATATTATTATGTATATGCAAATATTTCAAAATCTGAAAAAATAATTCAAAACCCAAAACACTTCAGTACTGGACTTAGGACTTCAACCAAGCTTTTTGGAGGACACAGTTCAACCCACAACAATGACCACCGCTTGAATAACTATGTAAAAGGCACATGAAAGAAATGAAATAGAAATCTTGCTTTCAAATATTAGGTTGGTGTAAAACTAATTGTGGATTTTACCTTTTTTTAACTTCCATTATATGAAAGATCTGACACAGATACAGATACAATTTAAATACAATCCTATGCATAAAATATGGAGAATATCATTTTAGAGCTTGAAATGATCTTCAAAATCATCTTTCCAGAGCCTTCATTTTACATATGAAAAATTGTGGTGAACTGGAACTATCTTTGTTTTATTACTATACAGAATATTTATAGATATTCTAATTTATTGATCTTTTCATTTTCCTTTTGCTATATCCATCAAGGTATTTCCCAGCCCAGAATTTTAATATTATAAATCAATATTACTTTATAATTTGTTTTTTACACTTAAAACTTGTGCGAATTATAATATAGAATGCTCATTAATGCTTTTCTCCAAATCAATTAAATAGTTAAATAATGTTTAGCTAACTTATTATTTCTTTGCTGACTATAAATATGATGATCTTCCTCAATCTGCTTCTTTATGCTGTTTTTTTTTTTTTCACGGATTTGTCAATTCCTGAGTCAGATGCAAACTATTTTAATTTCTGTGGTTTTACAATATGGTGCAATATATGATAAAGTAGGTCTTTTCAATCTTTTTTCAAACATATTTTGGTCGATCTCAAGTTGTTCTTCAAGTAGAATTTTAGCATTTTTTTTACAGTTCTGAAAAGATTTTGTTTGGAGTTATGGTTGAGATTGCATTACATTTATGGACTCCTGCCAGGGCACATCAGAGACAGAGCAGGCTAAGGAAGTGTTTACATGGAGGGGAAGTCTGGAGTGGAGTGTCAGAGCCCAAATAAGGGGAAGAGGGAACCATTGCATAGCTATTGCTTGGTATTGCATGACAAAGCTTGAGTAGGGCATGGAGAGTTTCCACAAAGCGGGGATGCCCCAGTGGAGAAAGTCAGAACATGACATCAGGTCTATGTTATTCCTACCAAAGATGCATTACTTAAATTCAGTCCTAAGGAAGCATCAGACAAGCCCAGTGTAAGGAACACTCTACAAAACAACTGGCCAATAGTCTTCAAAAGGATCAAGATCATGAAGTTATCGGAAAACTAAGGAACTGTTAAACACTGAAGGAGAATAAGGAGATACTATGATGAAATGCCATGCATTCTGAGCTGAATGTTTTTGCTATAATTTTGTTTTTTGAGTCAGTGTCTCACTCTGTTGCCCAGGCTGGAGTGCAGTGGTGCAATCTCGGCTCACTGCAGCCTCTACCTCCTGGGCTCAAGTGATCCTCTTGCCTCAGCCTCTCGAGTAGCTGGGACTACAGGAATGCACCACCACACCTGGCTAATTTTTGTTTGTTTTGTGGAGACGGGGTTTCGCCACATTGCCCAGGCTGGTCTCAAACTCCTGGGCTCCAGCGATCTCCCTGCCTCAGCTTCCCAAAGTGCTGGGGTTACAGGCATGAGCCACCATACCCAGCAGCTATAAAATATTATTGAGACAATTGGTGAAACTTGAATATTGGGTTTGATGATTAGATGGTAGTAATATATCCATGTTAATTTCTCAATCATAATAATTGTACTGCCAGTATGTAGACCATCCTTCTCTGAAGAAATATACATTCAAAGTTTAGATGATGGGGAAACAGGAAAGCAACTGACCCTCAAATAATTCAGAAAAAATACAGGTCATTGATTATTCAACTTTTCTATAACTATGTGATTGCTTCAAAAATAATTTTTAAAGCAGGAAGCAATTAAGTGTTGAATGTTAATTTATAGACTAATTTGAGAGAGAATTTAATGTTTTTGGGATGAAATTGGAGAGAAAATTTAATGTTTTCAAGATTAAATTTTCCCTTCCAGGAATATCTAATATATATCTCTATTCAAGATTTTAAAAGAGACTCTCCAGTGTTGTTTCTTCCATACAGGACTTGTACATTTCCCTGTTAGGTATTTTATAATATTTTTATTGTTGCAAATGGGTCTTTTTTCCATTTGAAGCTTTTTTGTTTTTGCTGTCACATGAAAAACCAATTGACATTCATAGGTTTATTTTGCACCTTTGGCAGTCAGCCTACTTCTGACCTTTCTTTAGTTCTGCTATATCTTTAGTTCTTGCTCTTGTATTTCTTAGCACTAAATTATATATCTGCAAATAATTTTAGTTTTATCTCTTCATTTTGCAAGTTTGTACCTTATTTCTTTTCTTATTTCTAGTGATTCCAGAATAATGTAATACATGGTTTTTTAAAATCTAGTTTTTAATTGATAATTGTTGTACATATTTATGGGGTACATAGTCATGTTTTGATACATAATAATGTATAATGATCAGATAATGGCAATTAGTTTTAAAAGCTGTTATCCTTGTCTTAATCTGGGCTCCAGTAGGAATGCCAGTCATGGTTTCCTGTTAGCTCTGATATTTACTATTTATTTTTAATAGATAACCTTTATCAGAGTACAAAAGTATCCTTTTATTCCTTAGCTTGCTAATAATTTTTTTCCCTATGAATTGGATATTGAATTTGATCAAATATCATTGTGGCAATTATCAAGACATTTATATGACTTTTCTTACTTAACCCGGTTGATTAATTAAATACATAGATTTCTTAAAGTTGACTCATTCATGAATTCTTGGAAATCATTCATCTTTGGGGTTTACATAGCATTGGGTTTAATGTGATAATGTTTTAGTAGGATTTTTACAACTATATTTATAAACAATATTTGTCTTTATTTGTTCACATCTATTATGTTCTTGTTAATTTTTAACTTTAAGGTAGTGGTAACCTCATAAAATTAACTGGAGAACATTCCAATTTTTCTGTCTTCTATAATTGCACAGATAACATAGGCTTTAATTAAACCTTTGATGAATAGAGAGACATTGCTCCTAAACCATGAGGGTCTATTGTCTTTCTTTTCTTTTCCTCATGATTTTTTAACATTTTTGGTTTCTTTCTTGGTTATTATGCTATGCAAATCTGCTGTGCTCTTGAGTCTACAGTTTCCTGGAAAATTATCTCTTTGCTATATATTCTAACTTCTTTTTGTTTTTCTTAAAAGCAGATGAAATGCAGTATTCTAGCTTCTTTTGCTCCCTTGCTGTCTTATCAAAGTTTCCTTTGATACTTTCTAGTGATTTGAAAGTTACATGTCCAATTTCTATTTTCCTGGTTATCTTTACATTAACAATATGTTTGAACTCACATTTCTCTGCCATTCTAAAGAACAAAATAATATCTACTTACTCACCTCATGCTGTCTCCCACTCCTTCCCAAAGAAGCTAAAAAGTTTGGGAGGCCAAAGAAGAGGATCATGAAGGGAGGAGTTCGAGACCAGCCTGACCAACATGGTGAAACCCTGTTTCTACTAAAAATACAAAAATTAGCCAGGTGTGGGGCTGTGCACCTGTAATCCCAGCTATTCAGGAGGCTGAGGCAGGAGAATTGGTTGAACCCGGGAGGCGGAGGTTGCAGTGAGCTGACATCGCACCATTGCATTCCAGCCTGGGTGACACAGCGAGACTGTGTCTCAAGAAAAAAAAGAATTAACATGTTTTACATCCCTCTTTCTCCAATCTCTTCCTAGATTTTACTTAAGTAGCTCCAGGTTATTTTTAAAAAATATTATACACTTTTATTTTAAAATGTATATTATTGCTTTACTCTTCAAAACCATAATAAATTCTTACTAAAGTACGTATTTTTAATCATCAAGTAATATAGGAATATATTCTAATTGTAAAAGTTTAATCCTTCTACATACACCTAAAGTCTTTTATCACCACCTGCAATGCCTGTGCTTTCCAAAGAAGGTATTACTGTTATAAATTTGGTATATATCTTTGCAAATATATGATGATACATGGCCTATACACCCAATTATATAGGTATATGCAATATTTTTAATAAATAGTTTAGTGTGGCTTAAATGATTATGTAACATCCTTTCTTAAAAACTGACCAATATGCTTTGGAGTTTTTTTCATGTCAGTATGCATAGTTTTACTTTACTTGTTTGAACTGTGGCATCCCATAGTACGAATGCACCATAATGTATTCAGCCATTCCCCTGTTGCTAGGCAGGTAAGTAATTGTTGTTTTGAAGTTATTACAATGTTCCAGTGAGTACATGTACAAGTGTTTCATGTACATGTGTCAGCTGGGCTTTAATCTAGGGAATAGAAAGTGCTCTAGGTTTTCCAAACATGAAAGAATTCAATATAGAAGTAAGTTGTCAATAAAATAATTATACATGTAGAAGACAGGTTTTATTCTGTTGGAACTTTTACTTCAATTTTAACCATTGTTGATGTGACTCTAGGATTAGGCAGTTGCTGCTGCTACTGCTACCAGAACTGGGGCCAGCACCCATATCCATGGAACTGGTGACAAGACAGTGGATTATAAAATTTGCCCACTGCAAACCTTCTCACCCATTAGAGCTTTCTTGTGGGTCCATACAGTTGCAGAGGGATGGTGCATTCCTCCCTTCTGCCTTTAAAAAAGCTCAAGAAAAATGCATCTAATTGGCAGAACCAAGTTTACATGTAGAAACCTAGCAGCAAGAGTGTGAGAAATAAAGTTTTTAGCTTTCTAATATCTTCACATAGAAAAAAGGAATGAACTAGGAGTTAAGACAGCCAAACCAGTTATCTCTCACAGTCTAAAATTTCGACTACTCAGTATTCATAAACAAGTTTGTATGCTTAGGAAATCTTCCAGATGCCCACGTTGGCAACAGTGTATTCCCACCCAACGTTACACAACTCTGCCTCATACAAATAAAACACATTTCCCCTCTTCCCAAAGAAAAGACCCAAATCCCATCAAAAGCTGTATCCATCCCTGATGATCATTCTTTTCTCTAGTTCAGTCATAAACCTATCTTGCTATCCTATAACCCAAATTAAATTACAGTTAACCACAACCTCAAAAAAACAGAATGAAGAACAGAGAAGAGAAAATACAAAATTGGTTAATACATACATTTGTACAATGCAAGGAGAAAAATATGTGCAGCTATTATGATAGTCCTCAGTCCTGCAACAGGTCATAAAAACACAGTTGGTATTTATAATTTCCTTCGTTCATTACCAATTGTATGGATCAATTCACTCTCAGTCAGCAACTCAGTGGTAAGAGTTGTACGTCTGGCAGACTGACCCAAGTCTTCTCCCTAAGTGCCCATGTCCTTCCTGGTTTTGCCTGTATTGAGTTGTATGGTTTTCCATTCATCTTTTCTATTGGACCTAGAGATTCTAGGAGACACCCCAGGGAATTCTCTGAATTATAAATACTCCTTCCTATCTTTGATATGCCCCAGTAACTCCATTTCTGCTTGATAATCAAGGTCCATCAGCCAAGCTAGAGCAGTAAACCTCTTCTTTGTCTATCAGTTCAGTAGCATGAGAAACCCAAAGTAGCGTCAAGTGGCTAACTCACCATTTAGTTCAGTGAAACCATTGTTGTGTCTTTGGTGGAAGTAGCCCTGCATTGGGAAATGAGGTGCTTAACCCAGCAGAGGTCAAATATGTGGGAATGGGGAGCAAAATGTTTTCAAGTGAATAATTAGATATAATCATAAAAGAAGCCACTTCCATGTCACATCTTTGACTCCCTGATGCTCCTATTTAATCTTCAGGGAGCTGGCACCATCACGTAGGACTGCCCCCAATATCACTGGGTGTTATCTTTCAGCAGATGCATAAGTGAGTTTTCAGTGGACCATCCAGCATTGCATAAGGTGTTTGGAAAATATGGTAAGATTCATAAATCTTAGAACAGTGAGCCCATTGTCACATTTATTTTTAATATAAAGTGAGTTCTTTGGGTAGAAGGAATGTTGAGTGAAATACAATGACAAAGAACATTTACTATAAGCATATGGATGGTGACTGTAGCAGAAGCACTTGGAGAGGGGAAATCCATAGCTTGAATGAGATTATTTTCTATGAGTTACATATAGTAGAGTAGGTACAAGCAGGTCATGGGAAAATTTCGTGAGCTCCAACTGCAGAATGCCCACTCATAGATTTGACAGTCAGCTGGCACGCAGAAGTCTGGCCATGTCTAATGTGAAAATATTTAAATACCTGGGTACTGGATAGTAAACAGTACTTCCCTGAGCCCCTTAACCCTTTCCTTCTCTGAACTCCCAGGCTGCCCTGGGTTCCTCCTTTCAGATCCAGGCAGCAGGGTAAGCAAAAATGTAAATGATCTGCTTTTGTTATGGTATAATAACACTGTTATTGTTATCTTAGGGATAAAAAAAAAGAGAATACAGCTCAGGAATTTCACTTTTGCTCACACATGATCCCTGGCATTCCAAAATCAGTTTAGATGGAAACCTCCTTCATATTGAATAGTAACGTTGGTAGTTTTTCCTGCTCTGTCTGTATATCTTGTGAATACATAGAACTCCTCACCATATTTTGTTTGATAAACTAACATTTTGTAAATTATGCTTTGATTTGAAACTTTTTCTCTGAGTTCCAACCTGAGACTGAGGCTCAGGACTTGACTTTACCTTTTCTGGGCTTGTCCTATCCCACGTTAATGAGGTTGTGGAAAGGAAGGGGAGGGATGTTTTATGGCTGGCTGTCTTAGTTTGGGCTGCCATAACAAAGTACCATAGACTGGGTGGCTTTAATAAAAGAAATGTATTTCTCATAGTCCTGGAGGATAGATGACTGAGGTCAGGGTACCAGCATGGTTGGGTGCTGGTGAGGGCTCTCTTCCTGTTGCAAACTGCCAAGTTCTCATTGTATTCTCACACGGCAGATAGAGAGCAAGAGAGCTCTTTGGGGTCCGTTTTATAAGGGTACTAATGTCATTCATGAAGGCTCCACCATCATAAACTATTCACCTCCCAAATGCCTCACCTCCTAATACCATCACATTGGGGTCAGAATTTCAATATATAAATTTTAGGAAGACACAGACATTCAGTTCATTGCACTGGCTTTCTTGTCAGGCTCTCCCTCCAGAGCAAGACAATGGTGAATTGGCAGGTAGGTTCATCATTCACTTCTCACCATGCCCCTTTCTGCTTACACACACACACACACACAAACATATCTTCCAGAGAACTTCCCAGTCCTCGTGTATATGCTGCCATCGTACCCTGGCTTACAGCAGAGTCATGGAGTTTATTCTCCTGTAGAATCATCTTGCCTCAGTGGGAAAGTAGGGGAGGGAAGGAATGAGTCCTACAGGTGAGGCTGCCATGTCTGTCTCAAAGAGTCCTTGATGAAGTTTATTTAAAAACGTATAATATTCTGATAATAAAAGTAATACCTGGACATAGAAAAAAGTATAGCATAAAAATACGTAGGAAATAAAACTTTCCCTTATTCTTATTCTCGTCTCCAGTGATAGCTCTTAGCATCAGTTTTACATCATAAACACACACACACACATATACATATACATGTATATACACTATATCATAGTAATTTATTGGTATATTTACCAAGGAGAATATTAGTATACAGTTGCACATTTTTAAATTTAATAATATATTTATTTATTCCTACAGATAATCTTATTCTTTTAAACAGTGTTATAGTATGCAGTGTAATTTATCTAAATCAATGCAGTATTAATAGATATCTAGTAGTTTATACATTTTGCTTTTTGATATCTGTGTACATGTGATAAGGTAGAAATGTCATCTTTTCCCCTTTGGGTCTTAGACTCTTCTCAGGGGCTAGCAAAATATAGGGGCCACCTAAATGTATGGATTCATCAATGTGCTTAGAAAGCTAGATTTGCTTAAGGGTGTTAACTCAGAATCATTTTAAAGCAAAACAGGTTTCTTTATTTTTATTTGGAGAAGAGAAAATTGAAGTGTGTGGTGTTGATGGGTGCAGTTTGTGTACTGTTATTCCTTAAATTAATGTCTAGCTCTTTAAAGAATGCACCTATCTATAAAGCACACTAAAATTAACCTTTATTTTTGTCTTCAAAGAAAATAATCTGCACAATGATATTTCAACTGAACACATGAACACACACACCGCAGAAGTTTCAACTACTTAGGTTAGAAAGGTTTTTATACTCTACTTGTAATAACTAAATTTTTGGGCACTGAACCATTGCATCATCAATTTTCATTTCTTTTTATTTTACTTCGAGATGGCCTGGTTCTAAGTTGACCAAGTCGCACATTTAAAATAATTAGAAGTTTCATATCGCAGAAGAAAAATACTCTTTTCTCCACCTTGGAGTGTGTCCTTTTCTCCATTCATTTATCACCATAATACTGAAAAAAATAGTAAACCAAAGCAGCGTTTCACATCTACCCTTCTTGCTTCAAACATCCAAAATGCAACTTTTGAGTATACCTGAGCTTCTGCATGTACTCTTGGAAGAGGCATTAAAATAATTAAATATTCTCGAAATTGCATTTATAAATAATGTTTGTATATTTGTAATCTTTTAAGAGTACTTTATGCTGGAAAGGTGCCAGAATACAACAGTTTGTACAAATGACAAACCAAGGTGAAGGAAGAAAAGCATGTGCTGATAAAAGGAAACATCACTTATTTGAAGACAGTAGGTGATGCCCATTGGTCTTAGTGAGGTCGCACTAGCCTGTGACTGCTCTTCTTCTGCAATCTACACTTCCTACACCCTTCACTTCCCATCTCTACCAATTTTTCCTGTAGATACATTGCACCCATACGTATTTCTCCAATTGCAAGTGATGAAGACCTGAGAATATCCAGGCACAAAGAATTAAGTGGCGGCTATCTTGCAGGGAGAACTCGTTGTTGGGTTTACTTTGCTCCTTACAGAAAATTAAGAAAGTATTGATTGCATATGGAGATCGAGATCATCCTGGCGAACACAGTGAAACCTTGTCTCTACTAAAAATACAAAAAAATTAGCCGGGCATGGTGGCAGGCGCCTGTAGTCCCAGCTACTCAGGAGGCTGAGGCAGGAGAATGGCATGAACCTGGGGGGCGGAGCTTGCAGTGAGCGCAGATTGCGCCACAGCACTCCAGCCTGGGCAACAGAGCTAGACTCCATCTCAAAAAAAAAAAAAAAAAAAA
Source organism: Homo sapiens (assembly GCF_000001405.40). Taxonomy (NCBI): domain Eukaryota; kingdom Metazoa; phylum Chordata; class Mammalia; order Primates; family Hominidae; genus Homo; species Homo sapiens. The sequence continues at coordinate 23,651,827 of NC_000010.11, forward strand.
AGCAAAAGAAAAAATAAAGAATGCCCTTCCCCACCTGCAACCCAGCAACATCATTGCTTTGAGAATGCACAGGATGCTTGAAGAGAATCTGTTGCAGTTCTATTGCTTCACACATAGTGAGACTGAGGCCCAAAAGCTGAATAATGTTAACTGCTTGGTCACAGCAAGCTGAGGGCAGAGCTGGAGTCTCCCATCTCCCACTTCAGTGCTGATATTTACAGAGCGTGTTCAAAATGATCAGCAATGACCACAACCTTGAATCTGGGTTTGGAATGTGCCTTATATCTCAGTGTTGCTATTCCTGATCTTCTAAGAATTCACCTTAAATGAAATAATCAAACCACACAGCAAAGACCTCATCTAACGGGATATTGAGAATTGAAAAAAAAAATTCACTTTTTTACTTTCTCATTGCAACAGCTGTTGAACTCTTCCTACAGTTATGTTGTCATTGAATATCCAAGTATTCTCTCTGCTGCATGACAGTTTCATTGTCTGGATATGCTAAAATGTTTCAACAATGATAATTAGGAAGTTTGTTGTAAATTCTTTTAAATAATTGAAAAAAGATATTCTAAGGAGAATCTGTAATAAGTTAGAAGGTAAGGTGACTGCTTTACCTACGATGACCATTTAATTTTTGGTTATATGGAGAGTTGGAAAAACTGGGATGATGGGATCAAAAGGCCCTCCTTGAAGGTAGAATGTTTTATCTCCTGTCAGTGCATCTTCCTAGTTCTTTATTGGAGAAAAAAATACATGGGTATCTTAACAGTACACCTATTGCTGCCTGAAATGCACATTATTTACCACATGAAGATAAATATTGATGTGAAGGAATTCAATGTTTGTTTGCAACAATACCAAAAGTTGTTTCAGGAAGTGGATTCCCACATAATGACACATCTAGGAGGCCAGATTGAATGCTATGATCTAGGGACAGGCATTACATCTCGAGGTGCAATGATCTAAAGACACAAGAAATGTTGGCCATTTCAGCAGGTGCAAGATTTTCAGTAACAGGACCAGTGCTGCTGGCCACAAGAACTTTCCTCAGTGATAGAAATGTTTTATGTCTGTGTATCTAGCACAATAGAGACACTTGCCACATATGGCCATGGGCACTTTAAAAAATGCTAAATTGGCTGAGTGAAGTGGCTCACATCTATAATCCCAACACTTTGGGAGGCCAAAGCAGAGCGTGGCTTGAGCCCAGGAGTCTGAGACCAGCCTGGGCAACATGGAAAGACCCCATCTTCACAAAAAATTAAAAAATTTAGCCAGCTGTGGTGTTATGCACTTGTAGTCCCAGTTACTCTGGAGACTGAGATGGGAGGGCTGCTTGAGGTCAGAAGGTCAAGGCTGCAGTGAGCCGTGTTCATGCCACTGCATTCCAGCCTGGGTGACAGAATATAAGAGACCCTGTCTCACACAAAAAGAGAAAAAAGAATGGCTAAATGGATAAAATGTGACACATATACACAATGAAATATTATTCAGCTACAAAAAAAATGAGATCCTGTCATTTGTAACAACATGGATGGTGAGATGGTTTGGCTTTGTGTCCCCACCCAAATCTCATCTTGAATTGTAATCCCCAGGTGTTGTATAGACCTGGTGGGAAGTGTAGATTATGGGGGCAGTTCCTTTCATGATGTTCTCATGATAGTAAATAAGTTCTCATGAGATCTGATGGTTTTATAAATGGTAGTTTTTACTGCACTCTCATGCTCTCTCTCGCCTGCCACCATGTAAGATGCGCCTGCTTCCCCTTCAACCATGATTATAAGTTTCCTGAGGCCTCCCCAGCCATGTAGAACTATGAGTCAATTAAACCTCTTTCCTTTGTAAATTACCCAGTGTCAGACAGTTCTTTGTAGCAGTGTGAGAATGGATTAGTACAGATTGTCCTGGAGGAAGTTATGTTAAGTGAAATAAGCCAGGCACAGAAAGACAAATATTGTATGTTCTCACTCATATGTGCAAAATAAAAATTGAAACGACTGAATTCATGAAGATAGAATGGTGGTTACCAGAGGCTGGAAAGGGTAGCAGAGAGGGAGGGGCAAAGTGGGATGGTTAATTAGTGCAAAAATATAGTTAGAATGAATAAGGTCTAGTATTTGGTAGCACAACAGGGAACTACAGTCAACAATAATTTTTAACTTAAAAAACTAAAAGAGTAAAATTAGAATTTTCCTTACACAAAGAAATCATGGTGATGGATACCCTAATTACTCTGATGTGATTATTACACATTGTATGCCTGTATCAAAATGTCACAGGTATCCCATAAATATATACAACTATTATGTATCCATAATAATTAAAAATATACTTAAAAAAATTCAAAGTGACTAGTACAACTGAGTAACTGAATTTTTATTTAATTTTTATAAATTTAAATTAAAAAGCCACACATGGTTAGTGGATACCAAATTGGTTCATGCAGTTCTAGAGCACAGAGGAGTGCTTAAGAGTGAAAAAAAGTGACTTGGAATAAGTCATGATAGGAAATATAGACTTTGTCCTCTGGGGAACAAAGAGTAAATTGAAAATGCCTGAGGGTTCAGGGCCCTGAAATTGACATAAAGGATAAGGTCGGGAGCACATGGACTGTAGCTCACTGCCTGAGATTAGAGGACACAAGGCAAGGATGGGTGCAAGAGAAGCTATAATTTATAAAGGGAAGGAGAAAATTTGAGGAAAGTCGTATCAGATAGATTCAATTTTCGCCAAGTAGCAAGAGACCAGTGGGTCTACTGAAGTGGAGGGAATGAAAGAGCAGAGTGGTGGGAAGATGTGGAGAGAATACGGTTGTTCTGAAATGACTGGGGAGTGGCCAATAATAAGGGACCTCCTGGTGGTAAGACAGAGGGCACAGCTGGAATTGAAGATAGTGGGTTTGAAATGGTTCCAAACTGCAGTTCCAGAAGCTCATTTATCTGGGTATGGAGAAAATGTATTGTTATAGGTCCAGGGTTGGAGTTCCCCAAACAGTCACTGCAGAAGTCCTGGGTGCAAAAAAATTGAGAAAGCTGGCAAGGAATTACTTTAGATTATAATACGAGGTTACCAACCTACGTCACCAACCTAGAAGAGCAAGTTAGGTCAGAGAGTAAAAAATTTGAGCTGAAGACTTCAGAGGCACAAATGTGACCCCTAGATCCATGATGTGGCCATGCTAATAGATGGCTGAAAAGGGCTAGAGGTGGATGTCATTGGCGATGAGGTGCTGGATGGCCATCCACATTAACAATGAACAATATGGCAAGACTTGGGAGAGAGGAGGAATGGGAGCCAGATGTAATTAATAAATAAAGAGTTAAGACCTCAGAAATGAACCTCAAGAAGAAGGAGTAAGTGTCCTAGAAAGAGTAGGATGGCATGAGCATTAAAATGTGGGCATTTTTACATGAAGGCAGAGAAATAATGCCACCTCTACCTTTGGACCGCAGAACAGCGCTGGGGTCTCCGTGCGCAGTCTCCCATGGCTAGGGCTGTGGGAAAGCAGTGTCCTTCAGAGTAGAGGTGGATTTCAGTTAACGAAGGCAATGGAGCAAGTGTTCAGTGACTAAGTGAATGTTACTAGGAAGCTTATTTACTGGGTATGGAGAGTTCCAGAGAGCCCATGGGTGATATAGCAGCAAAGGGCATCCTTGAGGCTATAGAGGAAGAAGTCAGCTAGAGAAATTATAGCAAAGGGACACAGCAAGGTCTTTTACGGTGTGACAAATTTGTTAATAGGATATATAGTCATTTTTGCTGACTTTCAGAATGGTTTAGAAAAAAGTAAATAGATTGTGGACCCTAAAACCCTATCACCAGCTAGCTACGGGAAAAACAGTCTTTACTACAAATATGGGATGACCAGGTCTAGAACTTGACTTTCTTTCTCATCTATTAATAGAACATGATGACCGTGTATTCAGAAAGGAAAGGTGCAATGGAAAAGGCTTGTTGATCTAATTTTCTGAATGTCTTTAGAAACAGAATGAATTCTCATTAGTCTGGGACGATTCAGGTGTGACTGTCTACCTGAAAGAGAAGGATAAATTACATTGCCTTACAAATGCTTTTACATCCTAATGATTTCTGTAAATCTAAGCTAAATTAGCTGAGATTCTTGAGTATTATAAAGGTAGTGGAATATCACTACATTAGAGCTCATGAGAGCTCATGGCGCCCTTATTTTATAAACTTAAAACAGGTGGTCCAGCGATAGATGTTTTCTAATCTCTAAATTGAATAATATGGAATCAAGTTTGGTTAAACATTGAACATGCTGCCTTTATAGGAAAGAATAAAATACATTGAAAATGGAATTGTCCCAGAGAAGTCTAAGATATATGTCTACTATACTTATAAATGAGAATAATTTATCAGGTGGATATTTCAGTAACCATGTCTTTTTAAATATATTTAAAAAATTCTAATCTAGGACATAGAATGTCTCAGTGAGTTCCAGTGGAGTTATCCAAATCCAACAAATGAAAGATAAAACCCTTATTGAATAATTTAGACTTTTCTCCACTTTAAGGTGCTTTGGCTTGACACTGGTTCCTTGTTTTATTCAACTGCTCAGAAACGCATAATCTCATTTAAATTGAAGAAGCCATTGAAAATAAGTTGGCTCTACTTCCAGAATTGTAACTAAAAGAAAATTCTTTCTTCTGCAAATGATAAAGAATTTTCAGCATGTTTATCCACAGCTAATCCTATTCCTTTGGGTACAATGTGGTGCTGCACATTGAAACGTTATAAGAGCATTACCCCGCTAGGCAATAAACATGCTTTAAGAGCTTACTGGTAGTATGCTGACTCAAAGCAGAAATAATAATATCATCATTTTAAGTTGTCACATCTTCATTCTCCTTTCTAAAGACCCTTGCAGGTTTTTCAAGGTCTTTTGCCCCTCCATGACAGTTTGCTTTTGTAAGAGGCTGGTCTCAGAATTCAGATTTGTTCCATGATCTTAAAATACAGCAAAGCAAAAAAGCAAGTAAACCTTGATATTTATTTGAAATTTCCTGAGGTGAAGACTTCTTGGTCAAAAGATCAAGTAAGCCTCTTATTACTGGTGGCATACTGGAGTCACCTACAGGGTGTTTTGGGAACTGCCTGTGACATAGAAACTACTTTTTGTTGGGAAGAAGTTTAGTTGGGGCTGTGGGAAATAAAAGAGAAGAAAAATACAAATGTGAGAGGGTAATGAGAGGGTAGAAACCCCACTAGAGCCAAAAGTGGGCCACATAGGCAGGGCCAGAGCTAGATTAGGGGTTTCTGAGACTAGGGCTGTGGGAACAGAAGATGATTTCCCACTACATCTGGAATTGGTGGAAAAGGGAGGCTTGAAGTATGAATTCTTGGAAACTTGGGAGCTTTTTCTGAAGTTCCTAGATATTAAGAATGGGAGTCAGATGTCTTGATTGTGAGGACACCGTGGGGTTCCCTGAGCTCATAACTACTCCATCTTACTATTTTTTAAATTCCCTCTTCCCTATAGAGACTCTGGTAAATCCTTTAAGAGTGAATTTGGTCCATGAGTTTATTTTGAGACCAGTGAAGAAGGGACAAGCTAGGGAAAGAGAATCTTCAGCTTTCAGGTTTGGTGTATCAGGGAACAGAGGGTACCCAGCAGGAGCAGGCTTCTTTAAAGAAGATAGAACTCAGGGGGCCTCAGGTGACCTCAGAGGGGCTCCTCCCAGAAAGCCAGCCAAGAAGCCCCTCAGGAGTTTGGGACGGCCACCTTGGCCAGGCAGTGGCCGGGAGAATCACTGGATTGGGAGGATCTTTGAGTAGCTGTAGTTCTGGGGGTCAGAGTCAGCCACTCTGGGTGGAGCCATGGAAGAATTCATGGGGTGTGTTTAGTCTCCATCTCTTCAATCTTTCATCTTGAATTAATACACTGCACTCCTGTCTCATTGACATTTAAAAGCTGTTAATCCCTAACAGCTCTCTATTATCCTCCAAATATGGTCCAGACTCCTTGACAATAAGTTCATGGCCAACTTAAGCCCACTGCCATTTCCTGATGAGGCATCCTATTTCCTGCTCTGTGTGTTGTAAGCCCCCAGGAATTCCATTTTTGTTCTGCCACAGCAGGATCCTAGCTTCATGGCTCTCCCCTTCCTAGTCTTGTCTCCCTGGGTCAATTGGAGTATGACAGGTCTTTTGCTGTACAGAAAGCCACTGAGTTTCATTCTTGTTGTGTATCCAACTTATTTTCTACCTAAGCAGTTTCAAGAGAGGCATGAGGGACTCTTTCTGATGCTCTGTGTTTTTGTGTGATGGGAAGAGGAGGAATGTGGGAAAGCATGGGAGATAGGAGGCTGCACACAATCCTTTCACTTCCCATTGTCATCATGACCTTCCATCCCTTTTGCTTTCTGTTATGTGATTACAAAATCTCACCTCTTCCCTTTGGGTTCCCCCAGGCAGGGATTGAATCTTATTTAAATTTGTAGCTCCCAAGTCTAGCATGGACCCTAGAACTCAGTACATATTCATTGAGTGAATTACAATTGGAATTCTCTTCCACTCTCACAACATACAATGAGTGACATTGCTCAGTGACATTCTCCATCAAGTCGCCATCTGAGGCTTACAAGTTGACATTGATGACCTGTCAATGCTTAATTATAGGTATCTTTGGTATAATCCTAGAAAGTTTGGCCCTAGAGGAAAAAGAACCTGGTGAGACATACCAGAGGATATTGACACAGCTTGTAATGGATTTAGTGCATCCTTTTCTCTAGTCTTCTTGTGTTGAAATTGCCATATGACCCAGGCACTAAAGGCTTCCAGATAAAATGGATGCATTTCTCTTTACTGGGGATCAGATCCTACTTTAAAAGGCCTAGCTCCTTTAAGACCCCAAAGGACGAGCCCTAGGAGAAGAGCTGACTGGGGAAGCCTGAACTGCCTAGCTGAATCACCAATTGCTTCAAGCTTTCAACTGACTTAAGCCTCTCCTGGAGCTTGCTTCAGACCTGGCCTTCTGACTCTGGGGAAGTCACAACTCTCATTGCATCTTGCCCAGGGAGGTTGCCATGGGTCTTTACCCATGACTGGGCCTCAGATATGCCCCATTCAGTAGTAGTCCCCATCCTTGTGTTTAGCCTAGACCAGTCTCAGACCTGCCAGCGTCTTGTCCCCTGAACAGCTCAGCCTGGCCTTGTTTCTTGCATAGACCAGTGCTGATCATGATCCTGAAACATCAAATTCCAAAAGACACAATCCCAAATGCCATAATCCTGAATGTTGAAATCCCAAAAGAGCAAAATCCCTAAAGATCAAATCCCTAAAGTCTAAATACCCCTAACAACTAAAATCTTTAATGTCTAAAATCACACTCCTGAAAGATTAAAATCCATAATATTGAAATCATGAAAGCCATATTCTGCAGAAGGGATTAGTGTGTTTTCAACAGTATGAAGGATAGTTGCATCATATTAGGCAGAACTATTAACTTGTTTTTGTCTTTACTTGGAAATCGTGGTTTAAGGAGATGCATGTGGGTGCCAACTGATAAAGGATGAACTTGTGGACTTAATTTAGGTGTCAACTTGACTGGGTTAAGAAATACCTAGTAGGTATTATTTTGGTTGTGTCTGTGAGGACTTTTCCAGAGATTAATGCATGAGTCTGAGTGGGCTAGGCTGGGAAGATCTGCCCTCAATGTGGGTGTGCACCATCCAATCTGCTGGAGGTCTAAGGAGAACATACAGAAGGCAAATTGGTCTCTCTCTAAGAGCTAAGACAGACTTTTCTTCTGCTACGTTGGATATCAGAACTACAGGCTTGCCAACATAGTTATTATTGGCGCTGCAAAAGCAGAAAATTGCTTCATTGCAATGGCTGAGGAATAACGAACCAGACTTTCAAATGGCCAATGTATACTTACAAAATGTGTAGACCACATCCGCCCTCCAAATACAAGTGCATATATGGTATTCTACCCCAGATGCTGAAGTGACTGACAAGGGGATGGCCTGTGCCAGTGGGGTGCAAGGCCTGGGTGAGCCACACCATGTGGCTTATCTATACCCAACATCTGTCTTCCTGGCCAGGTATGGTGGCTCACGCCTGTAATCCCAGCACTTTGGGAGGCCAAGATGGGCAGATCACTTGAGGTCTGGAGGTCGAGACCAGCCTGGACACCATGATGAAACCCTATCTCTACTAAAAGTACCAAAATTAGCCAGCTGTGGTGGCAGGTGCCTGTAGTCCTAGCTACTTGGGAGCCTGAGGCATGAGAATTGCTTGAACATGGGAAGTGGAGGTGGCAGTGAGCTGAGATTGCACCACTGCACTCCAGCCTATCTTAAAAAAAAAGTGCTCACAAACATCAGTTTTCTGGTGAAATCAGGTGAAACTAACATCAATGTCATCAGAAGACAGCATTTACTGAGTCCTTTTTATGGACCATATCTCACATTTTGTAACCCATTTTTTTTTTCTTCCTAACAACACTCTGAGGCCAGTGCTATGAGGTGCATGTGGAGGGCCCAGGAATGAGCATCTCAGTCTCACTCAGGGGGACTTGTTGCCCCAGCTGCTGGGAGTGCTCTCAGCTCCTTCAGGGGCTGCCTCAGCTGTAGAGCATCTCCTCTCTCAGGGCATGCCCTTCCCATGGTGGCCTGCATCTAGTGGCAGATCATTCAGGGCACAAAGACCCACATGGGGACAACTCTGAGGATTGACTGAGTCCTTGTCTGGTCTGCATGCCAGTTCAGCTTCTCTCGTCACCCAGTCCTGCTTCTTCCACCTCCCTTCTGCAGGTGTTGATTTCTTATAAACACCCTGCTCCCAAACATGATCTCAGCATCCGCAGAAGCCAAACTGTGACACCCACACTGGAGGACAGTCCCAGGACCTGGCTGATTGTGAGGATGCACACCTGACATCATCCAAGCTAGACCAGAGACTCTCCCCTGCAGATTGAGAATGGTGCTGGAGAGGGCTGGTTCAACTCTGCAATGAGGCCAGACTTAGGATGGTAAGCTTAAACCTAAGTCACTTAAAAAATTAATATGAATGCTGATTATATTCAAGCTAGAAGAATGTGACCAGTTTATGGTATTTGAATTTAATTGCCCATTCTACTACAGGAGCATATGTGTGAAACTCTCTAATTATGTGTCAAAAATATGTACAGTAATATGTAGGAATAGATATGTCAAAATCCTACAACAAGTCATCCAAAACTACCAGGAGAAAAACATTTTCTTTTCTTTTCTTTTTTCTTTTCTTTCTTTCTTTTTTGAGATGGAGTCTTACTCTGTCACCCAGGCTGCAGTGCAGTGGCGTGACCTCAGCTCACTGTAACTTCTGCCTCCAGGTTTGAGCAATTCTTCTGCCTCAGCCTCTCAAGTACCTGGGATTACAGGCACCCACCATCATGACTAGCTAATTTTCAAATTTTTAGTAGAGACAGGGTTTCATCATGTTGGCCAGGCTGGTCTTGAAATCCTGACCTCAAGTGATCCGCACGCCTCAGCCTCCCAAAGTGCTGGGATTACAGGATGAGCCACCACATCCAGAAATATGTTTTATAAAAAGTCGTATAATTGGAGAGTCAAGAAAATTCTTGGGATCAGGGATAAAGTGAGAAAACCAGGTGTGTATGGCTTGCTGAAACTGCTGCAATGTCTGAGAACAATTTATTGAGCCTCATTCTTAGAGCCTTTCCTAAAAGAGAGTTAGGACATGCTAATATCTAAGAAAAAGGATGAATAAGAAGAAAATAAGTCCAGAAGACTCAGCAGAGAAAACTCTTAGCTTCCATTTTGGGTGGGCGTCAAAAAAAAAAATAATCTCCCCCAATATTTCAGCCATAACAAGGGGTTTTAGGCTTTGTATGTGCACTATTTGCGTCATGTAGGCAATCCCAAGATAAATGAGGCCCTGGTTAGACATTGCCTAATGTGACCTCAGAAGTAAAGACAAATTCTTCCTAGAGTAATGCGCCCTCCATTCAGCCCTCCTACCCCCATAAAAGAGAGTTCCTACAATTGTAAGCCCTTAAAAAACAAACAAAAAACAAACAACAACAACAACAAAAACCTGAACATACAAAGACAAGCCAATATGAATGAGAGTTAGTAGAAATAACAAACACAGAACTGGACCCACGAAGAAGTATAGAAGGCAATAAATAGAACAACTAGGTTTAATATATTTTTTAAAATAGAAGTTTTTAAAAGAGTAAGGCAAATTGGACAAAGATCAACTTTAACTTCTAGAAATTAAAAAAAATGATTTAAATGGAAAACTTAATGGTATGGCTGAAGAGCTAAATAAACATAGCCAAAGAGAATTATGAGGACTCCAGATTAGAGAAACAGATCAAAATATAAAAGAGAGAGGTTAAAATTCCTGAGAATTTTTCTGGATTGTTGAAAAATACATCTCTCCTATTCAAAAGACCAACAAATGTCTCTCTAGGTAAATACAAAAAATCCATAATTAGAATTGTCTCAGTGAAACTATGGAACACAGAAAACACAAAGAAGTAGTTAAGAGCAGCCAAAGATGGGAAAAAAAGGCAATTTACCCAAGAAGAAATCATGATTAGATTGAAAGCTGTGTTGTCAACAGCAGTGATGGAGCCTAAAGATGGTAGAATATTAAAATCTTCGAAGTATAGATGGAAATATAAAACAAGAATAATGCCAGTTTGTTGGCTCACGCCTATAACTCCAACAATTTGGGAGGCCGAAGTGGGCAGATCACTTGAAGCCAGGAGTTTGAGACTAGCCTGGCCAACATGGTGAGACCCCTATCTCTACTAAAAATACAAAAATTAGCTGGGCGTGGTGGTGCCCCCTTGAAATTCCAGCTACTCAGGAGGCTGAGGCAGGAAAATTGCTTGAACCCGAGCTGCGATCGTGCCACTGCACTCCAGCCTGGGTGACAGAATGAGGCTCTGTCTCAAAAACACAACACAACAAAAGAAAACAAACAAACAAAAAAAACCACAAAAGAACCCAAGAATTGCATCCATAGGAAAACTATCTTTTACAAACATGAAGAAGATATTTTCTGTATGATAAAACTGAAAGGATTTACCACCAATGTTTTCTCACTTACAGAATTTCCAAAAAGTGTTTTTCAAGTGCAAGGAGAAAAATCTCCAAAAGAAGATCTGAGCTGTAAGAAAAAATGGCATATAAACAAAATGATAAATATAAGATCTAATGTATATTGATAGTACTAATATAAAATGATGTCTGATTTGTGAGGTTGACAGTAGACAATATTGAGTTAAAAGACTGAATAAAAATTGAATCTAAGCTGGGGGATGGGTTGGCAGTGGTTGGGAATTTTTAAAAAACAGTGTATTATTTGAGACAGAGTATATTATTGGATAGCTATATATACACCTGGTATAACAGACCAAAAATATGTGAAAAAAATTAGTAGACCCACAATAATAAATTGACATATACAACCTCAGGGTGAGAAATTTCAACATAACTTTCTCATTATTTATAGGTCAAGAATAACAGCAAATACAGAAAATTTGAATGAAACAATTAGCAAGCTTAACTAATGGGCAATATGAATTACAATTAAAGAGTATAAGTTATTCTCCAACGTACATTTACAAATTAATTATGTACTAGGATATAAAGCAAATCTTGAAAAATTTCAAGAAACGGTTATCACATAGACCACATTCTCTGACTACAACCCAATTAAATCAAAATTTAGACAATAAAACAATAAAGTTTAAAAATTTAAAGGAATTTGGAAATTAGATAATAGGTCAAAGATAAATCAAAATGAAAATTTAAAATGCTAAAAACTAAATAATAAAAAATATTGTATAGTGAAACTTGTGGAATACACAAGTTTCCCTCCAAGGGAAATTTATATGCAGAAAATGTATATTAGAAAAACAGAAGGTTGAAACCATGCAATATCTAATTTTAAAAGTTAGACAATAAGATAAAAGATGGCATAATAAAAATAAGAGCAGAAATCAATGAAAATGAAAAAGATACAGTGAAGAAGATCAAAAAAGGCAAACATAGATTGGCTGAAAATAATGTAAAAATAGAAAAATCTCCCAAGAATGTTAAAGAAAAAGAAAACACAAATAACAAATACTATTAATGAAAAAGACATAAATAAAAATGCAGCAAAGATAGAAAAGAGAATGCCATCAATAACATTTTTTCTAATATGTTTTGAAAACTTAGATGAAGTAGAAAAATTCCTAGAAAATATAACTAACTATACCTGAGTATTAAATAAAGCAATAGCTAAAAATGTTTTCAGAACCAGTTTTACAGGTGAGCTCTACCAACCTTTTAAGGAGCAAATCATTCCAATCTTTTATTAACTCTCCCAGATACATGGGGTGGGGGCGGAGGGAAGACAGTACTCCCAAATTCCTTCTGTGAGGGCAGTTTGACCTTGATACTCAAATCAGATATCAACAATACTAGGAAGATATTAACTGTAGAACTGTTTTGCTAATTGATGTAAAAATTTAAAATCCTTTTAAAGTTCTGTAGATTATTCTAAGGCACCAATTTTTTTTTAACATTTATCATCTCTAGATTCAAGATACTGTTTTGAAAGATAAGTTTTATTGTTACTTAGTTATGGCAACACCAGCAGATCAGGAGAATGGCTTCCATTGAAAGGAGCTTGTAACTGAAACAAAGTAAGTGAATGAAATAAGTTGTTTACTATCTCTAGGAATTACCTAATCCTGGGAGAGGAAGTCCCCCCTGGGTCAGCGAGGCTCCAGATATCAAAGCATCAAAATACAGAAAATAAAAGACAGGGTTAACACAAACATTTTTTACAATCAATGGTAACTTACAATAGCTACCGGACGGAAGTCATATCATAGTTGCTATTGCCTTTGCACACATGAGCTTGGATGTTATGACTTGAACAATGGCAACCCCTTGATATTTCAGTCAAGAAATCATCTATTTTGTTTGAAAAGAAAAAAGATTAAAATGAATCCTTTCCTAAACAAGTTTTCATTTTCTAACAAAAACCTTAAAAATATATTTGAAGAAAATATAGATGAACATATTGTGGTATGAAAAGCTGGCTTAGACAAAGTACTAATAATATTTTAAAAGTGTAAATTCAACCACGTTAAAATTAATAACTTATATTTTATCAAAAGGCATTTTAAGTGAAATGAAATAATTAGCTATAAAATGAGAGGTTATTTGCAATACACATGACCGAAAGATAGATTGTGTTTGTGTTTGTGTGTATGTATGTATCTGAACATGAATAGACATTTCATAGTAAAATAAACACATATGGTCAATAGACAAAAGGATATGCTCAAGCTCAGTAAATAAGAAATGTGAGTCAAGATCACGATATCATTTTATACTAATTAATTGGCAAGTGTTTAATTTTATATTTACATTTTTTTTGAGACAGGGTCTTGCTTCACCACCAAGGCTGGAATGTACTTGCAAAATCATAGCTCACTGCAGCCTCAACCTCCTGGGCTCAAGCGCTCCTCCACCTCAGTCTCAAGAATAGCTAGGACCACAGGCACACGTCACCACACCCAGCTAATTTTTTATTTTTTAATTTTTTTGTAGAAACAGGGTCTCCCTATGTTGCCCAGCCTGGTCTTGAACTCCTGGGCTCAAGTGAGCCTCTCATCTTGGCCTCCCAAAGTGCTAGGATTACAGGTGTGAGCCACCATGCCCATTTGGCAAATATTAAAAAACCTGACACCACCAAGTGTTGTAGCATCTTAGCGGAATCTCTTACACATTGCTGATGGCCATGTAACTTGGTAAAAAACTCTGAAAGACAATTTAGCATTTTGAAAAGTTGAACTTACTCACATTGCAGCTCAGCAATTCCACTCTTGTACACAGGCATTATTCTTGCCCACCAGAATGTTCACAGTAATAGTGTTGTGATAGCAAAACATCTAACCCTGTTTATTTGGGTCCTCTGGGCAGCAGACACTATGAGTGAATTAAAAGTGCAAGGGATTTATGGGGGAAATGTTCATGAAGCATAAAAGGGAGGGGTCTCAGGAGTAGACAGAGAGCTACTTCAGACTGTGATGCAGGTCTGATACCTATGAAAGAGAGAGGAAGAAAATACTGGGTAAGAAGATCCTCAGACTGCAGTGCAGCTCACAGAAAGTCTCTACCAGTCTGATAAGGACGCCAGAGGAGACCTGCTGTGGACAGAAAGAGCCTGACTCAAGTGCCCTTGTGGTGCTCAGCAGTTGGTTGGGGGTAGCTGGGAGAGACCATGACCTCTGTAGGAATCCTGCAGCCACTAAAGGATGTCAGCTAACTTGGCTCCTCAAAACAAGTTCTCTCTTGAAAGGGTAGCTGAATGCCCATCTCCACATTTGCCCTAAATCAAATGCTCATTGTCAGGACACTAGATAAATAAATTGCAAAATGGTCATACAGTGAAATACTATACAGCAGTAAAAAATAATCTGGAGCATAAAAATGTGGATGACTCTTAATTACATCAGGTCAAATGAAAACATCTTCATTCCAGAGGACTACCTAGGAAACTTTTTGTAAAGTCTAAAAACACACAAATCTAAATAGTACATTTTTTTTCTTTTTTTTTTTGTACTTTAAGTTCTAGGGTACATATGCATAACATGCAGGTTTGTTACATATGTATACATATGGCACGTTGGTGTGCTGCACCCATTAACTCGTCATTTAACATTAGGTATATCTCCTAATGCTATCCCTCCCCCCTCCCCCCACCCTACAACAGGCCCCGGTGTGTGATGTTCCCCTTCCTTTGTCCGAGTGTTCTCATTGTTCAATACCCACCTATGAGTGAGAACATGTGATGTTTGGTTTTTTGTCCTTGTGATAGTTTGCTGAGAATGATGGTTTCCAGATTCATCCATGTCCCTATAAAGGACATGAACTCATCATTTTTTATGGCTGCATAGTATTCCATGGTGTATATGTGCCACATTTTCTTAATCCACTCTATCATTGTTGGACATTTGGGTTGGTTCCAGCTCTTTGTTACTGTGAATAGTGCCGCAGTAAACATACGTGTGCATGTGTCTTTATAGCAGCATGATTTATAATCTTTTGGGTCTATACCCACTAATGGGATGGCTGGGTCAAATGGTATTTCTAGTTCTAGATCCCTGAGGAATCGCCACACTGACTTCCACAAGGGTTGAACTAGTTTACAGTCCCACCAACAGTGTAAAAGTGTTCCTATTTCTCCACATCCTCTTCAGCACCTGTTGTTTCCTGACTTTTTAATGATCGCCATTCTAAATGGTGCGAGATGGTATCTCATTATGGTTTTAATTTGCATTTCTCTGATGGACAGTGATGATGAGCATTTTTTCATGTGTCTTTTGGCTGCATAAATGTCTTCTTTTGAGAAGTGTCAGTTCATATCCTTTGCTCACTTGTTGATGGGGTTGTTTGTTTTTTTCTTGTAAATTTGTTTGAGTTCTTTGTAGATTCTGGATACTAGCCCTTTGTCAGATGAGTAGATTGCAAAAATTTTCTCCCATTCTGTAGGTTGCCTGTTCACTCTGATCGTAGTTTCTTTTGCTGTGCAGAAGCTTTTTAGTTTAATTAGATCCCATTTGTCAATTTTGGCTTTTGTTGCCATTGTGTTTGGTGTTTTAGATATGAAGTCCTTCCCATGCCTATTTCCTGAATGGTATTGCCTAGGTTTTCTTCTAGGGTTTTTATGGTTTTAGGTCTAACATTTAAGTCTTTAATCCAACTTGAATTAATTTTTGTATAAGGTGTAAGGAAGGGATGCAGTTTCAACTTTCTACATATGGCTAGCCAGTTTTCCCAGCACCATTTATTAAATAGGGAATCCTTTCCCCATTGCTTGTTTTTCTCAGGTTTGTCAAAGATCAGATGGTTGTAGATGTGTGGTATTATTTCTGAGACCTCTGTTCTGTTCCATTAGTCTATATCCCTGTTTTGGTACCAGTACCATGCTGTTTTGGTTACTGTAGCCTTGTAGTATAGTTTGAAGACAGGTAGCATGATACCTCCAGCTTTGTTCTTTTGGCTTAGGATTGACTTGGCAATGCGGGTTCTTTTTTGGTTCCATATGAACTTTAAAGTAGTTTTTTCCAATTCTGAGAAGAAAGTCATTGGTAGCTTGATGGGGATGGCATTGAATCTATAAATTACCTTGGGCAGTATGGCCATTTTCATGATATTGATTCTTCCTATCCATGAGCATGGAATGTTCTTCCATTTGTTTGTGTCCTCTTTTATTTCGTTGAGCAGTGCTTTGCAGTTCTCCTTAAAGAGGTCCTTCACATACCTTGTAAGTTGGATTCCTAGGTATTGTATTCTCTTTGAAGCAATTATGAATGGGAATTCACTCATGATTGGGTTCTCTGTTTGTCTGTTCTTGGTGTATAAGAATGCTTGTGATTTTTGCAGATTGATTTTGTATCCTGAGACTTTGCTGAAGTTGCTTATCAGCTTAAGGAGATTTTGATCTGAGATGATGTGGTTTTCTAGATATACAATCATGTCATCTGCAAACAGGGACAATTTGACTTCCTCTTTTCCTAATTGAATACCCTTTATTTCTTTCTCCTGCCTAATTACCCTGGCCAGAATTTCCAACACTATGTTGAATAGGAATGGTGAGAGAGAGCATCCCTGTCTTGTGCCAGTTTTCAAAGGGAATGCTTCCAGTTTTTGCCCATTCAGTATGATACTGGCTGTGGGTTTGTCATAGACAACTCTTATTATTTTGAGATATGTGCCATCAATACCTAATTTATTGAGAGTTTTTAGCATGAAGAGTTGTTGAATTTTGTCAAAGGCCTTTTCTGCATCTACTGAGATAATCATGTGGTTTTTGTAGCTGGTTCTGTTTATGTGCTGGATTACATTTATTGATTTGCATATGTTGAACCAGCCTTGCATCCCAGGGATGAAGCCCACTTGATCATGGTGGATAAGCTTTTTGATGTGCCTCTGGATTCGGTTTGCCAGCATTTTATTGAGGATTTTTGCATTGGTGTTCATCAAGGATATTGGTCTAAAATTCTCTTTTTTTATTGTGTCTCTGCCAGGCTTTGGTATCAGGATGATGCTGGCCTTATAAATTGAGTTAGGGAGGATTCCCTCTTTCTATTGATTGGAATAGTTTCAGAAAGAATGGTACCAGCTCCTCCTTGTACCTCTGGTAGAATTCGGCTGTGAATCCATCTGGTCTTGGACTTTTTTTGGTTGGTAAGCTATTAATTATTGCCTCAATTTCAGAGCCTGTTATTGATCTATTCAGAGATTCAACTTCTTCCTGGTTTAGTCTTGGGAGAGTGTATGTGTCCAGGAATTTATCCATTTCTTCTAGATTTTCTAGTTTATTTGTGTAGAGGTGTTTATAGTATTCTCTGATGGCAGTTTGTATTTCTGTGGGATTGGTGGTGATATCCCCTTTATCATTTTTTATTGTGTCTATTTGATTCTTCTCTCTTTTCTTCTTTATTAGTCTTGCTAGCGGTCTATCAATTTTGTTGATCTTTTGAAGAAACCAGCTCCTGGATTCATTGATTTTTTGAAGGGTTTTTTGTCTCTCTATTTCTTCAGTTCTGCTCTGATCTTAGTTATTTCTTGCCTTCTGCTAGCTTTTGAGTGTGTTTGCTGTTGCTTCTCTAATTCTTTTAATTATGTTGTTAGGGTGTCAATTTTAGATCTTTCCTGCTTTCTCTTGTGGGCATTTAGTGCTATAAATTTCCCTCTACACACTGCTTTAAATGTGTCCCAGAGATTCTGGTATGTTGTGTCTTTGTTCTTGCTGGTTTCAAAGAACATCTTTATTTCTGCCTTCATTTCATTATGTACCCAGTAGTCATTCAGGAGCAGGTTGTTCAGTTTCCATGTAGTTGAGCGGTTTTGAGTGAGTTTCTTAATCCTGAGTTCTAGTTTATTGCAGTGTGGTCTGAGAGACAGTTTATTATAATTTCTGTTCTTTTACATTTGCTGAGGAGTGCTTTACTTCCAACTATGTGGTCAATTTTGGAATAAGTGCGGTGTGGTGCTGACAAGAATGTATATTCTGTTGATGTGGGGTGGAGAGTTCTGTAGATGTCTATTAGGTCCGCTTGGTGCAGAGCTGAGTTCAGTTCCTGGGTATCCTTGTTAACTTTCTGTCTCGTTGATCTGTCTAATGTTGACAGTGGGGTGTTAAAGTCTCCCATTATTATCGTGTGGGAGTCTAAGTCTCTTTGTAGGTCTCTAAGGACTTGCTTTATGAATCTGGGTGCTCCTGTATTGGGTGCATATATATTTAGGATAGTTAGCTCTTCTTGTTGAATTGATCCCTTTACCATTATGTAATGGCCTTCTTTGTCTCTTTTGATCTTTGTTGGTTTAAAGTCTGTTTTATCAGAGATTAGGATTGCAACCTCTGCATTTTTTTTTCCATTTGTTGGGTAGATGTTACTGCATCCCTTTATTTTGAGCCTATGTGTGTCTCTGCACATGAGATGGGTTTCCTGAATACAGCACACTGATGGGTCTTGACTCTTTATCCAGTTTGCCAGTCTGTGTCTTTTAATTGGAGCATTTAGCCCATTTACATTTAAGGTTAATATTGTTATGTGTGAATTTGATCCTGTCATTATGGTGTTAGCTGGTTATTTTGCTCATTAGTTGATGCAGTTTCTTCCTAGCATCAATGGTCTTTACAATTTGGCATGTTTTTGCAGTGGCTGGTACCGTTTATTCCTTTCCATATTTAGTGCTTCCTTCAGGAGCTCTTTTAGGGCAGGCCTGGTGGTGACAAAATCTCTCAGCATTTGCTTGTCTGTAAGTATTTTATTTCTCCTTCACTTATGAAGCTTAGTTCGACTGGATATGAAATTCTGGGTTGAAAATTCTTTTCTTTAAGAATGTTGAATATTGGCCCCCACTCTCTTCTGGCTTGTAGAGTTTCTGCCAAGAGATCTGCTGTTAGTCTGATGGGCTTCCCTTTGTGGGTAATGCGACCTTTCTCTCTGGCTGCCCTTAACATTTTTTCCTTCATTTCAACTTTGGTGAATCTGACAATTATGTGTCTTGGAGTTGCTCTTCTCGAGGAGTATCTTTGTGGCTTTCTCTGTATTTCCTGAATTTGAATGTTGGCCTGCCTTGCTAGGTTGGGGAAGTTCTCCTGGGTAATATCCTGCAGAGTGTTTTCCAACTTGGTTCCATTCTCCCTGTCACTTTCAGGTACAGCATTCAGACGCAGATTTGGTCTTTTCACATAGTCCCATATTTCTTGGAGGCTTTGTTCATTTCTTTTTATTCTTTTTTTCTAAACTTCTCTTCTAGCTTCATTTTATTCATTTCATTTTCCATCACTGATACCCTTTCTTCCAGTTGATCGCATCAGCTGGAATCACTGACAAATGCACTGAGGCTTGTGCATTTGTCACGTAGTTCTCGTGCCGTGGTTTTCAGCTCCATCAGGTCCTTTAAGGACTTCTCTGCATTGGTTATTCTAGTTAGCCATTCGTCTAATTTTTTTTCAAGGTTTTTAACTTCTTTGCCATTGGTTCGAACTTCCTCCTTTAGCTCGGAGTAGTTTGATATTCTGAAGCCTTCTTCTCTAAACTCGTCAAAGTCACTCTCCCTCCAGCTTTGTTCCGTTGCTGGTGAGGAGCTGCATTCCTTTGAAGGAGGAGAGGCACTCTGATTTTTAGAATTTTCAGTTTTTCTGCTCTGTTTTTTCCCCATCTTTGTGGTTTTGTCTACCTTTGGTCTTTGATGATGGTGACATACAGATGGGGTTTTGGTGTGGATGTCCTTTCTGTTTGTTAGTTTTCCTTCTAACAGTCAGGACCCTCAGCTGCAGGTCTGTTGGAGTTTGCTGGAGGTCCACTCCAGACCCTGTTTGCTTGGATATCAGTAGCAGAGGCTGCAGAACAGTGAATATTGCTGAACAGCAAATGTTGCTGCCTGATCGTTCCTCTGTAAGTTTTGTCTCAGAAGAGTACCCAGCTGTGTGAGGTGTCAGTTTACCCCTACTTGGGGGTGCCTCCCAGTTAGGCTACTCAGGGGTCAGGGACCCACTTGAGGAGGCAGTCTGTCCGTTCTCAGATCTCAAGCTCCCTGCTGGGAGAACCACTACTCTCTTCCAAGCTGTCAGACAGGGACATTTACATCTGCAGAGGTTTCTGCTGCCTTTTGTTTGTCTGTGCCCTGCCCTCAGAGGTGGAGTCTAGAGGCAGGCAGGCCTTCTGGAGCTGCAGTGGGCTCCACACAGTTCGAGCTTCCTGGCTGCTTTGTTTATCTAATCAAGCCTCAGCAATGGCGGGCGCCCCTCCCCCAGCCTCGCTGCCACATTGCAGTTCAATCTCAGACCGCTGTTCTAGCAATAAGCCAGGCTCTGTGGGCGTAGGACCCTCTGAGCCATGTGCAGGATATAATCTCCTGGTGTGGTGTTTGCTAAGACCGTTGGAAAAGCGCAGTACTAGGGTGGGAGTGACTCGATTTTCCAGGTGCCATTTGTCACCCCTATCCTTGGCTAGGAAAGGGAATTCCCTGACCCCTTGCGCTTTCTGGGTGAGGCGATGCCTCACCCTGCTTCGGATCACACTCAGTGTGCTGCACCCACTGTCCAACAATCCCCAGTGAGATGAACCTGGTACCTCAGTTGGAAATGTAGAAATCACCCGTCTTCTGCGTCGCTCACGCTGGGAGCTGTAGACTGGAGCTGTTCCTATTCAGCCATCTTGGAACCACCCCCAATAGTAAATTTTTTAAGGCACACAAATATATGTGAGAAAATGACTTTTAAAACAGCAAAACAATGAAAAAAGATTAATAAAGTCAAGGTAGTTATTACCTTTGAGCAAGAGACTAAATCATATATGATGGAATAAAGAAAGGTGTTCATAAATAGCATTGTTGGTGTTATCAATTCTTAGGCTGGGTGGCAGTTTCACCCACATAAATAACTTATGAAAATAAAAGAAACACAATAAAAAGTAAAAGTCTTGATGACAAGGGTGTGTAAGCTTTGAGATGGGTGATTGGATTTAAGCATCTTAAGTCCTTCTATTACTCAGGAGGCAGATAAAGATATGGATTAGTGTTAGAGTTTAACATTTAAGCATGTTAAAATTTTAAGGACAACTTCTTGAAGACTAGAAATAAATATATCTATCTTCCAAATAGCTTCGGAGAGAAAAAAAATTAAAAAAAATTCAGAAGACCAGAAAAAAGAAAGCTGAAATTTAGAAAAAAAAACTTGGACAAAATAAGAGGCCATCTATATAACAAATCACAGTGAATTTTGAAAGCATAGATTAATTGTCTGTTTTTTTAAAAAAATTTACCTATATATTTTTTACAAGTAAAATTTAATGTAATTTTTTTCACCTGACTCACTTGTGATAAACTACCCTAATAATATCCATATTTTCTGTGTTCTTAAAGTACCTAATAAGAGAAACTCATAGATGTCTGAGCCAACAAATGTCACACAAGTCAGAATTAATTTGTCTCCAAGGTACTTGGAGACCTTCAAAGGCATGTTTTTATTTTATTAGTCACATCCTCAGGGGTGTGAGGTATTTTAAGCCAGCCCTGGAGTTCTCTGAGAAGTCTCTGTGGAGTCTATAAAATTCACCACATGACCCACCACCAAGCATTTCACCGCTGAAGGCTCATGGACCTTGGCATAGGACTTCAGCCTCAGAGATGTCATTCTGGGACTTTTTCAGAGAGCAGAATTTTTTTTCTTGGACAGTCTAAAGGCTGATGCTACTAAAACCTGATTCCACATTTTCCTATCTATGTTGACATTTAGTTATGTCAATTTCATAATGTCAGGGCCAATCTTATTATATAGGCTGGTCGTCAGCTGTCTAGGGTAGAGAACTGCGCTGGCATTAAAGTGCCAGGTGACTGGCACTTTGATGTTGGCAGAAAAATAATTCTATTTAAAAAGACCACAAAAAAGAAAATACAGTTAAAATGAAAACTTTAAAACATAGGAGTTCTTATACCTTTGCTTCCTGTAAAGAAAACGATGTTGTAAGAAAAGGAAAGTCTGAAACTTAAGAATCATGCTGTGCTTCTTTTCTTCCCTAGAAACTATCAGGGCTAGCTCTGTGCCTAGGCAAATGTGAAAAACGGAAAACAGCTTCCCTTTTCTCCAAAAATATTATTCTGCAGTCTTCCACTCTGACGTTCTCACAATAGGCGATTGCAATTAAAATTTTAAAATTATAATTTTATCAAAGTAAAGCATGTGTGGAGTTTTTTGTTTTAGTTAAAACATCTAATAAAGAATAGCACTCTCTTGCCCTAATCTGTCAGTTGGACATCTCAGAAGCAACCTCTTCATTTTTTTTTAGTTATTTCTTCTGATGATCATCTATATAATTTTAAATACTACTTTCACTTTGATTTTTTTCTATTTTAGACATTGTTGTGTACCTGGCATGAAAGGAGAGTACCTGCGACTCTTATGAGACCATCCCAGCCCTCCATGCCCTCCTTCCTTCATCCTTTCTATATACTTACATAATATATTTTAAATAAAATCAATAATCAGTGTTACAGTTTTATGGCTATGAAGGTATTATTTGCTGCTGGGCAAAATCTTGTTTTATGGTTGTATTCTTTTTAAATAAGGAAACTGTATGTTTTCCTTGGAGTTGACATTTGCTTCGTTTTTATTTATAAGTATTAATGTTTCCATCACAAATTTTTCTCAAACGTGTCAAAGAACTATAAAACCTGTGATATTATTTTTGGTACCATTTTCCACATGGTAAAACATAGCAGGTAATCTATTATTTCCAGTTTGATTCCCCATGGAGACATATTTGTTTTATCTTCCTCTTCCAATCTGGATGGTTTGATTTGGCCTATTGCAGAGATGGCATACTGAGAATCCCTTTAGTTTCACCCCTGTACGAGGAGCTCTACATCTTAGATTTACTGTTGGTGTTTTTCTTGACTCTTATTTTTCTATATCACATCATTTAGTAATTTCCTGAGAAACAGTGCATGAAGATTGTCAAGTAATACTTTTGAGACTTTGAATGTCTAAAAATGTCATCTTTAATCACTTTTGTACTTTAGATAGGTTAGCTGGATATGAATCCATATCCATGAATACATGAAGGTACTGCTCCATCATCTTCTGGCTTCCAATGTCTTAGATAAGAAGTATAATGTCATTCTGATTCTTCATTCTTTGAATGCAACCAGGCTTTTCTGTCTGCAGACTTTTTGGATCTTATTTATTTTTAAATTTAATTATTCTTGTGTTTTAAAAAATCATTCTGACACATTTCACTTAGGTCCTTTCTTATTGATTCTGCTGGATTCATAATTTCAGTTACAGAAATACTTTGTATTTTCTATTGGCTAAATCTTTTCTCCTCTGTTTTCTTCTCTTTTTCTGTTTTATGTATTATTTGAATTCAGGATTTTGAATTAATCATGTAACTTTCCAAAATTTTTCTTTCCTGTTTTTTATCTCTTTTGCTTCAGTTCCACTTTCTAGGAGATATTCTGCAATTTCTCTTCCAGACCTTCTGATATTTGTTTTTGACCCTATGTTTAATTAACAGGATTTATTAATTGCTGTGTCTTTTTTATTGTCAATATATTCTCTTAGCTCTTCAATAATATTAAATACAGGTTTTTAAATTTTTTTCAACTTTGTGCATCATCTCATTTTCACTGAATTTTATTCCCTTTTGGGTTTGTATTGGTTTTTGTTTTTCATGTTGAAAACTTTCCTCAAATGCCTATGACTTATAGGATGCCAGGTTATACTAAGACATTATTTGAAATATGTGTGTACAGGCAGGACATATCTACCGGGACTTCATGTGAGTTTCATAGTAGTGGCCCAGCTGTTTCAGGATAATTTTCTCAAATGTCAGTACATGCAAATCTTGCCCTCATCCTCCACTCCGTCTTTTTATATCTCAAGAGAAGAATTTTCCAGTCTCCAGCCTTGGGGAATATGCCTAGTTGCCTGCATTCTTGGAGCTGAGTCATGAAAAAGTGGTGGGTGTTTCAATATTCAGCATATAGATTTTTAAATTCAATTTTTAAATTTATATACAGTAGGGTCCCTCTTTTTGGTTTATAGTTTTGTGAGTTTTGGCAAATGTAGGGTCACAAACCATCACCACAGTCAAGAAACAAAATAGTGTCATCATCCCCCCAAATACCCTCATGTTTTCAACTCCTCCTCCAAGCCCTAATCACTGTCAACTACTAATCCTTTTATCCCTAAGGTTTTGCTCTTCCAGAATATCACACAAATGAAATAATTTATTTACTTTTTAGTGTCTGGTTACTCTCACTTGGTGTAATGCATTTGAGATGCATCCATTCTATTGCGTATATCAACAGTTTATTGTTGTTGTTGTCATTGAGTAGTATTCCATTACCTGAAGGTTTTTCATCTGTTCCCCTGTTGAAGAACATATGGATTGGTTCCAGTTTTTGGTGATTATGAATACAGCTACCATAAATGTTGGCATATGATACTGGTATAAAAATAAATTTTCATTTTAATCCCATCCCCAAGAATGAAATTGCTAGGTCATATGGTAAATGCATATTTATTTAAATTTGTAAGAAGCAGACAAACTGGTTTTCAAAGTGGCTGTATAATTTTGCATTTCACCAGCAGTAAATGAGAGTTGCAGTTGCTTGGCAACCTCACCAGGATTGTCATTGTTAGGATTTGTTTGTCCAATTTTGTTCTGTTTGTTCAAAGTTCTTATGGTTCTTCTCTTTGCCTTTCCGTGTAAATTGTAGAATCACCTTGTTGATATCTACCGAAATTTACTTGGGATTTTGATAAGGACTGCCACATGTGAGACTAGGTCTCTGGTGGAGAAGTACAGATAATAGTGGAGGACACATGCAAGACATCTCTTAGATATTCCTAGAAATAGTCAAGAGAACTTTGCAAAGGTGTCTTAAGTTAGCATGCACTATCTAATAGACTTCAACTTGAGACTTCTGCTTCTTGTCAAGATGGAATTAGAGGCACTGTATTTTCCTGACAGAAACAACTAGAACATTTGAAATAATATGTCAAACAATGGTTTTCAAGACATTGGATATAAGCCAATAAAGAATAGTTTTCCTTGAGAAATGGGAAACAAATGAGGTGAGTGTTATGCTTGCCTCAGTTTATTGCTAATGGTGCATTTTCAGGTTTTAGTCAGGGAAGAAAAACCCAGAGGGAGCCCAGAAGTCTTGAATTGAAGTGATGCAGCTAGGGATCTGGGGACACAAAGTCTGCTAAAGTTTGAAGAACAGAGGAGAATGCTGCATGAGAGAGAATGCCAGAGATCTCCAGGCAGTGCTTTTCAAATGTTCTGAGAGTACTGATCAACACATTGCATGTGAGAAAACTCCCTGTGTCAGGAGAAAGAACCTCTTACAAAGATTAGCATGAACAATAGCTGGCATTCGCACAGAGTCTGAAAAAGTGCCTGTGGCAATCAGGTGAAATGGAAAACTGATAAATTCTGAAGGCATTGGGTTGAGCATTCAAAGGATCTTGCATAAGAATTGGAAAATAATTAGGCTTAAA
The DNA here is from genome assembly GCF_000001405.40 of Homo sapiens. Classification (NCBI taxonomy): domain Eukaryota; kingdom Metazoa; phylum Chordata; class Mammalia; order Primates; family Hominidae; genus Homo; species Homo sapiens. The sequence continues at coordinate 23,677,399 of NC_000010.11, forward strand.
CTTGGCATTACTCTGGACCTGCCTAACAAATCAGAAAAGCCAGATCCAAACAAATCAAGTGGTTTCACAATAACTTAATTGCATCCAAAAATAAAGCACAAGAAGACTTAGAGAAATACAATAATATCCAGTACACAACAAGACAAAATTCTTAATGTCTGGCATCCAATAAAAAATTACCAGGAATGCAAAGAAGCAAGAAAATATGACTCATATGAGGATAAAAGTTTGGTCAATCAAAATGGTCCCAGAACTTAAACAGATGTTAGAATTAGAAGACAAAGGCATAAAGGCAGTTATTATAACTGTATGCCAGATGTCCCAAAAGCTAGAGGAAAGATCAAGTTAAGTAGAGATACGATATAAACAAGAAATCCAAATCATATTTCTAGAGATGATAGCTATACTTGGAGATTTAAACAAACTCACTAAATAGAATTATTGGCAGATTAGACATTGCAGAAGATATAACTAGTTAACTATGCAATGAAAAACAGAAAAAGACAAAAAATGTAGAAAACGGAATCACTGAGATACGGAATAATATCTATTGAAATCTATAAAAGAAATAAAGGATAAAACAAAAATATTTGAAGAAATAATGGCTGAATTTTTATCAAATTTCATAAAAACAAAAACTTTACAGATCCAAGACAATCAATGATCTCCAAACACAAAAGACATGAAGGCAACTACACCAAAGCACATCATGATGAAATTCTCTAAACTGTAATAAAGAGCCTATCTCAAAAGGAGCCAGAGAATAAAAGACATGTTAAGTAGAGAGTAACACAGAAAGAATTACAGCATATTTTTCAAGGGAAACAATCCAAGTTAGAAGATAGCGGAACAACATTTCTCAAATACTCAAAAAATGCCGTCAAGAAAAACTGAAATTGGCCGGGCACGGTGGCTCACGCCTGTAATCCCAGCACTTTGGGAGGCCAAGGTGGGCAGATCATGAGGTCAGGAGATTGAGACCATCCTGGCTAACACGGTGAAACCCTGTATCTACTGAAGAAATACAAAAAATTAGCCAGGCGTGGTGGCGGGTGCCAGTAGTCCCAGCTACTTGGGAGGCTGAGGCAGGAGAATGGTGTGAACACAGGAGGCGGAGCTTGCAGTGAGCCAAGATCGTGCCACTGCACTCCAGCCTGGGGGACAGAGCAAGAGTCCGTCTTGAAAAAAGAAAAAAAACCTCAAATCAAGAGTTTTATACTCAGTGAAAACAACTTTTAAATAGAAACTCGAAATAAATTACATTTTTAGACATACAAAAGCTGAAAGAATTCATCACCACTAGAGACACACTGTGAGAAATGCTAAAGGAGACCTTCAGACATAATAAAAATACAGATGGAATGCACATAAAGAATAAAAAGTACTGAAGCCTGGACACCTGTACTGAAGTGGATCACACCTATAATCCCAGCAATTTGGGAAGCCAAGGCAAGAGGATTGCTTAAGCCCGGAAGTTTGAGACCAGCCTAGGCAATATAGTAAGACCTCATCTCTCTTAAAAAAAAAATTAAAAATAAGAAAAATTAACCAGGCATGATGGCACACACCTATAGTCCTAGCAGCTACTTGGGAGGCTGAAATGAGAGGATCTCCTGAGCCCATGAGGCAGAGGTTGCAGTGAGCCAAGAGCACACCACTGCACTACTTGTAAGTGATAAAGTGAGACTCTGTCTCAAAAAAAAAAAAAAAAAGAAAAGAAAAGAAAAAAGAAAAAATGGTACTGCAAATAGTAATTATGTGTGTAAGGATAAAAGTCCTTTTTCTTTTCTGTTTATTTAAATCTCTTTAAAGGATAATTGACTATTTACAGAAAAAAAATAATATATTTTGGAGTTTAAAACAAGCAGAAATAAAATGTATGCCCATGATAGCACAAAAGACAGGAAGGCAGAAATGAAAGTATACTGTTGTAAGGTTCTCTTACAATATGTGTTATGGTATAGCATCACTTGAGGTTTAAGTTAAGCATACTAAAGATAAAATGTACAGTACAGTAAGTTAAATATGAATATTAAATATCCCCATGCAATTGCTAAAGCAACACAAATCATATCTAGTAAGCCGATAGGGAAGATAAAATGGAGCCATAAAATATTCAATTAATTGAAAGAATGCAGAAGAAAAGGAGAAAAAGGACTGATGAAACAAACAGCAAGATGGTAGATTTAAATCGAACCATGTAATTAATCACATAAAATTAAAGGGTTTTAATATCCTAATTAAAAGACAGCTTTCAGATTGACCAAAAATGCAAGACTCACCTATAAGCTGCCTACAAGTGACACATTTCATTCATTTTTCATAATTTCAATTTTTATTTTAGATTAAGTGGGTACAAGTACAGGTGTATTGCATGATGCTGAGGTTTGGATACGAATGATCCCATCACCCAGACAGTAAGCATAGTACCCAATAATTAGTTTTTCAACACTTGCCCCCGTCCCTTCCTCTCCTCTCTATTAGTCCCTGGTATCTACTGTTGCTATCTTTATGTCCACGAGTACCCAATATTTAGCTCCCACTTATAAGTGAGAACATATGGTATTTTTTTTTCCCCGTGTTAATTTGCTTAGGATAATGGCCTCTAGTTGCATCCATATTGCTGCAAAGGACATGATTTCATCCTTATTTATAGCTGCATAGTATTCCATGGTGTCTATGTACCACATTAAGAAGCACATTTTAAATATATAGACAAAATAGGTTAAAAGTAAAAGGATAAAAAGCTGTGTACCATGCTAGTGCTATTCTAAAGAAAACTGGAGTGAATATGTTAATATTAGACAAAAAAGTATTTAGAGAAAAGTATATTATGTTGAAAATATAGGATTATTCTATAATGATAAATACCTCATATCTACAACTATCTGATCTTTGACAAACCTGAGAAAAACAAGCAATGGGGAAAGGATTCCCTATTTAATAAATGGTGCTGGGAAAACTGGCTAGCCATATGTAGAAAGCTGAAACTGGATCTCTTCCTTACACCTTATACAAAAATTAATTCAAGATGGATTAAAGACTTAAACGTTAGACCTAAAACCATAAAACCCTAGAAGAAAACCTAGGCATTACCATTCAGGACATAGGCATGGGCAAGGACTTCATGTCTAAAACACCAAAAGCAATGGCAACAAAAGACAAAATTGACAAATGGGATCTAATTAAACTAAAGAGCTTCTGCACAGCAAAAGAAACTACCATCAGAGTGAACAGGCAACCTACAGAATGGGAGAAAATTTTCGCAACCTACTCATCTAACAAAGGGCTAATATCCAGAATCTACAATGAACTCAAACAAATTTACAAGAAAAAAACAACCCTATCAAAAAGTGGGCGAAGGACATGAACAGACACTTCTCAAAAGAAGACATTTATGCAGCCAAAAAACACAAGAAAAAATGCTCACCATCACTGGCCATCAGAGAAATGCAAAATGAGATACCATCTCACACCATTTAGAATGGTGATCATTAAAAAGTCAGGAAACAACAGGTGCTGCAGAGGATGTGGAGAAATAGGAACACTTTTACACTGTTGGTGGGACTGTAAACTAGTTCAACCATTGTGGAAGTCAGTGTGAAGATTCCTCAGGGATCTAGAACTAGAAATACCATTTGACCCAGCCATCCCATTACTGGGTATATACCCAAAGGACTATAAATCATGCTGCTATAAAGACACATGCACACGTATGTTTATTGTGGCACTATTCACAATAGCAAAGACTTGGAATCAACCCAAATGTCCAACAATCGTAGACTGGATTAAGAAAATGTGGCACATATACACCATGGAATACTATGCAGCCATAAAAAATGTTGAGTTCATGTCCTTTGTAGGGACATGGATGAAATTGGAAATCATCATTCTCAGTAAACTATCGCAAGAACAAAAAACTAAACACCGCATCTTCTCACTCATAGGTGGGAATTGAACAGTGAGAATACATGGACACAGGAAGGGGAACATCACACTCTGGGGACTGTTGTGGGGTGGGGGGAGGGGGGACGGATAGCTTTAGGAGATATACCTAATGCTAAATGACGAGTTAATGGGTGCATCACACCAGCATGTCACATGTATACATATGTAACTAACCTGCACATTGTGCACATGTACCCTAAAACTTAAAGTATAATAATAATAAAATAAAAAAACCCTCAAATCCTCGGACATACAAATTCCATTTTTGTGTACTTAATAAAAGGGCTACAAAATACATGAAGCAAAAACTGATAGAACTGCAAAAAGAAATCGAGAAATCCACAAATGTAGTGATAGAGTTGAATGTAACTGACAGAACAAGTAGATTATCAGTAAGGATGTATACAATTTGAACAACACCATAAAGTAACTTACCTCATTGATATTTATATGATACTGCATTCAAAAGCAGCAGAATATATATTCCTTTCAAATGCTCATGAAACATTCATCAAAATAGATCATGTTTTGGACCACAGTAAAATCTCAACAAGTTCTCTGACCACAATAGAATTAAGTTAGAAATTAATAACAGTAAGTTTTCTCAGAAATTCCTGAGTATTTGGAAAGTATACAACACAGTTAAACTCATGGGTTATTTACGAGATAAAAAAGAAATTAGAAGACATTTTGTACTAAACTGAAACGAGAACACATAATATAAAAATTTGTGGGATACTATTAAAGCAGTAATTAGAGGAATATTTATAGCACTAAAAGTCTATATTATTAGATAAGAAGAAAGGTCTTAAATCATAGACCTCAAGTTCCACCTTAAGAAAGTAGAAATAGAAGAGTAAATTAAACTCAAAATAAGCGGAAAATGGGGCAAATATTGGAGTGGGAAACAAAATAATAGATAAAATGAAAGCTGATTCTTTGAAAAGATTGATGAATTTGATAAACATATATCCATATTTATCAGGAATAAAAAAGACACAAATTACCAATATCAAAAATAAGAGGTAACATAACTACAGATTCTACAAATATTAAATGGATAATAAAGCCATATTATAAAGAACTTTATGTCAATAAAGTTGACAACTTCAAGGAAATGAATAAATCCCTTGGAAGACACAAACCACTAAAGCTCTCTAAGAAGAAATAAATAACCTGAATAGCCCCGTATTTATCAAAGTAATTGAATACATAGTAAAAACTCCAGGCCTTCTTGATTTCATTGGTAAATTTTACCAAACGTTTAAGGAAGAAGTAATACCAATTCTGCACAAACTCTTCCAGAAAGCAGAAGCATGGGGCATTCTTCCCAGGTCATCCTATGTAGACAGCATTACTCTTATGCCCAGACACAACAAATATATGACAAAAATAGAAAACTACAGAGCAATATCTCTCATGAACATAAATGCAAAATTCTTAACCAAACTTTGGCAAGTCAAATTCAACAATGTGTATTTTAGAAACATGACCAAGTCATGTTTATCCTAAGCAGGGTCTGTTTACCATTTAGAAATTTATCAACACAATTTATATTAACAAATTAAAAAAATCGTATAACTCTCAATATACCCCCAAAAAGTATTTGACCAAATTCAATATTCATTCCTGATTAATTTTTTTCTCAATTAGATAAATGGCATACAGGAAAAGTCTATGGCTGACTTCACACTTAATGGTGAAGGACTAAATGCCTTCCCCCTAAGATAAAAAATAAGGCAAGAATGCCTACTCTCATTGTGTCTATTCGTCATCATACAGAGTTTCTAGCTGGTGCAATGAGGCAAGGATAAAAAATAAAGGCATTAAGATCAGAAAGGAAGAAGTAAAGATGATTTTTATTCACAGATAACCTGATTACCTATGGGGGAAATCTGATGGAAGTATACAAAAAAATTACTAGAACTAATAAGTGAGCTTAGAAAACTCACAGGATACAAAAAAGACAAAAGTCAATGTGTTTCTATTACCAGCAATGAGCTATCAAAAATTGGAATAAAATCATATTCACAACAGCACCAAACTTGTGAAATATTTGGGATAAATGAAAAACAATGCACAAGACATGAACTTTGAAAATTATAAGCCATGCAGAGATAACTTTTAACAGATCTAAATAGAAGGAGAGATATATTGCCTTCTTGAGTTACATCTTGGCTTCAACCACTCCTGCTGCCAGCACTGATTTTCCTTGTAAAGACTTTTTCCTTGCCATTACCGCTTGTCCTAAAAGGAAAACCCTTTTAGGTTGAACAAACCTCTACATGTACCCCCTGAATCTAAAATAAAAGTTGAAGTTATAAAAATAAATGAAATATGTTTCTTGTCGGCAGCTTATAGTCGAATCTGGCATTTTCAGCCTATCTGAAAGCTCTTTTAATTAGGATATTTAAACTCTTTAATTTTATGTGATTAATTACATGGTTAGATTTAAATATACCATCTTGTTGTTTGTTTCATCTGTCCTTTGTTCTCCTTTACTTTTTCCTTCTTTCTTTCAATTAATTGAATATTTTTACAGTTCCATTTTATCTTCTCTGTTGGCTTATTCAATATGATTTTTTGTTATTTCAACAATTGCTTGGGGATACTTAATATTCCTATTTAACTTACAATAGTGTACATCTTTATCTTTAGTACACCTGTTTAACTTTAACTTCAAGTGATGTTATACCATGACACATATTGTAAGAGAACCTTCCATTTCTGCCTTCCTGTCTTCCAGTCGCCTGTGGATGAAGCACGCTACTGGCACCAAGTTATCTGCCTATGCTCTACTGCAAAAGGGGTTGAGCAAGTGAGACTTTTAAAAATGTTGACAAGGTAGAACTCACCCAAAATTAAGAGTGTTCAAAAATATCAAAAATATTGAGCGGCCAGGAACATAATGCACTTCCCATGTAGGCCAAATACTAGCATAAAACATAAAATTATAGGACACGATCTGTATTTTAAAATAAACTTTCTACCTTGGAAGTATAGGAATCCTTTTGTTAGTTGTCAAGACTAGGGAAGCCTGTGTTTTAATTCAGAAAGTATGCCCATTTCCATTTCCCTCAGATTCACTGGAAAAAGATTTCCAAAAACGTGTGCGTAGGTCATCATCAGGAAGACAAAATACAAAAACAGAAAAATAACCTAAGGGATGACTTCATAAAAAGCCTAAGGAGAAATAACCTATTTCTCTTTTCCCACTCTGCACTGGTTCCCAGGGAGTCATAAAGAAAATGGAGAAAGACAGACTACCTGTGATTATCACATGGGCAGACAGGAACCACCTTGTTGGAAGTCTTTCAAGAAGAGTTAGTGCTTGGTTCTCAGGGATTTTCCCTTACCTGGTTTCCTGAGTTAGTTATTTTTTTTCCTTTTTAAAGATTTCAGAAGTCCCAGGAAAAAATTTTAGACATCAGACTCATTGTTAACATTGTGGTTATAATTTAAGGCATTACTGGCAGTCGTGTGGAGCAGATAAGCCAGCAAGCTTTGAAGAAAAAGTACGTTTCTTTATAGGTGTCTTGAATTTCTAAAAGAATACTTTTTAATATAGCTTTATGTGGGTATAGTTTAAAATATAAAATCTGCTTCTCTAGGCCACCACAAGAACAAGAACAGAGATTTAATAGGCACACACACACACACACACACACAAACATACACATACACATATGTACAGATGCTCCTTGACTTATGATGCAGTTACATTTGGGAAAATCCATCATAAGTTGAAAATCTCCTAAGTTGAAAATGCATTTAATATACCTAACCTACAGAAAATCATAGCTTAGCCCAGCCTACCTTAAGCATGTTCAGAAAACTTACATTAGCCTACAGTTGCATGAAATCATCTAACACAAAGCCTATTTTATGATAAAGTGTTGAATAGCTCATGTAGTTGAATACTGAAAGTGAAAGAATGGTTGTATGGGTACTCAAAGTATAGCTTCTACTGAATGTGTATCATTTTTGCATCATAGTAAAGTTAGAATACCTAAAGTTGAATCATAAGTTGGGGACCATCAGTACAAAATACAGTATTTATATAATTCTGTGCCCACACTCCATTACAGGGCTTTAATCCTTCACCTAAAGAGCATTTATCTTAGTCTATTCCTGCTGCTGTAACAAAATACCTTAGTCTGGATAATTGATGAAGAACAGAAATTTACTTCTTACAGTTCTGGAGGCTGGGAAGTCCAAGATCAAGGAGATCAAGGCACCAGCAGGTTCAGCATCTGGTGAAGGCTTGTTCTCTGCTTCAAAGATGGTGCCTTGTTGCTGTCTCCTCACATGAAAGAGGGCAAAAAAGTGTCAAATAGGCTCCTTCAATCTCTTTCATAATGGGCATTAGGTGAGAGCCTCCATGACCTAATCACCTCTTAAAAGCCCTACTTCTTAACACTATTGCATGGGGGATTAAGTTTCAACATGAATTTTGGAGGGACACAAACATTCAGATCATAGCAGTACTTTTTGCCTCCCCTTGAGGAGTCCAGCTCCAGGCCAAAATCATCTGTATGCTCTCTTTTTTTTTGAGATGGAGTCTTGCTCTGTTGCCCAGGCTGGAGTGCAGTGGCTCCATCTCTGCTCACTGCAGGCTCTGCCTCCTGGGTTCATGCCATTCTCCTGCCTCAGCTTCCTGAGTAGCTGGGACTACAGGCGCCCACCACCACGCCCAGCTATTTTTTTTTTTGTTTTTAGTAGAGACGGGGTTTCACTGTGTTAGTGAGGATGGTCTCGATCTCCTGACCTTGTGATCTGCCCGCCTCGGCCTCCCAAAGTGCTGGGATTACAGGTGTGAGCCACCGCGCCTGGCCTCATCTGTATGATCTTTCATGTCTGACTATAGACATTTACAAAGGCTTTGCTGGCAGGCCTCATGGGGGAAGCTGCCCTTCCTTCCCAGACCTGGAGCACAGCCAGTGCAATGCAGTTTTCTGAAGGCGGTTGCAGTGAAAGACTCATGGCCCTTGGGTCTACCATGCTCATTTGCATATCTGCAAGTCTAGCCCAGGCACCTCCATTCAGAGACCTCCTTATGGGAGGGGAGGGCTTGACTCAGGCACTTTTCTCCACTCCTATTTCTTCCTGACCTCCTTCCTTCCCACCTGTGCTTTCATAAAAAGGCAGGAGCCTTTTGTTCAGGACTCCTTAGTGAGATGATTTTCCCCAGTTGGCACAGATCCTCCTGATGCTTGCCCAGAGCTCTTCTGTGGGGCCCTTTTTGCCTTTTGCCTGCACTGCTGCAGTAAGTGAACAAAGCCTTGATTGTCACTGTCAGTTTGGCTTGTTGTCCTAATTGGCCACCATCACACCTGGCTGTTCAGCACCCCCTCCTCAACTATACCCCAATTACTTGTGAACCTCTGCAGAGGTTCCCTCATGTAAGGTTCTCTCAGCTGCCTTGTGAAGCTCGTGGTTTCCTCTTCACTGGTTCTCTGGCCCCGGAGACTGAAAACTGGGAAGTTCCCTCCTAAATGGAGTTGCTGCTGGCACTGGTGCCATCTCCCAGGGATGGTGCTTCTCTGCTTAGCTGGTCTGCTGTATCAGATCCATCCTGTGGACAACAGGAGTATTGCTCGTGCTGCCACTTTTCAATGGTCTTCCTGGTCTGCTCTGTCTGCTGAGTTTTCTTAGGAGGAAGATTCTCTCCCCCATGAATCTACACACCATTATTGAGACTCACAGCACCGTTGCTTTGTTTGCTTAGTGACTAGGGGTTTTACGTAATGAGTCTCAGTTACACTAGGATAGTATTTTTCTCTCTCAAGGACCCTGACACAAAGTAACTGGGGTAAGAGAATCACCTGAGTGATAGACATTTATTGTTCTCAGAATGATTCCTTCCCTGCTTGTAGCCCAGCATCATTAAACTCCTCCTTTCTGGGAATGGGGTGAATGCTTGCGTAAGATCTTTCTTGGCCACTGGTGGTTGCTGCTGTTCATTGACTCCCTTGATCTCCATTCCATTCCCCTAAAAGGAGAAGTTGGAAAAGCTCAAACTCCATTTCCCAAGGCTCCTTTATCTAAGGTTCTAGATTCCAGGCAAGACTCACCAGCCAGACACACGAATTTGATGGCAGAAGTGAGGCAAGACCCCGGTGGCTCACGCCTGTAATCCCAGCACTTTGGGAGGCCGAGGCGGGTGGATCATGAGGTCAGCATATCGAGACCATCCTGGCTAACACAGTGAAACCCCGTCTCTACTAAAAATACAAAAAATTAGCTGGGCGTGGTGGCCGGTGCCTGTAGTCCCAGCTACTCAGGAGGCTGAGGCAGGAGAATGGGGCGAATCCGGGAGGTGGAACTTGCAGTGAGCCGAGATCATGCCGCTGCACTCCAGCCTGGGCAACAGAGCGAGACTCCCTCCATCTCAGAAAAAAAAAAAAAAGAAGTGAGGCAAGACCCATCTTCCTGCCAGCTTTGGCTGATTGTGCTGGCAAGGAAGACTGCATGAATTACAGTTGCTCTGCACTGGTAATCTCCTGCCTTCTGGAGGTCCAGGAGCACCTGCAGCAGCTAAGCAAATGTGTAGCATGATCAGAGGTGTAGCACGATCAGAGCTCCAGAGGCAGCCTTGAAAGCTGTGGCTGGCCTAGGAGTTCAGCTCTGTGTTTTTGGCATGTCGTTTCTGGAGACTCAGGTCAGAACATTTTCCTCTAGATCCTGCAATGATTTTGTGAGCACCCAATTCCTGACAGTATATTACTGCTTTCATAAAATACCTAGAGTCCTTTTTGTTTGTTGTGCGGATTTTGACAGATACGTTGCTCTTATCAATAGACCTCTGGGATGCAAGTTTAAACTCAAGCTAGAAAGATACCCTGTCTCACCTCAACCCACCCATACCACATGTCTAACTATTTCTCCTTTGAAATACATTTTTTTCCTGCCCAGCCATGAACAGCACATGTCTTCTGATGGTTTTTTAAGAAGAAGATAAGTCATTTAAAAGTTCAGAAATAGTTGCTGGAGAACAGTTGCAGTTACTGTACACTTCTCCTTTCATCATTTTAATGGGAACTTCCTGGAGGGCGTTTTGCCTTGCATTTCTCATTTGCTATGGTCTTTTACACACAAATCTGAGGATTAATTCAAGATGGCCCCCTTTTTTTTTTTAAGCAACTGCAAGTGAAGACATACATACCTAATGATTATGTTGGTGGATTGGATAATGTTTCAAATGATAACTTCCTCCAAGGTAAACTCCATGTGCTGTAAAAATCGATGGATTTTGTTCTGCCAGAGAGAAGCGGGAGAGTTAGGATTGCCGACTGCAGACTCAGCGCCTCTGCCAACATTTTGGCTCTGTGGCAGTTCTTTCTGAGAACTCTGCCTTAGGTATTTCTGAAGCAGTGTCAGAGGCATTTTTACTATATGGTGCTATATTCAATTAATTCAGAAGGATAAATATACAGCTTAAGACAATGGAATTTTTTTGACTGCCTAAGTCTCTGGCCAAGGTTTCTATTCTGGCACATTAAAATAACATGACCGCATCAGAAGCAAAACCCTAGGCAAAAAGCAGGGAAGCCAGGGAGCTCCCTCTTTTTAGGTAGTGGAATGGTGTGAGATTTTCAATTTTATGTACTGCCGTTCTTTCCACACTATTTATTTTCAGACGGCATGGGTATTTTGGATGTGTAACCTATCTGCTCAATGATTTCAGCTGCAGTACTAACTTCATTACTTCAACCTGGCACCTTTGTTGCAGCAAGAGACAAGTAGCGCTGCTTAGCACAAACCAAGAGTTTTTTTTTTTTTCCTTCTGTATTTTCAGGAATGCCTTTGCTCTCTTCTCTGAGTTTGAAAGTGAGAGGCAGTTCACTGTTTTTCCAACAAAGTCAAGGCTACTCTTCTGATTGCTGTTTAATCAGACAATGGAAACTCAGACAGCTTACAATGGTGGCCATTGGTAGTTACCACTGGTTAAAGCTTACATAATTGCCCCTAGGCCCTATGTTTCATGTGATAAATCTGTGATCATCCATAAAGTGGTTGGTTATCTAAATGTTGCAGTCTATAATTTGCAAGCTATCCTTTATGTGGGGGCAAATTATACATTGCCATCTTCTTGTTCAAGTTACTTCTCCTGGACAAAGATATCTTAACCATACTAAATGCTGGCTGGGTTTTTGGATGAAAAAGGCTGAAAAGATTACTTGGAACAGTTTGCAACATGAATACAACTTAAGTATCATCCTACCATTTCTGTATCTCAGAGGTAGGTGGGGATAAACTGCAGGTGCATCTCTTTGCCAGAATATATAGTAACATATTTTGGGAAGATTGTATAATGTAGTGCCCATTTTTACCATAGGTTTCATGAGATAATTATAAAGCACTAAAGCAAATCAGCATACTAGACTGGTTGAATATGCTAACATTCTAATTTTGTATAGAGGGTGATTACTGTTATTATTTATAGAGTGCAGTAAGTATATATAATGCTTTATAAACACGTAGGCAGACAAGGTGCCCAGAGGTGCCTAAATTCTAATTGCTTGAATTAGACATTTTAAATGAAAAAAAGCTACTCTGCAAAAGTGGAAAGAGACTAGGCATGAAATTGTGTTAAATAAGTGTTTTTGAAGAACTGAAGGATAAAAGCAACTGTTCTTTTAGATTTAGGTTGAAGTTGCTCCATAGAAGTCAAGAAGAACCAAAGTACTGTAACTAAAACCATCTAAAAACACTTCTTGAAACATTAAGAGAAATTCCAACTGGTTCCCATAAATTCAGTTCTCCCCTACTTGCCCAGGTCTAGGTCTGCATTCCAAGTTCCCAGAGCACAACTCACAGGGAGTTCACAAAAAAGGGGGGAAAAGATGACTGTGGGCTCTTTGAGTGGAGAGACCAAGTCTGATAGGTACAGACTTTCTAAATCCATTCTCTTGGCTAGGACTTTTCTTGACCCAGTAATGGGGAAAATGAAAACTTTGCAACTAGCGGCAGTGCTTTCACAGATAAGCAAATCTACATATAGAGGTACCCTTTATAAAAACACGTAACGATCTACCCTTTAAGGAAGCCCTTCTTAAAACTTGAACTGGAAACAACAATGAATTGTCCTTTTACTATTGATCATTAGGTTTGATAATGTCACAAAGATGTTCTTTGATGTCAGTGCAGTCCACTTAGGAAGAGTGTTCCATATATCACAAAAGATTCAGGGAATGGTCTATTGTAAGTTCCATACGAAAATCTATGATGAAGTACAGTTACCACATATAAACATATGTGTAAGTAAAATGTCCTTATTTCTAAATATAATAGCCGAGTCCAACTTTCATCACAAAATTATTGCTAATCTGTCATTATCCACAAAATAGTTGGTTATCTAAATGCTTCTTCATTAACATTTTAGTATGAAATTTAACTTGGCACTACCTTGGGAGTACTATTTATAAATGTATAATGTCAACTACTTGTTTTGGTTATGATATTTTTGAAATTTGAATTTATTGAGTTTATCAGTTTAGGCCTTCTTATCAGTTTAGGACTCCTTAAAAAGGAATTGGCCACTTCGATTTTTGTCTTCAGGGTTAACTCTATCTGATTAGAGGGCACTACACAAGCCGTTCAAATACAAAACTATTAATATATCATGAAGCATAAAATATTAAGAGCCAGCTCAAGTCCTGAGAGAAGTTACAGGCAAATGCCAGTGTTTTTTGCCAAATTTGCTATGCTCTGAAACAAGTGTTTAAAATGTTTTGATCATGTTTTCTTTATGATGAGCTATTTTAGCCCTCTTCTAAATGTCACTCTAGAAACATACCTACATAATTGAATAGATTTATTAAAATCATTTTGGCAATATTTTATAAGTGGTGTATATATATGTGTGTATCTCTGTCTATATACATATATATGCATATATGTATAGCTACATATACAAATACGTATATATAGGTATGCTATAAATATGTACAAGATTGGTGCTAACTGGTTTTCAGGGGCCTATAGGAAGGTAAGTCCTATGAGAAATAATTAATTTTTATTCTTATTCTTGTCTTTTTAAAATTTGCTTTTGTGTTACAGAAAATGAGAAGCTGCCTCCAGGATAGGGGGAGCTTGTTTTGCTGTGGAGATAGCTTCTAGAAGGACAGAATTATGATTCTCCATAGTTTTGCCAACATGTATTTGCTAGAGGGTTTGGCTTAGAAGCTTTAATGGCTATGGAGTATGTGATGAAAAGCCACTGCAGTATTAAAGTAGTTACCTTCCCACTCCAAGACCCTACTCTTTGACACCCAACAGAGCTATTCCTTCCTTGTAAACATGATGTTCTGGCTCCATAGCTATGGATTGATGTACGTGTGTGTGTGTGTGTGTGTGTGTGTGTGTGTGTGTGTGTGTGTGTGTGTGTGGCTAATTTTCTACCTGGTCCCTTTATTGTGCTTGACAATTGAACCACCTGGCCATAAGCGGCTTGTGTTTGAGAGCATAGTCATAAACATTGGCCTGTGGCCTGTTGGGCTATAATTGCAGTTGCTGGACTCTGACTCTCCTCACACTGATTAGGGCACAGTCCAGGGCACGTTGAGCTAACAGTGTTTCTGAACTCACCACCAACACATATACCCAACTTAAATGATGTGCTGCTTCCTAAGCAATGGGAAATATTTGTAATGTACTTTGAACAGTGCTTCTGAGGTCCAAACCCCCAAAATTTAAAACATGTACATGGTAATAGACCAATGCGAAAGAAATCTCACAGGTTAAGGGCAGCAAGTGATGTTTCTACGGACAGTTCAAATCCTCACTCAGATTGAGTCACTGTTTAGCCATTGGTAGTTACTGTTTTCAGAGTTCATTTTTTCCTCTCCTTTTCTTTCCCCTCTTTTTTCTCTTCTCTTCCCCTTTCCATCTTTTCAGTTTCATACATACATACATATGCATGTGTGCATGTGTATATACGTGCACATGTGTATATATGTGTAAATATGTGTATGTATATACACATTTGTTTCACATATATGCTATAGGGTTCAGCTTAAAACAGATTTTAAAATGTTATGTTATACTCTTTAAAAAATAATTCAGTCAACATATATTTATTAAGTGCCTGCTGTTTATACCAGGCACTGCACTGGGTCCTAAGAAAAGAAAAACAGAATTCCTGCCCTGGAGGAGCTTGTAAGTTGAGAAGGAAGGCAGACATACAAACAACCAATCACATCAGAAAGTAAAACAGTTGTTGTAGAGTTGTGAACAGAAGGCAGTGGGAAATAAGGAAGGAGGGCTTAGGCTTGCCACATCAAATAAGCATTACTTACTGTGGCATGTTAGCCAGGCTGATACCTGCTAATATGGCATCACTTACTTGCTGCATTGAACGCTTGGAACGAAAACTGTGACCCAACAAAGAAGGTTCCTGTGTACCAGCATAGCTGCCTCTTGACAATTTTGTTTTCAAATCATGCCTTTAATTTGTCAATGACTTGCCTATTCCCACACTATCAATCTGAATTAGCATTTTCAGGAACAGTGATTCCTACTGAAAAATTGCTGCTTTTGAAAGATGCAGAACGAGGAACTAGTTATGTAATTCCTTCATGATGTCAGGGTGCTTTCACATTTGCACGTTAAAAAATAGGACGGTTACAGTTGCAAGAAGCCCTCGGGGCAATGAATCTACAGCCTTCTCTAGTACTCCTTTGTTCTAATTAGGAACATGCTGGGCTGTACGTTACTTATTTTAATTATTCTATTTATTCGTGAAATCTAATGCATCGTTAAGGATATCCATAATTTTGTCTAATTAGCTAGAATTTGAATTTTCAAATGCGGGAGTGTTTAAGATCATTAAACCTAAGACAGTAGACTAGGATCTCAGGCTTGCTTCTATTCTGTTGAGCTTCCATTTGAGAATCAAGAGTGTTAATGAAACTTTCTGCTGCTTCATCCAGATCTGACTCTACTTCAGTAACTTTAAAAAGGTTGAAAAACAGTGTATGTGGATGGAGAATATTTTTGCCTCTTTTACTTGCCACTTCCCACTCTCTACCCTTTCCATTAAAAATATTTTAATGAATAAAAAGTCATCTTGGCGATTAAACAGTGTCTGGATTCAGGAAGCAAGACGCTCGCAGTTAAAAACCGTTGCCACTCGACGGTGGCAAAATTGCTGGCTGCACTGGAGATCACTGCAGAGCGCTCCTGATGCCTCGATGCTGACGGCGGATCTGGCGCGGGCTGGGGCGCATTGCACATTCTGCTCCAGCCGGGAGGCGGCGGGCGGGCAACTCCGGGTTGGTCACTCGGCAGCCGGCAGAGGTGCGCAGAAGGCGCACAGAACCAGGCACTCAGCCTCAAGGATGTCTGGGTCTCTGCTAAGGGACAAACGCTCCAGGAACAAGGAACAACCTCTAGCCATCCCAGCACCACCTAACGAACCTTCGTTTGGCTCTCTCGCAGAAAGTCTCTTCTATTTTTGGCCCCCAAGACAATTTCAGAGAACCAGTAAAGTTGGGTGACAACGTGGATCGCTTTCTAGTGTAAGGTCCCGGGGAATGGCAAAACTCAAATGTAGCCTCACTGATGAGCTCAAGGAACTCTGCTTGGAGTTGTCACCCCTACGACTGACCTCAGACCCAGGACCCAAGGGCGGGGCCCTCTTGCATCTGGAATCCAGCCTCGGCCTTGACCCCTTTCGCTTGTTCGGAGTGCTTTCGCCCAGCTTCTGGCGGAGGTTCACGCAGGGAGGGGACTCAGGTGGAAAAGGCTGGCCCCTTTGATCTCTTTGCAGGAACTTAGTAGACAGGGGCCCCGGGCTGGAGATTTGCTTCGAGTAGGCTAGAGGCGCCCTTGGCGCACCGAAGCTGGCTGCCTTGCTGGAACCTGCCGCGGGGGTGGAGGTTGAAAGGACTCTGAGCTCTTCTTCCCCAAGCCGAACTCCCTCCTACAGGAGCGTGGAAACCAACTCTCCCACACCGTCTATCCCACTCTTCCCCCCTAAACCTCTAGCGCAGCTTTTTAAAGGCATCCTGTGCAGCCTCCAACTTTGGGGAAAGAGAATGCCCAACTCCCGCTCTCCAACTACCCGTACTGCCTTCTTCCTTTTCCTGCGGTCGCCTCCAAACTCTGCTTCCCTGGTATCCCCGCCCCGACCTGGAAGCGAGCGCCCCCGGCTGCTCGCGGCAGCCCCTCGGCGCCCGTTTGCAGGGAGCGAGCTCTGGCTCCTCACAGGATCCAGACGCGGTTCCCATCCGTCCCCAGCCCTGCAGGGCACACGCGCGCGTGCACACGCACGCGCTTACACTCCAGCTCACACTCGCGCGTCCTCACTCCCTGCACCCCACCCTCCGCGCCGCTCCTCCGCGGGGTGGGGGGTGGTGGGGGTGACGTCAGGACTGCAGTCCAGAAGAGAGCGGCTGGAGAGGGCTGCGCGCTTCTCGCCAAGCAAGCGGGAGGCGCACTGGGGCCGCCGCCGTTCCCGCGCTCCTCCCTCTCCTCTGCACCCACTGTCACGCTACCCGCCCGCGGGGGAGCCTCGAGAGCCTCCAGGTGAATTGAAAGTCGTTTCCGGGGGAGGACGGAGAGGGTGCTGCAGTCCTGGCATGCCCTGAAACTGCAAGTCGGGCAGAAACGACCCGGCGGAGGAGCAGGGCGCGCAGCGCCCTGCGCAGCATCCCCGGGCTGCCAGAAGAGGCCACCACTCGGCTGGCAGCCGCGAGCGGCGGCCGAACCTCGGCCCCAGACTCGGGCCCCCGGCACGCTCGCCCGGGAGATACCCCTTCCCCCTCTTGCGCATTTCGCAGCTGCGCTGGTGTGGGGCATGAGAGCGAGGTGGCTCCAGGTCTCCGCGGAGCAGCTGCCAGTGGGAGAGCGAGGAGAGGCGAGGGGGCGGCAGCCTCGGCCCGAAGTAAGTGCAGCAGAAGTTTGCGTCGGTTGCCCCGCCGCTCCCCCAGCGCGAGTGGGAGGCACATCTCCCCTCCTTGGATAAGGAAACCGAGGGGAGACTTACAAGGGAGCCTTGCGCGGGAGAGCAAGTGAGCGTTTCGAGAGAGGGCAAGGACCCCCCCAGGAGGGCCAGGCCGGGAGGGGTCCCGGTGCGGTGATGGGGTGCCAAAAGGAGAAGACCCCCAACTGGGAGGAGGGACTGGAGAGGAACCGGACCCCGGGGATCTCAGAAAGGGAAGGATGTGGGGAGAGTGAAGGTGGAGGCAGTCACACCTATCCTGGTGACCTTGGCGTGCCCCCCTGGAGTGGCGAGCCAGGGGCTTATATAGGTGCGACTAGGATGTTGCCTCGTTTTTCACTCGGGGCTGCGAAGAGGGCATTGCTCTTTCTGATGGCTGGAAGACAGGGGCAAGGAGAGAGAGAACCGGCCCCGAGACGGGCTGGAGGGTGGGGACACTGGGGAGTTTGGAGCTGGGGGTTCGGAGTGGGAGGTTTGGGTCTTCTGAGACGCTCCAGACTCTCCGGAGGCGGCAGAGGTCGAGGCAGGAGGCGAATGTGACGCTTAGGGTCGCTACGGTTGATGTTGGGCGCCTTTGGAAGCTGGTCATTAATTCTTGTCATCGGGAGGTTTCGCGGAGGGCGACAGCGCCCGGGAGCAGGGTGACCCCCACAGCGGCCGGCCTTCCGGCTGGCTGCCCTCCCCGCTCGCCGCTCTCCCCGCGCCGCTGCGGGTCCTCCGAGACCCCGGACTGTCCTGAGCTGCTTCGAGGGCGGGCGAGACCCTGTCTGTTCAAAAGAGACCCTCGAGACCCTCGACATTCTGCTCACTTCTTTTCGGGGGCATGTTTAGCTCTTTTGGGCTCTCTCCTTCCTAATGGGATTCTCCCAAGGAGGTTTTCTTCTTTAACTGACCCTACTTCTCATAGGGGAAAAAAGTTCTTGGAATCTGCCCTCGTCCTAGGGTCAGAGCCCTGCAGAGGGCAGGCGAGGACGGCGTGGGCCAGCTCGCCTACCCTGCTCTCACCTGGGGAGGGTTCTCAGGAATTTGATATTAAATTTGATGAAACGATCCTAGGAAAGTGGCTAAGGCATCTTCTCCGAGAGTAGGAGTTTCTGTGCTTCGGGAATGGAAATCCCACTTAGCTTCTGATACCAAGTCTACACTTCGGAGAGAGAGGGAGATAGTTAATTAAAAACTGATTCAATTGAGTTGAAGACAAAAGTCATTTGTAATGCATCCTGGTCACCCAATTTCACTCCATCCCTCCCATACACTTTATGGGGCCCAACTATGTATGTGCCAGACATTGTGCTAGATGCTCCTGCAACAGAGATGATTCATGTGTGGTCTCAGCACTTTGGGAGCTTACAGTCTGTGCTAGAAGTGGTTTGGAAAGAAGGTGAAGATGCTTGCTCTACAGGGAAGGGCAGGTGCTACCTGGTTTTAACCACAATGACTCACACTCGCAGCCCATTAAGTGTATGGACAAATATTTGCAAGACGGTATCCTCCTTGAAGGCGGGATACTGTCATTCATCTTTGATTCCCAGAGACCACCACTGCACCTGCACATAGTAGGTCATCAGCAAGTACTGTTAAATGAATAAATGAATGCATGAATTATGCATAGTTAAAAGTAACCTAACGAAAACTGTCATGCTAGGGGAACATGTCAAGAAGAGACTGAAATAAAGGGAATTGGAGAAGGCAAGAGGGAAGAGAAAATAAGGTTCATGAACGTTCGAAAGTGTATATCCTTAAACAAGTGTTTGTTTTCTATCTTTATGCAATGGAAATTACCAGCACCCATCTCCGTTCTCTATGAAATACGTGCATCTCTGAACACTTAGATTGTAAATGCCATTTTTAGAGCAGAGTCTCTGTTAACTTACCATGCAGAGATCACAATACCCTTCTCATGTGGCTGTGTTGATAATAAGATGATTGGAATGTGTCTAGGTAGTGAGGCAGATGGGTGAAAAATACTTTAGGATTATAAGAATTCCTTCACGTATCTAATAATATTTTGCTACTAATGTATGAATTTATACCCTTGTGCTTTAAACGTACTTCATTTAAACCTCATTAAAATATGCATATATTGATTTTACTAGTGAAGATTAAACACATATATGGAAGACTTTCCTTGGTTTTATTAATTGAGCCCAAGTTACTATTGCAGTACGGTAGAAGGTGATAAATTCCAAGGTGAGTAATAAGGATTCCATCCCCCTCCACCCCCTGCCAAATTTAGTTTCATTATTCATTATTTCAGAAAACTAAGGCTTCATAGTTTTTTAAAAGTGCACAACAAGGCCAGTCACAGTGGCTCACTCCTGTAATCCTAGCACTGTGGGATGCTGAGGTGGGCAGATCGCTTGAGCTCTGGAGTTTAAGACCAGCTTAGGCAACATGGCAAAACTTGTCTCTACTAAAAATACAAAAAAAAAAAAAATTAGCTGGCATGGTGATGTGCACCTGTGATCCCAGCTACTTGGCAAGCTGAGGTGGGAAGATCGCTTGAGCCCAGGAGGTCAAGGCTGCAGTGAGCTGAGATCGTGCCACTGCACTCCAGCCTGGTTGACAAAGTGAGACCCTGTCTCAAAAAAAAAAAAAAGTGTACAACAAAACTACTTACTTTTGCACTCCTTTTTCAGTGTTTATCAATGATAATTATAACTCAGTAATTTGAGTCAAGAGTTTATAGGCATTAATACTGGTTTTAGTTTTTGGAAACTTTTCAGTGCTATGTGATTTGGGGCAATTTGTAGAATATTTGTAAATTTTATTTTCTCTACTTACAAAATGAGATTATTGTAATTACATGATTTAATTAGGCACTGAAAATCAAAATATGTTGATGTAGAGCATTGCTTTGTTTGGGGCTTTGTATTCTGTAGTTAATGTCATTAATTTAGTATACCAACACTGAGAAGCAATTTGTAATTTGTGAATAGGAAAAAAATAGTATATTTTCCATTATTGAGTATCTTGCAGATATTTAAGACATCAGAGCTCTAGGAAGAGTATTGTGATTGTGGATAATTTATGGTGGCTTAAAATTTATATTGTAGAAGTAAATGTAAAGAAATACTAAAAATGGTAGCTAAATGTTGGAATTCTTTAACCAAACATTGAGATGTTTCTTCTGTGGTAGATCTTTGATTTGGATTATTTCCAGAACTGCACTGTTAGATCAAATGACAATTTGAGTGAGTCTTGAAATTTGGCAAGAAGCACACTCTAGGAGGCAGAAGTTTATTTTGGAAATTTAGTTAAGGGACAGAAATGCTGAGGTTATAGGAATGTGGGGTCGTAGATTACCGAGTTTAGAAAATATCTGGCCTCATTTTGCAGATGAGAAAACTGGAGCCAAAATAGTGAAGGGTCTGCATTTCCCAGGATCACACTCAAATGCATGAGTCCCTTATGTTGTCGACCGTAGGCTTAAGAGAAAAATCACACATTCAGGATACCTAAATCCAGGGGCAGTCTAACGGATCGGCTATCCTATTTTTTTTTCCTTTTTGAGACAGGGTCTTGCTCTATCGTCCAAGCTAGAGTACAGTGGCATGATCTCTGCTTACTGTAGCCTCAACCTCCTGGGCTCAAGCAATCCTCCGATCTCAGCCTCCCAAGTAGCTAGGACTGCAAGTGTACACCACCGTGCCTGGCTACTTTTTGTAGGCACAGCCTCCTGCCTCAGACTCCCAAAGTGCTGGGCTTACAGGCATGAGCCACTGCACCTGGCTGGGTCTGCTATCCTTGAATTTGTCTTTTCTCTCATTCTCTCTGGCTCACACCGTCCAGTTGCTCCCATCTCTGAGAGCGGTCTCCCATGCCAACCCCCTACTTTCACTGCTCCTTCTGCCTGATCAGGTCCTTCTGAGGACAGGGCAGCAAAGGACTTGGTTGGGGTCCTGTGGCTCCCAGTTTCAGACACGGGCCTGGTCCTAGGCAGAGCTGTGAAGTCAGTGAAGCTTGGACTGGGTGTTCCCCACATCTTCTTTCCTACATGTGGACACCAATGTACATCAAAGAATCACAGTTTCAGACACAGAAGGGACTGCGAAGACCATCTGGTTCATTTTAGAGATGAGGGAACTTGGGCCCAGAAAACGTTCTGTAGTTTTCATGACACAGCCATGGTCAGGATCTCCTGGGTGGTATTGGTGCTCCTTTTGACTGCTTGTGCTCTCTTCTCCATTGGATGGTGCTTGCATCTGATCACTCCATAAAGTGAGCATGTGGACTCTGGAAGGAGGCACCTGTGTCAAGTTCCAACCCTGTCTCTCCCCACCTATGCAACTATGGGCAAATTACTGAAGTTGTCCAATACTTCCCTTTCTTTTTCTTTTCCTTTTTTTTAGAGACTGGGTTTCTCTTTGTCACCCAGGCTGGAGTGCACCATTTCAATCATAGCTCACTGCAGCCTCGAACTCTTGGGCTCAAGTGATCCTCACACCTTGGCCTCCCAAAGTGCTGGGATTACAGGCATGAGCCACTGTGCCCAGCCATTGCTTTCTTTATTAATAATTTTTTATTTGTTTTGTTTTATAGCTTAATATAATTGCTTTTCCTCCAGATCGTAAGTTTTAAGAAGGGAAGGAACCAAGTGTTTCTTGCTCACTACAGGTCTAAGACCTAGCATACTGTTTGGCACACAATGGACACTTGATGAAAATTTGTTGAATAAAGGAGTAAATGAATAAAAGAATGAGTGAGTGAAGTATGCATCACTTAGATAGAACTGGAATCTTAATCATGAGAGCCACAGCCTTCTAAAGATTCTAACTGTGAAGTACTGTTTCCTTTGCTAACATTACTTTATGGATAGACGTGACCCTAATATGCCTGCTCCCTGCTTCTCTCACTTATTCCTTCTCTCAGTAAGTGGCAGCCCCATTTTTGTCATTACTTGAGCCAAAAACCTCGGAGTCATCCTCTTACAGAAAGCATTCAACCCATTAACCAATCCTGCAGCTAGGCCTTCATTATGTAATCCCAATCTGACCAGTTATCACCACATCCCTTCCTGGCAGCCGAGACCAAGCTGCAGTCATATCCCTGAATTATTGCAGTGACTTCCCAACCTCTCTCTGCTTCCATCCTTGTACCACCCCCAAAGTCTAGATTCCATACACAGCCACAGCAATACTACTAACACATAAGGCAAATAATGTGACTCCTCTGCTTAAATTTTATAATATTTTCCCATTTCTCTCATAGTAAAAAAAAAAAAGCCCTTACAATTACAAATAAGATTCTACATGATCTACCTGCTCTGACTTTCTGATTTCTCTACAACTTCCCTCTTTAATCACCATGCTTCCACCACATTGCCATCTTCCTGTTCCAATAACACACCACACTTGCTGTCATCTAAGTAACTTTGAACTTATCTTTGAACTTCTCCAGATAACCTGCTTGACTTCTCCACTTCCTTCAAATGTTTTCTCAAGTTCATCTTTTCAATAAGGTCTTTCTTGGCTACACTATTTTAAATTACATCCATCTAACTTTCTATCCTTTTTTGCACTAATTTCCCTTTTAGCTCTTTGGCTATAAGAAATTCCATACATTTGATTCACTTCCATCTTTTGTTTCTCTCCCCTACTAGAAGGTAAACTCCATAAAGGAAGAGATTTTTTTTTTCTGTTTTGCTCATTTCTGAATCCCTAGTGGCTAGAACAATTCCTGCCACATAGAAGGTAGTCTGTAAATATTTCTTGAATAAATAAATGGGAATAAAATAGTACCTATATCATAGAGTCTTGTTATGATTAAATGAAACCATGCACATTGAGTGTTTAGCACAGCGTCTGGCACTTGGTACATGTTTATTTAGTATAAGACATTATTATTATGGTGTCATCTCAGTTCTCCTGGCCTTTTAGTCCCTCTTCTGGCCAGAATTGTGGTCAGAGGCAGAACTCTTCTAGAATCCCTAATACTATTTTTGGAAATGACTTTGAAGAAGTCCCAATGGCTGTTTACATCTGCTGCTGAAGATAAGTAGGAAATAAATGCATTTATCTCTCCAAGATATGGCATAATCCTTTCCGTGAAATACTTTCTGTCTTAGGGATGCTGGAAGGTTGCGGTTGTGCCTTTCATCCTCAGGGTGAGAGAGCCACATTCTCTCATGTCCATGCAAGTCGTCCTCAAATGGGTTGGCCACCTGTCTTGGTTTTTCACAACTTTCCTGTCTCTCACTTTTGGGTTTGCCTCTTGCTGGTCTTAACATAGCTGTTCTCACTGATGGCCTCCTGAACCAGCAAAGTTTAGCTGGAGGAGTTATGAGGTCGTATCAATTAACCAATGAAGCATTACATGAACAACAAAAACTAATAATAAAATGACCCCTGTAAAGCCCTCCCTAGGGCTAGTAATAGCCTGTATAAATAGCCTAAATAAATACTTCTTACTTGCTTAATAATAGCCTGTAGCTGTTTAAATGCCCTGTTGTCTGGGTTGATAGGATATTTTCACAGCTTTACCAGGACATTGTGAGCAGATATTGCGTGTACGTGTTAAAGTTTAGTACCTTATTACATTTATGTATAAATTAGCATACTATACAGATCGTAATTCCTACTAGCTCAAAGCAGTCAAATTTTAGAAGTTGACTCCACAAATAGCACCTTCAGTCCTGAGTGTTTACAATGGTTTTGCTTTACCAGAGAAAAATGTCATGTTGTGCCCATTTTTCATGCTAGAAATAGAAAGAGAGCCTTGGGTTTAGTACTTGTAGGTTACCAGGTCTTTTCTTAGCCTGCTCCATGACCTTGTCCAATTTCCATTAGATTACAGTGGCTTTTCTGGAGCCAGGAAAAGTTACTACAGCAGCAAAAATGGGGCCAACAACCTTAAAGTGCAGCATATCTATGAGAAATTCATTTTATTGTAACTGTAAAAGAGATGCAGACAGTACAGTTCTTTAGGGAAGAGGGAGAGAAGAGAAGTGAACAGAGAACTTGGGGTGGGTGGGAGGAATTTGGACTCCAGTTATAATCATACAATGAGACAATGAAATGAAAGAGGGAGTGACTTTCTAAGGGGTACACATTATTTTTTCTTTTGCCTAGTTCATAAACACATTTTATTCTGAACACTCTTCATAAGTAGGTTGTTGGGAAGTATTTTCTAATAGAAACAACATTATATGTGGAATGTAGGTTTCCAGCTGCCTTGGGGAAACCTATTTAATTTATGGCTGAGCATTCAAAAATAATACTATAGTTTGCTTTTTCATATGGGAAAATGAGTCTTAATTTGTAATTAATAAAATCTTAATTGCCATCATGTTACACCATGAAGATTCAGGTTGGGCATTTTTGTAAGTAATCTCTTCCTTGACTCCTTGCTAGTTTACTTAACAGAACAGGAGAATACACACACACACACACACACACACACACACACACACACACACAAATATATTGTATTTTGTTGTGTATGATACATATATAAAACATACTTATATAATCACTCTACTGAACAGACAATATCGAATCCACTTTATTTGCTACTTAAAAATTAACATAAATAATATTAAGTTAATAAAATGTAGCCTCCGGAGTAGCTGGGACTACAGGTGCATGCCACCTCGCCCGGTAATTTTTTGTATTTTTAGTAGAGACGGGGTTTCACCGTGTTAGCCAAGATGGTCTGGATCTCCTGACCTTGTGATCCGCCCGCCTCGGCCTCCCAAAGCGCTTCTGGTTGCCTTTTTTTGCCCTCTGTATTCTGGTCCCTCGGGCTCCTTGATGCAAAGTGTGACCAGCCCTCCCCCTAGTGGCGATTAGAACATCTTCCCTCCATGCCCTGGTTAATGCCAGGAACTTGTTTTCACCTGCTATAGTCCTGGCATGTGGGCTGGGCGCTTCTCCTTCTCAGCAGTCTCCAGAGATCGGGAGTGGAGACCCTCCTGGCGGTCACCTATATGTATAGAGCAGAGAGATGTCCCAGCAAAGAAAGTGCAGTGTGGGAGTGGTGGAGGGAGGATCAGAGAGACACTTTGAGTCTGAAGTTTCTTTTCTTTGCAAGAACGGGACATTGCCCTATGTACTTCCTGATCTGCACCTAGCTTTATACCATGGCGTCCCATCTGCAAATTCCCTGTGGACTAAAAATCTGATTGTAGGTTTCTTCCCTGTTCTCTGATTTCTGAAAAGTACAAAGACGACAAGATTTTCGGAAGGTTTTTATTTGAGATACGCTGGCTCTCTGCAGGGGGAAAAAAGCCCTGATTTGAACTGTTTGCCAATTTCTGTATCGTAAATATTTCTGCTGTGGCCAATTACAACATGACATCAACTGACTTAAAAAGTCTTAAAAACTTAACAGTTGGCTCTCGTGAATATGTACAAACTGGTCCCCATACTGCACTGTTTTCACGGCTAACAATGATGTAAAAGAAAGGGTATGTTTTCCTCTTATTCTTTCTCCTCCTCCTCCTCCCCTTTTCTTCTTGGTAAATGTAGAGAAAATAAAAGGTATAGATCAGGGGGTCAGCAAACTTGTTGTATAAAGGCCCAGAGAGCAAACATATTTTAGACTTTGCAGTCCGCACTGATTTTTGTCACATACTCTTTTTTATTTTTTAAAAAGTCCTTTGAAAATGTAAAAACTGCATTTTTGTTTTTGTATTGCCAAAGAGCAATACAAAAACAAAAACAGGTTGAGAGTTAGATTGGGTTTGTGGATCTTCATTTGCTGATCCTTGGAATAGAACATCAGGGTGGGTCTTTGGAAACCGAGGACTGGTGTAATATATACAATATACTATATATATATACACAATATATATGTGTGTATGTACTTTGTATTATGCACACACATACACATATATGCATGTATGTGTGTGTGTATGTGTGTGTGTGTGTGTGTGTGTGTGTATATATATATATATATATATATATATATATATATATATAGTGAGCTCAGTGGTAAATAAGGAGAAATATGACCCCAGGGCTTCTTTTTTTCTTTCCTTTCTTTTTTAAAAAACAGCTTTATTGAGATATAATTCTTATAGTGTACAATTCATCCATTTAAAGAGTATAGTTGCATTTTTAAAAACAAATTTATAAGGTCATGCAACTACCACCACTATCTAATTTTGGAACATTTTCATCTCCCCTAAAAGAAACTCCCCTACCCAGTAGTTGCGGTTCCCTTCTTACCTTCCAGCCTGTCAGCCCCTGAAAACTGCTCATCTACTTTCTGTTTCTATGGATTTGCTGATTTTGGACATTTCATGTATATGGAATCATAACAGTATTTATCCTTTTGTGATTGGCTTCTTTCACTCTGCGTAATGTTTTAACTGTTCATCTGTGTTGTTGCATGTGTCATTAATTCCTTTCTTTTTATTGCCAAATAAAAGTTCATTGTATGGATATACCACATTTTATTGTCCATTTATCAGTTTATGGACATCTAGGTTGCTTCCAATGTTTGGCTATTATGAATAATGCTGCTATAAAGACTAAAATACAAGTCTTTTTATGGGTATATGTCTGTATTTCTCCTGGATAGACCCCTAGTAGTGGAGTTATTGGGTGATATGATAACTATGTTTAGCATTTTAAAGAACTGTCAAACTGGTTTCCAGAGCAGCTGCATCATCTTACATTCTTGCTGTCAATATGAGGGTTCCATTTTCCTCACATCTTTGCCAATACTTAACTCTTTTTTTGAGGATAGTCATCTTTCTGGATTTGAAATGGTATCTTGTGGTTTTGACTTGCATTTCGCTAATGACTAATGAGGTTAGGTATCTTTTCATGTGCTTATTGGACATTTGCATATCTTCTTTGGAGAAATGTCTATTCAAATTCATTGTCAACTTTTAAATTGGTTTGTCTTTTTATTATTGAGTGAGTTGTTAAGTGTTCTTTATTTTAGGTACAAGTTTCTTGCAAATATTTTCTCTCTTCCTGTAGGTTTTCTTTTCAGTTTCCTGATGGTTTATTTTGCAACACAAAAGTTTTAATATGTTGATGAAGTACAATTATCTGTTTTTTTTCTTTTGTTGCTTGTGCAACAAATGCAGATTCATTAAGATTTATTCCTGTGTTTTCTTCTAAAAGTTTTGTAATTTTAGCTCTCTTAATTTGTCTACATTTTATTTTAAGTAAAGATTTTTGTATATGGTGTGAGGAAGGGATTCAACTTTATTTTTATGCATGTGGATATTCAATTGTCCCAGCAACATTTGTGAAAAGTAATCAAATTTTCTTGACAGCCTTGTTGAAATCAATTGACCATAAATGTGAGGGTTTATTTATGGGGTCTTAATGTTATTTTATTGATCTGTATGTTCATTTTTATGCCAGTACCACATTATCTTGGATACTGTAGCTTTGAAATAAGTTTTTAAATTGGAAATTGTGAGTTATTCAACTTTGTTCTTATTTTTTAAGATTGTTTTGGCTATCTCAGTACTTGAGTTTCCACATACATTTTAGGGCCTGCTTATCAATTTCTGTGAAAAAGAAAAAAATAAACAGAGAGACAGCGCCAGCTGGGGTTGTGGTAGGAATGGTGTTTAGTCTATAGATCAATTTGGGAAGTAATGTCATCTTAACAATATCAATTCATTTGATACATGAGCATGGTATGGCTTTCCATTTATTAAGGTCTTAATTTTTTTCAACATTGTTGCATAGTTTTAAGAGTATACATTTTACATAAATTTTGTTAAATTGATTTTTAAGTATTTTATTTTAAATGTTGTTGTAAATGGAATTGTTTGCTTAATTTGATTTTTGAATTGTTCATTGCTAGTATATGAAAACACAATTGCTTTTTTTTATATTGGTCTTGTGCTCTGCAACCTTGCTAAACAAATTTATTTGTTTTAATAGCTTTTTGGTAGATTTTTAAAGGATTTTCTCTATGCATGATCATGTCATCTGTGAATAGACAGTTTTATTTATTTCTTTCTAATCTAGATGTGTTTTTCTACCTCCCTCCCTTTTTTACTTCCTTGCCTAATTGTCCTCGCTAGGTCCTGTAATACAATGTTAAACAGAAGTAGCACAGGTGGACATCCTTGTCTTGTTCTGGATCTTAGAAGTAAAAGCACCCAGTCTTTCACCATTAAGTATAATGCTAGCTGTAGGTTTTCCACAAATACACTTTATCAGGTTGAGGAAGTTCTCTTTCTCTTCCTACTTTGTTGAGTGTTTCTATCATGAAATGGTATTGGATTTTTTGAAATGCTTTTTCTGTATCCATTAAGATGATTATTTGATTTTTATTCTTTATTATATTAATATTACATATTAACTAATTTTTGATACTAAACCAACCTTGCATTCTTGGGATAAATTCTACTTGATTATGTTGTACAATCCTTTTCATATGTTGCTGGACTTAGTTTGTTGAGAATTTTTGTCTATATTCATAAGAGATATTGGTCTGTAATTTTCTTGTGATATTTTTGTCTGGTTTGAGTGTCAGGATAAAAGTGACTTTCTCCTTCTATTTTTCATTCTTAACACTGCTGTTCAGGCACTTTTGGGACATGTAAGATGAAGGGAAGAGAAGGAAGTCTAGGGCTGATAGTGAGTTCCAGTCAGCAGTATGGAAGAGGGGAGGAAAACCCTAAATAGATTCTATAGTGGGCCAAAGATTCTTGGCTGCCACATGGACACCAGGCGGGGACCTGTTATTGGGTATATCCTATGTAAAGAATGTGTCCTGTTCTGTTCTTTTTATACACATATTCATTCAGAATATTTATTGATCACCAGCTGCTATCTAATAAGAAGTAAACTTATTACCAAAAAGTTTAAATAGACCTGACTCCTGTCCTATGAGAACATATAGGTTAAAGGGGTAGGAAGACACAATAGAATAATTACAAACTAAATGTAAAATTACAGCTATGATTTGTATGATGAAGGGAAGATTCCTGGTGCTGTGAGAGCATATAATATAGGGGTTTGGTCTGGTGTTCTGGCGGTGGGAATAACATACCCCAAGGCCCTGCTTTAGGAAGAAGTGAAGGAAGGCCAGTGCTGGGGGAACACAGAGAGCAGGAGGAAGGGAAATAATGGGAAGGAGAAAGTAAAAAGAACCAGGCTACCTGCGGCCTGGAAGTCTGGTGATAGGCCCATGTCATTATCCTCAGAGCAGTGTGTTTTCACTTTTAAAATGTCTGTTTCTGAAGAACTGGGGGCCATTGCCTAAATGAAATAACCCAGAAACAGAAAGTCAAATACTACACTTATAAGTGGGAGCGAAACAATGGCCACATACAGGGTGGAATAGTAGACACTGGAGGCTCCAAAAGGTGAGAAAATGGGAGGGTGTGAGGGTTGAAAAATTACCTGTTAGATACAATGTTCACTATTTGGGAGATGTGTCCACTGAAAGTCCGGACTTTACCACTACACAATATATCCTTGTAAGAAAACTGCATTTGTACCTCCTAAATCTCTAAAATAAAAATTTTTTTAAAGGCAAAAATTAAAATGTCCTTGTCTGGATTCACCAGTTTTATTTTGGTTTCAGGTTTTCCTTCAAGAAGGAAATGTCATTCACGATTTCTGCTCTTTCCATTCCAGTTCTTTACATTTTTGAGACTCAAAGTGGAGGCAAGAGAGAAATGGAATTGAATGAAGGATTTGAAAATTGCTTTCAAAAGGCTGGTCACAGAGGGAAGGAAGGGAGAAAAGCAGGGTGTATTAGTCCATTTTCATGCTGCTGATAAAGACATACCTGAGACTGGATAATTTATAAAGAAAAATAAGTTTAATGGACTTACAGTTCAATGTGGCTGGGGAGGCCTCACAATCATGGCAGAAGACAAAAGGTACCTCTTACATGGCAGCAGACAAGAGAGAATGAGAGCCAAGTGAAAGGGGCTTCCCCTATAAAATCAGATCTCATGGGACTTACTTATTCACTACCACGAGAACAGTATGGGGGAAACCACCTCCGTGATTCCATTATCTCCTACCAGGTCCCTCCCACAACATGTGGGAATTATGGGAGCTGCAATTCAAGATGAGATTTGGGTGTGCTCATAGCCAAACCCTATTACAGGGTTAAGTTTATTGAACAGCAGCAGAAGGAGGGTACACACATCTGTCTGGTCCAATCCCCTAATTTTACAGGTGGATGCCCTGAGGCTCAGAAGCACTGGGTGACATCCTGGCTCACAGAGCTTGAGGTGGCAGAGCCAGAGAGGGAGCCTCAGCTTCCTGGCTTCCTTTTGAGTGCTCTTTCCTCTGACCCTCACTCTTCCCCAAGCTGAGCTCTGAAGGACAGGAAGAGAGAGGGCAAGATGCCAAGTAGAGGAGGCCCAATATGTACAGGCCTTGAGGCAGTCCTTGCGGAAGGCCACTGTGGTTGGAACAAGGTGAGTGAACAGAAGATGGTGAGAAATGCAGTGGAAAAGTTAGGCAGGGCCTTAACTCCTCAAAGAGGAGTGCAGATTTATTCTAAGGATGGTATGAGGCGTTTTAAAGGGGGACTAATGCAAAAAACATATATGGATGAAGAAGATGACTCTTCCTAGTTCATGGAGAATGGATTAATGGGGCCAGACAGAGGTGGAGAGTTGAGGTAGGAGTCTGTGGAAGGTGAAGTGGTGAGAAGTGGACAGACTAGAGCTTTGTTTTGGAGTTCAGATTGCCAGGACTTCCACATCACCTTTAAGGCATTTGTAAGAATTCCAAGAGGAAGGTGGCTATGCCTAGGCTGGAGAAAAAGGGCAGTGTGGATCCTCCTCTAGGCAGTTGGGTTATTCTAGAAGCAGATGTGTTGGCTCTTTCTGAAGCTCTGGAAAAGTATAAAGTTTTCTGTTGCGGTGTTCATGGCTTACCCTCCAGATGTTTTGACTGGCCGTTGCCCCACCAGCCTGCGGCCACTTGACACTTTGGATATCTCCTCTCAGGTATTCGGCTATAGCAGTAGTGGAGGAAAATTCTCCAAGAAATAAAAACTTTCAGGTGGGTGCGGTGGCTCACACTGGTAATCCCAGCACTTTGGGAGGCCGAGGTGGGCGGATCACTTGAGTCTAGGTGTTTAAGACCAGCCTGGGCAAGATAGCAAGACCTCGTCTTTATAAAATAGTTTTTTAAAAATTAGCCAGGCACGGTGGTTACACACCTGTGGTCCCAGGTACTCAGGAGGCTAAGGTGGGAGGATTCCTTGAGCCCAGGAGGATGAGGCTGCAGTGTGCAGAGAGCATGCCACTGCACTTCAGCATGAGTGACAAAGCAATACCCTGTCTCCAAAAAAGAAAAAAAAAAAATAAAGAAATAGAAACTTCCTTTCATCCGAATGCCCCTCCTTCTTTCCTAATGGAAAAATGGTTACCTATTCTTCAAAGCCTTCCTCAGATATTAAGCTTTACTATGAAACTATGAAGACTTGTGTTTATACACAATTATATGGCATTAATTATGCTCATCTAACCCTTTTTACTATGCCTGTATGGTCCTTATTACACCTAAACTGTTATCATTTTTTCTGTTTAACTCGGAGATACAAAGCCTAGAGAGATGAAGTAACTCACCCAAGGTCACAGGCAGTTGGGGCCCACAGTCTGAAAGCTTAGCCATTGTGCCATGTTGTCACTAGCTGGGAGCTCTCTGGGCAGCATTACTGATTTTCTCTTGCTTTCAACACAACTCTGTTATGTCGCACTTTCCCTATTATGTGAAGAGTTAATTATCTGATTTTCTTCTCTGGTTGAGAGTGAGCAAATTGAAGGTAGGAACTGTGTGTTACTTACTTTCATATTCCAGTGTTGGATGGATAACGGATGCAAAGTGAGTGAATGAATGACTAAAGAACATGAATGAATGAAGGGATGACTCAGAGAATAACTGAGAAAATAGAGTGGCAGGTGTGGGACGGGGCCTTCTGTTACCTTATGCAGACTGCACTTTTTCTAGGCCGAGGAGTCCCTGAGCTGCATTACAATTCAGGCCAGTGTAATTTCTGGCTTTACCATCACATAGTTTAAAATTTTCCATTAATCCTTTGGTGTGTTCTAATCAAATAATGCTGTTCTCAGTTAAACAGTTGAAGAAGCTCCCATTCTGGCAGGTATTATACTCTTTAACACAGTTGCTCTGTTGTCACCAAGGACACTTCTGCATCTGATATTGATTTAAATCTTCAGTTATGAAGGTCTTGAAGATGACTTTGTAGATAATGAAGATTGTATTGGCTCAAGAAACTGTAACAATGGAAAGAATATAGTGCATACTTGTTCATCCAATCTGAGAAACAGAGTAGCCTTATTGATAAGCAATTTACAAAGCATTTTGTTCTATGCTGATACAAAGTTGAAACATAGTGGGTGTTCTATTTGGTGTCAAGTGTTGAAAGTATTTTTGGAAAATTCATTATATTTTGGAGACAGTTCAAGTTGTGTTGAACTTTTACTCAAATAAAGATTTATATAGCTGTGCCTTGATTTTGAAAAATTTGTTTTATCAAAATCTGAATTGCAGAATAGATACATCAGAAACAAATGCCATTACAAAATAATCTCCAGGTAGCTCATCAAATACCTATGGAATGGGTACAATGAGTATAGGGAACCGGGTCACCATCTATCCTTCTTATTCTCTAGGGTCTGATCAATAAAGCAAACCAATGAAGCAAGATTGCTAGCCAGATAGAAAATGAAAAGAGTGATTTTGCTTTGTAGAGTCCTCTGTGCACATCCTTGTAAAATCTATATTAAAATATTTGCTTTAGGCTTCATCAAAAGTGAGACTATTGACTCTTACTCTTTATCTAGATGTGAGCACCACAAGCTCAGATGTGCATACAGAAGGAGTGAGGCACCAGATCTTCTGGGCCATCCCCAATACCGTGTGCTTGAATATGGATGAGGCTGGCAGGTTGGTTCCAGAAAGAAGACATTATAGGTGGAATGATGTTCCCTTAACCCCAGAAGATGTCCACATTCTAATTCCTAAAAGCTGTGGCTATTTTACCTCCGAAAGCAAAAGAGACTTTGCAGATGGGATTCTATTAAGAATCTTGAGATGGGGTTGATCAATGCCTTTGATTATCTAGGTGAGCCAATATAATCACAAGGGTCCTTACAAGAGGGAGGCAAGAGGGTCACAGAAGATGTGATGATGTAAGCAGAGGTCAAAGTGATCCACAGGCCAAGGAATTTGAGCAGCCTCCAGGAGACAGAACAGGCAAGAAACTAGAGTCTCTTGGCAGACAGCGTGGTTTTGGTCCATTGAGATTTCTGACCTATAGAACTCTAATGTAGTAAATTTGTGTTCTTTTGAGCTAGTAAGTGTGTGATTTCTTACAGCAGCAATAGGAAATTACTGTAGAAGGTTTGGGGACCTGCACAGATGTGCTTATTACAAGGGAACAAGATACAAAGGAGAACCTTCTGGGTGTCATCACAGAAAGTGAAGGACAAAGTAACCCTGTTCACCAGGAAAGCATGGTCCAGTTCATGTCAAGCTTCAACAGATGAAATCAACCACCTTCCTCTCCTGGGGAAGACGAGTGAGAGAAACAGAAGCTAATTAAGGTGTCTTAGTGGAGAGAAGTTTAACTCCAGGAATTAGAGGCTCACACAACCCTTGAAGGATGGGAAACGAAGCCTGATATGATCACTTTCAGGAAATCTAAAATGTGGGAATCGCAGAGAAACATGCTCCCTAAGTGAGTCACAGGAGGATGCCAAAGTCTATAGTCCAGACTCCACTTCTGTTGCCTGTCTGCAGACATTGTCAGAGAATGACCTTCACCTTCCAAATCTCATGTGAGACATTCTCAATGGTGGACTCTTCTAGTGACCCCACAGGCAAGGAAGAAATGTAGTTTCTAGGCTTCACCCCTCTAAAAGTCAAGGGCCAAACTGTACAGGGTATCAAAATACCTGGCACAGAGGTGAAGAGAAAATTATGGTAGAAGTTTGCTTCTCTGCAGTTTGAGGGTGGAAGGTAGAAAGAGGAACATAAGCATCTCTCCTTACATCCCTAGCCCTATGCTCCCCTCACCTGCATTCCCCTCACCAATAACTTAGAGTTTGCCAAGACTGGGAGATGGTCTTAGAAATGGAGAAATAACTCAGTATGATAGTCAGCAGCAAGCCAAGATGTTCATTGACTTGGCTACCATTATAAGCCAAGTCAATGAACATCTTGGCAAACTCTGAGTTATTGCAGAGCAGTGCAGTCAACTCAGTACAGAAAAGATAGGAGACAGATGGGAAATTGAATATTCGTGGATACGTTTTAGGTGATTGTGCTGTAATTTAACTATAACTTACCAGGTATCTATTTTGAACCTGCTTTATTTCAAGGGCACTTTTTTTTAAGCTTTTGACAAATAATTTAAGCCAAATTAATATTCATTGCAAATGTCAGGAGCAGTTGAGTTTTCTTTTCATAGAGCCTTTGAACCTGTTTATGGGAAAGATCAAGTGTTATCATGCCATTAGTTCTACTTTTTAATACAGGATAAAGTTGTACATGTCACTGTTATCTAATTACTAATAGCTATAAATACCAGTTAATTAAATAATGCAGGAATAGAATAAATTTACTATGCCGTGTTTCTTATTGCTCTCAATCAAGTATTTTTAGAAGATTTTCATATTACCTCTTTTCAGTTTTAATTGCCTCTTAAGAAGACAGAATTGCTTCTGGTATACCTGAAGCAGCCAAGGGGGTGGAGTTGTTAACATGTAATGCGGCTTGCAGGCATTTGGTTCAGTGTGGAGTCTCAGAGGGTGAAAGTGTAGAATGCCAGATCAAGGTTTCAAGCCATGAACTAAGAGTATGGAAAAGAGCTGGGGAGGAGTATGTTGTAGATGAATTGAGGTATTAGAAAATAGGAGTGCAGGTTGCAGATTACTAGGAAGCCACTGAATAGAACTGTTTGAAGCTATCGTACCTGCTCAGTAGCCAGGATGACTTTTTCAGGCCCATTCAGAGTAGGTTTTGGTTTGGTAACACTGTTTTTGCTTGACTTTTTGCTGCTAACTATCATACTGAGTTATTTCTCCATTTCTAAGACCGTAAGGCCAATATCAAGAGCTATTGCTTTCAGCTCCTAGTTACTAATCATTTCAGTTTTATCATCAGAGATTTTGTTTTTTTACTTCCAATGGATTAGTTCAGTTTCTACCTAGGCAGACTATCATGGACCAAAATGTTCTTCTCTAAAAATGCATGTTAGAAAATATTATCATGGTCCTTTTGGTGTTTAACAGCTTCTTTGGAATAATAATTTAAATTGTGTTGACCACTCTACACATCATATTTTCAGTTAATATAGAAGTTATGCTCTAAAATAGTCAGTTTCTAAGGTTTGGTTTAATTTCTTTGTGTCTTAGGAGCCTATGTTGATTTGAATGGTGATATTAATATCATTATTAGCTATCCTTACATAAGACCACCCAATAAAACTTTTTGGTATCTGTAATAAAGTTTGACTTTAATTTTTGCCAAAATATGTGATGTAATTCTGGAGTTGAAGACATCCTAAAAAAGAGTCAACTTAGATTACTGTATGCCCCAGCAAAATAATGCCTCATGATCACCTATTTCCACCTCTAGACAATTTCATTTATAACCTTGACTTCAAACCTAATTCACATCTGCTTAGCTCAGAACTTTCTTCTGAATTCAAACTTGCTTATACACTTTTCATTTTAGGTACCCCATCCAGCTGTTTCATAGGCACCTCACCTTTAATATGTGCAAATCTGAAATTATTAGTCTTTTTTCATTCCACCAGAACTTCTCTGCCTTCTATATTTCCTGGCAAAGGGATTGATGCCAGCTAGTCGTCCAAGTTCAGGATCTGAACATATCCTAGACTTCTACCTTTTCTCCATATCCAATCAGTTGCTAAGACCAACCTTCTAAATACATATTTCCCCTTCCCCGCTATCCTGTTTGTTATTATATTGCTGAAGCGTTCATGATGTTTCAGCTGGAACTATTGCAATAACTTGCTTACTAACCATTGTCTTAGGGCAGCTTCCACAGAAATCAAACCCTAAGAGGAATTTTTGTGCACAAGTAATTTATGAAGAAATTGCTCCCAGGATAGACTCCTGGAAAGTGAGGGAAAGTAGAACAGGGGAGGAAGAGAAGCCAAGCAAGGATGAGAACTTGGGCAAATTTCTGCAGAGGGTAGCTTCCATCATATCCTGCAGCCAGGGCGACACTAAGACTTTGGTAGAGTCCTTCCTCAATCAATCAATTGCAACTTGGACTTTCCTGAATACGCTATGCTGCCTCAAGATTCCTGCCTTTTCACCTGCTGGTCCACTGGCCTGAAATATTCTTCTTCTTTGGTTCCCTCCTCACTTGACCTCTGGACTAAAGATGACTACAAAGTTTTTTTCCTGCTCTCCCTTTGTGACTGTTCCAAGAAGTCTTGAGGTCGTTTTTCTATTCTGTTTTGTGAAAAGGCCATATTTGCGAAGGGAACCCCAAATACAAAAGGAGCTGAGAAACCAAAGGGTAGGGCAAACAAATCCAGTTTGTCAATAGAGGGTGGTTTATTGGGGAACTCATGGGCAGAAGCATGGTCTTGGGCAGTCATAAGACAGGTAGATCTCCTCACCATTACCCCAAGACCCAGAGCTTATATACCATAGAAAAAGGGTATATGTGCTTTAGCTCTAGAGGGAATGTGCAGGACAATTAAAGTTGACCCTTCATGGAAAGACAAGAACGCTATGTGCATCATAGCCTATAATTTGCCAAAGGGCAGGATATATGGTAAGTATGTGTTTATGATGATAACATCGAGATTGTACTGGTTTACAAAAGGAACAGTAAATAAGGCAGAAATATTAGAGGCACTCCTGGGATTGGGGTTAATCTGAAGTCAAAATGGCGGATTAGCATTCAAGATGGAGTTACTTTAGCCTCCTCTTACTCCATGGTGAGCTTCTCCTGGGCTGCCATAGCTCTGTGTATTGACTTGGTTATTTTATTTCATTGCAACTGTTATTTGCATGATTACCTTTCCCTAGTGGGGGATGGAAGAGACAAAATCTTTTCATTTTTATCCCTTTGGTGTTTAGCCCAACACTTGTTAAGCCAATGAAGGAAGTAAAGAAGTGAAAAAAATTGATGAAAGGACTGTGATTCCAGTTATGCGTATTAGATCATAAATAGTTTCTGAGGAGCTTGAGATTCCATTAGAATATGTGATGTAAGTAAAACTTATTTTGGCTTATTACCTTTTTACTATTGAGTATGATGAGACCTCATGGTAAAAGTTGTATCAATTTTAGAGTCTCTTTGATGTAGCTATAAGATTTTACATTTCTTTTATGACTCACCATGTAAAGTTTCAAATATGTACTAGAGAGATTTAAAATGAGCATGAAGTGATGACTAACATGTAAATTTGAGAATTTCAGTGTTAAAATGATAGATTTGTTTTCTCATCTACAAATATTATATTTTTAAATATTAGGTAGAACTGATTCTAAAGGAAGTAATCACATTACCCATATTTTAAAAATTAAACTTGCCCGTGAAAGAAAAGCAAAGCTTACATGACACTTTAACTTTTACAACATTTTATTTAAAAGATAAATGTCATTACTCAGTTCACTAAAATGACCTTTAAAAGCCATGATCTTTAAAAAAGAAATAGTTTTCTTTTAAAGGGAAACACATTGCACCAATTTGCAAGTTAATGGTCGAATTTTTGCCTTAACAGTGATGAGAAAGCAGAAATTGAGGCACAAATGATACAAATAGCATGTTTCAGTCTTGAAAGGCAATATTATTCCTTTTATTCCTTAAATAAGCTTTTACGGAAGCGTTCTGACTAACGCTGCATGCAAGAGATTTACGTACATACTTCCATGAGATGAGGATGTGTCATTAAAATATATGAACATAATAGATGTTGTGCACACAATATGAAACAAAACTATGCTTAGGGCATCTGGAAAGTTTCTCTTTATGAAATAAATGAACAATAGCTTTATTTAAATCTATCTAAAACCAAGCTCTGATTTACATATAGGGCTTAATTTGGATCATTGAATTTCCTTTGCATTGGTTTCTTATGCATACATTTTGTAGTAATTTTAAATATGTAAACTCATCAGCATAGTTTGTGTGTGTATCTGTATTCTAGGGGATCCTTTAGGCTAAATAAATGCAATATGTGAAAGTTTTAAATCACCAATTATTAATTAAGACATAAATTTCCTATATACAGTCATACCTACCTGCATTTACAGTGTGAACCTGCTTTGTCTTTCCTTGAATAAAATTAAAGTGATTGGATCTTTCCAAGTATCATATTTACAACCAACTTCTCCCTCTGGAGGCTCCCTCCCTTCCCCACCTCCAGCCTGGACTGAACACACAGAAGACTGGGTGTGATTTTATGATATAAATCAATGGAAAAGCTGGTCCACCTTACTAGGAGCAGCTTTTTAGATCAGCCTCTATTGTGCATATTCAAATATATTTATATGCATGTAACAACAAAAAAACATTCTTGTGGCTTTGTTTATTAAAGATTTCTTTCTGGACAAATAGATTTTGAATTATTGCTTTATAAAGTAGACCCCAATTTACTACATCACGTTTTTTCTTTGTCATCATCTATTGTTCTTTTGGATCCTAATTATTCATTTTTCTCATGTTTTAAACTTCTTATATACAAGGCTTATTTATACTTGTCACTCTCCCATGCCTGTCATAGTCTATATTTATATTTCACTTATTTTAAGAAAATGCACAGAAATCCATGTTAAACAACTAACCACACAAAAACTACATTCTCCTTCAAGATTAAACCCCTGCCTTACTTTGCCCCTTCTCTTCCCAGCCTGTCTTTTTGAAAGAGTTACCTGCTTTACTATCTTTACGTCTTCACCTTTTTGTCATCTCTAGGTTTCCGTGAACTTAAAATGCTTCCTGGTATTAAGAACTACTTGGTTGTCCCCTGTGCTTATGTATTTTTAAATGAAATAGGTTGAATTCCGCTTTTAGATTTTTTTTTTGCTCTGAATTAAGCTCATAGCGGGACTTATTAAAATGCAATTGCTAATAAGAGCTAATAATTACTGAGCACGTACTATAGTCCAGGCAGCATGCTAAACTCTACCTGGATTGTCTAATTTATGCATCACTATCACACTATGAGGTAGGAGTTTTGCCACTGGAGAACTCACAAGGCGAGTTTTGGCCATACTCTCCAGAATAATATAGGTCACCCTAAAGTCACCCCAACATGGAATATACATACATTGCTGAAAATACATCCCCTAAGGTTGGAGTTCTAAAATCAAAAGTCCAGTAGCAGGTGGGGTGGTTCAGGAGATTGATTTCTGAATGTTCTTATTATTCCTAATAGAATTTAAGTCTAGACAATAAAGATATATTCAATGACAGTAGAAATAGGGATAAGAAAAACAATAAACCTAAGATGAAATTAGTATGCAAAATGTATGCTAGAAATCCTCTACCCTTGGCAACATGAGCCTCAGACTTGAACTCTGAGCCAAAACGAAGATGAAAAAACTATCAGTGACATCATTAACTTTTTCTAAAATCAGAAAACAAACCACTTGTTCAGGAAAAGTTCAGTTCATCTAACAATGAGACTCAGGTCCTCATAGCAATGATCATAAAACATTATACACACATCCCTTTAAAATAGATGTATCTTTCCAAAATACATTTTTATAGCAATTACATAATTTTCTTGAATCATATTTTAGTGTAAAAATGAGCAGCCTTTTCTATTGGTTCGTCTAAGTCCTCCTTGCTTCCATTTTAGCTTACTTAGCTTATGATTCAGTAGGTGTGGAATCTATTAAGTTGGTGCAAAAGTTATTGCGGTTTTTGCCAGTTCCAAAACCAATGGCCAAAACTGCAGTTACCTTTGCACCAACCTAATATGTGAATTTCCTCTCTTTTTACCTTGCATGTCATCAATAGAAAGTGGGGCCACAGTAGTTAAAATAAGTGACTGCTTCTGAAATGGTCCTTCATCTATTAAATATCTCAGTACTTACAAGAACACTTGTATTTCTCCTTGTTTCTTTTTGGAAATATTTAAATGTAGTTTATAGAATAGCAGAAATATTCCAAAGAGCCATTTGTTTATTAAGCAAATTTTGTGTCAGAGGGAAATATTGTATAATGAAAGATGTGTCCCAAGTTTGTTTTTTTCCATGTTTAAATCTTTTTGTTTGCTTTGTTATTCCTCACAAGCTTAAAACAGTTTTAAAATTGCATAATGTTTTAGTTGCTGATAAATCCTTTATCGGGGAGAAGAGGATGTGGGTGGATAAAATTAAGACTATTGTGATACGGAATAAATTTGCAGAGCTGGAAAGCAAGGAAAAACTAAAAAAAAAAAACTTTTACAGAGATCTGTTTAGTGAAAAAACATAAGTGATAGGATTTCTCTTTGTTAAAAAGGACCATATTCTTTACAATATTTTCTTATAGCAATCTCAAGGTTTATTTAGATGAAATACCTAATACAAGGTTTTGGAACATCTACAGAAGTGTATTTGGGGCCATACAACTTGGAGAGAGGGATTGAGGGAGGGAGGGAGGGGGAGAGAGAGAGAGAAGAGAGAGAGAGAGAGAGGAGAAAGTGAAAAATGCAAACATAATTAAAGACAAAGACTTCTTTTCAAGAAATATCATTCAGTTAGATAAAATGTGCACAATAAACCTGTGTTTGTGTTTGACAATTCCTCAGAAAGCATCCTTAAACATGGTATTACCATATGACCCTGCAATTCCCCTTCTAAGCATATACCACAAGTAATTGAAAACAGATATTCAGACAAATAACATGTATACACTACATGTTCATAGCAGCTCTATTGACAATGACCAAAAAGTGGAAACAGTCCAAATGTCCATCAGTGGATGAATGGATAAACAAATGTGGTATATGCAAACAATGGAGTATTGTTCAGCCATAGAAATGAAGCACTGATACATGCTACAGTATGATGAAGCCCCAAAACGTCTTAATTGAAAGAAGTCTAGGCCTAGTCCGGGTGCCGTGGCTCATGCCTGTAATCCCAACACTTTGAGAGGCCAAGGAGAGCAGATCACTTGAGGCCAGGCATTCAAGACCAGCCTGGGCAACATAGCGACACGCTATCTCTACAAAAAATACAAAAATTAGCTAGGTGTGGTGGCACACACCTATAGTCCCAGCTACTCAGGAGGCTGAGATGGGAGGATTGTTTGAGTCCAGGAGGTCATGGCTGCAGTGAGCCAGGATCATGCCACTGCACTCCAGCCTGGGTGACAAAGCGAGACCCCCTTCTCAAAAATAAATAAATAAATAAATAAATAAAAAGGAAGAAAAAGCTGGACATAAAAGGCTATATCTATATATATCACACCTGTAATCCCAGCACTTTGGGAGGCCAAGGCAGGCGGATCACAATGTTAAGAGATCGAGACCGTCCTGGCCAACATGGTGAAACCCCATCTCCACTAAAAATACAAAAAATTAGCTGGGAGTAGTGGTGCATGCCTGTAGTCCCAGCTACTCAGGAGGCTGAGGAGGATCTCTTGAACCTGGGAGGTGGAGGTTGCAGTGAGCCGAGATCGCGCCACTGCACTCCAGCCTGGCAAGAGAGTGAGACTCCGCCTCAAACAAACAAAAAGGCTATATAGTGTATGATTACATTTATATGAAATGTTCAGAATAGTTTAATACTAGAGACCAAATGAAGATTGGTGGTTGCCAGGGCCTGGGGAGAAGGGGGGAGGGTGGTGGAATAATTGCTTAATAGGTAGGGGATTTGAATTTAGTATGATGGAAATATTTTGCAACTAGATAGAGATGGTGGTTACACAAAGTTGTGAATGTACTAAATGCCACTGAATTGTATAATTAAGAATGGGTAATTTTATGTTACGTGGTTTCCACCTCAATAAATTATTTTAGAAATAAGTGTTTGCCTCCAGGACTGAAGAATGGGGAGTTGGAGAG
Source organism: Homo sapiens (assembly GCF_000001405.40). Classification (NCBI taxonomy): domain Eukaryota; kingdom Metazoa; phylum Chordata; class Mammalia; order Primates; family Hominidae; genus Homo; species Homo sapiens. The sequence goes on from NC_000010.11 coordinate 23,720,255, forward strand.
AGGGGTGGGGCATTGTCATAGTATTTTGGTTTTAAACTTTACAATAATGTCTAAATTGTAAAACTATGTGTGTCACTTGATAAAATAAAATTCATTTAAAATTTTTACTAAATGTTGAGTAAATAACAAGGAAATGTCTAAGTCCTAGAAAAATGTTGACTAATAAAACTGATTATAGGTAGTATTGAGGATTTTTAAAAGAAATCTCTTTGTGGACATTAATTTTGAGCTGCACTTTTGAGGCTGAGCTGAATAGACTGATAGAATGAACGAGGGTTTGGGAGTGGGTGGCATAAGAGGCGGGATATGAAGGGGACTGGGAGGTACAGCCTTATAAAAAGGACTTCCCCAAAGATGAAAGTAGAGGTCATGGGAATCCAACAATTGGTTACTTCCTCTCCATCTTGTTTGCACCAAACACTTTACCTCTCTCTGCTTTCAATTTATAATTAGTTAAATGAAAAAGATATTGGAATCCCCATATCATGGAACTACTGTAAGAATAGTCTGTCCTGGTATTGGAAAAAAATTCTAAATTTTATCGATAAAAATTCAATGTAGGTATATTAACTACTTTAAGCCCAGAATTATTCCACTGATGTTCACAAGTCACCCATAGGGAAGTGGCTCTTGTTCCCTAAGGGATGAAAAATATGAGTCTTGGTTTTGCTTAGAAAATTAAAACGAAAAGGTATGAATTCCACTGACACCTTTGTAACTTAACAAAAACCTTAAGGATCTTTTTGGATTCATGGCATTCATAATAGCTTCTACCTACCCAATTCTGTAGAGGCTTTAGTAGTCTTCAAGTCCTGTTTCTTAAAGCCTATTAAAAAATACATTTTTAGAATACGACATGTGAGAACTTCATAAAACATTTGGGAAATTAGCCAGTTTCCCTGAGCGTGTGCCCTTGAAAAATCAGATGTAACTTCCAAAGTGACTCTAGGAATTTCAAATTGCCACTCACAGTGAGAATCCACTCCTTCATCCCATCTTGACACTTCTGCCCAAGAAGAGCAACTGCTGGGCATATTTTGGAAAGTGATTTAGGGCTTCTTGCTCCCAGTATTATTTTAATTTAGTGTATTGGAGCTGTCAGCTTTCACCTGACTGACTCTGATGGACCCCACGCATTGCACAGTGTATGGGTAAAATAATAGGTAAGACATTATAATTTATTGAAGTCAGGGTTACTGTTATAAATACTCATAGCATCTTTTTCCTTTTTTTAAAAAATCATAAACTCCTACAATTGCTTTCACTGCTGGTGGTATTCCTTTTCAATGCTTATCAAAGTGTAAGTAAACAAATAACCCATGTTCTCGGTGACATAAACCAACCTAAACTAACAAAGAGAATTAAAGATAGTCTCTGAGTATGGTTACCTTGAAGATAAATAAATTGTTAAAAAAATTCCAGAAAGTTTTTCTAAGAAAATTTCCCTCATTTAGGAATCATATTTTTTGTCTTCTAAGACAATGAAATAAATTAACATAAGCACACTGGTTCTAAGTTTAAAAGAAATCAACCCAAATGCCTGAAGCTCAGAAAGTGAGTACTCCTAATAAAATATTTGAAATTTCACTTTTCCAGGTACAAGTTTCCTGTATTTTATCATTTTCTTGTGCCTACTAGATTTCCTATCTTTCTTGCTTTTACAAATATTTCCTTGTTGCAATCCAAGTGTCCCATTGATGGATGCATGGATAAACGAAATGTGATGTAGTCATACAATGGAATATTATTCAGCCCTAAAAAGGAAGGAAATTCTGACACATACTACAACATGAATGAACCTCGAAAAACTTATGCAAAGTAAAATAAGCCAGGCACAGAAAGACAAATACTGTATGAATCCAATGATATGAGTTACTTAGAGTAGTCAAAGTCAAGAAGAAAGTAGAATGGTGGTTCCCTGAGGCTGGGGGAAGGGGAAATGTGGAGCTATTGTTTAATGAGATTAATGTGTATAATGAGTCTCAGTTTTGCAGTTCAGTTTTGCAAGATGAAAAGAGTTCTGTGAGTGGGTGGGGGTGATAGGACTATGACAATAAGAATGTACTTGAAGCAATTGAACTGTACAGTTAAAAATGGTTAAGATGGTGAGTTTTATGTGTATTTACCATAATTTTTAAAATTAAAAACTTAAAAATAGATATGAAAAGAATGGTTTTAGTAGTTTTCCATTAAGTCTATCATCAGCTCTTTAATTAGGATAAACACTTAGTGTCTTGTTAGAGAAAAAATCCTTGCCTTTATTTTATTTGTAAATTCAAATGATGTTGGATACAAATATTTTCCATATATATTTAGCTTCTTAAATATAGTCTGTTTTCACTCTTGGTTTTTAAGATGTGCCATCCTTTGAAGTAACAAAAATGCGATATAATATGCTTTATGTCTGTAATTTCATTTTAATACCACAATTATTGGTGAGGAAACTCTTACCAATGAGGAAACTGATGCTCAAAGAAGTACCTTGTTCCAGGTCATATAGTGCTAAGTCAGGATTTGGGCTTAGTCTGTGCAGTAAGAAGCTTTGGACTGCATGTAACAGAAATCCCACTTCAGACTGGCTTCAGCAAGGAGATACCATAGTTCTCACATTCCAGTTCCTAAGGAGTAGGCTTCAGGTCTCGAACCCTGGGTCCAGCTGTTCCTCTGTTCCTCCCTTTATTCTGCCATATCCTGAGTGTTGGCCTCACTCTCAGATTGGTGGCAAAATGTAGCCAAAGCCATTCCCGAGTGTCATCAGACAGCCCTTCAATAGGTTTCATCACGCACCTCATTGGCCAGGCTTGGTCACATCCATTCTTTGACCAGTCACTGGCCAGCAGAAAGTAATGAACTAAAATTAGAATTTGGGGCCACATGGATATTGAGAAGCTCATGGCCGTGACCACTTTAGCCTGCTTGACTCTCCTATAGCATGCCCCTTCCTTATGGGTATTGATGCTTTTCATCTCTTTCTGCACTGACTGGCCCCACACTCCTGTGCTTTTGGGATGATTGTATCTGGCTTGTTACAGCTTCTCTAGCTCTCTTTGTCACTGTGAGCTGCTCCTTCTGGTTTCTATTAGTGTACTTATTCCCATTCCTTCTCTGGTTGCTTAATTGTCTGTTGCTTAGCTGCTGTGCCCTGGGAAAATGAAAAAAAAATCACCTTATTAGAGATTTTTATAAAAATTTAAAAATAGACTAATAATAATGGCATAGTGGTCTCTTCTAAGAAAAAAACAAGTAAGTCTTAGTGCATGCATCTTGGATCACCACTTTTTGCTGTTCAGATTCATTGTTGCACATTTACTGCTTCAGCTCTAGTTTCCTAATAGTTAAGACTGGTTCGTGAGTCATTTCCAATTGCAAGTATTTCATGTTACATAAAAGAGTATATAATTCTTTTATGTTTTTCAAAGCTATTATGAAATTAGCTGAATGAGAATTTTTATCATTTTTAAAGAGATCCTTGCTAAGAAAGCCTTGTAGTTGTACATACTAGGTTTGCTGTTTGCTGATTTTTTTTAAAAAATGTTAAAATTCATATGTGACAATAAATACATGTGTATTAGGCCGTTCTCAGATTGCTATAAAAATATCTGCGACTGGTAATTTATAAAGAAAAGAGGTTTAATTGGCTCATGGCTCTGCAGGCTGCACAGAAAGTATAGTGGTTTCTGCTTTTGGGGAAGCCCCAGGAAGCTTCGAATCATAGCGGAAGATAAAAGGGGAGCAGGCATCTTACATGACAGGAGCAGAGACAAGAGAAAGCAAGCGGGGAGATGCTACACACTAAAATTACCTAAGAACTCACTCACTCCTAAGAACTCACTCACTTTCATGAGAACGGCACCAAGGGGATGGTGCTGAACCATTCATGGGAAATCTACCTGCATGATCCAATCACTTCTCACCAGGCCCCACCTCCAACACTGAGGGTTACAATTAGATGTGAGATTTGGGCAGGGACACAGATCCAAACTATATCACCTTGGTAACCCTAAACTTTGCTTCTTATGTATTTTTTTTAACAAGATTTGATAATTCCTATGTGCTTTCTCTTTCCAAAATGGTAAAAAGTTCTATCACCTAAATGTTTAACTTTGAATGTTATTTCTGTATATATTTTTCATTGTGTTATTAATTTTAATTTTTCCTTCTGTGAATTTTAAATTCTATTTAATTAACAATTTTCTATATTTCTTATGCTTAACTTTTAAATCATGCATTGCCTTTTATCTTTTTCAAAAGATATTATCCAAGGTATTTTTACAATGGTGTTAGATTTTTCAGTAGTGGGAGATAATGTTAAAAGATGGTCAAGATTTTGATTGGCAGACTGGATAACTTAGCAGAGTCTCTCAAATTTTACCCCTAAATATCCCTAAAGGCAAAAGAGAATGAAGGATTAATTCTATAATTTGGGTGGCTAGCCCTAAATGGTCCCAGAAAGTCCACTACAATCTCTTTAAGCCGTTCTGTTTCAACTTAAAACTTCATGTACATTTTTTATTTCCCTCCATAATAGGTGTGTAATTATTTTAATGTGAGTTATGCTTTAATTAATTGTCATTGAGTTAACTGATATACCAGGAAGACATGCCATGTGTAACTCTTGACTTTGCCTTCATATTATCCCATTTGCAGGAGGACTTGTATATCTGGTCCATGACTCTGGCTTTGTCTTAAGCCCTCCCAGTCCAAGCCTGCCAGCTGCTTGAAGTCATTGGTTCTACCTTAGTTCTACACAGAGGGAGCCTCCCTACACCCAAAACTTTATGACAACCTTTCATACAAGGTGCCTCCCCTCTGGCCTGCCTATGTCATGGGTTCTCTTTCCTTTCATGTCTTCAACTACACCACTTCTGTGTTTTTAGCAGTTTTCTTCCCTTCTAAACCACATATGGACTCTTGTCATCCTGCCTTCAGCACCCTGGTATAGTTGGCTCAGCCTATGCTGTGGAGCAGGACCTAAAAACTGAAGATTTTAATAAAACAGTGTGACTGATTCAGAGTCTTAATGGAAGTTTGCTCCAAGAGTGGTCTGTGAGAAAAGTTTAAGTGGGAACTACAGAGACAAGGCCACCAGTTAGAATGCACATAGAAGGCAGTTTCAGCAGAAAGACTGGCATGATTTGATGTTATTGTTTAAGGAATACACAGAAACCATGACCTATGTCTTGAATTATACTTCCCCCATCCTTTACAGGCTGTGATGTGGGTGAATGCTGATTCATGTGAAATTTCAGTTATTTTCCTGAGGGTAACATTATGATTGCATTCATGTATCAGATCTATGAGAATATGACATAATTAAATATTACACAGAAAATGAGCTACTTGCCCCCTTCCTTCCAAGTAGAATAAAATATGGAATGCTGTAGTTAATGGAATAATTAATGTCCACTACTGATGACAGTGAATTCTTTGGCTCAGAACAACACATGTCATTTTGCTTACATGCATGGCTTGTTTATTCCTTGAACTTTTGACTTACAGAGACTAGCATTTTACTGTAATAAACACTTGGTTACATCTGTTATAAATTGAGCACAATTGGTTTTTCCAAGAATAGTAGCGTTCCAATTCTAGACCAAAATTATAAGCAGCTGTCTGCTAATAGATATGTATACCAACTTCCACCTTTGTGCCCTCTTGTTTAAAAAGGTTGTCTATACCTTAGAAATCAAGTTAAACTTGATGTAATTTCTTAATTTGAAAACTATGCTTTATGATTTTGTGTTCTTTCCCCCTTTCCTCACTCAAAAAGGGACCATTCTGTATGGAAAGAAAATAGTGTTTTATGGTGTTTGCAACTTTTTTCTTCCTACGATTTTAAGGAAGTATTTCTCTTAATTTTTTCTACCATTTGAACTAAATTTAACTTTCAGTCTTTCTAAGTTCTCATGGGGTTTTAAATTCATCTTTTTACAGTTTTCTTAGTGGTTACTTTTCTGTAGTATTAACCTCTATAAAGTTTCTAGGATTTGGGGGAGAGTAAAACTAATTTGTTTGTAAAAAGTAAGCCTAGTATTTGAGCATGAGTTTGGTTTTTTTTTTTTTAGACAAATCATATTTTTTATTTGAAACTTCAGATTACATGTTTATTTTATTTATTTTATTTTTTATTATACTTTAAGTTTTAGGGTACGATGGATTAAAGACTTAAATGTTAGACCTAAAACCATAGAAACCCTAGAAGAAAACTTAGGCAATACCATTCAGGACATAGGCATGGGCAAGGACTTCAAGTCTAAAACACCAAACACAATGGCAACAAAAGCCAAAATTGACAAATGGGATCTAATTAAACTAAAGAGCTTCTGCACAGCAAAAGAAACTACCATCAGAGTGAACAGGCAACCTACAGAATGGGAGAAAATTTTTGCAATCTACTCATCTGACAAAGGGCTAATATCCAGAATCTACAAAGAACTCAAATTTACAAGAAAAAAACAAACAACCCCATCAACAAGTGGGCAAAGGATATGAACAGACACTTCTCAAAAGAAGACATTTATGCAGCCAAAAGACACTTGAGCATGAGTTTTGCATTTTCTTACTAACTCTCTTAAATTACAAAGGAAATGTAATTCACATATGAAAATCTTGGCATATATAGAAAAGTAAAGAATTTCTTGTGAGCTTACCAGAATCTCAATACTGCTATGATAATTTTAGGATATTTAATTCCATGCCATTTCCATGCCATTTGTATAGGCCTCTTTTTTTTTTTTTTTTTTTTTTTTTTGAGACAGAGTCTTGCTCTGTCACCCAGGCTGGAGTGCAGTGGCATGATCTTGGCTCACTGCAAGCTCTGCCTCCCAGGTTCACGCCATTCTCCTGCCTCAGCCTCCTGAGTAGCTGGGACTGCAGTTGCCTGCCACCAAGCCTGGCTGCTTTTTTTGTATTTTTTTTAGTAGAGACAGGGTTTCACCATGTTAGTCAGGAAGGTCTCGATCTCCTAACCTTGCGATCCACCCCTCTCGGCCTCCCAGGCATCTTTCTAAAAATAAAATTGTTAAACCAGGCATGGTGGCTCACATCTGTAATCCCAGCACTTTGGGAGGCCAAGGTGGGTGGATCACCTAAGGCCAGAGTTTGAGAGCAGCCTGGCCAACATGGTGAAACTCTGTCTCTACTAAAAATACAAAAATTAGCTGGGTGTGGTGGTGCACACCTATAATCCCAGCTACTTGGGAGGCTGAGACAAGAGAATCACTTGAACCTGGGAGGTGGAGGTTGCAGTGAGCCGAGATCACCCCACTGCACTCCAGTCTGGGCGACAGAATGAGACTCTGTCTCAAAAAAATTTAAAAAAAAGTTGTTATGATGCACATACATAGTTATATTTTTTTCATTTAATATTTTTAACGTTGCTTTTCAAAAAATAGACATTTTAAAATTACACTTTAAGTTCTGGGGATACATGTGCAGAACGTGCAGTTTTGTTACATAAGTATACATGTGCCATGGTGGTTTGCTGCACTCATCAACCTATCATCTACATTAGGTATTTCTCCTGATGCTATCCCTCCTCTAGACCCCCCACCTCCCGATGGGCCCTTGTGTGTGATGTTCCCCTCTCTGTGTCCATGTGTTCTCATTGTTGAACTCTCACTTATGAGTGAGAACATGCAGCATTTGGTTTTCTGATCCTATGTTAGTTTGCTGAGAATGATGGTTTCCAGCTTCATCCATGTCCCTGCAAAGGACATGAACTCATCCTTTTTTATGGCTGCATAGTACTCCATGTTGTATATGTGCCCCATTTTCTTTATCCAGTCTATCATTGATGGGCATTTGGGTTGGTTCCAAGTCTCTGCTATTGTGAATAATGCTGCAATAAACATACATGTGCGTGTATCTTTATAGTAGAATGTCTTTATAGAAGAATGATATTATAATCCTTTGGGTATATACCCAGTAATGGGATTGGTGGCTCAAATGGTATTTTTCGTTCTAGATCCTTGAGGAATCACCACACTGTCTTCCAAAATGGTTGAACTAATTTACACTCCCACCAATAGCGTGAAAGTGTTCCTATTTCTCCACATCCTCTCCAGCATCTGTTGTTTCCTGACTTTTTAATGATCGCTATTCTAACTGGCATGAGATGGTATCTCATTGTGGTTTTGATTTGTATTTCTCTAATGACCAGTGATGATGAGCTTTTTTCCATATGTTTGTTGGCTGCACAAATGTCTTTTTTTGAGAAATGTCTGTTCATATCCTTTGCCCACTTTTTGATGGTTTTTTTTTTTGTTGTAAATTTGTTTAAGCTTCTTGTAGATTCTGGATATTAGCCCTTTGTCAGATGGATAGATTGCAAAAGTTTTCTCCCATTCTGTAGGTTTCCTGTTCACTCCGATGATAGTTTCTTTTGCTGTGCAGAAGCTTTTTAGTTTAATTAGATCCCATTTCTCAATACATTCAGGACATAGGCATGGGCAAAGACTTCATGACTAAAACGCCAAAAGCAATGGCAAAAGTAGACTTTTTTTAGAGCAGTTTTAAGCTTACAGCAAAACTGAGTGGAATTATATACAAAGATTTCCCATATCCTCCCTGCCCTAAGACAAGCACAGCCTCTGCAGTCATCAATATCCCACACAAATGTATGATGACATGTATCCACCATTTGTGGTACCACACAGAACAGCTTCGCTGCCCTAGAATATCCTCCGTGCTGCATCTATTCACCCCTTCCCCCACTCCCAACCCGACTGACCTTTTTACTGTCTCCATAGTTTTGCCTTTTTTTCAGAATGTCATACAGTTTGAATCCAACAGTACATAGCCTCTTCAGATTGTCTTCTTTTATCTGCTCACATGCAGTTAAGGTTTCTCCATGTCTTTTCATGGCTTCATAGCTCATTTCTTTTTAGTGGTGAATAATATTGCATTGTCTGGATGTACCATAGTTTACTTACTCATCCACCTACTGAAGGACATCTGGTTGTTTCCAAGGCTTGGCAATTATGAATAAAGCTGCTATAAACATCTGGGTAGAGGTTTTTGTGTGAACATAAGTTTTCATTTCCATTTGGTAAATACTAAGGGGCATGATTGCTGGATCATATAGTTAGAATATGTTTTGTTTTATAAGAAAGTGCCAAACTGTCTTCCAAAATGACTACACCATTTTGCATTCCCACCAACAATGAATGAGAGTTCCCGTTACTCCACATCCTTGCTAGCATTTGGTGGTGTCAGAGTTCTATATTTTGACTATTTTAATAGGTATGTACTAGTATCTCATTTTTGTTTTAATTTGCATTTATCTGAGGACATATCATATAGAAATTCTTTTCATATATCTATATTACTTCTTTAGTAGGGTGTCTGTTAAGGTCTTTGGTCCATTTTTTAATTGGCTTATTTGCTTTCTTATTGTGGAGTTTTAAGAGTTTTTATATATTTTGGATAAGCTGCCTTATCAGATATGTCTTTTGCAAATATTTTATTTCAGTCAGTGGCTTGTCTTCTAAATTTCTTGACAGTGTCTTTCAAAGAAGAGAAAGTTTTAATTTTAATGAAATCCAGTTTATTCTTTCTTTCATGGATCATTCCTTTGGCATTGTATCCAAAAAGTAATTGTCAAACCCAAAGCCCAAAGTCATCTACATTTTCTTCTGTTATTTTCTATGAAATTTTTTTTTTTTTTGACATAGTCTCACTCTGTCACCCAGGCTGGAGTGCAGTGGCACGATCTCTGTTCACTGCAAGCTCCGCCTCCCAGGTTCACACCATTGTCCTGCCTCAGTCTCCCAAGTAGGTGGGACAACAGGCGCCCACCACCATGCCTGGCTAACTTTTTGTATTTTTAGTAGAGACGGGGTTTCACTGTGTTAGCCAGGTTGGTCTCAATCTCCTGACCTCGTGATCTGCCCGCCTCGGCCTCCCAAAGTGCTGGGATTACAGGCGTGAGCCACCATGCCCGGCTTCTATGAATTTTAAAGTTCTGCTTTTTACATCTGTGTCTAGATTCTTTTTTTTTCTTGCATGTGGATGTTCAGTTGTTTCAGCACCATTTGTTGAAAATAGTCTTTTCTTTATTATATTTCCTTTTCTTATTTGTCAAATATCAGGTGATGCTAGTCTGTTTTATTAATCTATTTGTCTACTGTTTGGCGAATACCGTACTGCCTTGATTACTGTAACATTCCAGTAAGCATTGAAGTTGAGTAGTGTCAGTTCTTCAACGTTATTTTCTTTCTGAGTATTTTGCCTTTCCATATAAACTTCAGAATCAGTTTGTTCATATCTACAAAATAATTTGCTAGGATTTTTATTTTGATGGCATTTAATTTATAGATCTAGTTGGGAAGAACCAATGTCTTGACAATATTGAGTCTTCCTATCCATGAACATGGAATATTTTTCCATTTTGTAGTGTCTTTATTTTATTCATCATAATTTTGTAGTTTTTCTTACATAGATCTTGTATATATTTTGTTCAATTTATACCTAAGTATTTTATTTTTGAGGAGATGCTAATATAAATGATAATGTGTTTTAATCTCAAATTCTTTCTTGTTTATTGCTGGTATATAGGAAAGCAATGGACTTTTGTATATTAATCTTGTATTCTGAAACCTTGCTATAATTGCTTGTTAGTTTCAGAAGGCTTTTTGTTCAGTTCTTTCAGATTTTCTTCATAGACTAACATATCATCTGCAAACAAAGACAGTTTTATTTTTTCTTTCCAATCTGTCTACCTTTTAATTCATTTTCTTGTCTGATTGCATCAGCTAGCACTTCCAGTTCAATGTTGAAAAGGGGTGATAAGAGGGAACATGTCTTTTATTTCACTTTATTTTATGCTTTAATTTGGGAAGGAGAGCTTTTTTTTCAGAAGGGTTTGCAGTCTGCAGGATGGCCATCCTGACAGGCCAGGAATCATAGCCTCTGGCCAGAAGCCAGAAATAGATACTTTGAGGGAGGGGAAGGTGGAACAGAAATTTACGCTGAATGAGGTGGCTAAATATACATACTCAATAAGCCATAGGAAAGTTCATGAATGTTTATAAAAGAAATATGCACATGCACAGTTGAGCTTTATGCCCATTCCTGGGTCCCCTGTACAAAAAACAGTGGTGTTAGCATAATCTGAAGGTGGACTTTTGAGTCCTCTGATGTCAAAAGGTGAACCAGAGGACACAAATACCTGTACTACCCATTCTCTGTGGACTGACCAGGAGCGCTTCATGGTCAGTGGTCTCTTATCCGGTGAAAAAGGAAGTACAGTGTCAGTTGCTTGGTCCATATCAGTGGTGGAGTCTTTTGAAAGGGCTGGTTTCTGTTAAGCCCTTAGGGAAGAAAGCCTAAGCCCGGTTAGGGAGGGAGGGGGTACAACCAGGTAGGTATGAACCCCCATCCCATCATTTTTGAGAACTCAGTTTTCGTCCTTGCCTTGTTTTTGATCTTGGTAGGAAAGCTTCGAGTTTCTCACCATTAAGTATAAGGTTAGCTGTAGGGGATTTTTTTTTTCTTAAATATTCTTTATCAAGTCAAGGGAGTACCCCTCTAAGATTTTTGTTTTTTAAATCATGAGTGAGTGTTAGATTTTGTCAAATGCTTTTTCTGCAACTATTGATATTATGATGTGATTTTTCTTTTTTAGCTTATTGATGTGATGGATTATGTTAATTGATTTTTAAATATTGAACCAGCCTTGCATACCTGGGATAAATCTCACTTGGTTGTGGTGTATAACTCTTGTTATACATTGTTGGATTTGATTTTGTTGAAGAGTTTTACATATATGTTTATTCATAGTATTAATCTATAGTTTTCTTGTAATATATTTTTCTGGTTTTGGTATTAGGATAATATTGGTCTCATAGAATGAGTTAGAAAGTATTCCTTCTGCTTGTATTTTCTGAAAGAGATTGTAAAGAGCTCGTGTAATTTCTTCTTTAAATGTTTGATAGCATTCACCAGTGATCCATTTAGGCCTGATGCTTTTGGTTTTGGGAGATTAATAAATATTGATTCAATCTCTTTAAACTTTAAAAGATATATAGTTGGCCCTTCATATCTACAGGTTTCACATCTATGGATTCACCAACCATTGATCAAAAATGTTCAAAAAAACCCAAAACAACAAAAACAAAAATTAATACAACAATAAAAAATAGAAATTTAAAAATCAATGGTTTTAAATTGTATAACAACTCTTTACATAGCATTTGCATTGTATTAGGTATTTTAAGTAATCTGGTGATGATTTATAGTATACAGGAGGATGTGTGCTATTAGTAATTTGTGTTCTCTCTCTTTTTTCTTAGTCTGCCTACAGGCTTACCAATTTTATTGATCTTTACAAAGAATCCGCTTTTGGTTTCATTGATTTTCTCTATTGATCTCCTGTTTCCAATTTCATTGATGTCTCTCCTAATTTTTATTTTTTTCCTCTACTTACTTTTGATTTAATTTGCTCTTTTTCTAGTTTCCTAAGGTAGATAGCTAACTGGTTTTTTAATCTTTCTTTTTTCCTAATATGTGTATTCAGTGCTATAAAGTTTTCTCTAAGCATTACTTTTGTTGTACCTCACAAATGAGATGCAAGTTTTTTACATGCCAGACTGGAAACAAGAACTTTAACATTGCTCTTTTTTTCTTATATAATCTTCAAAATGATCAGCTTTAATGCCTTTACATCATACTTTGGAGAGATACATGATGATTTACTTAATGTATTTTATATTAAACATTTATATCACTTCTCACTATTCCAAATAAACACATAGTGTATGTTTTTGTTTTTTTTTTGAACCCTAGTCTCACTCTGTTGCCCAGGCTGGAGTGCAGTGGCGCGATCTCAGTTCACAGCACCATTCACCTCCCAGGTTCAAGTAATTCTCATGCCTCAGCTTCCCAAGTAGCTGGGACTACAGATGCCCGCCACCACACCCGGCTAATTTTGTATTTTTAGTAGAGATGGAGTTTCACCATATTGGCCAGGCTGGTCTCGAACTGCTGACCTCAAGTGATCCTCCCTCCTTGACCTTCCAAAGTGCTGGGATTATAGGTGTGAGCCAAAATGTGTGGCCAAAATGTAAGAATATGTTTAAAATTTAAAATTTAATACTTTAAAAATTCTTTGATAAATCGCTTTTCAGTAGTACAATCATTTTTGGTATCATCAGGGAATTGTTTCCAGGGCTGTGAAGATACCAAAATTTGTAGATGCTGGAGTCTTTTCTATAAAATGGCATAGTATTTGCATATAAACTTTGCATATCCTCCTGTTTATTTTAAATCATCTTTAGATTACTTATAATACCTAATACAAGGTAAATGCTATGTAAATAGTTGTTATGCTGTGTTTGTTTTAAAATTCATATTATTTTTGTTGTTATGTTTTTTTTTCTGAATATTTTCTATCTGGGGTTGGTTGAATCTGCATATGCAGAAACCGTGGGTATAGTACCCGCCAGATAGAGAGGGCCTCCTGAATTGTAGTATATGGCACCTATAGGATTTTAAGTGCCTGCACTTAACTGTATAATAGCTGACACTAGATTATTAAAAATGTGTTAATTTGCAGTAACTTACTGCTTCAATTATCATTTTTGGTTGTTAGAAAGACTGAATCTTTGTCCTTGTATATTTTCCAGTTGCATTTTGTCTTTTATAAATTGTTCTTTGTTACTTGGCAGTTTACTGCATTTTAAATATTTTTCAGTATATCTATATATTCCTGATTGTTCCTTATCATGATAAGGAAAAACACATTTTTTCTTTCATATGTTTTTATCATGTAACATTTAATATGAAACATTGATGTAGACATGTGAATTATAAAAATAATTCTTTATTATTATAATGCCAACTTCACTGGAACCTCCCAACTTAGTAGGAACCCAACTTAATGAGAACATCAGCACCTAACTTAATGGAGTCTTACTTGGACCAATCTCTGCACTTATGTTTTCTTCCCTGCCCTCCCCTTATCTTCCCTTCATTGGAAAGCACTATTCTTACTTTAGAAGTTATCATTGCCTTTGAATTTAGATTTAAACCTTTTTTTTTTTTTTTAAATAAGACAGAGTCTCACTCTGTGGCCCAGGCTGGAGTGCAGTGGCATGATCTCAGCTCACTGCAACCTCTGCCTCCCAGGTTCAAGCAATTCTCCTGCCTCAGCCTCCTAAGTAGCTGGTATTACAGGTGCATGCCACAACGCCTGGCTAATTTTTTTGTATTTTTACTGGAGACAGGATTTCACCAGGTTGGCAAGGCTGATCTCAAACCCCTGACCTCAGGTGATCCACCTGCCTTGGCCTCCGAGAATGCTGGGATTACAGGCATAAGCCACTGCACCTGGCCAAGTTTTAAACTTTTTATCATACACTTAATTTCTAAACAATAGTTTGTTTGATTTTATTATTTTTTGGATTTTTTTAAAAAATATTCTTACACTATGTGATTTCTGCAACTGGCAACTCCTGCAACATTGTTTCTGTGAGTCATCCATGTTGCTGCATTTAGATATGGCTTATTCATATTTATCATGATAAATTTTCTGTTGAGAGATCATGGCACATTTATTTACCTTTATTTTAAGTTCAGGGGCATATATCAGGCTCGTTATATAGGTGAACTTGTGTCATGGGTGTTTGTTGTACAGATTATTTCATCACCCAGGTATTAAGTCTATACCTGGTAGTTATTTTCCTGATTCTCTCCCTCCTCCCACCCGCCACCCTTTCCTTCCATAAGCCCCAGTATGTGTTTTTCCCCTCTAAAGAAAATATCACAATTTATTTGTTTCTTGTTGATAAACATTTGAGTTTAAAAAAAATCGTTATTATTTTAAATAATGCTGTTATGAATATTGCTATAGGTGTCTGTGTCTACAAAAGTACACATCTAAGGATTTCTCTAAAACATGTTCCTGGGAATAGAATTACTAGGGTAATTATAGAGTATTCAGAGCTTCAATTTAAAAGTATAAAGCTGTATTATTTTATTTATTTATTTATTTATTTTGAGATGGAGTCTAGCTCTCTCTCCGGGGCTGGAGTACAGTGGTGCGATCTCAGCTCACTGCAACCTCCACCTCCCGAGTTCAAGCCATTCTCTGCCTCAGCCTCCTGAGTAGCTGGGATTACAGAGTGGCATACCACTTTAATTTTCTCCAGCAGTGTATAAGAATTTCTTTGGATCTGCATCCTTGCCTATACTTTATATAGTTAGACTCAAATTTTTATAAATCTATGGAAGTAAAATAGTATAGTATTTTAATTTTAAAATTATATTTTTTTCTAATTATTAATAAGAGTGTGGCATCTTCTTGTATGTTTATTTGCCATTTTTGGGTCCCTTATCTGTGAAATGCCTTTTTGTGTCTTTTGCTCATTTTTTAATTAGGTTATTTGCTTTATTCTCATTGGGCTCAATGAGATCTTTATATATTATGATTACCATTTCTTTGATGGTTATATGTGTTACAGATACCTTTCAGTTTTTGGCTTATCTTTTCACTTTCTTTGTGATATCTTATTTAAACACCTTTATTGAGTTATAATTGACATACAATAAATGACACATATTTAAAATGTATAATTAATCATATTTTGACATATAGACATATGAAACAATCAACCATCAACATAATCAAGATCATGAACTTACCCCACATTCCCAGAAGTTTTCTCATGAACACATATTTCATTCTCTCTTGATTAAATACCTAGGAGTGGAATGGCTGTGTATATGATAGGCATACATTTACATTTTATCATAAGAAATTGCCCAACTATTTTCCAAAGTGGTTGAACTACTTCACATGCCAGCTGGCAGTGTATGAGAGTTTCATCATGATACATTTTTATGAACACACATTCTTAATTTTAAGGTAGTCAAATGTATCAATCATTTATTTCTTTACTTCTTTGCACATGTTATTTAGGAAATTCTTCCCTGTCTGAGACTGTAATGACATTCTCCTGTATGTTTAAATTTTTTAGGTTTTGACCTTTTGCTCAAATCTTTGATCCTTTGTTGTGATATGTGCAGTATGGTGAGTGTGGTATGACACACAGATTTAATTTTATTTTTCCTATATGGACAACCAGCTGTCTCAGCACCACCTATTGAGTTGTCCCTCCCTTTTCATGTGATCTCCAGTGCCGCCTTTGCCAAACATCAAGTTTTCCTGTATGAGAGACTCAGTGTTTACATCTGTATTGTTTCAGTTGTCTATCCTAAGCCAGTGTGACACTATGGTAATTAATCACTACACCTTTGTGATAAGTTGTTGTTTTTTAGAGATTTTAGAGATGGGGTCTCGCTTTGTCACCCAGGCTGGGGTGCAGTGATGTGAACATAGCTCACTGCAGCCTCAAACTCCTGGGCACAAATGATTCTCCCACCTCAGCTTCCCATGTAGTTGGGACCACAGGGACATACCACCATGCCTGGCTAATTTAAAAAAAAATTTTCGTAGAGATGGAGTCTTGCTGTGTTGCCCAGGCTGGTCTTGAACTCCTGGCCTCAAGCAATCCTTCTGCCTCAGCCTCCCAAAGTGCTGAGATTACAGGCATGGGCCACCGCACCCGGCCTATAATAAGTTTTGAGAGCTGTTGGTGCAACTGCCCTTAACTTATTTTTCTTCAGCAGTTTCTGGGCTATTCTTGGCCTTTGTTCTTCCATATATATTTCGGAATCAGCTTGCCAAGATCCATAAAAAAACACTTCTGAGATTTTGAGTGAATTCTATTTAATTCAAAGATCAATTTGAAAAAAAATTAAAATCTTTACAAAATTGGGTGTTCTGACCCGTGAACATGGTTTCTTTCCCTTTATTTGAATCTTTAATGTCCTTCAAAAGACTCTTATAATTTTATTAGGTATGTCTTGCACATCATTTGATATATTTATTACCAGATTTTATGTATGGAAGGCAAATAGTGTGTTTTAAATTCTACCAGACTTACATTAACATATTTTTTTTTGAGACGGAGTCTCGCTCTGTCATCAGGCTGGAGCACAGTGCATGATCTCAGCTCACTGCCACCTCTGCCTCCCAGGTTCAAGCGATTCTTCTGCCTCAGCCTCCTGAGTAGCTGGGACTACAGGTGCGCACCACCATGCCTAGCTAATTTTTTTTTAGTAGAGACGGGGTTTCACCATATTGGCCAGGATGGTCTGTATCTCTTGACCTAGTGATCTGCCCACCTCAGCCTCCCAAAGTGCTGGGATTACAGGTGTGAGTCACCCGCACCCGGCCACATTAACGTTTTAATAGAAGTTTAGTCCTTTGCTTTTCTAAATTTTCTCCCATTGCCCCTCTCCTCATTGCCCCCAAAGATTACCACTTTTCTATCAGTTTAATATGGAATTTTACACAAAAAATTATTTTCATTCTAAAACAGAATAAAAAATAGTACACATATTAAAAAAGATGAAATTTTGCTTTCTGTTTTTCATTCTGTTACTGTATCATAATAAAATTATTTACATTTGTGAGAATACATTATTTTTCTCATAGTGATTAATGAATTAATTTAAGTACTTTTAGGTAGAGAACTGATTTCAGTGCCCATTGACAGTTATTTTCTACTAAAATGTCTCTATTTTTTGGATTCACAGTTTTATTAATCTCTTGGTGGTCTGGATGATATTGTTAGCTAATTTTTGTAGAAAACTTACTGTGTGGCAAATTTATAAGACTTTTTCATCTTGTAGCTGATTTTTTTATAATATTCATTTGCAGGGATGATCATTAAACATAAGTCATTCTAACATATAAATAGCACGTAGATATATATATAAAATCCTTGAATCATAAACTTCTCCCTCCACGCATAATACTCTGCCTTGTTTTTAGCATTTGTTATTGTAGAGGAGATATGGAAAAGAAAAGTATAGTTGATTTTTCCCCCACTTTGGTTAATTTTAGGACTTGTTGAAAAAATTCTTTAAGTTTAAAATTTTTATGAGGCTATATTTTAATATTTATTTCTGCTCATTAAGTTTCTCTGGAAGATGTTACACTATCAATTTCTAATGTCAAGTTTGCTTTTTAAGGTCTGGAATGTTTTATTCTCTCATATCTCTGATTATTGCCTCTCACTGATTCATTTGTTCTTGCATTGGGCAGTTTTCTTTCGAAGGTTTGGCATTTAAATATGTCATTGCCTTATGTGTATTTTTCACATTGTCATTTATTTGGCCTCTACTCTGAAAATGCTTCTCAAGTTTATTCTCTACAATTATAAATTGATTTTCTGCGTGCCTGCTGATTTTATTTGTTGTTACATATTTCATTTTCTTGTATCTTTTTCAGCCAGTTCTTGTTTAACACATTATTTTTTCATATTGGGTTCAAAAAGTAGATATCTTTAGAAATGTTTTTTTTTCTATTTCTTCAAATCCAAGAAGGAAAATGGTGAGCAGTGAGGAGGCAGATGATTTTCCTTTAAGCCATTATTCTTTGCTTTTCTTGGGCAGACAGAATTTATGGATAGATATTGATTAATTAATTCAGCACATATTTATCGAGCACCTACTATGTGCCAGGTACTATTTCAGGCCCTGAGGATATAGTAGTGAACAAAACAGGCAAAAAAAGTCCCTACTTTCATGGCGGTTATATTATACTGAGGGGAATAGGGAATACACATACAAATAAATAAAACATTTGTACATCAGATAGAGGGATGTGCCCTAGAGAAAAGTAAAGTAGGGAAAGGAGAGAAGAATTTTTGGATCAGGTGCATGGGTTGCTTTTAAACTGAGAAGGTAAAGAATGATTGGATAAAGAAAATATGATATATATGCACAATGAAATACTATTCACCTATAAAAAGGAATTAAGTCATGTCTTTTGCAGCAACATGGATGGAACTGGAGGTCACCATTTTAAGTGAAACAATTCAGAAACATAAAGTCAAATGCCACATATTCTCACTTATAAGTGGGAACTAAACAATGTGTACACATGGACACAGAGTATGGAATGACAGACATTGGAGACTCGAAAGGGGCAGGTGATGAGAAATGACTTAATAGGTACAATGCATGTTATTTTGGGTGATCGATACACTAAAAGCCAAGATTTGACCACTATGCAATATGAGCATGTAACAAAATTGCACTTGCACTCTTAAATTTACACAATTTTGTTTTTTAAAAAAGTAGATAAAGATATAGGAAACAGAGCATTCCAGGTGGAAGAAACTATGTTGCAAAAACCTCTAGTGGGTGCATGTCAGTTGTGTATGTTTCATAACAAGAGTGTCAGCGTGGCTTGAGCAGAACAAGCGAGGGAGGGTGAGAAGTGATGTCAGAGAGGGACAAGGGATGAGGTCCAGTGAAAAGGTCCGGCAGGGCTTTCTGGCTTTTGCTTTTTTGTACATGAGATGGGAATGTGTGGAGGAGGTATGAGCAAAGGCATGGCATAATCTTACATTTGTTGTTACAAGATCACTCTGGCTGCTGGGTTAGGAATTGACTGTAGAGGCCAGAGTAGAGGCAGGGAGACCCGGGACGAGGCTCCTGAGAGATCCTGTGGATCTCACCTTGTGATTCCAGTGAGACATGCTGGCAATTACAGCAGGTGGGAGCAGCAGCGGAGAAGTGCTGGGAGTTCAGCTCTAGATATATTCTGAAGCAGAGCCAACATGATTGGCTGAAAACATTAGATGCCAGGTGAAAGAGAGAAGAGTTACGGATAAGTCCAAGGATATTTGCCTGGGAACCAAAATTGAGTTGCCACCTTCTGAGCAGGAGAAGACTGAGGGGAGATGAGATTTGGTGAAGATGGGGGGGTTCCATTTTATACATCTTAAATTTGAGATGCCTATGTAAGTGGAGCTGACATGTAGGAAATTGGATACACCAATCTGAAGCTCAGGGGAGAGGTCAGGCTGGAGAAATGATATGAGATTCATCAGTGGCTAAATGGCATTTAAAATCATAACTCTAGATGACAGCAAAGGAGGGAGTGCTGATAGAGAAATAGATATGTTGGCATTTTCATTTGTATAATTCACTTTTGACTTTGATTTGTTCATTTCTACTTATTTTACACAGTAGTCTTCTGAGATTGGTTTTAGGGCTCCTGTGGTGTAGGTTATGTCATGTAAGCACGTATTAGATTGTTTTAGTTTTTGAAACAGGGCACTGTGTTGCCCAGGCTCGAGTGCAGTGATGCAATCATGGCTCACTGCAGCCTCAAGCTCCCGGGCTTAAGCAATCCTCTAGCCTCAGCCTTACAACTAGCTGGGACTACAGATGCGCACCACCACACCCAGTGAATTTTTTAAAATTTTTGTAAAGATGGGGTCCTGCTATATTGCCCAGGGCGGTCTTGAACTCCTAGGCTCAAACAGTCCTCCCATCTTGGCCTCCCAAGGTGCTGTGATTACAGGCATGAGCCATTATACCTGGCCTTGTTTTGATTTTTGAATGTAAAAGTTCCACCCAGGTCTGTCTCAGAGGACCCCATCTCATCCTTGTAGCCATCCTAAAGTTTTCTTCTAGACCTAAAGGTTGTATGTAGGTTGAGATTAAAAAAAAAAAAATGGGCGCATGCCTGTAATCCCAGCTACTTGGGAGGCTGAAGCAGGAGAATTGCTTGAACCAGGGAGTCAGAGGTTGCAATGAGCCAAGATCGTGCCATTGCACTCCAGCCTGGGGGACAGAGCAAGACTCTGTCTCAAAAACAACAACAACAAAAAACAGGAACAATAAAAATCTTATTTTATGCTTGGGATAAAGCAGACATCCATCAAATGTTAGTTTGCTCTTTTAGATATGGATGTCCTACCCTTTCTGTAGTTTAGCTGTCCAGTAATTGGTCCAGTAGTACACATAGCCGCAATCTGTGTCTTCCTGGGATGAATTTAAGGCTGCTAGCAGAAAGAAGCCTCTTTCTACTGAATTAACTAATTAATGTAATTCTGGATTGGCAAAAGTTATTCCCTTGCTGCACAGAGGAAGCATAGGAAGAGAGAACACAGTCTTCATAAAAAGGAAAAAGTGAGGTGAGGGGTCAGAGAGAATACACACTCTGACAACATTCTTTAAAGATCCTGGATCCAGCCATGCCTCAAGTCACCGTAGGATGGCTTCTTCCCCCTTCCTTGCCTCTCTTCCTCCCTTTCTTCTCTCTTTTCCTTATTTTTTTTCTGCTTATGCCTTTTGAAATTGGCTATTTGCAATTGGAATGATTCTGACTAATTTCATGCCTGTTCAATCCTTCAGGTCAAGGCAAGGGAAATAAAGAGACTACAAGTAGTTCATTGAACAAAGAAAGCACATTCAGGTCCTTATTTCACTAACCCCCCTTTTCAGCATCTCAGAGATGACATCAGTAGGTTGCTTCAGGAGACACTGGTCTGTAAGCACATAGGCTGTACATGCAGAGCCAGCTCTGGGTGGCCTGAGCTGCCAGCCACTCCCAGGATGGGGGTCAGTGGTATACGAGTTGGTGAAAGTTCATGCCTCCCTCTGCTTAAATTTAGTGGGAGAGCCAAACATCAAACAAATCCACATGTAATCTAGGTGATAAAGCAGAATAGGGGCTAGGGATATAGGCACAGGGGATAGAGCTCTGTTGTGGATAGGTAGAGCAACACTAAGAGGTGGCCTTGAAATGGTGTAAGAATGAAACAAGTGATGGGATGAGGCCATCTGGGGATATGGAGTCCAGGCACAGGAAGTCAGGAGTCTTTGGGTGATTTATGAGCAGGTGAGTGATGTAGTTTGATTTATTCTTTAAAACCATCACTCAATGCTCTAGAGAACTGACCTTAGGGGCAGGCAGGCCAATTAAGGGCTAATGTAATGGTGGCGCAGGTAGGAAGCAATGGGACTTGGACTGAGTGATAGTGCCAGGAAGTCATCGTAGAGCTGGAGATCAAGCTGATGGGAGTTGTTGGTGGAGTCGCTCTGGGGTTTGAGTACATGATAAATATCAAAAAATGCATGCAAGATTTTTGCCTGAGTCAATAAGTCCTTGTGCCATCTATTGATAGGGAGAAGTGTGAGGGGTAGATGTCTGGAGGGGCCTGCCACTGAGCAGGACGCTAGAAGAGTGTGACATCTTGGAAATCATAGGCATGATTGTTTTCAGGAGAAGGGGGTTGTGTTAGGCTGTTCTTGCATTGCTATAAAGAATTACCTGGGACTGGGTAATTTATAAAGAAAAGAGGTTTAATTGGCTCACTGTTCTTCAGGCTGTGTAGAAAAGTATGGTGCTTGCATCCGCTCAGCTTCTGGGGAGGGCTTGGGGAGCTTCCAATCATGGCAGAAGGCAAAGCAGAAGCAGGCACATCACATGGCGAAAGCAGAAGTGAGAGAAAGAGTGGAGGGGGAGGTGCCACACACTTTTAAAGCAGTCACATCCTGTGTGAACTCAGAGCAAGAGCTCACTTATCACCAAGGGGATGGCCCAAGCCATTCATGAGGAATCCACCCTCATGACAAAAACACCTCCCACCAAGCCCCACCTCCAACATTAGGAATTACAATTCAGCATGAGATTTGGGTGAGGACAAATATCCAAACTGTATCAGGGGTTGACTCTATCAAACACTGATGAACAGCCAAGGTACAATGAAGACTGAGAAATTCCCATTGGGTGGGCCATGATCATCATATAACAAGAAGGTTTGGGAGTGTAGGGGTTCAGGGGAGATCTGATTCTTGACCATGTGTTCAAGGGACAGTCCCTTTGCTGTGCCAACTGCTAGAGGAGAGCAGAATGTGCAGGCTGCCCAAACCTGTTCTGCCTCTGCAGAAGGGTTGAAAGTGATGGGTTGGATTGCCTGGGATCAAAGCCAAAACTAGCACCACTGAAGCAGTGTGGGGCAGGGGAGAAAAACACAGATTGCTGGGAATTTCTGCAAGATGATTTTGGCATCATCTTTATGGTACGTTTGAATGTGGCCTGCATAGGAAACCAGAAAGTTGAACTTAATACAAAATTGGAACTTGCCTCCTGATGGGCCCCAGGTGACAGATGAACTTTGAAAAAAAAAAAAATCAGTGTTTACGGTAGTTCTTACCACAGTATGATCGGTAATTCCACCCAACACCTATTTCCATGATTAGCCTGGTTTTCTTATTTCTTTTGCAATTCACCTCTAAGCCAGGCATGTGATATGTACTAAAATCAACCTGAGGGACAAAAAAATTCTCTGGCATTTAAATGGATTTCACATGTGCCACTTCTAAAAATTCCCAGCAAGAGGGGACATTTCTATTAAGACATTCCACTGGAATGAATTGATGGCTGCCTGAATTGTACAATTATATTTGCTCTAAGGGATGAAGGATCTAAAGAATAGAGGAAATGAGGGTAGTTAGAATACAACAATTATAATTATGGAGCTCACACGCTGCTATGTTGAGAGAAATGATCAGCAGCCACTTCTCTGACACTGCAAGATTTTATGTTTTGGAGTTCTTAAATTTGAGGGTTATTACCCTGAGTTACCCAGTGTTATAAACTTTTATTTGCAAATTGCATTTATAAAGAGTGGCTATAGAAGGCAGGATAAAATATAGCCAGTAAAATTTGCACTGTCTCATAGTTTTACTAGTTTTCCAAAACAACTTTCATTGGGCTGATGTTTGAATGTTTGGTTAATAGGACCATGTTTTTGCGTGTTGTTTTAATTTTCAGAAAAAAAAAAATAAATGTCTCTGAGAACCCAGGAGAGGGAGTAGTTAATGTTTCCTGACAGGGATCAGGAAAGACTTCAGAAAAATGCTAACATTTGGCAGGGCTGGAAGGAGAGATAGTTTTCTAGTAGAAAAGTGGAAGAACACATCCCACGTAGAAGGGAAGCATCCACAAAGACGAGACCACTTAGAACAGCTAGATGGGCCTGGATCAGGGCCAAATCCAACAGGAAGTTGGCAACCTTGGAATTATGGGCTTTAAAGATAGGGGATGGCCTTAGTGGTGTCTGTAGCCCCCAGCTAGCAAGGATGTGAGCTACTAGGTAGCCTGTTGTCCCAGGGACAGAACTGAATGCCATTTCTTCTTGGGTACTTTCCCGCTGCTTTTAACATTTGGGTGACCCCAGAAGAGGATCCAAATTGGCGTTTTTCAGGTCTAAAGGTCAATTTTTGCTTCTAGAAAGATGTGTAGGTTACCTCTAGAGCCAGCTGAACTGCCTAATTCCTCAGAGGACACACTAGGGGAAGGGAAATTGAGGAGGTGTCAGTGGAAGGTGACAAAGTTGGAGCTTCCAAAGGTCACACTTTTATTGACCACTGTTAAGCCAGACAGGGTCGCATCCCGAGTGTATCATAAAGGGTGTTTTGGGAGAAGTAGGCATAACAAGTCTCTCCAAAGGCAGCCCTGGGAAGTACGTGGAAAAGGCATGATGGAAATGATTACGGAAGGTTATGCTGGGACTGGGTAATTTTCCATCAGTCTTAGTTATTAAAAGCATTTACCCCGTGTTAGGGTTTTGCAGAGAAACAGAACCAATAGGATGTACTTGTATGTCAAAAGATTTATTTTAAATAATTGGCTCACATGATTATGGAGGCTGGAAGGTACATATTCCTGTGATTTTGAACCTGTGAGTTGGAGATAAAGGGAAGAACCAATGTTGTAGTTTAGGTTGAAGGCCAGCTGCTTGCTGGCAGAATTCTTGCTTGAGGGAGGTCAGACTTGGGTCTGTTAAGGCCTTTAACCGACTGGATGAGGCCCAGCTCCATTATGGAGAGCAATCTGCTGTATTCAAAGTTCACTGATTTAAATATTAGGATCACCCAAAAAAAATCCTTCACAGAAACTTCCAGAATAATGTTTGACTATATATCTGGGGACCATGGGCCAGTCATATTGACATATAAAAAGTTAACCATCACAGCCTCCAAAGACTGACGCAGGAGGGGATGCCCCTTTAGAGCTCAATGTCTCTTGATTGTCTTTTGTTGCCAACAAAACATGAATTTTAAAACTACTTTTTTCCATGTCGATGTATCCCCAGTGCCTATAATATAACTTAGCACATAGTAGGTGCTTAATAAATATTTTATAAATAAACAAATGATAGGATAAATGTTTGAGTTCAATTATTTGAAAGCACATTATATGACACTCTAGTTATTTCCATTCTGGACAGAATGTTTGTGCTAATGTATGTAATAACATCACGTCGAGTTGCTCGGTTTGTCTGGCTTGTGTTCCTATACTTCCTAGGCATAAATTGGGCATCTTTGGAAATTGGTCGTAACTTTTTCATATTACTGATTATCATGGAGAAATTGGCAATAGACTTCAATACATGATGTTTCCGTGTGTCCTGCTGAGAAGCTCTCACCCAAGTGAGAAAGCTAATGAACCGTCTGAGGAGTTTTAGCTGTATATATATTACAGCACATTGAAAGGGAAAGAGAAATGATGTATTTTCTTTACCAGCAAAGCTTGTGAAGGCTATTTGTAACTGTACTTGGCCCACCGATAATTTGTAGCCTTGGAAAATGTGACCGACAGGTGTGGAAGTACTCCTGGAGCCCATGGTAGAGTGAATGATAAATCATAGCCTTGTAGATGGATGGGAGACAGGACTGGCAAGAAGTTCATCAGCAGTGGGTGCAAATACAATGAGCAATGAATAAAATAATATGCATCTGATTTTGTCTGCAAACAAATAAAGAGAAGGCTAACCCATACTTACCTTCCTTTCATGGTTCAGACTTTCCTGATATTTTATGCCCTTTACAAACACCACTTTTTGAAGGACTACACTGAATGTCATTCACCATGTTCCCTGCCCTCCAGTAACTTATTGCTGCCATTTGTTTGTTCCCTACAAATCTCATGTTGAAATTTGATCTCCAGTGTTGGAGGTGGAGCCTAAGAGGAGATGTTCGGGTCATGGGGGCAGATCCCTCATGAATGGCTTGGTGCCATCCAAGCAGTAATGAGTAAGTTCTTCTATTAGTTCCAGTGAGAACTGCCTGTTTAAAAGAATCTGGCACCTCCATCCCCTCTGTCTTGCCTCCTCTTTCACCATGTGATCTTTGCACACACTGGCTCTGCTTAGCTTTCAGCCATGAGTGGAAGCAGCTGAAGCTTCCCCAGAAGCAGATGCTGGTGCCTTGCTTCTTGAACAGCCTGAGGAACCGTGAGCCAAATTAACCCCTTTTCTTTATAGATTACCCAGCCTCAGATATTCTTTATTTTTTATTTTATTTTATTTTTTCGAGACAGAGTCTTGCTCTGTCACCCAGGCTGGAGTGCAGTGGTGCGATCTTGGCTCACTGCTAGCTCCGCCTCCCGGGTTCAGGCCATTCTCCTGCCTCAGCCTCCCGAGTAGTTGGGACTACAGGCGCCCGCCACCACGCCCAGCTAATTTTTTGTATTTTTAGTAGAGACAGGGTTTTACCGTGTTAGCCAGGATGGTCCCGATCTCCTGACCTTGTGATCCGCCCACCTCAGCCTCCCAAAGTGCTGGGATTACAGGTGTGAGTCACAGTGCCTGGCAGATATTCTTTTATAGCAACGTGAATGGACTAAGAGACATTCTAGATAGAAGTTTGGGGCAGAGGTGTGTATGCACCTTTCCTAGTTGGTGGGACAAAATGATTTGCTTCAGCTACAATTTTAGTAGCTGAAAACTTAACAGAAAACAGGGGTCAAGGTAAAGGGTTAATGGGAATCATTCTCTGCCAGCAGCTGTAGGGAAGGAGAGATAGAGATGGCAAAGGAAGGATTAAGCAAAGTGTGCCAAGGGAGTATCTGATTATAGTGAAGGAAGTAAAAAACTATAGGAGGTAAAGAAGAAACTAGAAAAACTGGCAGAAAGGCTTGAAACCATCAGGAAGGAAGCGAAGACTACGCAGGGCCTAGGGGACTATCTCATTTGATAAAGCACTTTCTAGTATGCATGGCACTCATCTCAGAGGAACGTAATCTGATTTGGCAAAGAAAAATACCTCTTTGAATCTCTGGAGAGGAAACTAGCTAGAAACAAGAAGGCTGCTGGGGCGATGACAGTAGCCAGAGGAGTCTTGAGGAATAAAAAATAAATGAAGGTAATGAAGATGTCCAGGGAAGTATTGGCATTTATTTATTCCAGACTTTGGATGAAGATGGAGATGCATCTTTTGTTTCCTGGGCTTCGGATCCTGGGGCACTGGGGTCTCTCAGAGGTTTTATGAAGATGATAATGGGGTGGGTTTCAGGAGAGAGATAAAGACTGTATCTTTGGTGTAAGTCCAGGCAACAGAGAACAGTTCAAGGAAATATGCTCCCACATGACCACACATGAGCCTCTTGAGTAGGGCCAGGACATGTCAAGAAGGGAATGACTATCTGCACCAAGATAGTTGAGACAATTAAGGAAGGACATTTCCTTATTAGGAAGGGATTGAGAATAGATCCCAGAGGGAGCATTCATAAATAGTGGAGGAAATGATGAAAATGAAGATTTAAAGAAGATACAAAGGTCAGAAAGATACAGAGAACTAAAGTCAGAAGTGAGTTCCTTCAGAAGCCCAATCTAGAACTGGCTGGCCTCTTTGCAAAAGGCCCAGCTTCTTGCTGAGCTCCGGGGATTGTTTCTGTGACTGATACGTGATGAATCCATCTCCATGTTTCCTGCTGCTGCCCTACACTTAGATTTCCCCAAGAATACAAGCTAGCTAGACCTGGGCTGTTTTGCAATGAGAGCCAGTTTCTCTCCTCCCTTATCCCCAGGAGTGACTGTTGTGCGCTACACCTGGATTCCCTGGGGAAGCTCAGTGAATTCAAACCTGCAGGTGTGGAATCAATTCCATTGGAAACCCCAAGGCCAGTTGACCAGTTCCTCCAGACTGCACACCTCTGACATTCTCAGGTGCTTCTCAAAATGGAAGCCCCTCCAAGGTAGGTTATCTGTTCTCTGCAGCCCAACCTGCTCTGTGTGTCCTCCCCTTGGCCCAGCCTCCCTCACTCCCTCTCTCCAAAACCTATGCACGACATCTTTTGGAGTGCTTGTTTCCTAGTGAACAAAAGTCCTTTCCTTCATCCTCCTCTTTAGTAGAGGGTCTTTATCCCTGGGTCTTAACTGACACCTTCCTCCAGCTCAAGAATTTTAATTTTCTAGCAGCCTTCCGATTGTAGATTCTATGAGAGCAGGAACCCCATGTGATTTGTTTACCCAGAATTTTCTTAGCATCTAGCACAGCCCCAGCACTAGCAGGCACCCAAGAAATGCTTCTGGAAGGAAGGAAGGAAGGAAGCAAGGAAGGAAGGAAGGAAGGAAGGAAGGAAAGAAGGGAAAGGAGAGGAGAGGAGAGGAAAGGAAGGAGAGGGGAGGGGAGGAGAGGAGAGGGGAGAGGAGGGGGAGGGGGACGGAAGGAAGGGGGGAGGGAAGATGGAAGGGAGGGAGGATGGGAAGGAAGATGGGAGGATGGATTTGCTTATTTGCCTGCAACCTGTGTTTTCAGAGTCAGTAGTTGGGGTTGAGACCCCTCTATTTTCCCTGTGCCTTTTACAGGTAACGTTTCTTCTTCCTCTTATCCACGGTCCTGTGAGGTTCATGCTGTCTGGTTATAAAACCCACTACCCCATCACTGTCAGCACTACCTTCCTACTTCTGTTCTTCATGTAGTAAAGGCTTTGCTGTCTGGCTCCTGTATCTCCTTTACCCCAAGTCTAGGGTAATGTCAGTGTCTTAAAAAATGATCCACTCAACACTCCAGTTTTTTGGTCTCTTGACTTCCTCAATACTAGTGAACTTCATCATCACTTCTCTGCCACCATCCACCCCTGGCTTCGTCCTAGAGCTCGTCATCACCTGCTGTTATACCACATCTAACATTTTTGTTTTTATTGGTGTATATTTCCAGAAGTGGACAATTAGTGTTCATAAAAATGTTCTCTACACCACTGACTTCAATTCCTCACCACGTAGACACATCCTGATTCAATCCAATCAAGCATTTATACTACCAAGATCCCCAACTCATTTGCCATCTGCCTCCTTTTTGTTAAATCCACTGTGGTTTTCTACCTTTATTTCAATTGACAACTTGGCAGCATGTACCAATTTTAACCACTGCTGCCTTCTTGAAATGTTTTTCTTTGGCTTCCTTCACACTTACTCTGATTCTCCTATGTCTCTTTCTCCAACTCCCTTTGTTCTCTGCCATCTTTACCCATTTCTAAATGTTGGTGTCCCTTAATGTTTAGTCTTTTGCTTTTTTTTTTGAGACAGAGTTTCTATCACCAGGTTGGAGTGCAGTGGCGCCATCTTGGCTCACTGCAACCTCCGCCTCCTAGGTTCAAGTGATTCTCCTGCCTCAGCCTCCCAAGTAGCTGGGACTACAGGCATGCACTACCATGCCCAGCTGATTTTTGTATTTTTAGTAGAGATGGCATTCACCATGTTGGCCAGGATGGTCTTGATCTCTTGACCTTGTGATCTGCCCACCTTTGCCTCCCGAAGTGCTGGGATTATAGGCGTGAGCCACCTCGCCCGGCATTTTGATCTTTTTTCTTTGAATTCTACACTTTCTACCTGTGATTTCTGTCTTTCCTTGGGCTTAAGTAATAATTTGCATACAGATGTTTTCCAAATTTAGAGATGCCTCAGCCTAGCTTGTGAGGTCCAGACAGTTATCTCAAAGCTATGTGCTGATTGTACAAAAGGGACTAATATTGACTTCAAACTCAACCTGTTAGAAACTAAATGCAATATACCAACCATCTCCACAAATTTTCTTTGTCTCCTGTGTTTTGTTTCTTTCCGTTTCCTTTCTCTTCTTCTCTTCTCCTTTCCATTCCTTTCTTTTCTTTTCTTTTTTTGACCTTCCTCACGTATCTTGATTCTGTTTTCTTCTCTCCAACTCCATTCCCACAGCTTCTGGCCATCATCATCTACTACCTAGGCCATTGCAGTCCTTTCTTAAACTGCTTTCCAGATATCTATTCTTAATTCCATCCAATTTAATATCCAAACTGTCAGCTTTCTAAAATGAAAATCTGATCATGTCATTCTTCTGCTTAATGCCCTTCCATTTCTCTGCATTGCCCTTAATAAAAGTCTAAATGTTTTGTCATGGAATATGCAACCCTTCAAAATGTAACCCAAGTTTACCTCTTCTGCTTCAACTCTTGCTGTCCTTCTCTCTACTGAATCCTAATAGTCCAGCAGTCCTAAGAATTCAAGAATCTGCCATTCTTTCTAATGTGTCTGTTTCAACTGCCTAGAAACAGCCTTTTTCTTACCTCTCTTTAACCTCCTCTTCACAGTTTGGCTTTTGTGATGTCCTCTACGGTGGGCTTGGTGGCTCTCCTTTGTGTTCTCACATGCACAGTCCTTTCTTTCACTGCATTATTATTGCATGTTGTATTTGCCCCTTTACGCCTCTGTCTCCATCACTAGACAGAATGAATGCCTTTGACGGAAGGCACTCAAATCACATTCTCTGTTAACTCCCCAGTGCCCAGGACCCTGGCTTGATATACACTTGTTCAATTAATGAATGACTAATTGAAGAGCTTGAATGAGGGGCTGTGACTGCGTAATGGTGGCACAAATGCAGGAGGCTTCTAATAGCAGCATCTTGGCAGAATGAAGTGTTGGTCCTATTTTACATGATCATTAATATGGTCAAGTACTTTCTAGCTAGGAAAAATATAGATTTTAGTGGTTCATCACCAGGCATGCACTTTGAATTTTCTACTCATGATGTGCTGACCTTAAGATAATTCCTTTCCCTTCCCTTCCCTTCCCCTCCCCTCCCTTCCCTTTCTTCCCTTTCCTTCCCTTCCCTTCCCTTTGTTTTTTTTTTGTTTGTTTGTTTTGGTTTTTGTTTTTTTGGATACAGAGCCTTGTTCTGTCACCCAGGATGGAAGGCAGTGGCATGATCTTAGCTCACTGCAACCTCCACCTCCCAGGTTCAAGGAATTCTTGTGCCTCAGCCTCCCGAGTAGCTGAGATTACAGGTGCATGCCACCTTGCCGGGCTGAATTTTTTATTTTTAGTAAAGCTGGGGTTTCTCCATGTTGCCCAGGTTGGTCTCAAACTCCTGAGCTCAAGCTCTCTGCCTGCCTCGGCCTTCCAAAGTGCTGGGATTACAGGTGTGAGCCACCGTGCCTGGCGAGAATTTTCTACAATACCATGTGAGGTGTCCCATGCACCAGGACAAATGTGTTGTCTAGAAAGTTTATTCAATCACGTATTTTAATAATTTAAATCAGTGAGGATCATATGTACTGAAGCATTTTTGAAAGTATGCAGAAAATGAGTCTTCTAGTTTTTACTTCCCTATGTTATGTGTCATGAGGTCCTTACAGGAGCTAAAATGTCTTTTTTTTAAGATGCCATTTCTCCAACTCTTCCCTAGTCCCCTTGAACTTACTTTCAGTATTAAAAAAAAAAGAAATTTCTTCTTATTTTACTGTGATTGACCAAACTAATTTGTGACTGTGGCTAGTGGTCTTGAAAATTAAAATAATTTCATTCATTTAGCAAATCTGGTTGAAGAAAAATGTGAATAAAAAGTTTTTTCTTCCTGGTTTTCTTTACTGTATTTTAAGCCATCTGCAGGGGCTTCTTGTGAGATTATCTGTCTTGAAGATATTTGTGACTAATTACAAGCAGTGTAACCTGGGAGAGAAGCTGTTCAGGCTGAGGATTTTAAAACGATGAGATGAGAGAAAATTAGCAGACATCTTTTATTATGTCTACTGTCTTTAAAAGTCAACTCTCTGGAAAACTATTTTTATAGGCAAAAAGTAGGTGGGTATGTGGTATGATTATTTGTTTTACTTTTGAGGGCAGATGCTGTACCTCACATCATGAGCAATCCACCCTCATGTTAGAGGGAAGATGGAGTCGTTTCTGGGTGTTTGTGAACTCTTGGTAGAGCCAACTGAATGTCAGTTTCTATTATTCTGTGGTGAATAATAACTCAAGTAATTTTCATAAAGAAACAGATTGAATTTCACTGTGAACATTTTCATCAATTCCTAGAATCTTGGAATTTCGCTAATTAGCGAGTTGGAAGTATTGTATTATGTGGGAGGGGGATTTAATGAATTAAAATACTATTAATTTTGTCTCTTTTTGTTTTGGTTCCTGAGACATTTACATTTTATTGACTCCTTAGATATGGGCTTAAGCAAGTCTCTTTTTAAGACAGGAAGTCATTGAACAAATTATTTGTGAGCTCCAAGAGTAGGCTGATTTTATTGCTTCAAATTATGTGTGGGGGGAAATGTACTTTGATCCAAATGTTAATTGGATACTGAAGAATTGTTTCTGAAAATTTGACTATTTTTAAACAGCTTGATATAGGCTCCAATTAAAATAACCACATATAACGTTCATTTTTATTTTCATTAACTCAGAATTAAGAACTGTGTTATAATTTTTGAATTCATGCAATATTGCACTTTCTCAATTTCCCTCAGGTATCATTTTTGACTATGTTTACTTGGAAATTATGCTTTTTACTCTTGTATCAAAGGCATTAGTTATGACATGTTACTAATGAATGTAAGCATAAAGGAATGATATTTTTATTAAATCCTAGGCATTATGTTTTATTCAGTGTCTTTAGATTGCTGGTTTAAAAAAATTCCATCAGAAACCAAAGTGAATGGGTATTACCCAACAACTTCCACAGGGCAGCCCTGTGCTAAGCTACACATACTACAATTTATCACATTTAAGCTCTGCAAGAGCCTTGTGAAGAATTATCACCCCCATTTTACACAGAAGGAGTTGAGGCACAAAGAAGTTAAGTGCCTACCCCAAATTCATACAAATAACAGTTGGTGGATTTGAGATCATGGGTTTTTTGAAATCAGTGATAGATGCTCTGCGTTTTGGTTCTTCAGTTTCATGCTTCTTATTTTTTATGGGGGCTCAAATCATTGTATAGAAAGCATTCTGTGCCTACTTGCAAAAAGATTTCAGATTTGACAAATAGTGGTGCCAAAAATGGAGCTGGCAAACACAAATAGAGGGAAAACTGGCTAAGACCAGTGGCATTGGTTATAAGCAGAATATTCACCAGCATTGCTTAAAGCTTTATAGAAAGAAAAGATGACATCCTCAGTATGAGGATTAGGAGACCATTTGTAGCTCAAGAAGCATGACCATTAAGCTTCTAGCTGTTAATGGAAATAATCTGAGAGCTTTGCACTGTACGAAGCTGTGTCTGTTTGATTGCTTCATCTGTACATTTGCTTGTGAACATAGTCAATCAAAAATCAAAGAGCTACCTACCTGTTTCTTAGTTGAAGCTGTAACTGTAATAGTTTTATAAGATTTAGGATGCAAGCTAGGAATTGAATTTGGAGCTCTTACAGACTGTGTTCAATTGGGTTGACTCAACTTGCTATAATATATTTTCAAAACATTTGGGAGTAGGAATCTCACTGATTGAAGCAAGAGTTATCCAGACTTCTAGTTTCTATTGAATGCTGGAGTACAAATTGGGGGTCTATTTGATAATAAGCAAATTAATCTGTTTTAATGATTAAAAATAACATTATGTCTAAAATCCAAACTAATCTCAACAGTTTATCAATGAAAAGTAATTAAGAACTTTTGAAGAACCATCACGTCTCCTGTGATTTTTAAACATCTATTTTTAGAACTTAGAGAAAATCATAGATCTTAAAACTTTGATTCTCGCTTTCAACTTTGCCTTAAGATCTGGATTATTCTAACCCTCCTAGTCCTCCTGAGAAATTCCTACTTTCTTGCTAGACCCAGCTCAAAAATACCCTCATTTATGGATTCTCCCTTAACTATATGCCCAATGTCCCCTCCTCCCTGTTCTCACTGGAGTTAACCCTTTCTTGATTCCCCCTGTACGCTATTTAATGACTGACCTTTCTGGGTATCTGCCAGGCTGAGCTGTGAGCACCTGGGTAGCAGCCAGTTCTTTTGTCTCAGAATATAGTACAGTGCCTGACATTTAAGAGACACTCAATATTTGTTAAACATTCATACATTGTTAAACAAATGTATGAATAACACGGGGAAGGCAATGCATGGGTGCATCAGAGACAATCATGTCAAAAAAGAGAGGAAAGGAAAGGGACATTTCCCAGAACTTTAAAGACTGAAGGATCTCATTAATGACTCATCTCTGTCCTAAAAGCAATCAGGATGACTGTTCAGTGCCCCTCCTGGCACCATGTGACCCACATAAGGAGTGTCTTCAGACTGAAGCTTTGCTAGAACTCAGAGTTTTACAGGCTCTGCCCAGGAGCCTCTCTGGCATTTTCTCACACAGTCTAACAGGCAGAAAATCTCTTCTTTCTTTTTGTGATCTTTGACGAATATTGTTGGATCTTCTGATTCTGACAGCCTTTAGCAGTGCTCCATTCAGGTGCAGGGCAGTGGATGCCTAGGCTGCTGCCTTCATAGCTTCTCCCGCTCTCTCTATCCTTTTTATCTTTAATGTCCTGCATCTCGAGGATAAAGTGTCCGCCTCCTGCTTCTGCTGTCCACCTTCTCTTTGGGACCCTTGAATCCTGACACTCAGCTGCTTAGATTTCTAAATGCTCCTTTTCTGCCCTACACCTTGCTTCCTTAATCTCTGGGCATCGCCTGAGAGAAGGAGCTGATAGGGCCGTTGTACCATTTCCTGCAACTTTTTTTTTTTTCCTAAATGAGACTTGCTAATTTTTTTCCATTTGTGAGCTTCAAGAAGTGGTATTTAATTGCTGCATTAAGAGGAAGAATAAAATCAAAGGAAAAGGAATTAAAAAAAAAACAATTGGCAAATGATTAAAAACCACCAAATTATCAAAATAATAATTAAATACAAACCGAATTTCATCTTCATTATATAAATACACAGACAAATCACAGACTGTGTAATTGTCAGGACTGACACTCACAATCCAGGGATCTACAGCTGTGGCACCCACGGCGGACGCTTCCAAGCCCAGCTGCCCCCAGCTGTGGCCCAGATTCTTTCCTGAGCTGGAGAGCAAATGGAACAAAAAAGTTTGGAAGAGAAGATAACTTAGATCTTTGGAGCTTATTGAGAGAAATTGAAATCCTAGAGGAATCCTAGGAACATGAATCTGTAGGGAGAGGAAAAACATTTCTAATATATACGACAGTTCTTCACCATAGATCTTTGGCCATATCCAGGGAATTAAGAGATCTGGTTTAGTCTCAACTCAGTCTCCACGCAGGCATAATAATCTTGTCCAAGTCTGTTAACCTCTGTCATCTTCAGTGATCATAAAAGTCCCTAATATTGCTAAAATTCAATACTTCTGTTATACAGTCCTATTGGTAAGAGTATATAGAATGTGCAATGTAGAGATGAATGTAAATGGTCTTTTCTCCCTGGTGGCCTCGAGTGAGGAGCAAAATACTTATAATTCTGTGAATGCAAAGCAAAAACAAACGAGGAATGAAAAGAGAAGAGAAACAGAACACAAGCCTAGGGGGAGAAGACTTAATAGGTTATTGTGGAAGGAAAAAATAGAAATGTCAATAGTCAAAATAAGAAGTTTGACTGTGCTGTGTATCACTGAGAGCCTGCTGAACAGGTTGCGAGCTAATAATTACAAGAATCCAGTTAACCTCAAGTAAGCATCTATGCCTCATGTTCAGGATTGTGAACCAGTACTTTATTTCACTGATACTTTATTTTACTTTCTAATCTTCCACATATATTTATGTGCGATATCACATAATAACCAATACCTTTGGTTATTATGTGATTCTGAGCCCTATTTTATTTTTTTGATTTTTAAAATTTTATGGAGACAGGGGTTTCACTCTGTCATCCAGGCTGGAATAATGCAGCAGTGTGATCATAGCTCACTGCAGCCTCAAACTCCCAGGATCAAGGGATCTTCCCACTTCAGCCTCCCAAGTATCTGGGGCCACAGACATGCACCACCACACCCGGCTAATTTTCTTTTTTTTTTTTTTAGTAGAGCTGAGGTCTCACTATGTTGCCCAAGCTGTTCTCAAACTCCTTAGCTCCAGTGATCCTCCCACTTCAGCCTTCCAAAATGCTGGGATTACAGGCATGAGCCACCACACCCAGCCTGAGTCCTATTTTAAAGAAGTATAAGGTTTATAAAAACAAAAGGAAAACCTGTAAATAAATAGGAACTGATGTAATTAATATTTTAAAAAACAACATTGGGGCTACTAAAGATGAGTTTCATGCCCACATGAAACAGTCTTTTCAAAAAAATAACCACGACATTCATTTTTATTTTTATTAACTCAGAATTAAGAACCATGTTATAATTTTCCAATTCATGTAATATTGCACTTTCTCCATTTCTCCAAACACAGGTGCAATGTTTGACTATGTTTGTTTTGAAATGATGCTCTTTATTCTTGCATCAAAAACTTATGGCATGTTACTAATGAATGTAAGCATAAAGGGACGATAGTTTTATTAAATCTTAGGTTGTTTGAGCCATTAGGATGTAATAATTTTAAAATATATAACAGTCCTTTCAAAAATAGCTATTTAAAAATTATTAGTATTTAATTTTTTCACCTAATTTTTCCAATTATTTATTGTGGTAAAACATGTATAACATAACATAATTTAGTACATTAACCATTTTTAAGTGTACAATTCAGTGGCATTAAGTGCATTCATATTGTTTGGTGACCATCACCACAGTTTATCCCACATACATTTTTCATCTTGCAAAGTCGAAATGCTATACCCATTAAACAATACTGTCTGTATGATTTCTATTATGCTAAGTGCCTTATATAAGTGGAATCATGCAGTATTTGTTTTTCTGTGGCTGACTTGTTTTGCTTAGCATAATGTTTCCAAGTTTCATCCATGTCATAGCACATGTCAGAATTTTCTACTTTTTTAAGGTTGAATAATGTTCCATTGTATGTGTAGATCACATTTTGTTTATTTATTCATCTGCTGATGAATGCGTGGGTTCTTCCACATTTTAGTTATTGCGATTAATGCTTCTATGAACATGTCTGTGGAAATATATCTTCGAGATCCCACTTTAAACTCTTTTGGGTATATACTCAGTAGGAAAATTGCTGGATCACACAGTAATTCTATTTTTAATTTCTTGAGGAACCACCATAGTGTTTTCCACAGTGACTGTACCATTTTCACTCCCATCAGCATTGCACAAGGGTTCTAATTTCTCTACAACCCCACTAACACCGGTCATTTTTTATATTTTGTTCTTAATTAAAAAAAATTATAGCAGCCATCCTTATGGGTGTGAGGGGGTGTCTCATTGTGGTTTTGACTTACATTTCTCTAATGATTAACAATGTTAAGCATCTTTTCTTTTCTTATTATTTTATTTATTTTTTTGAGATGGAGTCTCACTCTGTCGCCCAGGCTGGAGTGCAGTGGCGTGATCTCAGTTCACTGCAACCTCTGCCTCCCGGGTTCCCATGATTCTCTTGCCTCAGCCTCCTGAGTAGCAGGGATTACAGGTGCATGCCACCACACCTGGCTAATTTTTCTATTTTTAGTAGAGATGGGTTTTCACCATGTTGGCCAGGCTGGTCTTGAACTCCTGACCTCAGGTAATGCACCTTCCTCGGCTTCCCAAAGTGCTGGGATTACAGGCATGAGCCACCACACCCAGCCTAAGCATCTTTTCATATACTTATTAGCCATTTCTTATTTGGAAAAATGTCTATTCAAGTCCTTTGCCCATTTTTGAATTAGATTGTTGACTTTTTGTTATTGCGTTTCAGAAGTCTTCTATATAGCTTGGATATTAATCCCTTAAATAGACGTATGATTTGCAAATATTTTCTTTCATTCTGTGGGTTGTCTTTTTACTCCTTTAATAGTGCCTTTTGATGCACAAAATTTTTAAATTTTGATGGAATCCAATTTGTCTATTTCTTTTTGTGGCCTGTCCCTTTGGTGTTATCATATATAAGAAATTACTGCCAAGTAAATATTGGGAAGCTTTTGCCTCATGTTTTCTTCGAAGAGTTTTACAGTTATAGCTATTACATTTAGGTCTTTGATTCATTTTAAGTTAATTTTTGTACATAGTGTTAGATAAGGGTCCAATTTCATTCTTTTGCATGTGAATATCAAAATTTCCCAGCACCATTTGTTTTAAAAAAATTATCTTTTCCCCAGTGAATAGTCTTGGCACTCTTATTGGAAATCATTTGACCATATATGCAAGGGTTTATTTCTGGACTCTGTTGTATTCCATTGGTCTGTATGTCGATGCCAGCACCACACTGTTTCAATTTACTGTAGCTTCATAGCCAGTTTTGAAATCAGCAAGTGTGAGTCTTCCAGCTTTGTTATTTTTTAGAATTGTTTCAGCTAATTGGGACTGCTTGCAATTCTACATGAATTTTGGGGTGGGTTTTTCTTTTTCCTTTTCTTGATTTTCTCTCTTTTCTTTTCTCTTTCTTTCTTTCTTACTTTCTCTCTCTCTCTCTCTCTCCCCCTCCCTCCCTCCCTCCCCCTTTTTCTTTCTTTCTTTCTTTTTTTTTTTTTTTTTGTTTCAGAATTTTGCTCTTATCACCCAGGCTGGAGTGTAATGGCGTGATCTTGGCTCATTGCAACCTCTGCCTCCTGGGTTCAAGTGATTCTCCTACCTTAGCCTCCCAAGTAGCTGGGATTACACGTGTGTGCTACCACACCTGGCTAATTTTTGTATTATTGTTAGAGATGGGGTTTCACCATATTGGCCAGGCTGGTCTTGAACTTCTGACATCAGGTGATCCACCTGGGGTGGGTTTTTCTATTTATATTAAAAAAAGTCATTGGGAGTTTAATAGGGATTCATTAAATCTGTAGATTGCTTTGGGTAGTATTGACGTCTTAATAGGTTTTTCAACCCATGAACATGGGAAATCTTTCCACTTATTTATTTCTTCTTTAGTTTGTTTCAGAACTGTTTTATAGTTTCTATTGTTTGTTTTTTACCTCCTTGGTTATGTTAATTCCTAAGTATTTTATTCTTTTTGATGCTATTGTAATGGAGTTGTTTTCTTATTTCCTTTACAGATTGTTAATTTTTAGTATATAAAAATGCAAGTGTTTTTTGTGACTTTGTATGCTGCTACTTGGTTGAATTCATTTCTTAGTTCTAACATTTTTTGGTGAAATAATTAGGGTTTTTTACATATAAGAACATGCCATATGTGAACAGAGATAATTTTGCTTCTTCCTTTCCAATTTGGATACCTTTGATTTCTTTTTCTTGCCTATCGGCTCTGGCTAGGACTTCCAGTACTGTGTTGAATAGAAGTGGAAAAGTGGGCATCCTTGCCTTGTTCCTGATCTTAGAGGAAAAGCTTGCAGCCTTTCACCATTGAGTATGATGATTACTGCAGGTTTTTCATATATGGCTCTTTTACGATGAGGTACATTAGTATTTAATTTTGAGTGTTACAGTTTCTCTGAATGTCTGATTTCAGGGTAAGTAGCTTTATTCTGTAGAAGGCAAAAATAAGAACAACAGTAACACTCTTAATAATTAGATAATGGTGTAGTGAGATAAGAACGATGTCTGACAGACTTTGGGCTGATTCATAACACTTCTGTTTTCTGACTATCAGACTTTGAACAAAGTGCTTAACTTCTGTGAGCCTCCAGTCCCCATGTGTGGAATTGCCCTCCAAAAGTTGTACCTATGCATGCTTTTGAAGTTTCAGTTTGTTTCTATATCCACACCTACATCATGAGTATGAAGAGTGCATTATTTTCCCCTGTTACTTATAGTAAAGGGAGGAAGAATAATTTCCTTTGACTTGACACCATATCCCCAATTAGTTCATTTTTTCTATTTACCT